>NC_000004.12:140171381-140796381 GCF_000001405.40 Homo sapiens
CAAAACATAGTTTTTAAGTGCTTCATAATGAGTCCATGAGATTGTTGATTTTGTTTATAACATGTCAGAAGTAACCATTTTTATACTACTAATAGACTCATTATAAAATACAGGGATATCTCAGGTGGTTTCTCAATGGACTTTATATTCCTGTTTATTCACAGGCCCTTCTGCTTTCATGAACATTAGGCCAGGAGTTAGGAGACATAAATTCTAAAATCCTAGGCCTGATACTAATTAATTGTTTGATCTTGACTTTACTGGTGCTTTGTTATCTTGACTATGTATATCAGAAGGTTAATAGCTATATCATCTTTCAGCTCCAGAATTCTCTTATTCCTCATAAATAAAGCTAATCAACAAGAAAGTTATTCCACTTCGTGTATTAAAGTGAATTTGGGTATACAGGGACCTATCAAGGAAAAGATAAGAAAAGGGACTCTCATGTTTTGAGTTGGAAACACTGCTACAGGCCTCTACAACAAAATAGTAACAAGGATTAAAGTAATAACATACATACATCCTTTAAAAGTATAAGGATATGTGATACATTCATCTCCTTGAAAAATGTTTGAATAACTTTGGGTATTAAATACTATTGAAAATGCAGATGCTACTATATCTTATACCATTTACAACAAGATGAAAACTGAGGGCTTCCTTGTTGTTGTTCAGTGACTCTAACCAACCTCACAGCAGTTAAAAATCAATATCAGATTTGAGATTCAGTCCAGACCAACACTTCAGAGGAGGCTGGTCTTCAGATGAGGACTTGTCTTCTGGCACATAACTTTCTGAGGACTTGGGATTCTTTGAGATAAAAAGGATACTTTGAGTCTGAACTCCTGATGAAACAGAATTAATCCAGGACAACCGGCTATATTTTTTCAGATTGAAAGGGACCATTGAGTAAGTGCTTTGGTGTCAACCTCCTTTTGATAAAGAAAATACGTCCTAACATTTTGTTCTGCCCCGGCAACTTGGGCTCCCTTGCATAGAAGAATGAGTCTGAGGTGCTTTCTAACGGGAAGTTGAAGACAGGTTGTCAGAACTGTGGCAAGACCAGTAGTATTCTGAATCCAGGAGGCTCCCAATTACTGTCCTCTATGAGCCATGCGAATTAACCCGGGCCCATTGCATTGCCTGAGAAGAAATAAGGAATAAGTAAAATAAGTCACTATATTTTTGCATGGCTGCAACCTTTCATTTTGATATTCTGTGGAATGTGAGAACAGTCTGAATATGTTTGGTGCACATAGTTGATTCCCTGAGTGTAATGAAATAGGGAGCTAAACAAGATGAGATATTTTAAGAATCCTCATCACCACGAAGGAGTGATTTTTACAGAAAATAGGCACTCAATTTCTGAATATTGTAACTACGTAAAATAGAATGAGTGAGTTTAAAGCATTACTCTCTTGAAAATTTAGTTAGTCAAAGTCCTAAATTTTCTTTACCTCAATATAGAAATATATATTTACACAACTGAGTAGTTATTTATAGAAATCAACTAAAAGCGAACATTCCTGACAAGAAGGAGATTTTTAAAAAACAAAAAACCAGACTGGGCAACAATAGTGAGAGACCCATCTCTACAAAAAAATTGTAAAAATTATCCAGGCATGGCATGTGTCTGTAGAGCCAGCTACTTGGGAGGCTGAGGCTGAAGGAGCTCTTGAGCCGAAGAGTTGGAGATTGCAGTAAGCTATGGTTGCACCACTGTACTCCAGCCTGAGTGACAGAGAGAGATCCTATCTCTGAAAAAGAAAAAAATAATTAGTCATTCTAATGGATGTGTAGCAATGGCTAATGAGGTTGCACATCTTTTTATGTGCTTATTTCCCATTTGTCTGCCCTCTTTGGTGAAGTATCTGTTCATGTCTTTTGCTCACTTTCTTATCTGATTGTTTGTAAATTACTGTTGTGCTCTGAGAATTCTTTATGTATTTTAGGTACAAGTCATTTGTCAGATATGTGTTTTGCAAATATCTTCTCCCAATTTATAATTTGTCTTTTCATCCTCGTAAGAGAATCTTTCCCAGAGCAAAGGTTTTTAATGTTGATGAAGTCTAATTTATTCGTTTTTCTTTTTATGGATTGCACTTTTGGCATCAAGTTTAAGAACTTTGGTAGGGCATGGTGGCTCACACCTTTAATCCTAGTACTTTGGGAAGCTGAGGTGGGAAGAGGGGTTGAAGTCAGTTCAACACCAGTCTGGGCAACAAGTGAGACCCTGTCGCTACAAAAAAAGAAAAAAAAGATTTTAAGGACTTTGCCAGCCGGGCGCCGTGGCTCACGCCTGTAATCCCAGCACTTTGGGAGGCCAAGGCAGGCAGATCACGAGGCCAAGAGATCAAGACCATCCTGGCCAACATGGTGAAACCCTGTCTCTACTAAAAATACAAAAAAAATTAGCTGGACGTGATGGTGCATGCCTGTAGACCCAGCTACTCAGGAGGCTGAGGCAGGAGAATCACTTGAACCCAGGAGGCAGAGGTTGCAGTGAGATCACGCCACTGCACTCCAGCCTGGCAACAGAGCGAGACTCCATCTCAAAAAAAAAAAAAAAGAAACTTTGCCTAGGTCTAAATTCCAATGATATTCTCAAAGTTTTATAGTTTTACATTTTACATTTAAGTCTGTGATACATTTTGGGTTAATTTTTGTGTAAGATGTGTGAGCTTTAGGTCGAGGCTTTATTTATTTATTTATTGGCCTATGGATATCGAATTAGTTCAGTCTATTTTTTGGAAAAGCTATCCTTCATTCGCTGAATTGTTTTTGTACCTTTGTCAAAAATCAGTTGAGTATTTTTGTGTGGATCCATTTCTGGGTTCCCTATTCTGTTCCATTGATTAATGCGTCTATTCCTCCACTAATACTCCACAGTCTTGATTACTGCAGCTATATAAGTCTTGAAATCAAGTAGACTGTTTCCTCCCAATTCATTCTTTTTCAAAATTTTTAGCTACTCAAGTTCGTTTGCCTTTCATACACGTTTTAGAATAATCTTAACTATATCTACAAAAAAATCTTACTGATATTTTCATAGGAATTGCACTAAGCCTGTATATCAATTTGGAAGAATTCACATCTTTATTATGTTGAGCCTTCTAATCTATGAGCCCCTGATGTCTCTCCATTTATTCAGATCATGTTTAGTTTTCATTGGATCCTTGTAATTTTTACCATACTGCTTCTGTACACATTTTGTTAGATTTATACATTGAGATTTATAGATTTGCAGCCTCTCCAGGTAGTCTGGTAAAAGAAATTTAATACAGAAGAGTCACTACAAAGGGAGAACCTCAAAGCGAAACAGAGAGTGATGAGGCAACCCTGAGATTAGTAACATCAGGAAGTTATTAACACCCTTAGGACTGGAGGGACCAAGAGGGGAGTTGGCATTACTAGAGTGTAAGACCCAGGGTCACTGGTGGGAACTGGACTTATGACAGAGGCTGAAAGGGAACTGGGACGCCAGGGAAAAGTGATCTAGTGGGGACCTGGAACCCTGGAAGAGACAGCCAATGCTGGAGGCAGAAAAGAGGGCAGGGGAAATAGCTTGGTTTCTCTCTTTCTGCCATCCCACTAGTCTTCTAGTAGTGCCTCCCATTGATCAAAACTAACTGATTGGATAGGGAGTCTTAGAAATCTAAATCTAATTTGCAGCAGGAAGACAGAGAACTGACCTGAGAGCAAATAGGAAACAAGTTTCAAAATTAAATCAAGGAGAAGAAAAAAGCAAAAAACCCAACAACAGTAAACTTGTAACATTAAAGCAATGGAATCTACAGGTAAATATCTTCTGTAACCTTCCTAACCCCCTGCCCCAAAGACCCTGGGGCCAGACAGTTCTATAAAATTAAACAGATAATCCTAGTGTTATACAAATTATTTTGTATGATAACTAGATAACTAGAAAAGCAGAAAACCTACCAATTTCATTTTATGGAGCTAGTATAACTTTGAAAGTAAGAGTAGAAGGGGAGAGTACAAGAAAAGATCATCATAAAACAGTCATATCTCATTTATGAATATCTTAAGCAAAATAAGAATAAATTGAATTAAACACACATATGTATTGCATATCTATATATCACTATTAAATGGAGCTTTCCCATAATGCAAGGATGTTTCAACATCATAAAACACATAAATGTAATCCAACATTATCAGAATGAAAGAGAAAAACAATTCTCAATAGACACACACACACAAATACACTGGGATAAAATTAAATATTTTAGATTTTTTAAAGTCTTAGTAAATTATGAATAGAAGGGAATTTCCTTATCTTATTTCTAGACTCACTATCTAGTATTTTTACCTCAACCCAACTAAATCAGGGTATAATCGTCACCATTTCACTGCCAAATTTATTGGGCAATTATTATTTTAGTCTCTTAGCAGCATTTGACATGGAAAATCTCTCCCTTCTTTCTGTAATACTTTCTTCCCTGGGGTTTTGTGACTCTCCATGCCCTTGGTTTTTCCTCCTAGATGAATAGTCATCCATTCTCATTCTCATTCTCTGGGGCCACAATAATTTCCTGATATTTAAATATCAAAGTTCCCTGGAGCGCAGCCCTATATTTTCTTAGTTTTACCTCGTCTCTTTATATCAGCCATCCTTGTGATTGCATTCATTCCTGTGACTTCAAATACCATGCGTACACTAATGACATCCAAACCACATCCAGCTCCAACCTTGTAGTTAACATCCTCCCTTTCCTCAGCCCTTTCCTCCCTAAGTCCTTTGTAACTCTGTAAAGGCAACTCCATTTTACCAATTGCTAAGCCCAGAAATGTAGATTCATCCTTGACTGCTCTCTTTTCCCCAACCTTACATTAAATCCACCATTAAATCCTGTGGGTTTTATCTTCAAATATATCCTTAATCCATCCATTTCATGCTACCTTCATAGCTACCAACATGGTCCAAGCCAGCATAATCTCTTACATGATTGCTGTTGCTTCCCAACTGGTTTCTTAGCTTCAATTCTTGTTCCCCTACCGTTAATTCCACCAACAGTAGCCAGAGAGAACTTCTTAAAACATGATTCAGTTTATTTTATTTGATTTTTTTTTTTTTTTTGAGATGAAGTCTTGCTCTCTCGCCCAGGCTGGAGTGCAGTGGTGCGATCTTGGCTCACTGCAACCTCTGCCTCCTGGGTTCAAGCGATTGTCCTGCCTCAGCCTCCCAAGTAGCTGGGATTACAGGTTCATGCCACCATGCCCAGCTAACTTTTTGTATTTTTAGTAGAACGGGGTTTCACCATGTTAGCCAGGATGGTCTCAATCTCCTGATCTCGTGATCCGCCTGCCTTGGCCTCCCAAAGTGCTGGGATTACAGGCATAAGCCAGCGTGCCCAGCCCATAATTCAGTTTATATAATTTTCCATTTTATAATTCCCTAAAGTCTTCCCTCCCAAGGAAGTCTGAAGTTCTTGTTAGCATCTTTGTGGCCTGACCCTGGTCTACCTTATGACTCATCTCCTGCTAGTCTCCGTGCTTCCTCCCTTCTAGTCACACTGCCCTTCATTCAGCTTCTTGGACATACCGGGCTCATACCTAACTCAGTCATTTCTTTCATTGCCTCTTGCATAGAGATTGTCACATGGCCTGTGGTGCACCAGCCAGATCCTTTTCAGAAGGTCTTGTTATCTGACCTGCTAGAATCTCAATGGACAGCCCTGAGTGGATGGCCTCTTCAGGGGATTGTCTTAGTTGAAGAAAGCAACCTTGCTCATGTTCCTACTACTTTCTGGGTGGCTCATGCTCAACGTCTGATCATTGCAAGGCTATAAAGTCCAAGTACCCTTGCTCCTACTTATTCTAACTCCTAAATGGGATCATTTTAGCTCAACGCTCCCTATCAGAACTGGGCAAGGCTGTGATTGGACCTGCCATGCATTCAATTTCTCCTTCTACCCATTCTTCTTTTCTTCCATTTGCTTTCATAGGTGTTGGTCCCAAGGGCACTTCCTGGATGACCTGCATACTGAATTCTGTCTCAGAGCCTGCAAAATACACCCCAAACCACTTATTCAGTTCTTGGCTCACATGTTAATTTCTCAGAGAGATTGTCTCTGAACACTCTATCTACAATGCATTATCTGTCACTCTTTATCTCCCTTCATATCATGTATCCATACCTGAAAGTGTGTGTATATATATAACATATATTATAATATATCATATATAATATTATATGTTACAGTGTATATTACATATAAATATAATTATTACATATAATATAACTATAATATAGAATGTATATATTTTTGTTTACTATTTTGCAAGCTCCATGAAGGACTTTGTCACATTGACCATTCTATATGCAACACTTATAGAAGTGCCTGGCAAAGAGTAAGCTCTGAATAAGAATGTGTGGAATGAAAGGCAGAATAAATTTGATAATGGGTATGAAATATTTTAAAAAGATAGAAACCCCATTCTTTCTTTCTTTTTCTTTCTTGCTTGCTTGCCTTCTTCTTTCTTTCTATCTTTTTTTTTTTTTTCAGGCTCTTACTCTGTTTTCAGGCTGGAGTGCAGTAGCGCAATCATAGCTCACTGCAGCTTCGAACTCCTGGGGCTGATTGCTCCTTCTGCCTCAGCCTCCTGAGTAGCTGGGACCACAAGCATGTGCCACCACACCCAGCTAGAACTCCTTTTCTTAATAGAACAATTTTAGAACTTTAAAGTAAGAAAAGGTACAAGAATATTTGGTATTACTCTGCTGTTCAACAATGCAGTAAGATGAAAGCAATGATTTGAGGACTAAGAACTGGAAATTGAGAGACAAATTATTTTTATATGTAGACCATATGATTGTCTATAAAAGGAGTGCAAAAAAAAAGTTTTGAACAACCTGTTAGAGCTAATAAGAGAATTTGACCTATTTCAAATACATTTAATACAAGATCAAAGTACAGATCTATAGCATTCCTATACATAAGTAATGATAAATATGAAAATATAATAAGCAAAGGATAATTTACAAGAGTAATAAAAATGGTAACTATTTATGAGTAAGTCCAACAAAGATGTGTAAGAAGTTTTTGAAAAAAATCACAAAACATTGTTGAAGAATATGAAAGGAGATTTGAAGAAAATGGAATGAAATTCTATGTTCTTAGATAAAAACACTTAATACACTATGAAGTCAATTTCCTTCAAATTATTGTACAAGGTAAATACAAATCCAATCAAAACTACAGTAGAGTTTTTCATAGAATTTGACAAGCTAATCCTAAAATTCATGTGGAATAGTAAAGGATAAAAACTAGCCAAGAAAATTCTGAAGTGGAACAAAATGTCACAATCTCAAACCAATATCAGCTGAGAATATTTAAGATAGTGTGATTTTAGGGCAAGAAGAGACAAATCAATGAGACAAAATATGAAAGTTCAGAAATTGGCCTATGGAAAAGTTGGTATAGGAGAGCAGTTGCATCACAATTTAATATCAATATTTGATAAATGGTACAAAAACAATTCATATGGAGAAGAAATAAGAGTCCTATGCAAAAAAATTCCTGATGGATTAGAGAATTAAATTTTTTAAGCAAAATTTTTAAGATAAAATTTGGGACTTTAATTCCAATAAATCAGTGTAGGGAAAAATTTGTTAGATAAGACATAAGAGCACAAACCATAAAAAATGGACACATGATAATATTATAATTTAAAACTTTAACATCAGATAAAGAACAACCACACAACAACAAAAGCCAAAATACGTAGAGACAAGCTATAGACTAAGAGAAATATTTGCTATGTATTTAACTCACAAAGAGTTAGTAAGACAAACAATAGATAAATGGGCAAAAGGCATAAACAGGCAATTTATAGAAGAAAACTGAATGGTTAATAAGCATATGTTAAGATGGTCAACCTTACTAACAATCAGGGATGTGCAAATAAAAATGAGATACCCTTTCACATCTATCATATTAGTAGAATTAAAAGTTTGACTCTAAAAGGGGCTCATATGCTATTACTGTTGGGAGTCCAAATTAGTAGAACAGCTTTGGAGAGTAAATTGAACAGAAAGTTGAGATGCTTATACTTAACCATCCAGTAATTCAATTTCTAGAAAACATTCTCTAGTTGAGAGAAACTCTTACATAGGAATAATGTACCAGAATATTAATTACTGCATTATTTGTAGTAGCAAAATATCAGAAATCACCTTCAATATACAGGTATACCTTGTTTTATTGCACTTCACTTTATTGCTCTTTACAGATACTGTGTTTTGTTTTGTTTTGTTTTGTTTTGTTTTGTTTTGTTTACAAATTGAGGGTTTGTGGCAATCCTGCATCAAGCAAGTCTATTGGGGCCATTTTTTTCCAACAGCCTGTGATCACTTCAGGTCTCTGTGTCACATTTTGATAATTCTTGCAATATTTAACACTTTTTAATTATTATTGTACCTGTTTTATCTGTGATCAGCGATCTCTGATGTTACTATTGTAATTTCAGATGTGGTGAAAATAGCAAGAGAATTAGAAATAGAAGTGGAGCCTGAAGACGTTACTGAATTGCTGCCATCTTGCTAGAAAACTTGAATGAATGAGGAGCTGCTTCTTATGGATGAGCAAAGAAAGTGACTTCTTGAGACGGAATCTACTCCTGGTGAAGATGCTTTAAATATAGTTGAAATGACAACAAATTACTTAGAATATTATATCAACTTAGTTGGTGAAACAGCAGCAGAGGTTGAGAGGATTGACTCTAATATTGACAGAAATGAGTAAAGTGTTCTCAAGCAGTATCACACGCTACAGAGAAATCTTTCTCGAAATTGATGCAGCACGCAGCACTTTGGGAGGCTGAGGCAGGTGGATCACCTGAGGTCAGGAGTTTGAAAGCAGCCTCGCCAACATGGCGAAATCCTGTCTCTACTAAAAATACAAAAATTAGCCTAGTGGCCCACACCTAGTCCCCGCTACTTGAGAAGCTGAGGCAAGAGAATCGCTTGAACCCGGGAGGCGGAGGTTGCAGTGAGCTGAGATCGTGCCACTGGGTGACAGAGTGAGATTTTGTCTCCAGAAAAAAAAGAAAGAAAGAAATTGATACGACAAACTTCATTGTTGCTGTCTTATTGTAAGAAATTGCCACAGCCACTCCAGCCTTCAGCAACTACCACCCTGATCAGTCAGCAGCCATCAACAAGGAGGCAAGACCCTCCACCAGCAAAAAGATTATGACTCGCTGAAGGCACAGGTGATCGTTAGCATATTTTAGCAATTAAGTATTTTAAATTAAGGTATTACATTGTTTTTATAGACATAATGCTATTTCATACACTAGACTACAATGTAGTGTAAACATACCTTTTATATGAACTGGGAAACCATAAAAATTGTGTGACTCACTTTATTGTGATATTCACTTTATTGCAGTGGTCTGGAACTGAACACACAATATCTTCAAGGTATGCCTGTAGAAGAATGACTATGTAAATTGTCAAATACAGTCATATAGCAAAATACTGTGCAGCTGTGAAAATGAAGGACCTAAAGCTACATGTTTCAATAGGGATAAAGCTTAATATAATGCTGAGCGAAAAAGTAAGTTGGAGAATATATGGAGCATAATAATATTAAAAGCTTAAGAACAAAAAACATATGTTGTTTATGGATATACTATGTAATTGCTGATATAATTTATAATAAAACCAGCCATAGGAACGTGATACAACAATTATTCTGGGGGATAGAATAAAGGGAATGTGATTGGAAAGCATATACATAAGAGGCCTTAGCCATATTTATATGGTTTTATTTCTTTAAAAAGATTTTAGCTAACTATGGCAAAATGTTGGAATTTGTTGAAACTCAGAGATAGGCATAGAAATTTCATTACATTATTCTTTACACCCTTATGTAGGTTTGAAATATTTTATTTAAAACATTTAAATTTAAAATTATATTTTTAAAATCAAGACAAAGAAAAATCATCAAAATGTTCAGTTTCCTCAGAATCACCTAAATGCCGATCAATAGGAATCTAGCTAAGAAGATGTTAGTACATAGCAAATATTAAAAATGATGCTTCAAATTTATATCATATGGAAAGTTGTACAAATATTTTGTTGAACAGAAAGATTATAAAATATGTACAGTATAATTTCATATCTATATAATATATATATCAGAAGGGATAAATAAAAAAATTTAATGGTTAGCTCCAGTTATAAGTAGATAATAGATGTTCTTTGCAATTTTTCTATATTTTTAATGATCATGTGTATTTTTATACAAATAACAAGAACTATTGAAATAGATATTCACAATTCACTTATCTTAGAAATGTCAATTAAAATTTAAAAAACAATTTTCACTTATTTGCATTTTCACTTAAAAAAATTTACAGTCGTCTAACATATAACAATGTTTTGGCCAATAATAGGCTACATATATAACAGTGCTCCCATAGATTATAACAGAGCTAAAAAATTCTTACTGCCTAGTGACATCATAGCTGTCATAGTATCACATGCAGTGCAACACAACTCATGTGTTTGTGATGATGCTGGTGTAAACAAATCTACTGCCAGTTACCTAAAAGTAGAGCACACACAATTTTGTATAGTACATAATACTTGATAATGATAATAAATAAATGACTCTGTTACTGATTTATGTATTTACTATACTATACTTTTAATTGTTATTTTGGAGTGTATTCTTTCTACTCATGAAAAGATGTTGACTGTAAAACAGCCTCAGGCAGGTCCTTCAGTAGGTACCCAGAAGAAGGCATTGCTATCATAGGAGATGACAGCTCCCTGTGTGTTATTTCCCCTGAAGACCTTCCGGTGGGACAGGATATGGCGGTGGAAGACAGGGATATTGATGATTCTGACCCTGTGTGGGCCAGGGCTAAGGTGTGTGTTTGTGTCTTGGTTTCTAAAAAAAAAAGTTTAAAAAGTAAAAAAAAAAAAAAAAAAAAAATTAAAATTTAAAAACAGAGAAAGCTTATAGGATAAAAATACAAAAAAAGAAAACACTTTTGTACAGCTGCACAGTGTGTTTGCGTTTTAAGCTGTGTTCTTACAAAAGATTCAAAAAGTTAAAAAAAGTGTAAAAGTTTCTGGTGAAACCCCATCTCTACTAAAAATACAAAAATTAGCCGGGCATGGTGGCACGTGCCTGTAGTCCAAGATACTTGGGAGACTGAGGCAGGAGAATCGCTTGAACCTGGCAAGTGGAGGTTGCAATGAGCTGAGATTGTGCCATTGCACTCCAGCCCAGGTGACAGAGCAAGACTCTGTCTCAAAAAGAAAAAAAAAAATTATAAAGGGAAAAAGTTACAGTAAGCTAAGGTTAACTTATTATTGAAGAAAGAAAAAAATTTAGAGAAATTTAGTGTAGGCTAAGTATACAGGGTTTAAAGTCTACAGTATTGTACAGTAATGTCCTAGGCCTTCCCATTCACTCACCACTCACTCACTGACTCACCCAGAGCAACTTCCAGTCCTGCAAGCTTCATTCATATTAAGTGGCTTATACAGGTGTACCACTTTAAAATTTTCTATGGTATTTTTACTGTTTCTTTTCTATGGTGAGGTATGTTTAGATAGACAAATACCATTGTGTTACAATTGCCTACTGTATTCGGTGCAGTACATGCTGTACAGGTTTGCAGCTTGGGCGCAATAGGCTAGTCCCTATAGCCTAGGTGTGTATGTAGTAGGCTATACCATCTAAGTATGTGTAAGTATACTCTGTGATAGTCCCACAACAATGAAATCACCTAATGACACATTTTTCAGAACGTATCCTCGTTATTAAGTGATGTATGACTGTAAAATAATGAGTGATGGTAAGCCTGCGTTTAGGTTTTACCCTTGATCATGGATGTTGGCCACTTGAATCTGTATCGTATTTTCTAAAAAGGAATCTGGCAAGATGTAATAAGAGTACATTTACCATAATAGGAAATTAATTCCAAGGAAGTAATCAAAGATGCACATAGAATGTACGTATTCTTGCAAAAAAGATGCAAGCATGTTTTTGCTACAAAATTATTTGGAGCACAAAATGATTGGAAACAACCTAGATGCCCAATATCAGGGGATGTCAATAAATGACAGTATTTGCAATAAAATGCTATACAGCCAAAAAACAAACAAAACACCCCATACATTTGAGAGATACCTAATAAGATGGAAATATGCCCACAAATAAAAGCAGGATATAAGATATACTTCAAATTGTGTCTTTTACATATATATTAAAATACCAGGAGGAAACACACCAAAATTTAACAATAATTTCTTTGAGAGGTTAAGGGATTGATGATTTTTACTTTTTAATCTTTCTGTATTTTCCAGATTGTATAACAAACATAAATTTTATCATCTGAAAAAGCTATATATATATTTTTGTTTGTTTGTTTGTTTGTTTGAGACAGAGTTTCCCTCTTCTCCCCAGGCTGGAGTGCAATGGCACAATCTCAGCTCACTGCAACATCCACCTCCCTGGTTCAAGCGATTCTCCTGCCTCAGCCTCCCAAGTAGCTGGGATTACAGATGTGTACCACCACAGCTGGCTATTTTTTTTTTGTATTTTTAGTAAAGATGGGGTTTCGCCATGTTGGCCAGGCTGGTCTTGAACTCCTGACCTCAAGTGATCCACCCACCTCAGCCTCCCAGAGTGCTGGGATTACAGGCGTGAGCCACTGTGCCTGGCCTGAAAAAGCTATTTTTAAATAAAGAAAACAACCTTCATCCCTGTGCCTTTCTTGTCTCCCTCTCTAGTCCAATTGGCACCAGGTCACAGAGCACATAGAGATCCCTGGGTTATAGTGCACTGCAGGTAATTACAAGCCACCATTATAAATTGCCCCCTTGTCCAGACTATCCTCAAAAATGTAAGCAGGATTAGATGTCTGTGTGGGTCAACAAACAAGAAGAGCTTGTGAAGGATCAGCACTTTATTCTCCGATCTGGCTCAAGTATATAAATATTCCTTATTATGCATTGCCCTTGGTTTATTAGCCATTGCATCGTCTTGAACTGGTTTGTGACATGAGCTGATAGCATTTGTTGCCCCGAGGAAGGGTTAAACTATGAGAAAAGAGGGGTGGATTAAACAAGGAAGAAAAACTATCAATATGTCATAAAATATACATACTATTTCTAATTTATTCCTGTCCATTTGAGGCAACATATCTAATGTGTTACAAACATTTCTGGTAATACAGTATCGTTGTTCCCTTTAATAATGTGTTAGTGTCTGTAACTCTCATTTGGCCTTGGTGAATTACTGCTTTATTTAATGAAAAAAAGATAAATTGTACTTGATTTGTATTTATTAATTTCTATGAATTTGGTATATGACATTTATGAAAGCTTAGGCACATCATTTTTCCTTTCTTTAATTTACAGCCAGGGAACTGTTTAAATATAATTTTAAATGGTGCATAAAATGCTTCCTGACATATTTGTTTTCTGAATTTCCAACATGCGTATTTGCCATTTCTATATGATGAACAAATGCTGTCTCAAATTGTGGAGAAAGAAAAATGTTACCTGTTTAGAATTCCTTTATTAAATTTTAGCCCTTGTATTTTGGTGGCAGCAGACAGAGTTTCCTGGAGGTTGATAGGTTTAGTTGCAACTGCGGTCTAGTTCATGCTAACTCAATTTGATAGGCAAGCCTTTGCAGGTGTAGCCATCATTCATTTGGTGCAAAGCCTTGAACAAAGTCTAAAAATAGATATCACTTTGATAGCATTTTTGAGGACTAGCAGTTAAATAATAGATGAAATACATTCCTTAAAGAAAACTATTATTTCTCTGATTATTTTCTAAGTACAAAATAGCTTTCATAATATTTATATTTAATTAATTTGAAATTATTCTACTTTTCCTCTTCTGTATTATGGTCATATCAATTCTTAATTATTTTGAGAAAAATATATGGCTATTGTTCAAATAGTGTTATTCTGAAATTTCAGTTTTTGAATTTTTAAATAAACACAAGCTTTCTATGGTGTGTTTTCTTCCAAATAAGAGTCAACGCTTTATTTTAAATCAGAACATATTTGAAAGAAAATAATCACTAGCTCTTTTATGAGCAATCTGAATAAAGAATGGAGATGCTCAAAGTGCTGCTCTTCTCCTGACTTCTGTCATTAAAACAGATGTTCTCTATAACCTTGACCAAACAACTCCATTCTCTAATCAGAAAGAGCAGACTTGTTTGTGGATTTATGATAGATGTCTGTGCCAGACCCTGGAAGACTGTCTAGGATCTATGGGCTCTTACAGACTCATTTTTGTGCTGATATTTGGCTTGTAATTCTGATTTTAACTTGTTTTCTATATTTTCACCCAAACATGGTTTTACTTGTTTTTAAAAAAACAATTTTCTTATTAATTGGATATTCCTGATGTATTCATCACAACTATGAGTAGCTATGGCTTTAAATATATGATGGACTTGCTGATGTCAGCCGCTGAAAACTAATGCTGCTGATATCAGCTGACAGGACTCTAATTACTAGTTATGTGGCTGTTGCCTGCTTAAGAAGCTATTCAGTGAGTTATGATTTAGAAAAGCTGGAGAGCACAGGGCTGATTTGTGAAGAGATATCTAATATGAAAACACCACAGAAATTCTCAGATTGATCCTCACGACAGAGATCTGTCTAATTAGGAAGTGTCTATTTTAATACTAAACCACAAAAAAGCCCAGCTGGAAAAGAATTTATAGGAAGACACGGAACCATCACTAGTTCGGCTGACAGCAAATGCAACCTAAGCATGTTTCTCAGCGTTTAATCAATAGTAGCGATATAGGACAATTACTCCCTTACAGACAATCCATCTCGTCCTATCAAGAGGGAAGGTCTTCACAGGTGATCTGGATGGAGAATCCCTAGCCAACACCACTTCCCTTGCCTCCGGGGTTGAGGACTGCCTAGAAGCTAGACGCTTACTAGAGTATCACCGAAAAGACAGCAGAATGGGCAGTGCTGTCTCCTGGGACAACTTAAGGCAGTCACCCTTGGGTCTGAGTTGCAGGTGAGGCAGGACAACAGGGAGAGCAGGACCCTTCAGTCCAACTGGAGGATTCGATTGCTAAGTTCTGTGATTAGACCCTAAAGTTTTTGAGGATAAGAACCTGTTGCTAAGTTTATATTCTATGTATGCTCAATAATGACTGGCTGACTAACCCTAGAGAGATCTTTGAGGAAAAAAAAAAAAAGACTAAAAACTGTAGCTTTCCTCTGAGGTTAAAAAAAAAAATCTGGTTGCTTTCTTGCCAGATATGAGAAGACACTAACCCTTCACTGAGCTGTCTTTCTCAGTGGAGTTCAGGCAATGTCTACACAAAAGCACAGCATTTTTGCAGGAGTCAAGCCAGGCACATCGGTGTGGGCATCCGCCTTCATGCCTCACCTGGTCTCCTCCTTTCCTCGCCTCTGTGTCTGTGTCATCAGTGGGTATATGGAGAGTTTCACAGTCCAGCCTGCCGAGCAGGCTGTTAATGAGTCATGCCCGCTCCCTGCCTTAACTTTGGCACAGTCTCAATCTCTATGAAGAGAGACAGAACAGAGGAGGAAAAGGTGTTTTGAAAACACTTGCTTATGTTGATACATGTTTTATCTTTGCAGCTGTAGCCACAGAATAGGTAATAGGATGGCAAGTCATCAGAGTTTATTCCAGAAATATCCACAGATTTATTTTACACATATTTTTGCGTCTCTATTATAGAGTATGAAACCCTGGCCTAGGCCACGGGGATAGGATGGAAGCAGGATGGCCATCAGGCCAAAGAGAATGGATGAGTATTCAGCATCCAGCTTGACCACTGAGCTGCCAGGTGACCACGAGGAAGTTACGCATCCTTCTGTGCTTCAGGTTTCACCTCTATGAAATAGCTTTTTTTATACCAAGGCTGTGGTGAGGACTCAAGAAGATTATACCTGTAGCAATGCCAGGCACAACAGGCATTCTGAAACCACTACTTGCCTTCTTCCCTATCTTATTTTGGGTTTCAAGCACAGCAGACCCAGAGACAAGGATTCCAGGACACAAGGGATGCTGCAGGGGAGTGGGGAAGTGAAGCAGAGATTGGGAAGCTGCCAGTAAACATATATTACTAAGCAGATACCAGTGTGGGTGCTGGAACTTAATCCTGCAGGGGAACAGTGTAACACAGAGCCTCAGAATTATTCCCCCCGAGGGAGGAGAGTGCTGGGGTATTTATACACCTATTCCCAAGAATCATTGGTTGAGGGCTACTGGGAGGGGAGTAGATTAATTTGCAGGCAATTTCAGCCTGCTGCATGGCTTCCCTCTCTGCTGTTCTGGGGCAGGAAAGCCCTCAGTACAGAGATGCAGATTCTGGCAGTAGGCAGTCAGCTGAAGCATGTTGGCATGTCCTAGGGACCTGGGCAGGGCAATGACAGGCACAGGGGGGAAAACCAAGGCATAGAAAATACTGTAGTTTCCATCAAGAAGCCACTACTCTAATAAGGGAGATAAGCCCATTGAAGTTTCAAAGGAAAAGGTTCATGGTGCCAAGATGTCTGCAGTTTCCAGGAGAGATCAGCACCTGGATCTCCCCAGGGTGGTACTTGCTACATTCAGGCCTTTGGTTCTCAGCCCTGAATTTGATCTGTCAGCAGCTGGAGAGTGAATTCAGAGGAACTGTTAGACTCATGTTAACCAAAACCCACAGAGTCTGAGAAGAAAACCAGAATGCCCATGTGTTGATTGGCATTCTCTCTCTGCAGGTTAAGCTTCATGAGGGACCAAATTACAATATTAAAGTGAGTTTATAAGTGGAGATTCAGAAAAATAGATGCTATAGCATCCATTGAGGAACTCTTCTCCAGCAAAGAGATAGCCTTGCCCGCAGGGTTATTTAGAGGGAAACCCTTTATCCTCACATTCCTGTCTGGCTCTGCCAAGGGTAGATTCTGGCTCCCTTATTCATAGCTTCCAGAGATACAGGGTATGCAGTGGTTAAGAGTGAAGACTCTGGAGTCAGGATGCCCCTTGTTCAAACCTTGTCCTGCCATTGCACTAGCCATGTGACATTGGGGAGATATTTAATCTCTCTGCATCTGCTCTCTCATCCATAATAGTACCTATTTTATAGAGTTGTTGTGTGGATTAAATATAATACATATGAAGAGCCTGGGATAGTATTTGATGCATAGTTAAGTGTTAGTCGTCATTATTGCTGCTATTAAGAACCCCCTTTTAAGCTGCCACAGTCAATTTAGGTATGTTAATAGTCTTTAGCAAGCTTTATGCTGTTCTTGGAACCAGTTGGTCTCGTTAAGGGGTCTTTGCAGATCTCTATAGCACAGTGCCTATAGCCTACAATCTGTTCTATATACTTAAAGTTGGCTAAGAGGGTAGATCTTTTGTTAAATGTTCTTACCAAACTACAACAGGAATAATAATAACAATAAGGATGGTGGGAGGAAACTTTGGGAGATGATGGACATGGTCATGGCCTTGATGGTGGTAATAGTTTCATGGGCGTATACCTATCCCCAAACTCATCCAGATATATATGTTACATATGTACACGTTTTTATCTAACTTCAATAAAGTGGTTTAAAAAAGAGGGGTCTTTGCTTATCATCATCCTAAGAGGTCTGTCATTTGTGTGTTGGGGAAGGAGGATGACTCATTTCTCCTTCCATTGTCCTGACTATACAGATACATAGAAAAACAACTCTATTGCAGAACAACTTGGACAGGACTCAGAGTGCCAGGAGGTGCAGAGGCCAGAAGACTCCTGGAAGCATGGAGCCGGAGCACTGCAACTGCATTCGACTGGTGGCTGAACAGGCAGCAAGCCTAGAATTTCATGTTAGGAGGGTATTTTCAAATGTTGCACAATCAAGAATATCATTAAGTGTTTGGCTCTGGAATGCAGTCTGGGACTCTGCCAAGTATATCTCTCTTACAACTTGGGGGCAAAGCAACAAATCAGAGCCACTGTCAGTTTTAGCCCTAATAAGTGAAGTGTGTTCCTTGATGGAACCAGAGATCCCAACTCATTCAAGAGGACAATAGGACCCCTTGAAGAGTGAATGAAATGCATCAATATAGAATGTACACATTCAAAAATCTATCAGTTGACTTGGTGCAGTAGCTCATGCCTCTAATCCCAGCACTTTGGGACACTGAGGAGCAAGAATTGCTTGAGGCCAGGAGTTTGGGACTAGCATGGGCGCCAAAGTGAGACCCCTGTCTCTACAAAAAATTAAAAAATTAGCCAGGTGTGGTGGTACACATCCATAGTCCCAGCTACTGAAGCTGAGGCAAGAGGATCACTTGAGCCCGGGAGTTTGAGGCTGCAGTGAGCTACGATTGTGCCACTGCACTCCAGCCTGGGCAACAGAACAAGATCCTGTCTCAAAAAAAAAAAAAAAAAAAAAAAAAAAAGGAAAACCTATGCGCTGCAAGTGGAAGGGATGTTATTGTTAAAGACCCCACACAGTCCAGGGGAATAAAAGGATTCTTGAGAATGAATGAAAAGCATCACCACAGAATATAAATGTTGAGAGAACCGTAAGGGTACTTAGCAGCAGTGAGTGTGATAGAAAGGACACAGAATGTGAAGTTCAAGTTCCACTCTCAAATGGGCTATGAGGCTTTGGGAAGTCATTTAGCCTCTCTGGACTAATATAGTCTTTCTCTGTCAAATGAAAAGTTTGACTAGTTGTTTTGTAAGATATGTTCCAAGTCTAACACTATTCTGTGATTCCCACTATTAAGATGGATAGAAGAGTGGAGGAGCTGTTTCAGTTGGAAAACAAAAATTTCAATGTTCCTTAAAATTTTTCTCCTATCAATCCACGGTCCCTGGCAAGAAATCTTCGTGTACTAAAGTGAAGCCAATTAACATTCCTTACTACTTCTCTGTCATAAATCATCGTTAACTCGGAGAAGGCAGATGGGTGAGTAGCTATAAGACATATTCTTATAGATTGGTTTGTTCATATCCCACAAATTTAATTTCATAAAACAAGAACCCTATTTCCATTCTTCAGAGGCACTGTTTACCGCAGACTCTCAGGTGTGTGTAGGCAGAAAAAATGCTGATAGCTCAGTGAGATGAGGACTCAGTGCCATCCACTGAGGCTGAGCAACGTGGTGACTTGATAAGAGCAACTTTGGTGGAGTGGTGGCAGGGGAGCCTGATTAGAGAGGGCTTAAGGGAGAATGGGAGAAGAGAAATTGCAAACAGTGGGAATAGACAGGTCTTTTCCTAGGTTTTGCTATAAAGGGAAAGAGATATTAATAAATGCAGGGCAGTGGAGTCAAGAGGGTTGTTTTTTTTTCCAAATGGGAAACTAACAACATGCTTGTTGCTAAGAATTATTTGGTAGTGAGGGGATACTTGACCAATAGGCTCAGTTGAAATTTAACTAAGGTTTTGGTTTAGCCAAGCCAGTTCCAGAGAGAGAGAGAGAGAGAGAGAGAGACAGGAGCAAAGGAGTCAAATCTGCATGCAAGGGAATGCTTATAAAGATAGACCATGGAATGAAACTGGGTAGGGAGGGGAGAGAGGATGCTGAGGGATTTGAACAGGGAGGAGATAGGATCGTTGCATTAAAGTCCTGGTGTTGTAGAAGGATTGGTTGTATTGGGGTGCAAAGAGAACAAGCTGGAGAGATGATAGGTGGTGGTGAGAGAGTAGGATGTCTGAAATCAAGATTTTGGAGGTGTTGAAATTATTAACAATGAAAAGATCAAAGATATAACCATAGAAGGGAGTAGCAGAGATTGAGGCGAGGACAAGGCCTTTAGAGAAAGGAGATTAAGGAATTGCCAGGCCAAGGCATTGGAAAGAATATTTGATTATTAAAATCACAGGAATAATAATTGGACTGGTTTTGAAGAGAGTGATAGTGAATTGGTTGCTACAGTTTTGAAGGCATGAGGGGTACTGGCCTTGGGGTCAGTCGATGGCTGAAACCAGGGGTTGAGGAGGTGATAGCAGCTGATTAATGAGATTTAAAGCTGAGCATTTTTAGGAAGAAGTGAAGGAGACTAGGCTTGAAGCAACAATGTAGAACATGAAGAGTATCTATTCCACCTCTGACTCCATCACACAAAGAATAAATAGCTATCAGACCACCCGACAGGGCTGCAGGGGAAGACACATCCTCAAGGAGGCCGCCAAAAAAAGTCAAGGAATGTTCTTGGAAGAGGCTGAGAATATAGGGCAGATATCAACAAACTATAGCCTGTGGGCTGCCTATTTTTGTAAATAAAGGTTTTCTGCAGCCACCACAGCCATGCCCATTGATTTATGCACTGTCTATGGCTGCTTTGGGGCTGCAATGGCAGAGCTGAACCACTGCAACAGAGATCATATGGCCCGCAAAGCCTAAAACATGTACTGTTTGCTCCTTTCCAGAAAAAGCTTGCCAACCCTGGTGGAGTGGATTTTATTCATGATTATTGACCTTGAGTTTCAGAGACCACAGGGAAAGGGTTGCAGGAGGCAAGGAGGAGTGAGAGATGGGGGTCATATAAAGCAACATGAGATACTGCAGATGACAGTCTGGCACTGGGAGGCAATCTGGGAGTCTTGGGCTTCTTGTGGGACTGACATGAACAGTGATTACGGGTACGAAGACCTTGAACCTCACAGTCTCAAGGTAGGTGGTGATAGGCTGTGAACAGGAAGGGCAAGGGTGCCTTCAGGAGCTTGATGAGGTTGGAGGTTGGCATGTGAGTCCTGCAGGGA
Organism: Homo sapiens; assembly: GCF_000001405.40. NCBI lineage: Eukaryota > Metazoa > Chordata > Mammalia > Primates > Hominidae > Homo > Homo sapiens. The sequence continues at coordinate 140,192,132 of NC_000004.12, forward strand.
GGTGTGGAGCCCAGCAAGCAGGGCTCTCCCATGACCCCTGTTGCCCATCACTTCTGGAGTGGGGGGCTTATTCTGGGTATACCCTTTCTCTTCACTTGTACCGACAGGTCTCCAGGCCAGCAGAGGGGCCTGATAATCTTTGGTTAGAACATGTCATTACAGAATGTGGCCTTAGTTAGCCTTGCATTCATTCCTCTTCCTAGATTGGGCATTGCTTATCAGATCCTCCTAATACAAATTTATTCATTCCAATTTAATATTGATGCTTCATTAAACTGGAAGACCTTCAGCCTGACCTTCAGTAGATTAGCTTTATTCTGCTTTATGACAAATGGTGCTAAACATACCATCCGTGGGCAATAACTGTAAGAATTAAGTTAAATATTCAAAGGCAGACAACTCACTAATGCAGCTTATTTCACTTTTTAAATATTTTTTCCTGTACACCCAGAGACTAGCAATTCAACTTAGACCCTTGCACAAGCAGTCAGACCTGAGAAGACATTGTGGCACAAGAAGCTTTCTTTCTTCCTTGTTTTAATGACAAAGGAATAGAATAAAAGACCTTTCAAACAATAGCAAATCAGTGTTGAAGCCATATCTCTGCAACCATTTCACAGTCTAGGTCATATCTTGCTCAAAAGACCTAAACTTGGGGATTGCCATATTGATCAGGCAGCACTTTTCTTTGATGTCAGAACCCCCTTTAGGGACTAGCTTAATATTTTTGCCTCTCTGTCAATCCCTTCTAATGCAGTGAGCTCTTTCATGGCTGCCTGTACATCATACCCAGAAGGACAATGAAACAGAGCTGATTTGTTGGCACGTGTTACTCAACATTGCATGTTTATTTGAATAATTTCACTTAAGCTGTCTAGATGATTTTGTTGGATGATAATCGGTTATTTTTCATGTGGTCATTTGTGCATTAAACATTTATTAAGCAACTACTTTCTATTTTCCAGAACAGTACTCAGCAAAGAGGATACAAAGTCCAATAGAACATGGCCTCTGTCCTTGTTTTCAAAAAGGAGTGAGGGCAAGGTGAGAATGGATTCTGGAAGTCAAGAAGATTACTGGAGATTTCAGACAAGGTTCTAGAAAAGATTATTAAGCAGATGTTTTGAGAGCACTTAGACAAGACAGCAGTGATTATTGGGAGTCAGTATGAGTCCACTAGGGACAAGCGTTGAGCCTAACATAATTTTCTCTTTTGATAAGGTTACTAGACTAGTGGATCAAGGAAATAATATAAGTCAGGTGGCTTAAGTAGCATTTGAGAGTCTTTCACATTATCCTTGTGTACTTACAGGAAGATGAATAATAAGATAGTGGGTGGATTCTCAGCTATCTAATTTCTTTCTCTTTTCTCTTTTTTTCTTTCAACAAATGTTTATAGTGCCAAATAAATAATATGTGTCAGGTGGTAAGTGTGTTCGTTCCTGACTTCATGGAGCCTACCATTACCATCTCTGGCAGGAATGAGACAAGTACCATGCAAAATATACACAATGAAATGGGTGATCTGTAGGGGACTTACCAAGAATATTAATAGATTGGATAAGCCTCAAAGGAAGCTTCCAGTGGTTTGGGTGGCGGGCTTGGCTCTGGAATTTCCCATAGTTTTATCAATAAGTTGGATGGTATAGAAACTATATCATATTTGGGAGGAGAATTAATTTATGTCCATATGTTAAAAACATGTAAACTCATTGTCGAGTAATTAAAAATTATACAAAAGTCTGGTAGAAAATAGGATAAAGTAGACTGGGAATGGTGGCTCACACCTGTAATCCCAGCACTTAGGGGGCCGAGGTGGGTGGATCACTTGAAGCCAGGAGTTTGAGACCAGCCTGGGCAACATGGCAAAACCCTGTCTCTACTGAAAATACAAAATTTAGCTGGGAGTAATGGTGCATGCCTGTAGTCCCACTCAGGAGGCTGAGGCATGAGAATTGCTTGAACGAAGGAGGCAGAGGTTGCAGTGAGCTCAGATCATGCCACTGCACTCCAGCCTAGCCGACAAAGTGATACTCTTGTCTCAAAAAAAAAAAAAAAATTAAAAAAAAAAGAAATAGAGTAAAATATTTGTAGAGCTATAGAGGAATGATAATATTCTCAGCTATAAAGAAACATAATCTAAACAGAAAAGGCTGACAAATAACAGGTTTAAATATGTGAAATTTAAAAACTTCCATACAATGCAAAATAAGATCACTAATATTAAAAGGAAAAAAATCAGGCTGTGAAAAAGATTTTCATCAAACATGACAGAATAATATCTATAATATGTAAAAAACTAGGTTAAATTTTATAAGAAAAAACATGATGAATAGAAACAATAATTCACAGAGGAGGAAATATACTTCTTTAAAAGACACATTCATAGGAGGAGCAGTTCACACTGTGCAGAGCGGTGAGAGTCTCAGGGAGTGTCTGGGATCATCATCCGACTAAGCTCTGTCTGTGAAATGGACAAAAGACTCTTAGCAGAGAATCTCCTCCACCAGAAGAGATGATCACCTCTCCCAGGATGACTTTTCTGACATCTACACCCACCTCCGCCATTAGATACTTCCCTTTTGTGCTCCTGCGATATCCTCTCCATATTTTTCTCATTGTGCTTATTATTTTGTATTCTAATTATACGTTTATGTGCAATCTTCCCCATCAGACTGGAAGCTTCTTGAGTGGAAGAACCATGGCTTGCATCTTTTATTCCCAGAGTCCTGTACCTGATAGGGACCCAACACTTGTTAGTTATGAAATAAGTGGCATACATGTTCTTGGTAGAGGGACAGTGGGAGGCCGCAGGGTGATTTGAGCAAAACAAAGAAAGTAAAATTACAACCCGGCCTCCACACTCCCATGGTGTGAGTCTAAGAGTAGGCCTTAGAGCTGGTGAATTCAGCAAAATCCTGTCCTCCCCAGACATTTTCTCATCATTAAGAAGAGTGAAGAGGTGGCACCAGAACTTTGCATACTCTTGACAAGACTCTCATCCTTCCCTTCATCCCCTCCAAATATTAGTGGCAGCCTCAGCAGTATTATTTGCCTTGAGACAATGAAGAATTTCATCATGGCCTTCATTCCTGTTTACATTAGCTGTCACGAGAAGCTCAGGATGCCCAGGCCATCGTTAAACCCTGGTCAGTGATACTTCCACTCTGTCCTCCAACTCCAGAATCTGTTAAGAGGCTCCCTTGCCTTCTGGTGTGTGGTTGCAGTCAGCCAGTAAGAGGCATGGTGCTGTACCAGGGACAGGAGGAGGGTGAACTCAGGGAGTGTGCCTTCCCCTGAAGTCCTCCTGGTGGGGTTGCCATTGTCTGCCTGCATCCTTCTTTCCAAGGCCACGGCTCCTGCCAGGAAGCCCTCTCCCTCAAGCTACTCTCTCTGGACCCCTGTAACCACTCTCTCTGCTTGCCCTTTAGGTGGCAATAGCTCCTGTTTGTTGCTAGCCCCTGGGTACTACATCATCCTTTGTTGGTTTCCCTAACGTCTTCCCATATTTGTAAATAATTTTTTATTAAATTTTTCTCAGTGGCCCAGTTTGAGTGTGCCATCTGTTACCCACTGGGATTTTGATTGATACATTGCTGAATAATTAGTGTTGAATGAATGAATGAATGACTCTGAATTGCTAAGAAAACAGATGACCAGAAAGCACTCTTTGCAGCAAAACTAGTGGCTGTGGGGATGGCAGGAATTTTCCCCACTTCGGCAACCTGATCTGGAAGTGTAGAAGGGAGGAGTGGCTGCCTGTCGAGCAAGGCAGAGGATATGTGGGAAGTCAGGGAAAGGGAGAAAGGCAGGAGGACCTAGGCTCTGAGGCTTGGAGCTGACTTGGAAGCAGCCATTAATGGGAGCCACGGTGAAGAAAACGCCACGTGGTGGCCATTTGCAGTCACTGTTGAGACACTTCAGGAACCCCAAGCTTGAAAGAATGGAGCAGCATGGAAGGCTGTGGTTTCACCATTATAGATAGGGCTAAAGGCTGGGCCAGAGATACACTGCCTCCCCTCTTACTTCTTCCTACAAGTCCACTGCCTCGTTCCACTCTTTCCTTGTGGCCTCAATGAACATGGATAGCTGTAGTCATCAAATAAATGAAAATGACAGTGGCCTTGATCATACGACATCTGCAAAGTCAACAAAGTTATTTAAAAGTTATTCTGTAGTGAGACTAATATTCTCACGGACTTCAGTAACATTATAAATCTGCAACGCTTTCAGAAAGCTCCATGGCAATGTGCATTGCATTTTAAATAAGACATCATATCTTGTGACCTGATTGTTTCATTCCTAAATGTTCATCCTAAAGAAAGTTTGCAAGGGCAAATTTATAATATAGCAGTATCCCTAGTGTTGAACAATGTAGAATACATAATATTCAGTAAAAATAATAAAATGTAAAATTAAATGTACAATGGGCAGTGATATAAAAATAGTGATATAAAATCATAGGCCAAATTTGAAGAGAATAGGCAGGAATGAAAATAGGATCAACAGAATGGAATTTAAAATGATTTTTTTCTAAACTTCTTTAATGTGGCTATAACATTTTAACAACCAAATATAAAAAAGAAAAAACGTTTTTAAAATGTTAAGTGACACAACGTCAGGAAAGATCATATAACTTCCTTTTCTATAATCCTCCAATTCTCCAATATTTTCCCTGTTCAATAAAAATAACATGCAAATGTCCTTCCATGGTCTTTAGGAGTCTGCATATCTGGTCTCTGCCACCTTTTGGATCCCATTTGTTGACTCTCTTTCCCTTGTCCATTACGTTCCAACCAGCCAGGGACTTTCTGTCCCTTGAAAACTCCAAGCTGATTCCTGTTTTAGACTCTTTGCTTCTGCTGCTCTCTTGGTCGAGAGTGTGTTTGCTCCAGATCTTCACATGGCTGCCTTTACTCCTTATTCAAATATCACTTCAAATGTCACTTTTTAGAGAGGCTGTAGAGATATGGTTTATTATCTGCCCAACAAACATCCTTGGCTCCCACTATGGAAACTGCTAAGAGGCAGGTGTTCTCTTTCACTCCCTGTGAGAACTAAGACATGGGCTTGAGTGTAGCCAATCAGTTCCTGACCCTGGACTTCATATCTCAAGAGCATGGTGTATTGGGGCAGGGGCAATTATAGTTTCATGGCAACTCTGGTGCCGTGATAGTCTGGTGGAATGTTAGCAGACATGATGGTTGATGATCATCACAGTGATGGTTGTTGAGTGGTGGTTCTACTAGCAGTGGCTGTGGCTAGTTGGTGTTGAGCGAACACGCAGACTATCCAGTGATTCTATCTTGGTTGTGCTTTGCCTCCTTTGGGTCCTCCTGAACCTGGGTTCAATAGCCAATGTATCAATGTTATTGGCTACCTGACACTTTTACACAAAACGTCTTCCCTGCTTAAGTTAAGCAGAATTGTCTTCTATTGTTTGCAACCAATAACTCTTAAAAGAACTTCCCTGAAAAATCTAAGCTAAAGTAGCCACTCCTCTGTCTTGCTTATTCTCTGTTACAGTATTCGGTTTTATTTTTTTCATAGCACTACCTGCTATATACTGAATATTGGTAGTGCCCCCTCAAGTTTGTTTTTGTTTTTTTTTTTTTTGGTTATTTTAGAGACAGGGCATCACTTGGTCACCCAAACTGGGGTTCAGTGGCATGATCATAGCTCACTGCAGCCTCAAACTCCTGGGCTCAAGTGATTCTTTTGTCTCGGCCTCTCAAAGTATTGGAATTACAGAAGTGAACGATTGTACCCATTCCCACCCCCCAAATTTGTATGCTGAAATCCTAATCTGAAATAATGTACTTATGTTTCTGTTTTAATCTGTTTATTGTTTATTTCCCAACCCCCAAAATCAATTCCATGAGAACAAAAACTGTGTTTGTATGCCCCATATCATCTAGAACAGTTCCAGGCACGTAACTGGCATCGATAAATATTCATTGCATAAATTGAATAGACAGTAGAATGCATGGCAGAAGCAATATTCAAAAATACCTAAGGATCAAAATTAATATAAAAAAATTTAACAGAATAAATAAAAGATCTGAGTTCACATGGATAAATCAATCATACAAGTACAAGATCAAGGAGATTTTACCTATCAGGAATTTGAATGCTAAGAATGAAAAACCCATAGATTGTGATAGATGGCAAGCTAAAAACTTAGCTTTTAAAATGGGTAAAAGCAATCTTAGTTGTCACTAATAGGAATATATAAGGAATTTCTGCATCTGCCAAGATGAATTAACAAGGATCAGATTTACCTTCTCTCCTTAAACAACTAAAAACACTAGAAAGTAATATGAAACACTGTTTTTCAGACATTAGATAACAAGCAGCACAAGACAGTGATCACTGAGAGAGAAGCAAACAAGCTGATCTTTACAACTGATTCAATGTACTACCTAGATAAAGTTTTCAGGCCACAATACAGGGAGGGGAAACCCGGGAAGAGACTGGCAATCTCCCTACGTTGAAGAGATAAAGTTGGGAGCTCAAGGAGACCAAGGCGCTTATGTTCATTGGGTAGAGTATCAGAAAAAATAAAGCTGCCTAGAAAAAAAATTCCAGAGATCTTCAGAGTGTATTCCTTGGTTAATCAGCTAAATACCACTGGTGCATGTATGCGAAGAAATAACCCAAGTCTCAAGAAAGAACCACTCAAAGAGTAGAGGTAAAAATGTGTGGAAATCACACAGGGCTGGGAATAGTTCCTGTTCCCACTAGCTAGAGTAGAAAAGCCTAATAGTAGATGAGGCACTGGGTAGAGTACTCAGAGGATGTTGCTTCAGTGGTGGAGCAAAATTAGTCCTAGAATAAAGGCTGCTCTGGTTTTCTCAAACAAGCTTAAAAGCAAGCCTTGAAAGCACTGAAGTGTTTTCAAACTTAATTATGTCCCAGAGCAATGCTCAAGAATATTTAAAATAATACAAGATACTCAGTACCCAACAAGGTAAAATTCACAATGTCTAGCATCCAATCAAAACTCGGCAAACATACAAAGAAACAGGAAATGAAAATGAAACATGAGAAAAAAATCAAAACCAATTGAGAAATGATACAGATGATATAATTAGTAGACAAAGACATTAAAATAGTTCTTGTAACTATATCCCATATGTTCAAGAAGGTAGATGAAATCATATTCATGTTAAAGAAAGACATGCAAGATGTAAAAAAGGCATACATTAAACTTTTAGAGATGAGAAAACAATGTCTGGAATGAAAAATATAGTGGATGGTGTTAAAAATGGATTAGAGAGTTTAGAAGAAAAGATTGGTATCTTAGTCTATTCAGACTGCTAAAACAAAATACCTTAGATTGTCAAATGTTTTTACTGCATCTATTGAGATGATCATATGGTGTTTTTTTTTAGTCTGTTAATATGGTGAGTTACATTACTTTTTTAATATGTTATTAAGGCAACTTTCCATTCCTGGGGAATGGAAATATTAAGGCAACTTTCCATTCCTGGGGAAAATCCCACTTGGTCATGATGTCATAAAATAAGAAAGGATTATTATCACCAATATCCTCCCTGTATATTATGAGATTTGATTTGCTAAAATTTTGTTGAGAATTTTTATGTCTATTTCTATGACATATAAATCTGCAACCCTTTCAGAAAGCTCCATGGCAACAGAAATTTATAAACAACAGAAATTCATTGCTTATAGTTCTGAAAGCTGGGAAATCCAAGATCAAGGTGCCAGCAGATTCAGTGTCTGTTGAGAGCTTTCTTTCTCATAGATGGCAACTTTTCACTGTGTTCTCACATGGTGGAAGGGGTAAGGCAGTTCTCTGCGGCTTCTTTTACAAGGACACTAATCCCATTCATGAGCCTTCTACTCTCATGACCTAATCACCTCTCAAAGGCCCACCTCCTAATACTATCATGTTGGTGATTAGGTTTCAACATATAAATTTTGAGGGGACACAACATACACACTATAGCAAATGCTGAACTTGAAGACATAGCAATAGACTATATTGAAGGTGAAACTGAGAGAAAAAAATAATTGAGGAAAAAAATAGAGTATCAGTGAGCTGTAGGATAATTTTAAGCAGCTTAATATAAATGTATTTGGAGTCTCTGAAGGAGAGGAGTGGGAAGAGGGGATGGAAAAAAAACCTATGAAGAAAGAATAAAGATTTTCCAAATTTGCTGAAAATCATAAATTCATAGATGAAAGCAGTTCAATGAAATAATAACAACATAAAGAAGGCAGTTCACAATCAACTTGCTTAAAAGGAGTGATAAAAATAACATTTTAAAAGGATGCAACAGTGAAAAGACATTACATACAGAGATAAGAATTATTGCAAACTTTTGTGGGGAAAAATGCAAGCCAGAAGACAATGGGGAAGCATCTTTTAAGTACTAAATTTTTAAAAATATGATCTATATTTTTATACACCATAAAATACCTATTGAAAGCAAGAGCAAAAAGACTTTTCAGATACAGAATAGCTGAAATAATTCATCACCAACAGATCAGTACTATATTACATGCTAAGGCAGAAGGAAAATGACATCAGATGGAAATATGTATCTGTACAGAAGAATAAAGGACACTAGAAATTGTAACTGCATCAGTCAATATAAAAAGCTCTATTTCTTATTTTTAAAATGTCTTTAAAATGTAATTGACTGTTAAAAGCAAAAAATAATGACAATGTATTGTGCATTTACAACAATTACATATAAAATATAGGACAAAGGTATAAATGCCCAGAGGGGAAAAATGGAAGCACGCTATCACTAAGTTCTTATACTCTACATGAAATAATACAATAATACTTGAAGATAGATTACTTGAAGTTGGAAATGTATAAACTCCAAAGCAAACACTAAAAACAAACACAAAGAGATATAGCTAATAAGCTACCAAAACAGGGAAAATCATATGTAGTTAATTCAAGATATAAAAATGTGAATAAAGGAGACATGGGACAAATAGAAAACAACTAGCAGCATATTATATTTAAATACAAATTTATTAATAATCTCATTAAATGTAAATGGTGTAAACAGCTCCATTTAAAAGGCCAGTATTTTCAAATTGCATGAAAAAGCAAGACCCAACTCTAAGCTGCCTATAACAAACCCATTTTTGATATAAAGATAAAAATAGGCTTATAGTAAGAGAATGGAAAAATATATACCATCCTAGCACTAATCAAAAGGAAGCTGGAGGTGCTACATTAACATCAGACAAAGTAGATTTCTAAATAAAGAATATTACTAAGGTTAAATGGCATAGTGATAAAGGAGTCAATTTATCAAAAGAAGATAATAATTTTAAGCATGTAGGTACCTAATAATAGATCCTCAAAATATATTAAGCAAAATTTTGGTAGAGTCAAAAGCAGAAATAGAAAAACTATAATTATAATAATATGAGACTCCAAATAACTCTCTTAAGAATTATAAAATGAGAAGACAGAAAATACAAAAGATGTTGCTGGACCACAGGAAATTAAATTAAAAATCAATTTTTAAAAACTAGCTGGAAATTCCTCCACTATTTGAAAATGAAATAATAGGCTTCTCTATAACCCATGGGTCAAAGAAGAAATAAAAAAAGTAATTAGAAAGTATTCTGAACTGATGTAAAGGAAAACACCAAAATTTGTGGAATGCAGCTAAAGAGGAAAATTTAAAATTAGAGGAAATTTTATAGCATTAAATTGTAGTACTTGAAAAGAAAGATCTCAAATCAACAACTTCAACCTTTAAGAAAGAAGGGAAAAAAGAACGAATGAAATCCAAGTAGATATAATAAAGAATATAGTAAAGATTAGAGCAGAAATTAATTAAAAATTCAAACAGCAATACATAAAAAACAATGTGACCAAAGGATATTTTCAGCCAGGTTGGTTGGGGAAAAAAAGAGAGAAGATACAAAATGTTAATGTAGCAACTCCAGCTTCCTTTTGATTAGTGCTAGGGTGGTATATATTTTTCCATTCTCTTACTATAAGCCTATTTCTATCTTTATATCAAAAATGGGTTTGTTATAGGAAATGAGAGGAAAGATGTCACAATTGTTCCTACAGAGATTAAGAAAACATAAGAGAGTAGAGTGAGCAGCTGAATCCCCATATATTTGTCAACTTAGCTGAAATGAACAAATTAATTGACAGACACAAATTGTTACAGTTCATTAAAAAAGAAATAGTAATCTGACTAGCCTTATATTTATTAAATTGAGTTGGCAGTTTGAAGTCTTCTAACAGAAAAAAAAAAAAACCCAAAAATTCAAACAACTGCAGGCACATGTGGCTTTACTTGTGAATCTACCAAATCTTTTTTAAAAATTAGCACCAATGCTAAACATATTTTTCCAGAAAATAGAAGAATTCTCAACTTATTTATGACTCCAGCATTACCCTGATATAAAACCAGACAAATACATTACACGAAAGTAAAATTAGAGACTAATGCTTCTCATAGAAATAGACATAAAAATTCTCAACAAAAATTTAGCAAATCAAATCTCATAATATACAGGGAGGATATTGGTGACAATAATCCTTTATTATTTTATGACATCATGACCAAGTGGGATTTTCCCCAGGAATGGAAAGTTGCCTTAATATTAAAAAAGTAATGTAATTCACCATATTAACAGACTAAAAAAAACACCACATGATCATCTCAATAGATGCAGTAAAAACATTTGACAAAATTCATTTTACTTTTTTTTAAGACAGGACCTTGTTCTGTTGCCTAGGCTGAAGTGTAGTGGTGCAGTCATATCTCACTGAACCTCAAACTCTGGGGCTCAACTGGGCCACCCACCTCACGTACTAGCACATCTGGCTAAATTTTTTTTTTTTAATTTTTAGTAGAGACAAGATCTTGCTGTGTTGCCCAGGCTGGTCTTGAACTTCTAAGCTCAAGTGATCCTCCCTCCTCAGCCTCCCAAAATGTTGGGATTACAGGTGTGAGCCACCACATCCAGCCAAAATTCACTTCTAAAAATAATTCTCAGCAAACTAGGCTTAGAAAGGAACATCTTCAACCCGATAAAAACCATTTACAAAGAACCGTTAGGGAAGCATTTACAAAGAACCTACAAGCATACTGTGATGCCTATAGTATGAACTGATAGGCAACATACTCAGTGGTGAAAAAAATGATATTTTCTAAGATCAGGAAAAAGACAAAAGTGTCTCCTTTCACCCCTTCTACTTAGCATTGTATTTGAGGTAATAGGCAGATTTAATGGGAAGAAGTAAAACTGTCTTTATTTGGCCACAACATGATCAACTATGCAGAACATTTTTAGAAATTAAAAAAAACTAGACTTAATAAGTTCAGCAAGTTTTTTTTGTTTTTGTTTATTTATTTATTTTTTTTTTGAGATGGAGTCTCGCTCTGTCACCCAGGCTGAAGTGCAGTGGTGCGATCTTGGCTCACTGCAACTTCTGCCTCCCGGGTTCGAGCAATTCTCCTGCCTCAGCCTCCCAAGTAGCTGGGACTACAGGCATGTGCCACCATGCCCGGCTAATTTTTTGTATTTTTAATAGAGATGGGGTTTCACCGTGTTAGCCAGGATGGTCTCGATCTCATTACCTCATGATCTGTCCGCCTTGGCCTCCCAAAGTGTTGGGATTACAGGCGTGAGCCACCATCCCCGGCCAAGTTCAGCAAGTATTTAAGATACAATGTTAATGAAAAATTAATTGCATTTCCATATATACTAGCAACAAATAATTGGGAATGGAAATTTTAAAAAATACAATTCACATGAGCATAAAGATATGAAATACTTTTATGATATACTGGAATACATTTGCCAATGGATATGCAAGACCTGTACTTTGGAAACTATAAACATTGCTGAAAGAAAGTAAAAAAATAAATAAGAGATATACCAATGTTCATAAATTGGAAGGTGTATTACTATTAAGACATCAACTATCCTCATAAATTCAATGCAGTCCAAATTAAATCCCAGCAAGCTTCTTAAAAAAAGAAATTGTCAAGCTGATTCTAAAATGTATATGAAAATGCAAAGAACCTACAATCGCTAAAACAACTTTTATAAACAATAAGTATGAAAGATTTACATTATGTGATTTTAAGCCTTATTCTAATACTATAGTAATCAAAGTAGTGTGATATTGGCATAAGAATAAACATATAGATCAATAGAAGAGAAGAATCCACAAATAGACTCACAATGGGCAATTGATTTTTGACAAAAGTGCCAAGGCAACTCAACAGAAAGAAGCAATCTTTTCAATATATAGTGGTGGAACAACTGGATAACCATATGCAAAGAAAAGAAACCTGACTATTACCTGACACAATGTCTAAAAGTTAGCTTAAAATGGATCACATACCTAAGTGTTAGAGCTATAACTATAAAACTTCTAGACAAAAAATCCAGAAGAAAATCTTAATGACCTTTGTTTTGGCAAATATTTATTAAATAGGACACAAAAGACATAACTAGAAAAGATAAAACAAATAAATGGGGTTTTATCAAAATTAAAAACTTGTTATTCAAAGGGCACTATTATGAAAGTGAGAAAGCAAGCCTCAGACTTACAGAAAATATTTTCAAGACATATATTTAAGAAAAAACTTGTATTTAGAAAAAATAGCCATTTTAATTCAATAATAATAAAAAAGCAATCTTCTATTGGTAAAGATTTGAATGGACACTTCCCAAAGAAAATATACAGGTGACAAATATACTCAACATCATTGTTCATTGGATAAATACAAAATAAAACCATAATAAGATACCATAACATGCATACTAAAATGGCTAAAATCAAAAGGACAGACCATACCATGTATTTGCAGTGATAATGAGCAGTTCTAATTCTCATTTACTGCTGGTGGCAATGTCAAATTGTACAACCACTTTGGAAAACAGCTTGGCAGTTTCTTAAAAGGTCAAACATATATCTACCACATAACTCATCCATTCCATTTTAGACACTTACTCAACAGAAGTGAGAGATATGTCTCCACAAAGATGTGTGCACAAATATTTATAACAGCTTTATCTGTAATAGTCACAGGCTGGAAACAAACTATAAGTCCATAAACAGGTGAATAGATAAACAAAATGTGCCAAATCCATATCAGGAAGACCATTCAGCAATGAAAGGGATAAGGGATTAGTACACGCAACAACATGGATGAATCTCAAAGTAATTATACTGAGTGGAAAAAAAAAACAGACAAAAGAGAGTATATACATTTGATTTTATCAATATAAAATTCTAGAGGATGCAAACAAATCTATAGTGACAGAAAGCAGGTCAGTAGTTGGTTGCCTCAGGATGGACTGAAGGATGGGAGGGTAGAGAGAGAGGGCTTACAAAGTGGCAGGAGGAAATTTAGCAGGGAGATGGAGATGTTAATTATATTTACTGTGGTGAAGTTTTCCTGAATTTTTACATATGTAAAAGCTCATCAAATTGTACAATTAAAATCTGGTGTGTCGTACATCAATTATACCTCAAAAAACCGTAAAAAAGAAAGATAGCATACAAAGCAAGGTATTTGATGATATCCCTCACATAGAACTTTCACACAGTTTCTCACATGATTCATATGCACTTTAGCATACGGTTCAGTAAGGCTCATATGCAGATGATTGAAAACCAGAGAGTATCACAAAGGAATTATTCTTGCATCAATATAAACTATTGTGAACTCAAGTATGGATGAATAAGTGAATATACATCTCCACTGAAGCCTACATGATTCAAATTTGTGTTTCAAATTTGGGTGTCATGAAACTTCACACAAATTATTGAAACTGCAAAATTAAAAATTCTCACATGCCAAGGGTCCACTGCATCAAATTCTGGACACCACAATCTCAGAGGTTGATGTCTATAAGAGAAAGAAAAATCGTGTCATTTAAAAAATTGGTGATGTTTAGCTGGAATAAAGTTTTAAAGAGTTGAGAACACTCTCTTCAACAGTTAGGAAGAGATAAAATTCTGAGTAGCTTCAGAAGCCATAACTAGAACCAGGGAGTTGATGACTGGGAGATGGATTTCAATCCAGAAGTCAACCGCAAAGGTGAATTCATGAGCTCCTCTTCTCTTCTTTTCCACACACTCATAACACCTTCACATACGTTGCTTCCACACTTATTACACTCTATTGTGTTAACTAGTTTTAAAAATTGTGGGTGTTTTTTCTGTTTGTAACTAAACTATGTACTCCATGTTTTTTAATAACAAGACAAAATAGTATATAAATATCAATTCTCTCTAAATTCGTCTGTAATCTAAATACAATCGCACTCAAAATGTAAGCAGTTTTTTCTTTCCCATCATTTTATTGTTTTGAACTTGAAAAAGGGGTGTCTCAAATCCATTTGGAAAAAAAATGTGAAGATTGTCAAGAAAATTCTAAAAATAAAGGAAAAGAAGAATTATATTATACTAAAATGTGTCTATAGCAATTAAAATACTTTGTCCAAATAGGCAGATCAATGGAAAATAGTAGCGTCTGGATGAATCCATTTAAAAGAGTGAAATGTATCAGGAAGAAATAAGGTGGGAAAAGGTTGAAGATACCCCGTTGTGCACAGTATGTATGTTTTGGGAAACACATATATACTATACACACATGTACACATATATACACACATATGTGCATGTGTTTAGAATATGATGAGATTTATACAAAAGAAACTGTTACACTGAATGATTTACTTTCTCTAGGGTGGGCCAGAGCTGGGGTAAGGAAGTGAGAGTGGATAAGATAGGATTTTTACTTTTCATCTTATCCCCTTCTGTAATTTTGAAATATTTTAATATGTTGCATGTATAGTTTTTAAAATATAAATTAGAGAGAAAAAGAGGGAAAAGGAGAAAGGGGAAGAGAAAAGGCAAAAAACAACAGAGAATTGAAGAAATCAAGGACTGGCTTGGAAGTTACAAGTTACTTAACTTCTCTAAACCTGTTCCTTTTCTGTAAAAAGCGGATTATAATGTCTCATGCACACAGTAGGGTTTTTTAATTTTGAATTTTTGTGGGTACAAAGTAGGTATACATATTCATGGGGTACATGAGACATTTTGATACAGGTAGACAATGCACACTAATAACATTAGGGTAAATGGAGTATCCATCACCTCAAGCATTTATCCTTTCTTTCTCTTACAAGCAATTCAATTATACTATTTTAGTTATTTTTAAATGTATAATAAATTATTATTGACTGCAGTCACCCTGTTGTGCTATCAAATACTAGATCTTATTCATTCTATTTAACTATATTTTTGTTCTAATTTACCATCCCCACTCATCCCCCCTGTCCCCACTACCCTTCTCAGCCTCTGGTAATCATCATTCTACTCTCTTATCTCCATGAGTTCAATTGTTTTAAATTTTAGCTTCCACAAATAAATAAGAACATGTGAAATTTGTCTTTCTGCGTCTGGCTTATTTCACTTAACATAGTGACCTCCAGTTCCATCATGTTGTTGCAAATGACAGGATCTCATTCTTTTTATGGCTGAATATTACTCCATTGTGTATATGTACCACATTTTCTTTCTCCATTCTTCTATTGATGGACACTTAGGTTGCTTCCCAATCTTGGCTATTGTGAATAGTGCTGCAATAAACATGGGAGTGCAGATATCTCTTTGATATACTGATTTCCTTTCTTTTGGATACATATCTAGCAGTGGAACTGTTGGAATCATATGGTAGTTTTAGCTTTTTGAGGAACCTCCAAACTATTCTCCATTATGGTTGTACTAATTTACATTCCCACCAAAAAGATGCAAGGATTCCCTTTTCTCTCCATATCCTTTCCAGCATTTGTTATTGCCTGTCTCTTGGATAAAAGTCATTTTAACTGGGGTAAGATGATATCTCTTTGTAGTTTTGATTTGCATTTCTCTGGTGATCAGTGATGTTGAGCACCTTTTCATATACTGGTTTGCCATTTGTATGTGTTCTTTTGAGACATGTCTATGCAGATCTTTTGCCCATTTTAAAATCAGGTTATTAGATTTTTTTCTATGAGTTGCTTGAGCTCCTTATATATTCTGGTTATTAATTTCTTATCAGGGATTTTTGTATGTTGATTTTGTATCCTGCAACTTTACTAAATTTGTTTATCAGTTCTAATAGTTTTTCGGTGGAGTCTTTAGGTTTTTCCAAATGTAAGACCATTTCATCTGCAAACAAGGATAATTTGGCTTCTTCCTTTCCAATTTGGATGTGGTTTACTTCTTTCTCTTGTCTTATTGCTCTAGCTAGGACTTCCAGCACAGTAGTTTTAAGAATCTAATTAAGTTACTTATGTAAAGGGCTTAACCAATAATAAGCAAGTATTATATGACATCTATAATCGTATTTGCTACTACTAATTACTATTTTTATAGTCCAAGAAGCTTTCCAATAAATGTGCAATTGAAAAATTACAGGAAAATCCCAAACTCATTCATAATAACCTGGAAGGTAGGCTAAGGGAAGCATGGTGGTTATGAGATCATAATAAGGAAAGCTTTAATCTAATCAATTGCACTGTGCTCTGTCCGATGATGTGTGAACAGAAGTGTGGATATGATCTGTGTGAAATCTAGAACATAGACTATTAGAGGAAAGTGAGGGATGGTTTCATCTGTTAGGAGATGGATGTTGATAAAAATAACTCTGTGATTAAATTTTAACTCTTTGGATAGATTCTGCTATAGAGCAAGAATACCATGACCAATTAACATTTTGGCTTTTATAAGTACAATTTTGGGGTAGACATCAGCCTGTATAGAGTTTGGTTAGAGTGAGACTATCCTGGACTGTCTGATATTTTGTTAGGACACAGAAAACATTGCATTTCTGAACCTGAAAAGCTGAGGTCTAGACCCTAGAATTTTATAATCCCCATAAACAAGCTTTTGCTCTGTGGGCCTGACATGAATATGCAGAGAATAGTTTTCTGTTTCGTAGAAACTTCAACATGAATGACATAGCAGATGAATGAATAAATTAGTACTGGAAGACATTGCCACACAAAATTGTAAATTCTATATTATGGTGTTATTTGCACATATAGTATTGCTTTCCCCTTGTTTACAGTAACTCTATCTCATCTTATCCAGATGATCAACAAAACCCTACTGGGTTTGTCTTTGCAGAACTCTCCATATTATTCTTGCCATTTTCCCTTGCCACTAGACTCCAACCTTCCTGGTCTCCCCCATGTCAGAATACAATGCTTTTGCTGTCTGCATAGCTCTTGCTTCCCCTTATTTAACATCCCAACTCAAAAGTTACCTCCTTAGAGTCTGGGATCAAATCTCACCAATGCTTCCTCCAATTAGCCTATGTAAAGTAGTCCCCCCTCCTTGTATCACCACATTCTTCTTCACAGCATCCAACTTCTTACATTTTTTATGGAATACCTAGTCTTGTCTGATAAGAAGCAGATGGTTAGGTGGGATTAGACATGCAAGAGATTTATTGGGGGAATTGCATGTGAAGGATAAAGGGAGAGGGAGCAAGAGGAGGTGAGGAGTGCCATCAGACTGCAGTGCAGGTCTGATACCTGTGAGGAGAGAGCAAAGGAAGGAAGAAGAGTAGAGTTGAAGAGCTTCAAACTTTGGCACATGTCAGAGAAAGTTTCAACCAGGCCTACAGGGAATCATTGAGCCAAAGGCACCCACTGGAGAAGGAGCCCCTCATCTTGTAGGAGTGGGTCTTCATTAGTACCGGTGCCATGCTCAGTCATTGGTTGGGAGCCCACAGGTTTGGCCTTGTTGCAAACACAATGATGGGTACAGAAGGGCAGTATCTGGGACCTTTAGTCATTTACAACCCTGCAGTTAGTTATCTGACATGTGCATTTTTTTTTCTTTTTTTTTTTAGATGGAGTTTTCCTCTTGTCATTCAGGCTGGAGTGCAATGGTGTGATCTCGGCTCACTGCAACCTCCGCCTCCCTGGTTCAAGTGACTCTCCTGCCTCAGCCTCCCAAGTAGCTGGGATTACAAGTGCCCATCACCATGCCTGGCTAATTTTTTTTTTTTTTTTGTATTTTTAGTAGAGATAGGGTTTCACCATGTTGGCCAGGCTGGTCTTGAACTCCTGACCTCAGGTGACACACCTGTCTCAGCCTCCCAAAGTGCTAGGATTACAGGCATGAGCCACCGTGCCTGGCTTTTTTTTTTTTTTTTTTTTTGAGACAGAGTCTCGCTCTGTCGCTAGGCTGGAGTGCAGTGGCGCGATCTCAGCTTACTGCAACCTCTGCCTCCCAGGTTCAAGCGATTCTCCTGCCTCAGCCTCCTGAGTAGCTGGGACTACAGGCGCCAGCCACCACGCCCAGCTAATTTTTGTATTTTTAGTAGAGATGGGGTTTCACCATGTTGGGCAATATGGCCTCGATCTCTTGACCTCGTGATCCGCCTGCCTCAGTCTCCCAAAGTGCTGGGATTACAGGCGTAAGCCACCGTGCCCGGCTGACAGGTGCATTTTCATGGCTGCCAAGTGCTATGAACTGACTGTGTGCTCCCTGCCCCCCCATTAATATGTTAATACCCTAATTTTCAATGTAATGGCATTTAGAGGTAAGGCTGTGTGGAGGTAATTAGGTTTAGATGAAATCACGTGGCTGGTGCTCTTATGATGGAATTAGTGCCCATCTAAGAAGAAGAGACCAGAACTTGCTTTCCCTACATCATGTAAGGGTACAGCAAGATGAGGACCCTCTGCAAACCAGGAAGAGAGCCCTCACTAGACACGCTGGCACCTTGATCTTGGACTTCCCAGTCTATAGAATTGTGAGACTTCCCAGCCTCCAGAACTGTAAGTGGCTGGTGGTTAAGCCACCCAAGTTAAGGTGTTTTATTACAGCAGCCCAAGCTGACAAAGGTACCAGGGTCTACTCCTTGTCCCAGATGAATTTCCTTTTCATGCAGGGTTAGATAGCAGCTCCTTGATGTGTCCTATGGTCCTCCCCTTCTGAGGGAAAACTTAGAAAAGGGAAGCTAGTGGTACAAAATATAGTCCCAATCTGTGCAATTGGTCTCAGGGCTGCAACTCACACTCATCCTCTCACTTTCCACCATCTATTCTACCTTTCCCTTATGCTCAGCTATCCTCTCAGAAGGTCTTGGTGACTTACCTGTTCATGTGACAAAACCTTCATTCCTAAGGAGTCTAAGCTCTTGGTTACCACACTCTTCTCAGTTTCCAAGGGAAAAAAGGGTACTGGAAAGCATCCAAGGAGATCACTGTGGTTCCACACATACTCTTTCCTGCCCTGTTTATATATAAACCATTCTACCTCCTCCTGCTGATCAAGTCAATTACCCTGCCACTAGGGTGATTCCTTCTTTTGCCTGCTGGTCCCTGGACACTAAGGGTCTAAATTGCCCTGTCATATCTTACAGTTCAATGGACTCTTGATATGTCCCTGGCAAGATTAGAGGATTAGGACCCTCCAACCTTGAAGATCACAGAGCTAGAACTCATTCCTTGGTTGGTCACTGGGAGTGGTGGTAAATGGTATCACCTATTTCTAGCCCTTCATTCTGGACTCATAGGTTCCTCTTATTAGAGACATATCACCAGAGACAGTTCTCTCTGATTTAATGCATATAGCACTCTATGTTTGCAAAGTATTACATCTGAGCTAACACTTCAGCTGTGACATTAGAAGGTTGTTCTTCTGTTCTTTGAGACTGGAGGATACAATATGTGATATGACTAGTGGATCTCATCGTCATAGGCCCACTCCCACACATCTTTTGCTTTGACATCAGTTCCCTGGTCAGACGTTATGATGTATGGGACATAATGTTTGTATAAGCTCCTGGTTGGTACTGGCTGGGGCTCTATGTGCAGGAAAGACAAAGTCATACCAGAAAAGGAATCTATCCTGGGGAGCACAGACAGCTGGCCCTTCTAGCATACCAGGAGCCTAATGTAATTGACATGTCACCAAGTGGCCAGATGTTCTCCTTGAGGAATAGTGCCACATTGGAGTGCAGCATTGGCCTCTGTTGCTGACAAATTGGGCAACCACAGGCAACAGTAGCTGAATTGGCTTGATAAACAGTGTGGTGTCCTCTGGGCCCTCCTACCTGACATAATCCTGATGGATTTTCTGGGCATAATATATCTATCCATTTCATCATGCCCACATCCTTCAGCCTTTGTCTTCCTTCCTCTACTATCTGCCAGGACAACTCAGATATTTGCACTTTGCCCAGCATTGTCCAGCACTACCTCTAGGCTTCTAAGAACCATGCTGCTCCCTGAGGCCCTCACCAGGTTGTTAAACCAGTGTCCTGTGAAGATGTCCTTAATATACTACTTATCTGTCTTACATTTGACCCTATCCGTCAAACACCCTCAAAATCTAATCCCAGGGGTACTCCCCTGGCTTCTGCTGGTACATGACAACTAACGCTTGCACCAGAGATGATATACCTTCAGTGTATCATCCTTTCTTCCCTTATCAGAACAGCACATACCTAGCCAGGTTCTGCTGGCTTGTGTGAAAGGAAAATAAATCTTGGGACCCCAGGGAAAAGTCAAGCTGGGAACTATGTCAGTCAAACCTGCCTCCCATTTTATTCCTAAATAAGATAGCTACAAAGGTAAAAAGCTACACACCTTCCTCACAATTTGCCCACAAGGAAATTCCTTGAGGACAAAGGTCAGACAGAACTCAAAAGTCATCCCGCTGAGGCTCACCTGAGACAAACGCATATCTGATTGCTTCCTCTGCCCTATTGTTTAGGTAAAAAGGCAGATTCACTGAGCCACACTAAATTGTGTATTCCGTGGAAGGCTGATCAAGAACTCAAAAGAATGCAACCTTTATCTCTTATCTAATTATGACCTGGAAGCCCCCCACTCAAGTTGTCCTGCCCTCCTGGACAGAACCGAGGTACATCTTACACATATTCATTGATGTCTCATGTCTCCTTAAAATGCCTAAAAGTAAGCTGTACCCTGACTACCTTGGGCACATGTCGTCAGGACCTCCTGAGACTGAGTCACGAGTGAGTCCTTAGGCTTGGCAAAATAAACTTTCTAACTTGATTGAGACCTGTCTCAGATACCTTGTGATTTCCACATGTACCTCTAGTTTTGAGCTTGGCAACCAGAGACGAGGAGGGCAGCTCCTTGTTGCTCTTGGGAATGAGGCACTATGGGGAAAGTGCTAGCTCTTACCAGATGTGTTTGTTTTCTCCTGCTGCATAGTAAATTGCCACAGCCTTGGTGTTTTAAAACAACACCCTTGATTATCTCACAGTTTCTGTGGGTCAGGAGTCTGGGTGGGGCTGAACTTGGTCCTCTCCTTAGGCTCTCAGAGGCTGTAATATAGATGTTAGCCAGGCTGTGTTTTTCTTTCTGGAGCTTAGGATCCTCTTCCAAGTTCACGTGGTTGTCGATAGAATTCCGTTCTTTGAGATTGCAGGGCTGAAGCCCCCATATTATTGCTGGCTGTCAGTAGGGGCCATTCTAGCTCCTAGAGGAACCCACAGGCCCCTGCCATGTGTACTTCTCATTTTCAGCCCTCTGTCAACACAGCAGCACCCTTCTTCAAGGCCAGTTGGAGAACTCTGATCTCTGGGAGGATCTGAGTACCTCTTTAGAGGTTTTTCACCAGATTAAGTCAGGCACAACCAAGATAATCTCCCTTTTGGTTAACTCAGAGTTAACTGATTTGGGAACTTAGTTACATCTGCAAAATCCCTTCACCTTTGCTGGTATTCTTTTGGCTAGAAGTGAGTCACAAGTTCTGCCAGCACTCAAGGGAGGGTTGTCTTCCAGGGTGTGACTCACTGGGGGTCACCATAAGGTATATCTGCACATTAGGAGTGGGTGGGTCCCTGCAGAAATGTTGCAGTAAATCCAGAGAAGCAGCGGCCAGGGGCCACCAGTCAATCATGCTTGCTGCAACAGACCAAGCAGCACATGTTCATGGCCAGCAAAAGCCATCATCACAATTTGTAATTCATGAATTTAATAATGTAGTATATGTGTATGATGTGTCTTCCCTACTGGAATATAAATTCTATAGGGGTAGGGACTAAATGAGTCTGTCAGTGTGGTATCCTCACTGCCTAGCACAATGCTTTCTGTATGTAAGTAGAAGCTCACTACTTACTATCCCTCACTATCCCTCAACCTCTTTCTCCTTTCAGTCTTGGCACCACACTTCAATCTCTCCCTTCTCTTAATTTCAATTCCTTTCATTTTCTGGTAGAGACAAAGGAGACACGTTTTATCCATGGACCCAAAACTCTGGTGCCAGTCACAGACTGGTAAGGCAGCCTTCCCTTCATGTTTAATCATTGCAGGGATGCCTGATTATTCACCCACGTTTCAAAGGTGTCAGACCACGCAGGGACACCTGCCTTGGTCCTTCGCCCTTAGCGGCAAGTCCTGCTTTTCTTGGGGAGGGGCAAGTACCCCAACCCCTTCTCTCCGTGTCTATACCCCTTCTCTGCTTTTCTGGGGGAGGGGCAAGTATCCCTCAACCCCTTCTCCTTCACCCTTAGCGGCAAGTCCTGCTTTTCTAGGGGGCAAGAACCCCCAATCCCTTATTTCCGCACCCCGACCCCTTTCCCACTTTTCTGGAGGGTAAGAACCCCTGAACCCCTTCTCTCCATGTCTCTATGCTCTCTTTTCTCTGGGCTTGCCTCCTTCACTATGGGCAACCTTCTACCCTCCATTCCTCCTTCTTCTCCCTTAGCCTGTGTTCTCAAGAACTTAAAACCTCTTCAACTCACACCTGACCTAAAACCTAAATGCCTTATTTTCTTCTGCAACACCACTTGTCCCCAATACAAACTTGACAGTGGCTTTAAATGGCCAGAAAACGGCACTTTCGATTTCTCCATCCTACAAGACCTAAATAATTTTTGTCAAAAAATGGGCAAATGGTCTGAGGTGCCTTACATCCAGGCATTTTTCACCCTGTCCCCTCAGTCCCAACCCCAAGAGTCGCTGAGTCTTTCCAGTCTTCCTTTTCTACAGACCCATCTGACTTTTCCCCTCCTCCCTAGGCTGCTCGTTGCCAGGCTAAGTCCCAATTCTTCCTCAGCTTCCACTCCTCCACCCTATAATCCTTTTATTACCTCCCCTCCTCACACCTGGTCCAGCTTACAGTTTAGTTCCGTGACTAGCTCTTCCCCACCTGCCCAACAATTTCCTCTTAGAGAGGTGGCTGGAGCTAAAGGCATAGTCAAGGTTAATGCTCCTTTTTCTTTATCCCAAATCAGATAGCGTTTAGGCTCTTTATCATCAAATATAAAAATCCAGCCCAGTTCATGACTTGTTTGGCAGCAACCCTGAGACACTTTACAGCCCTAGACCCTAAAAGGTCAAAAGGCCGTCTTATTCTCAAAATACATTTTATTACCCAATCTGCTCCCAACATTAAATAAAACTCCAAAAATTAAATTCCAGCCCTCAAACTCCACAACAGGATTTAGTTAACCTCACCTTCAAGGTGTACAATAATAGAAAAAAGTTGCAATTCCTTGCCTCCACTGTGAGACAAACCCCAGCCACATCTCCAGCACACAAGAACTTCCAAATGCCTGAACCGCAGTGGCCAGGCGTTCCTCCAGAACCTCCTCCCCCAGGAGCTTGCTACAAGTGCCAGAAATCTGGCCACCAGGCCAAGGAATGCCTGCAGCCCAGGATTCCTCCTAAGCCATGTCCCATCTGTGTGGGACCCCACTGGAAATCGGACTGTCCAACTCACCTGGCAGCCACTCCCAGAGCCCCTGGAACTCTGGCCCAAGGCTCTCTGACTGACTCCTTCCCATATCTTCTCGGCTTAGTGGCTGAAGACTGACACTGCCTGATCGCCTCAGAAGCCCCCTAGACCATCACGGAAGCCGAGCTTCACGTAACTCTCACAGTGGGAAGTAAGTCCGTCCCCTTCTTAATCAATACGGAGGCTACCCACTCCACATTACCTTCTTTTCAAGGACCTGTTTCCCTTGCCTCCATAACTGTTGTGGGTATTGACAGCCAGGCTTCTAAACCTCTTAAAACTCCCCAACTCTGGTGCCAACTTAGACAATACTCTTTTAAGCACTCCTTTTAGTTATCCCCACCTGCCCAGTTCCCTTATTAGGCCGAGACACTTTAACTAAATTATCTGCTTCCCTGACTATTCCTGGATTACAGCTACATCTCATTGCCGCCCTTATTCCCAATCCAAAGCCTCCTTTGCATCCTCCTCTTGTATTCCCCCACCTTAACCCACAAGTATAAGATACCTCTACTCCCTCTTTGGTGACCCATCATGCACCCCTTACCATCTTATTAAAACCTAATCACCCTTACCCCGATCAATGCCAATATACCATCCCACAGCATGCTTTGAAAGGATTAAAGCCTGTTATCACTCGCCTGCTACAGCATGGCCTTTTAAAGCCTATAAACTCTCCTTACAATTCTCCCATTTTACCTATTCCAAAACCAGACAAGCCTTAGAAGTTAGTTCAGGATCTGTGCCTTATCAACCAAATTGTTTTGCCTATCCACCCCATGGTGCCAAACCCATATACTCTCCTATCCTCAATACCTCCCTCCACAATCCATCATTCTGTTCTGGATCTCAAACATGCTTTCTTTACTATTCCTTTGCTCTTGTCTTCCCAGCCTCTCTTCGCTTTCACTTGGACTGACCCTGACACCCATTAGGCTCAGCAAATTACCTGGGCTGTACTGCCTCAAGGCTTCACAGACAGCCCCCATTACTTCAATCAAGCCCAAATTTCATCCTCATCTGTTACCTATCTCGGCATAATTCTCATAAAAACACACGTGCTTTCCCTGCTGATCATGTCCGATTAATCTCCCAAACCTCAATCCGTTACAAAACAACAACTCCTTTCCTTCCAAGGCATGGTTAGTGCAGTCAGAATTCCTACACAAGAGCCAGGACTGCACCCTGTAGCCTTTCTGTCCAAACAACTTGACCTTACTGTTTTAGCCTACCCATCATGTCTCTGTGCAGCGGCTGCTGCCACCCTAATACTTTTAGAGGCCCTCAAAATCACAAATTATGCTCAACTTACTCTCTACATTTCTCATAACTTCCAAAATCTATTTTCTTCCTCATACCTGACTCATATACTTTCTGTTCCCTGGCTCCTTCAGCTGTACTCACTCTTTGTTAAGTCCCACAATTACCATTGTTCCTGGCCCGGACTTCAATCCGGCCTCCCACATTATTCCAGATACCACACCTGACCCCCATGACTGTATCTCTCTGATCCACCTGACATTCACCCCATTTCCCCATATTTCCTTCTTTCCTGTTCCTCACCCTGATCACGCTTGATTTATTGGTGGCAGTTCCACCAGGCCTAATCACCACACACCAGCAAAGGCAGGCTATGCTATAGTACAAGCCACTAGCCAGCCTCTTAGAACCTCTCATTTCCTTTCCATCGTGGAAATCTGTCCTCAAGGAAATAATTTCTCAGTGTTCCATCTGCTATTCTACTACTCCTCAAGGATTATTCAGGCCCCCCTCCCTTCCCTACACATCAAGCTGGACGATTTGCCCCCACCCAGGACTGGCCAATTAGCTTTACTCAACATGCCCCGAGTCAGATAACTAAAATACTTCTTAGTCTAGGTAGACACTTTCACTGGATAGGTAGAGTCCTTTCCTACAGGGTCTGAGAAGGCCACCGCAGTCATTTCTTCCCTTCTGTCAGACATAATTCCTCGGTTTAGCCTTCCCACCTCTATACAGTCTGATAACAGGCCAGCCTTTATTAGTCAAATCAGCCAAGCAGTTTTTCAGGCTCTTAGTATTCAGTGAAACCTTTATATCACTTACGGTCCTCTGTCTTCAGGAAAAGTAGAACGGACTAAACGTCTTTTAAAAACACACCTCACCAAGCTCAGCCACCAACTTAAAAAGGACTGGACAATACTTTTATGACTTTCCCTTCTCAGAAGTCAGACCTGTCCTCAGAATGCTACAAGGTACAGCCCATTTGAGCTCCTATATAGATGCTCCTTTTTATTAGGCCCCAGTCTCATTCCAGACACCAGACCAACTTAGACTGTGCCCCCAAAAAACTTGTCATCCCTACTATCTTCTATCTAGTCATACTCCTATTCACCATTCTCAACTACTCATACCTGCCCTGCTCTTGTTTACACTGCCGGTTTACACTGTTTCTCCAAGCCATCACAGCTGATATCTCCTGGTGCTATCCCCAAACTGCCACTCTTAACTCTTGAAGTAAATAAATAATCTTTGCTGGCAGGACTATGCTGAATCTGCTTAGGCACTCTCTAATCAGATGTCCTGAGTCGTCCCAATTCTTAGACCTTTTATACCTGTTTTTCTCCTTCTCTTATTCCATTTAGTTTTTCAATTCATACAAAACTGTATCCAGGCCATCACCAATAATTCTAAATGACAAATTTTCCTTCTAACAACCCCACAATATCACCCCTTACCACAAAATCTTCCTTCAGCTTAATCTCTCCCACTCTAGGTTCCCACGCCACCCCTAATCCCGCTGGAAGCAGCCCTGAGAAACATCGCCCATTATCTCTCCATACCATCCCCCAAAATTTTCACTGTCGCAACACTTTACCACTATTTCATTTTATTTTTCTTATTAATATAAGAAGACAGGAATGTCAGGCCTCTGAGCCCAAGCTAAGCTATCATATCCCCTGTGACCTGCACGTACACATCCAGATGGCCGGTTCCTGCCTTAACTGATGACATTCCACCACAAAAGAAGTGAAAATGGCCTGTTCGTGCCTTAACTGATGACATTGTCTTGTGAAATTCCTTCTCCTGGCTCATCCTGGCTTAAAAGCTCCCCCACTGAGTACCTTGTGAACCCCACTCCTGCCTGCCAGAGAACAACCCCCCTTTTTCCTTTTCCTACCCAAATCCTATAAAATGGCCCCACCCCTATCTCCCTTCACTGACTCTCTTTTCGGACTCAGCCCGCCTGCACCCAGGTGATTAAAAGCTTTATTGCTCACACAAAGCCTGTTTGGTGGTCTCTTCACATGGACGCGCATGAAACTGCCTTGTGGACCAAGGAGCAAAGGACACCAGTTTGCAGCATGAGGGAAATGCCACAGATGTGACAAAAGAAGTAGAGAGGAGAGACAGAACTCCTGCAGTGCTCCAGAATGCCTGTTTCTCCTGGGGCCTCTTCCTTGACTCTCAAGAGTTTCCACAGTACCCTTCCCACAAAGTTCCCTTTTTTGATTAAAGTACTTTAAGTTGGATTTGTGAGTCCTACATAATATACTTTGGAGGTGTTAAAACACAGGGCAGCAGGGTGCGATGGCTCATACCTGTAATTCCAGCACTTTGGAAGGCTGAGGCAGGCAGATTGGTTGAGCCCAGGAGGTTGAGACCAGCCTGGGGAACATGGCAAGACCAGGTCTCTACAAAAAATACAAAAATTAGCCAGGTGTGGTGGGACACACCTATAGTCCCAGCTCCTCGAGGGGCTGAGGTGGGAGGATTGCTTGAGTCCAAGAGGTCGAGGCTGCAGTGAGCTGTGATTGTGGCACTGCACTCCAGCCTGGGCAACAGAATGAGACCATGTCTCAAAACAAACAAACAAACACAGGGCAGCTGGCAGTCCCCTGCCTTCCTTCACACAAAACAGATGGGCTGTGAGGAGGAGGCTTTAAGGAATGAGAGGAGACCTTCAGGAATGGCTACACTCTATTCTCCAAAGAACAGGCCAGGCATAGAGGATGGAGGCCAGGAAAGAAAGCCATTCAAATTGGAAAGGAAGAATTAAAATGATCTCTGTTTGCAGAGGACATGATCATATATGTAGAAAACTTTAAAGACTCACCAAAAAAATCTGTTAGAACTAATGAATGAATTTAGTAAAGTTGCACAATACAAAATCAACATACCAAAATAAGTGGTGTTTCTACACAAAAAACAATGAGCTCTCCAAAAGGAAGTTAAGAAAACAATCTCATTTACAATAGCAGCAAAAAGAAGAAAATACTTAGGAATAAATAAAGGACAGAGGTCATGGATTCTGTGTGAAGGAGGAACAGGCAGGAGACAGTGCATGGGGGTGTGAAGCAGCTGTCTTTGGGGAACGGGAAGCATTGTGGCCACTCCAAGTTTCCTGGCTCAACCTGTGCTGTCCCGTCAAGCAGAAAGAAGATCATCCAGTCATGGGAGAAGTCAAGTGCTGCTTTCCCACTGCAGGTTCCTTGAGACATCACACAAATCAAAGGATGCAAATGGACATTGGCAGGATATTCTGTAAGACATTCATTTATACTTTAAGCAACACTAATGTGAAATAAAAAAGGCTGCAATGAAAGGAAGAGGGTCTGGACACTGATGAGCACAACAAACCAGCTGAGGTTTTGCTCCTCTTGTCTCCTACCCTCTGGAACAATGGGAGACAAGAGGAGCACAGCACAGCAGAAACAGGAGAGTTCAATAGAATGGGGTGATTAATGGGAAAATAGAAAATGTTGGCATAATTGTAGATGGGACAGGTGGGTGTCCAATAAGACATAAAGGCTGGGAGGAACAGATGAAAGGATCAGAGAGATATTCTATTTCTTCTAAATGGGAAGGGAGAAAAAGAAACATGTATTTATTTAGCCTTTCATTTAGCAAATTTTCATGAGCACCCACTATGTGCCAGGCACTTTTTTTTTTTTTTTTTTTTTTGAGACGGAGTCTCGCCCTGTCGCCCTGGCTGGAGTGCAGTGGCGGGATCTCGGCTCACTGCAAGCTCCGCCTCCCGGGTCCACGCCATTCTCCTGCCTCAGCCTCCCAAGTAGCTGGGACTACAGGCGCCCGCCACTACGCCCGGCTAATTTTTTGTATTTTTAGTAGAGACGGGGTTTCACCGTTTTAGCCGGGATGGTCTCGATCTCCTGACCTCGTGATCCGCCCGCCTCGGCCTCCCAAAGTGCTGGGATTACAGGTGTGAGCCACTGCACCCGACCACAACATTTTCAAGTCATTCAAGCCTGTAGTTCCTTCTTGTTCTTATTTCCCATCAATCCATGGGCATGCAGCAGAGAGAGAGAAAAGCAGTGGATTTTTGTACCTCTCTGCCACATCAAGAGCTTCCTAGTAAAGTCACCAAATATCTTGAAGCCTCAATTCCCTCACCTGTCGAACTGAAAACTTGGGGTATGCCTACTTCCTATATTTGTGGTGAGGCTTAAATAATCACCTTGCAGAAAGTAGTAAGTCTTTTGCAAATATCAGGTATTATTTGGCAAAGTTATTGTTCATATATTAAATATATAGGCATATATAAACTATATAGGTATATATTTATCAAATTATAAGTTAAATAAAAATAATAAAATGGTTATTTTATATCATGTCATGCCATCAACCAGCTTAAGAAATACATCACTGTAATTTTTAAATCACTCTTTATACCCTCTTCAACATATTTCCTTTCTCTCATTTTTATTTTACACATAAATGTATATTATTAACAGTTTATCGGTTGTGTGTTTCTCTGAATTTTATATAAACTGAATTATATTCTATATTTTTTGAGACTTTCTTTTATGCACAAAATATGTTGAGATTCATCCACATTGATGTACAAACATTTCCTTTCATGGCAATAGAATAGAACTTCAATATACAGCTAAGCTTTAATTTGTGGTGAAAGAAGCAAAATATTATGAATTTTGAAAATCTAGAGGCAATCTTCAAATTTCTTTTTATTCATTAATATCTCTGGCCTTTGTTACCCATCTTCATTCCAAGTAGCAATGGAGCTGAAAATGAATAGTTCAGTAAGTTATTTAAACTATATATACCTATATAGTTTATATATGCCTATATATTTAATATATATTATATATTTATATATTTACATTTAATACTTATTTTATATATACATACACACACACTGTATATACAATCATGTGTCTCTTAGGTGATTTGTCATTGTATGAACATCATAGAGTGTACTTACACAAACCTACATGGTGTAACCTCCTACACACCTAGGTATAGCCTATTGCTCCTAGGCTACAAACCTGTATAGCATGATAGTAGGCAATTGTAACACAATGGTAAGTATTTGTGTATCTTAACATATCTAAACATAGAAAAGGCATAGTAAAAATGCAGTATAAAAGATTAAAAAATGGTACACCTGCATAGGGCACTTATTCTGAATAGAGCTTGCAGGACAGGAAGTTGCTCTGGGTGAGTCAGTGAGTGAGTAGTGAGTGAATGTGGAGACCTAGGACATTACTGTACATTGCTGTAGACTTGATAAATACTGGATACTTGAGCTACACCAAATTCATTTTTAAAAATTTTCTTTCTTCAATAATAAATTAACTTTAGCTTATGTAACTTTTTAACTTACAAACTTTTAAAAAAACTTTTTGATTGCTTTATAATAACACTTAGCTTAAAACACAAACACATCCTACCTCTGTACAAAAAAATTTTCTTTCTTTAGATCAGGTCTAGCATGATGGCTCACCCCTGTAATCGGAGCACTTTAGGAGGCCAAGGTGGGAGGATTGCTTAAGGCCAGGAGTTCAAGGCTGGCCTGGACAACATAGTGAGGGACAGTCTACAAAAAAAAAAAAAAAAGAAAAAGAAAAAGAAAGAAAAAATTAGTCAGGCAAGGTGTTGTGCATCTGTAGTCCTAGTTACTCTGGAGGCTGAGGTGGGAGGATCGTTTGAGGCCAGGAATTTGAGGCTGCAGTGAGCCAATGTCACGCCACGGCACTCCAGCTACAGGGCAAGACTCTGTTCCTAAAATTATATATATATATATTCTTTCTTTTTATCCTTAAAATGCTTTAATTCTATGTAATTTTCTTTAATTTTTAAAACTTTTGTTAAAAAATAAGACACAGGCTGGGTATAGTGGCCCATACATGTAATCCCAGCACTTTGGAAGGATGAGGTGGGAGGATGGCTTGAGCCCAAGGGGTTGAAGCAGCAATGAGCTGTGATCGTGCCACTGTACTCCAGCCTGGGCAACAGAGCAAGACTCTGTCGCAAACAACAACAAAAATGAAGACACAAACACACATTAACCTAGGCCTACACAGGGTCAGAATCATCAACATCGCTGTCTTCCTCCTCCATATCTTGTCCTTCTGAAAGGTCTTCACGGGCAATAACACACGTCATCTCCTATGATAACAATGCCTTCTTCTGGAATACTTCCTGAAGGACATGCCTGAGGCTGTTTTGCAGTTAGCTTTTTTTTTTAATAAGTAGAAGAAGTATACTCTAAAATAATAATAAGTATAGTAAATACATAAACTAGTAACACAGTTATTTATTATCATTATCAAGTATTATGTACTGTACATAATTGTATGTGCAATATTTTTATATAACTGGCAGCTCAGTAGGTTTATTTCCACCAGCATCACAACAAACTTGTGAGTAACACGTTGCCCTATGACATTATGATGGCTATGACACTAGACGATAGGAATTTTTCAGCTCCATTATAATCTTATAGGACCACTGTTGTATATGTGGTCTGTCATTGACTGAACCCTGAACTGTTGTTATGCAGTGCATGACTGTGTGTATGTATGTGTGTGTGTGTGTGTGTGTTCCTCGGTATATAAAATATACCTCATTAAAGAAAAGTTTTAAGATTCTCCATGCCTCTGTAATAATACTATAATAAAGTCTTATTGATAAAATAATTCTTTTTTTTCCTCTTGGTTTATTGTTCACGGCTCAGCTTGGATCATCAGTAAACTTCATATAAGGCCAGCTTCCCTCTCACTGTCTATGTCACACCCACAGTGGACTTTTCTGTTTCTCAGGTTTGCCCTGTGTCTCCTGTCTGTCTGAGGGACTTTGTGCTTGTCTTTCCCTCTGCCTGATGGTGCTCCCTCTCCAGTCTCATGTCCATTTTTTTTTTTAAATGCGGAGTCTCGCTCTGTCACCCAGGTTGAAGGGCAGTGGCGCAATCTCAGCTCACTGCAACCTGCACCTCCTGGGTTCAAGCGATTCTCCCAACTCAGCCTCCCCAGTAGCTGGGATTACAGGCATGCGCCACCATGCCTGGCTAATTTTTGTATTATTAGTAGAGACAGCATTTTGCCATGTTGGCCAGGTTGGTCTCGAACTCCTGGCCTCAAGTGATCTGCCAGCCTTGGCCTCCCAAAGTGCTGGGATTTCAGGTATGAGCCACGGTACCCAGTCTCTCCTGTCCTTTAGATCTCAGTTTAAACATCATTTCTTTTATGAAGCCTTTCTGACTCTGACTGGGTTAGGTTTTCCTGCGACATGCTTCTAGAGAATCCTGCCTATCTCTTCCCAATATTCTTCACACTTGTAAATACTCTAGACCCTTGACCAATGCAGAGGTCAGGGACACCAGCACCATTGCACAGTTGAAAATCCATGTATAACTTTTGACTCCCCCCAGACTTAACTATTAATAGCCTACTGTTGACTAGAAGCCTTATTGATGACATAGTCAACTTACACATACCTTGTGTGTTATGTATATTATATACTGTACTCTTACAATAAAGTAAGCTAGAGAAAGAAAATCTTATTAAGAAATTATCGCTCACGCCTGTAATCCCAGCACTTTGGGAGGCCGAGGCGGGCGGATCACGAGGTCAGGAGATCGAGACCATCCCGGCTAAAACGGTGAAACCCCGTCTCTACTAAAAATACAAAAAATTAGCCGGGCGTAGTGGCGGGCGCCTGTAGTCCCAGCTACTTGGGAGGCTGAGGCGGGAGAATGGCGTGAACCCGGGAGGCGGAGCTTGCAGTGAGCCGAGATCCCGCCACTGCACTCCAGCCTGGGCGACAGAGCGAGACTCCGTCTCAAAAAAAAAAAAAAAAGAAATTATCAGGAAGAGAAAATATATTTACTATTCATTAAGCTGAAGTGGATCATCCTAAATGTCTTCTTCCTTGTTGTCTTCATGCCGAGTAGCCTGAAGAGGAGGAGGAAGAGGAGGAGTGGGTTTTGCTGTCTCTGTGGGGGGCAGAGGCAGAAGAAAGTCCATGTATAAGTGGACCTGTGCAGATTCAAACTCATATTGTTCGAGTCAGCTGTACTGAAATTCTGTCTTCCCAACTGCCTATAAGCCATTGGAGAGCAATGACCCTATTTGTCTGGTTTATTGCTGAATCACTAGTGCCCGGCTCAGGCCTCTAGTGGGTGTGCGACAATATGTGTTGAATGAATGAATAAATGAATCGCAAAGCCAGTAGATCCCCACTGGCAGGTGTGAATATGAAATTATAATATAAATTTTATCAGCCACAGTTTGGGCATTATTTAATCTGTGCTTTTCTAAGTACGTGATGACCAATTAGCAGCAGCTGTAAACAATGGACTGTGTTGTCACTGAGATTTACCTTTATTATATTTAATCTGGCCTGGCAATTTCTTCTTACTGATTGTAATAAATTGGGATTGGTATCATGATGTCATTTTAAATGCCTCTATAAGGTCTTTCTTTGACTGCTCGGTGAGAAAAAATAGCAGGTTCGTCTTCGACAGTGGCACAGGATAATGCATTATTTGTTATCACTGTTCAATCAAAAAGTGCATGAAGGATACACATAATTCATCTAGACAGCAATCACCATGGAGTTATGCAGGTCTCTTATGTAGGTGATGAAACAGCCAAATTCCCTGACAGTGGTGAATTATTCCTCATGTCACTAATAGCGATGCCAAAAGAAGTGTCAAGGCCACAGACATGGAGAATGGGGGGCTCTTCAAACTGCTCTAGTAAAAATTTGATATGTTTTATTGCTTTCTTTTAATCTTGATCATTGAGGTTTTAAAATAAAATTATAGGAATGCTAAGCCTAGCCAATGGGTAGGGTGATTAGGGTGATTAATTTCTAGCTGGCAATGGTGTTAGGGATGGTGGCTTCTGTCCAGGCCAAGCCTGGGTTGGGGCCCTATGGCTCCCCATTCTAGCACCATCCCCATGGATCAGCTACTGCTTCAAATCCTAACAAAGGGTGCATGACATATGGGATTTTTCTCCTTTTCATTTATAGTCACATAATTCAGAAAACATATATTCCCTTTTCTGTCACAGTTAAAGTATTGGCCAGATATAATAAATCTCTGATTTTTAAAAGCCTTGTAGTATGAGAGACATGCTAACATATGAATTTGAAATCTGGTGATTAGAAAGTGTTTTGAATGGCCTTGAGAACTGCAGGTAAAACATTAAATTGTACTAATATTCTTGTTTAGTTAAACTTTTTAATGTTTTAAAAAGCCCTTCATAATATTATGGATAAGTAAATTCTTGGGCCTGATTTCAATTTGAGTCGAATTCCAACTAATAATGTTACACCCATAAACCTTCTCCTTAACAGCCCATAACATTAAACTGAAAACAGAATTCTTAAAGGACACTTTTATGCTGCCTACCCATGAAATAAGCTTTACAGACTTTTGACAGATGTCTTTAATAGACACTGTTATTAAAAAGAATGTTACATAAAATAAATTTAGATTGTTAGTCTAGCACAATTACTAAAGGAATACTTCTGCATGTTCAGATAATCACATCTACACTTAATTGGAAGAAAAAAAAAACCTGTGGACATTATAATCTTCGGGTAGCAGTCATCTACTCATCTACCCATCCAGCTCATCATCCTAGATTAGGATTTCTTTGCGTCTTCTCTGCATTATAAGCCCCAATTTTCAGGAAATTAAAAGTTGGTCAGGATAAAGAACTCCAGTTAATAAGCATCAGCCTATGAGCGAAGTTCTTATGAAAATCTCCCGGGGGGAAAAGCCAGCTCTTTTTTAGTTATGGGCGCTGAAAAAAGTTTTGTGGTTTCAGGCACTTTTAAGTTTTATAAGTTGAAAATTGCTTAGACTTTAAGCAGAGAAAAGAAAGTTACAAGTCCATAATATGGATTAATGCCTCTGGTATGTTATGAAGACAACACAAAGCTAGTAAGAACAACTAAACTACTTGCGGGGAAATATGCTATATTGTGAAGAATATTTCAAAAAACCCCACTGCTTATACCAGCATTGAATTTCAGTTTCTGCCTTCAGGCCTACAATATGAAAAATATTATCCACTACAGTTAATTAGGTAATAATGGGGATTTATATGTCATCTTTCATTATAAGCTATTAAACAAAGTCAGAGGGAAATGTCTACTTTTCTGGTCAGTGGTCTGCCCTTTTGGTGGCCAGGTGTAATGGTGGTAAATCAGAGGCAAATAGCCAATGAGATAGCCCTGATATTGCCATTCCCTGTTAACAGAGGAAGAACATGAAGGAGAGCCTTACCCAAGACCATACAGCAAATCAAAGCTGAAGGGAGGCTATATTTGCAATGCGTCAGGCTGTGGCCTCATGCTATTTATTTACTCTGTGTTTGGGCAGTTCTGAGATAATGGGATGGATCAGCATTTAAAATAGCTTTGCCACTGGTTGAAGCTTCATGGAAGAGTAGAGAAGAGTGTGTGCTCTAGATCAGACAAACCTTGACTTGATCCTTGTTCTGCAACTTACTGGCTAAATGACTTTGGAAGGTTACCTGAACATTGGTTTATTCATTTGCAAAATGAGGCTAAAAAAATATATACCTCATAGGTAGTTTTAGGGGTTACATAAATGATATTTGTTTGGATATTTGCCCCTCCAAATCTCAGTTTAAAATTTGATCCTCAGTGTTGGAGGTGGGCCTGGTGGGAGGTGTTTTGGTCATGGGGGCAGATCCCTCATGAAGGGCTTGGTGCCGTGCTTGGGTAATGAGTGAGTTCTTGCTCTATTAGTTTCCCAGGACAACTGATTGTTAAAAAGAGCCTGGTACCTCCCCACCCCCTCTCCCACTTTTGCTCTCACATTGTGATTTCTACACAAGCCGGCTCCCCTTTGCCTTCCACCATAAATGAGAGCAGCCTGAAGCCCTCATCAGAAGCTGAGCAGATGCTGGTGCTATGCTTCTCGTACAGCCTGCAGAACTGTGAGCCAAACAAACCTCTTTTCTCTATAAAATACCCAGCCTTGGTATTCCTTTATAGCAACACAAATGGAAAGACAATAAGGAGAAAAATTGGCAAGTATCTACCATCAGTACATGTTTGCCATTCTTTCCCTCCTCCTCCTCCTTCTTCATATTATTCTTCTTCTGGTTCCTAATCTTGCTTCCCAATTATTTGTAAGTTATATTTCAGGTGTAGTATCTAAAATGATAGATATACTACTTTTGCGTATGTAAGAAATAGCAGACTATGATCCTTTACTTTTATACATTTTATGAAATCTGGCCATGGAGTTTATAAAGGAGCAACAATGAAAAGAGGGCCAAAGTAGAATTCAAAAACTTGGTTCTTGACCCTAGCTCCTCCATTTATCTGAGCATCAGGGTGTGTGTGTGTGTGTGTGTGTGTGTGTGTGTGTGTGTGTGTGTATGTGTATGTATGCAAAGTTGAACACTAAATCTTACCTACCTCACACAGTTCCTGTGAGGATTGAATGGAAAGATAGATAACGAACCCATTTTGAAAACTGTAAAGCAGTTGGCTTAAATACATTAGAGTATTTTATGATTTTTATTATGCTCAAAGTCACTTACGAAGACTGATTTCTAGATCCGTATTTTTTTCCTAAAAGTTTATCCTAACTTGGAACAATTGTAATTTATTACTATTTATTAACAGACATGACCTTAGTTTTGACGACAACCCTTGCTAACAATAAGGAAAAAACGGAGCCCTGGTTTAATAGCACTGTTCAGCTTTTCTCCTTTTTTGAAAAGCTGTGCCCTTACAATTTGTTGCAGCAAGGAGAAGGGCTGTATTGCTTAATAATGGTTCTACTAAAGTTCACCAAATTGTACTTGGTGTTCTGACATTTATTGCTTACAGAATATGTGTTTTCCACCTGGCCTTATTAAACACACACACACACACACACACACACACACACACACACACACACACAATTTGCTTGGATATCAAAGTGGCCATCCTAGTATGGTTAGAACAACCAGAGAAATCAGATTTTTCTGAAACTTCAGGGCTTCAAGAGCTAATCTCAAGTGACAGAGTTATTGAAAAATTTTGACCAAGAGAAGAACCTTACCTTAGAAAAGCACAAACATTTTGTGTAAATAAGCTGTCTCCTTCCTCTGGCAAGGTTGTTTATGCTTAGTCATTGGAAAGTTTCCGATGAACTTTGGTCAACATGGCTCAGTAATTACCAAGACATTGACTACCTACAGCCTGGATCGAAAAGGCAAAGCTTGACCTACTTGTAGCATGGACCCCCAAAAGCATCACTCAAGGTGATGAGATGCTTTCCTTGGAACGCTCTCTCTTTATTTCATGGCCACACCTAGTATAGCCCCTCTGATTTCAGGTCTGCTCTGCCCCAGGAAGGACCTTGAGTTGGACAGTAGCAGAGAAACATTATTGAGCTCTCCATGCATTATTCAATGCTGTACAAACTTCCATTTCTTTTTTTTTTTTTAGTTGAATATGGTTCTTTTTTTCTTTTTTTTTTTTTTTACTTTAAGTTCCGGGATACATGTGCAGAACGTGCAGGTTTGTTACATAGGTATACGTGTGCCATGGTGGTTTGCTGCACCTGTTAACCCATCATCTAGGTTCCTTCCCCTCACCACCCCCTGACCAACAGGCCCTGGTGTGTGTTGTTCCCCTCCCTGTGGCCATGTGTTTTCATTGTTCAACTCCCACTTATGAGTGAGAAAATGTGGTATTTGGTTTTCTGTCCCTGTGTCAGTTTGCTGAGGATGATGGTTTTCAGCTTCATCCATGTCCCTGCAAAGGACATGATCTCATTCTTTTTTATGGCTGCATAGTATTCCATGGTGTATATGCAAACTTCCATTTCTTTAGCACATTCACTGTCTGCTAGTCTTTAAGGAAGCACCAAATGCACACTAGGGTGTGATCACCTGCCAGTCATGAAGGTATTGTCTCTGGGCTCCACACCCGCCCTCGTATACTTGGATTTATGATTCTGAGGTGGAGACTCTACAAACCACGTTTCTCCTCCACCAGCAGGTCCATGGTAGGCTCTGAAAATAGAGGGTATTAGAGGAAGCCTGCAAGGTTGGAAGAGGCAAAGGGACCACCTCCTTCCTGTTTGCTCCCTCTTGGCTTGATGTGTGCTTGCCATGGCTGTGGGCAGCCCGCAGCTATGCTCCTTCACTGAGAAGCAGCATTTCTTTTTCATCTAGCAATGAGTGAACCTAATGTCAATTCTGTCCAACGCTTGCAGGACCAGCTGTGCTGTGTTCCCTTGGTCACTGGCATTTGTTGAGCAGTGCCTCTTCTCAGAGAGCTGAGTTTTAGGTCTGCAGGGCATCTCCTCCAATCTTCTAGGTTTTAACAATTCCATCCTTTCCCTTCTTCCCCAAGCCTAATAGTTAAAGCTGCTTCCTGTGGCTGTGACCTCTAGGGTATCTTAATATCTTCTTTTTATACTTTTAGTTACTATATTAGTCACGGTTCTCCAGAGAAATAGAACCAATAGGGTTTATGTAGATACGTAAAAAGAGATTTATTATGAGGGATCAGCTCATGCAATCACAGAGGCTGAGAAATCCCCTGAGCGGCCATCTCTAAGCTGCAGGCCCAGGAGAGTCAGTCTAGTTCAGTCTGAGTCCAAAACCCCAAGAACCAGCAGCACCAATGTCTAAGATCAGGAGAAGACGGATGTCCCAGCTCCAGCAGAAAGAGTAAATTCACCCTTTCTCCTCCTTTTTGTTCTATTCAGTCCCCTCAATGGATTGGATGCTGGTCACTCACATTGGTAAGGACAATCTTCTTTACTCAGTCTACTGATTCAAATGCTAATCTCTTCTGGAAACACCTTCACAGACACACTCAGAAATAATGTTTTACCAGCTATCTGGGCATCCCTTTGCCTCGTCGAGTTGACACATAAAATTAACCACCACCACAGTTACTTAGTTAACAACGTTTTGCCTAGTTTTGAATTCCTTATACCATATTTCTTTCTGTTAAAATAACAGGGTTAGTTTCTGCCTTTGGATTGAACCCGACTGATACCAGCTGACAATCTGGATTCATATGTTAACACTCCCACAACATTTTCTCCTCTATGAGTAGCTTGCAATCTGTATCTATTGCATTTGTATGTGCTGAAACCAATATTTTTATTTTCGCAAGCCACCCCATACTCACTCTTTGTCCACGTAGTTTAGGTAGGACTGATTCTACCCCTTACTCCAGGGGTAGACTTGTGACTCAAGTCTAACCAATTAAATAATTGCCTTTCCCAACCATGGGGTTTAGTTTAGTGGGTGAACATGTTTTCCAGATGTACTGGAAGTCAGTGTCACTTTCTTATGCTTTCAAGTTACGTGAACTAGTAAGATCCCCACTCCACAACACCCCCCCCCCGTCGAACTTTTTTTTTAAAGCTAGGTTTGAGTTGTATATTTCTCACTGACAAGCTCTTAAACGAAAGGAAAGCAGAGACTTGTTGGAGGTGGGGTGGCAGCAGGCAATAGTCTGTGGTCTTCAAACCACATCTAGAAAGGAGCTGATGGCAGCAGGTAGGTATGCACCTCACTCGGTCCTCCTCCAGCCTGGAGACTAGCTAGACTCTTGGTTGCCCAGTTTCGCACTGGATTGATTCCATGTGACCGCTTGCAGATGAACAGACAAAAGAGCCTTGGGGCTTGATGCTTTGACATCCATATTCTGTGAGACCAATGGAACTTTCTAGATGCACATTCTATTTGACAATGTAGCTTAATTACCTTACAAGATGGTGGGGACAAAACTAAAACACCTTCATGTATTATCTTCTAAATATGGTTATCTGATACTGATATCTAAGTGAAGATAGAGATAGGAAAAGAGTTGGCATTTACTGAATTCCATTATAGATAGGGATTGGGCTAAGCACCCTTAATTCACAACCAACCTAGGAAATGTATATCATCATCCACTTTTAAAGATGAGAATAACAAGGATGAGAAAGGTTGAGCAACCTGTTCAAGGTTATAAGCTAATAGATTCAAATCTAGTTCCTTCTGACATTGAAGTTCATTTTGTCTTTCCACATTAAGAAGGATCAGGGAAGTAAACAGAAAGTTCAAAGAGAAAAGACAATTACTGAAAACATCTTGCCTTCTACCTTTCTCCTTGTTTTCCACACCCAAAGTCCCCAAACAGAATGTGGCTGGAAAACTGTTTTAAAGTATCATTGCAGGCAAGAATCTATCCTGTGTATTGAGGAAAATAAATCCAAAAGCAACAGTGCCCAGAATGTTCAAAAAGTCTTAGGCTATTTCGAGTCCAGCCACAAAAATTTAGCCTTATATTTGTAGAATGATTAACTATCATTCATTAGTGTATTTTATACTTCACTGAACTTAGGCAAATTATATAAACATTTTATATATAAGCAAAACATGTCAAGTGTCAGGACTCAAAATATGTATTTAATTAAAGAAATACATCTCTTAAAACCAAGGCCCTAAATACATATTAAACGATACCCTAATCTGAAGGTAAATGAGATATGCTACCTAACAGATACTCAGTGACCCACACACATGGTAATACCTCCGTTAATGAGGCAAATTCATTCTAGCAGCACACTTTAGTGTCAGAAACTTC
This sequence comes from Homo sapiens, assembly GCF_000001405.40. Lineage (NCBI taxonomy): Eukaryota > Metazoa > Chordata > Mammalia > Primates > Hominidae > Homo > Homo sapiens. The sequence continues at coordinate 140,232,771 of NC_000004.12, forward strand.
ATTGCCTGATGAAGCAATAACACAGAAGCCATAAGGACCCATCCAAGGAAGACAGAAAAGAGGTTGGTACAGTATGACATTATTCAATATTAAACAAAATTACATCAAACAGCGCCAGAAAACAAGTATTTGGAAGTTCTAAGATAGGGATAGATAATTAAAAAGAAGCTGGAATCAAAGGGCTAACCTGTGACCCTCCAGGGAAGCAGAGAAAAGGTTTGAAAAAGAAGACTATGCGATAGACTAGATTAGACTAGTCTGGATTACAGCAGAATAAACTCAGCCCTGTTCGATCACCCCCCACAGCCCAGAACAGGCTTTGAAGAGGGAGCTGGGTCTGGCCCAGTCTCTGCAATGACACAGACTATCTGGAGAGGAGAGATGGCACCTCTGACTGCCCCCACCCCCCCCCACCCCCACCGGCACCTTTCACAAGAGGCCCCCAAACCCAACAAGGGCAAAATCAGGGTAGGAGTTACACATATGTAATCTCGTTGTGCTCCATATTGCCCCATCCATTAAGGGTCCTTTAGGCCAGGCGTGGTGGCTCATGCCTGTAATCCCAGCACTTTGGGAGGCCGAGGTGGACGGATCATGAGGTCAGGAGATTGAGACCATCCTGGCCAACATAGTGAAACCCCGTCTCTACTAAAAATACAAAAAAAAAAAAAAAATTATCTGGGCGTGGTGGCACACACCTGTAGTCCCAGCTACTTTGGAGGCTGAGGCAGGAGAATCGCTTGAACCAGGGGGCTGGAGGTTGCAGTGAGCCAAGATCATGCCACAGCACTCCAGTGCCATATGACTCCAGCAACAGAGTGAGAATCTGTCTAAAAAAAAGTCCTTTAATAAGGTGGCCATCCTTCATTAGTCTGTAGAATTAAAGGACCAAGTACTTTTACCTGGCTGGGGTTCCATGTTGACTAAACCTGACTTGGACTAAAGTGTAGGTCATTAATGAATGAGACAGTCAGTACATGAAGATGACCCTGATCAGATCCTTGGCTTTCTGGACAGAAGCAAGGATGCTGGGACATGGGTTGACACTGGGCAGCTGAAGGGACAGAGGAGGCAGCCAGGAATTATGAGACTCAGAAATGAGAGGCTGGGGAAACCCTAAATTTCACTGATTTCTTATTTATACCATAAACCATGCAGGACAAACATGCTCTATTCACCGAGGTATTTTTGTCCCGTGCAGCTGTGTGGCTTAGCAGGAGCTTTGCTATCGAGCCATATGACTCATGCCAACACTGCTGCATATGATTTATGAAGACTTAAAGAAAAAGAAAACAGCCAGCTTCATTACGAAGGGGGTTTGTTTTCAGAGGATTTGTTCATCAAGGATCATGGTACCATTTGGTCCTTTCTTGCTTACTCTCTGAGTGAAACAGTGAGCCTGCCTCAGCCAGCAAGTGGTCAGAGGGCACCCTCCTGCCTCCCTCCTCCTCATTTGCTCTATTTCCAGCATAAAGAAGGGAACCTCTAGTTTAACAAGAGAACAGATAGCCACAAACAGAGATCTGTGGCTTTCACCTGCCACAGGAGCCTTAGTGACGATGAAACCTGCCAAACTGACTATCAGAGGTATTGTTTGGGCCTGGAACTGCTTACTTCAAAGTTTGGTCTACAGCCCAAGGCATGGGGAAAATGATTAAAAAGGGGTGAAGTTTTATTGACACCCAGGCTAGTAGCTTCTGTCAGATTGTCTCCCTGACTCACTGAGTAGGACAACATCTCCAGCTGTTTTTCTGAAATGGTCCACAGGGAACATTCAACAGCCCTCCCTCCCCGCATCTTCATCCCAGTCTCCCCAGCAGGGGTCAGAAAGGAAGAGGCTGAGATCTTGAACTCTAAATGTTTCTAACTCCTTCCCTAGAAACTTCCCAAGCTGGACTTGACTGGTCTAGTCTCTTTTCTGCTCTTCCTCCCTGTTTCAGCCTCACTGTCCAACAAGGCCAAGTTCACATTTATGCCTTGAAAACTGGGAAAATCAGGCCAGTTGATCGCCCAGGGTTGTGGCAGTAACATGTAATGGCTGCTTTGTGATAAAGTAGCTTTGACTAAAAAAGCAACTTTGGCAATATCCTGTTTATGTGCTTCCAGGAACGCACCGTTACCCACCAATACCCTCACCACAATAGAGTGGAATAAAAGTTCATAAGAATTTGTGAATAATAACATACTCATAGGGCCTGCACTTTGAACACTTTCATCTTAAATTTAATTGTGGGAGGCTCAGGATAAACTTTGTGTTCATGTTGTCTAACTTGTTAATAAGATACATAGTTTATCTTATCACTAGGAAAGATGAGAACAAAGCAGAGTTGGAAGATTTGCAAAAGGAACTTGAAATGAAAAATTTAAAAATATTGAACGTATGTGCCATATGCGAACAAGGTTATATTTTAAGCTCAAAAATAAAAATAAAAATTAAAAATTTTGGTGCAGTTTATTTCCCAGCAAAAGTATTAAATTAAATAGCCCATCTTTTGTTTCATTTTGTTGTAGTTAGTTTGGGTACAGTGCTTCCATGCAGTTTTTGGTTTATTTGTTTAATTTTTGTGTGGTCCAGCCCCTACCCCCACCAACACACACACAAAAGACCTGAACAATTGGTTACAGGTAGTTGTTTTAATCTTTCCCTCTGGAAGCTTTGAAGATGCTTCCAGCTGCATCAAAGTGCTTCATTGCTCTGCGCATCTCCGCCCAACTTCAAAGCCTCACTGCAGGAATTCGTAGTGCAGTGTGTACCGTGTAGTTCTAAAGGAGCTATTACTTTTTATTTATTGTGCAAATTTTTATGGAGATACCCCGGTATCTTTCTTGACACACCACTTAGCTTCAGAGTGGCTCCTTCTAGCTATTATTAAGAATTATCTAGGAAAATTATCTAAAGAAATAGGTTAGGGTCAGACAGCCTGAAACTAGTTTAGCTGACTTTATGTCCTTTCAGTGTCTACTCTGCCACACCCTGCCAAACTAACTCTTCTAGAAGATCTATCAGCAGAGTAGCTGGACAGCTTTCCCTTAGTTGCTGGGAGGAAGCTAATTAGTTTTAAGTTGTGATTTTAAAAAAAAGTTTCACCTTTAAAGAAATTATAGGTAAAGGATTCTAAAAGGAACAGGAGTCCTGAGATAGAAGAGCAAATAGATGCTCTTGGTTGGGCTGCCTAGTAGAACTTTGCAATGATGGAAGTAGTCTCTAATTTTGTGCTGTCCAATATGGGAGCCACTGCCACCAGTGGCTACTGAGCAGTTGAAATATGGCTAGTGTGACTGTAAGACTGAGTTTTACATTTTATTTAATTTTAATTCATTTAAATTCCCATAAGTGGCTACTATATTGAACAGCCCAGCTCTAGAAAACTAACCGTGTATGTGTACGTGTACATGTGTGTTTAGAAAAGCTAGGGCCAGCCTGGGCAACAAGTGAGACCACATGTTTATTTAAAAATTAACTAGGCATGGTGGCATGTGCCTGTAGTCCTACGTGCTTGGAAGGCTGAAATGGGAGGATGTCTTGAGCCCGGGAGTTCAAGGCTGTAGTAGCTATGACCATGCCACTGCATGGTCAACATGTGCAACAGAGTGAGACCCTCTCAAAAAAACAAAAACAAAAAAACCTCAAAAAACTAGGACCAAAGTGGGAGGAAAGAGAAGGAAGGAAAAAGAAGAAAAAATAGTACCTACTCAGAACTTACTGGAAAAATCCTTTTGACCTGTCACCATAATCTCTTCACTCAGGCAATAAGGAGATCCTGCAATCAGTCCTAAAGACAGTAGCGTCATCATTTATTTTCTGTAATCATTAGGGCACAAGGCTGCCATGCCCACACACAAGCTGGGCACTTCCCTGCATTCATCCCTACTGATTGATAGCATTTCAAGTAATCTTGTGCTAGGCAATGGATAAGAGGAAAAGGTAATGAAATTGCCTCCTCATTTACCAACCCAAGCCAATAATGTGTCATTGTGCGTGGCTGTCAGTTTTATACATCAAGGGTGCCCAATAACAGGTAGGACACCCGCCCTTTTAAAACAACATAAATCAGGAGTTGTACGAGTAGAGAGGGGTCACCAAGAGGCCACAGGACTCTCAGGCCTGTGCACTGTCTGATTTGGGGCCTTCAACATATTCCCTGAGCTGGCAGAAACACGGGATTCTGCATACTTTTTGGGAACTCTGAGCTGTGTGAATGCTATGAGCAAGCTCCCGGCTGAAGGAGGAAGGAACCACAGAAAGACTAAGTAGATGTGACTGTCCATAAATATGTGATAGAAGATCCTTGCTGGTTTGAAGTTGGTGGGGCGGGGGCTCCAAACACAGGCAGCAGGAAGAAAGCCCTCTGACCCCCAACAACTCACCGGTTTCCCTCTGTTCGTTTTCCTGCTACGTTCTAATTAGGAAACACTGAAGAAATCTTGGAAAGTATAAAGAACCAGACATTAATAAGTTTTTCTCCATCCAGGAAAAAAAAAACTTGTTAATTAACCCACATTTCACTTCTATAAAGTTTTTTTTTTTTCTTTTCCTCCTGATGTACGCATCTGGGCACAGCATTTAGCAAGGTACTGAAATGTTTAACTGCTGCTACCACTGCTGAGGTACTTTCTCGTCAAGAGAGATTTGCCTTTTTCATCATGAATTCTTTTGTTTTTCCCTGTGGCCAGCTGCTACAAAGATGCAGTCAATTTAGATTAAACAGGCTGAGGAGTGCTATTCAATATGTCACCCAGGCACACTTCTCTAAATACAGTGTGCAGCAGGTACAGCTTAAAAAGAAAAGTCAGGGGGCTGTTCACAGAGGGGCATGCACTTTGTTTTAAGTCTGGGAACAAGAGACGGATCCTTGGAGTGCAGATGTGGGTTTTTCCATATTCAGCGCTGGGAGCAGCTCTTGCCCTTTCTTTCTGCCTGTCTTCACCCTCGTCCCGCTCCTCCCCTTCCCCTGCTGCCACTGGTTTCTATCTCCATTGTTCCCTTAAGCCCAGCAGCCAATGTGCAGCCAGGCCCAGCACACGCTCCGCAGCCAGCAACTTCCTCTGAAGCTGCAACGCATAATTACAACCAGCTGCTCTGGGCTGCTGGCTGGCCAGCTCTGCAAACAAGCATCCCGATACCTCGAGTTCCTGGGAGGCAACAGCCTGATCTTGGCAGCAACAAATTCTCTGAAGGAAGTGCCCACACCCTTGTAAGAAGAGGGAGCAGCCCTTCTCTCTCTCCTGTGGCTTCCAGAGGCCAGCGCTGGTTCTGGTCCGGTTTCTCCTCTCGCAAGAGACTCTTGCATGTCAGTCAGAGAGAGCTGGTTCTATTGTTAATGGGAAGGTGCCTGCTTTCACCTGCAGCTGCCTTCATCCGACTGGCCTATTGTCTGACTGGTGTGACCACCAGCAGAATGGCGTGTCTTAGGCAGTAGCACTAGGAGCCCTGGCTTCTGGTCAGCCTCTCAGCTGAGGCATTTTGTGAATGTGTACAGAGAGATAGGGGTAGGAAACGTGAACTGCCCTCGGCTAGCATGAGGCTAAAAGACAACTGATGTTGCTTAAAAAAATACCAGTGAAAATCCAAACAAGCCTAACTTAACTTCCCTAAGGAGAGCAGCATGTGGGCAAGAGAGCTGAGGGTTCGTCCAGGCCCCGCCTCAGAGCTGCGGGTTCATTTTGGGGCCTCAGTGATCTTTCAGGCTTGGCTACAAGGATGACTCTGATCCAAAATTAGGCTTTGAATGTGTAACACAAGGCTCTTGGCCCCACCCACCGCCTCTCTCTGCCCTATGCTGTTTCTTTAGAGCCTGGCTGTGGGCCAGAGCTGGCCCTTCTGGCTCTTGGGGGAAGGGCTGGCCACAGCGTTCTGTTTCCAGGCAGGGCTTTAGCGTGGGTGAAGGTGCATGGCGCAATTTGGGAAGAGGAGGGGAGATCAATACACTTGGAAAGGGCACCCAACCCTAGAATCACCAGCCCCGTCAATCTAAAGCTGGAGAGGGCCCTGCAAGGGGCAGGTGTGCCACCTGGGGCTGCCGCATTGCCCCCACCCACCTGTGCCTCCCAGCCCAGGCTCCTAATAGTCCCACTGAGCGCCAGCCAGGCCAGGAGGACTGCCCTGTCATGCCCAATAGCAGCCTCCGAGGTGGGAAGCAGCTGGGAGTCTGCTGTTGAAAAGGAGCTGCTCATTTTACAGGGCAATTTCCCAGGGATGCCTGCCCTGGCAGTAGTGGCTCAAGTGGGGCAGACAGGAACATCTTCGAGAAGATTCGTTCTTTCTGTCTGAGCTTGGGCAGTCATGCCATGGCCAGCAGCAGCCAGCTGTCTATTATATTGGGTTTCCCATTTGCAGACCTCTTTGTTTCAGTATTAAAAAATCTCGGGAAACTTTTCTGGCTGAGTGGTACTGGGCAGGTACTCGGGGGCACTTGCTGGGAAGGAATAATAGCAGACAGGTTTGGCAAATGGGATGCAGAGAATTAAGTCGTTGTTGGATATGTGTGAACAATGGGGTTGGTACATTATCAGCTATAGCTTTTCTGTGTCTCTTCATCAGTTTCTAATAAGCTTTACAATTTAATTTCCGACAGGAAAAAAGTATCAGTTTAAGGTGCTCTTTTGGTGTTCAACCCATGCTTTCTCTTCTGATTCTTAAGCCTGGCTACACTTTAGAAGCTCATACAAGCTCATGTCCGTAATAGCATCACGACGCAGCTATTTCAGCCTGCAGATGACTTGTGCAGCATGACTGGATCCTCCACTTAGAGCAGTCTGGAGGGCCCAGTGACGCAGTAATATGATTTTCGGCAGGTTTTTCTTCGGGCTTACAAGGAGGAGCAAGCTTAACAAGCAAACAGTCATGCCTGAGTTCTCACTTTCCTGCAAACTTTACTTGAGAACCTCAGAGATGAGAGTTGCTTTAGAAGCCTTCCTAGAGAAGGAATATGGAGAAGGCACCTGTAGCCCTGTGAGATCAGTAAGTGGAGGGGAAAAAAAAAAAGATGTACAAAAACAGAAAGAGAAAAAAAAGCCAGTCTTCAGGGTTATAAAAAATGAAGTTGGGAAGGATAAGCGCTGGGTTTCAAGGCTTAGATTATTCTAACTCTGTCTGTAATTACCTGCATGGAGTTGGCAGTTTACTGACTTCTTCTAGTTTAGGTTTTCTCATTTGTAAAATAGAGGAGATTATACCATTTCTCTGCCATTCTACCATGGGGAAGCGTGTGTGTCTGTGACTGTGGAGTGAGGGGGAGAGAGGAAGCATGCTAAAAACGTTAAAAGTAGTGTAGAAATGCATTTTGCAGTAGTAAAGTTAACTATTGGTAATAATAGCATCTACTTGTGCACCTTCTACAGGTTATCTGTTTATATTTAAATGAATCATTAGGTCCAGCCATGGAAGTGGATTTAATGAAATACTGTCGACCAATGAATGAAGAAATATAAGTACTTTTTCATCTTCTTATTTTGAGAGAAAAAAATCATATTTTCTGTAATTTATAAACCATCAGATGAAGTTTTATTTTACCACATAAACGCAACTATGAAGGTTTTCGGGCCTCTTCCAGCATCTCCTAGTGCTTTCCAAAGATGTTCCTGACAGTCTGAGAGCAAGGTATCATGTATCATTCTTTCCACCAACAGATGGAGAAACTGAAGCATGAAGAGGTGACGCGAGGTCACCGAGGGAGCAGGTGATGGACTGGCTTCTGGTCTCTTGCTCCAAACCCTGCTCCAATTTGTCTTTCTTATAAACAGCCATTAATAACTTTATCTCCAGGCTGAATGCTGCCAACCAGGACCCACAACGTGCTGAGCATTTGTATGCAAATGAGCTCTCCACCATCCTGGGGAGAACACAGGGTGCTGAACAGGAATGGAGGAAGGAGAAATAATTGTTACTACTGGAGTCTAAAACGCCATCCAAACCCAGACTCACAGTGAAATTCCAGAAATGAGGAAGTAATGAGTGTTAAATTCAATATCATCAGTCAATCCACTACTAACAGATCAAGATCCTATAAACCTAATGGCAGGACTTCCTAAACATTTACTTTATTTTTATATATATATTTTTTGAGACGGAGTCTCAGTCTGCTCCCCAGGCTGGAGTGCAATGGCATGATCTCGGCTCACTGCAACTTCTACCTCCCGGGTTCAGGTTCAAGCGATTCTCCTGCCTCGGCCTCCCAAGTAGCTGGCACTACAGGCATGTGCCACCACACCCAGCTAATGTTTGTATTTTTAGTAGAGACGGGGTTTCACTATGTTGGCCAGGCTGTTCTCAAACTCCTGACCTTGTGATCCACCTGCTTCAGCCTCCCAAAGTGCTGGGATTACAGGCGTGAGCCACCGCACCGAGCCACATTTACTTTATTTAAAAATCTATTTTTGACACTAAGAGATTTTCCTTCCTTAATATCAGAACTGTGCCAAGAATTAGATGGATGGCAAAATAATTAAAATTTCATGTTAATGTTCATATGTTGTGATCATGCGTATCACCATGTATAAGTCAACCAAATGCTTAGGTTGATGGAACATTCCTATTTAAAAATTAAAGTTGTGACCCATTTTCCTTCACATATTGTCGGCTCAAATATGTACCTGTTCCCTTTAGGCTTTCAGCCCGACTCAGCCACTAGCTTTGTGACCTTCGGCAAAGGCCCTGAACCTCAATCTCCTACTCTGCAAATGGGAGCAGTCAGGTTTGTCTCAGATTTTTTGCAAAGGCTAATTGACTTCATGTTTGTAAAAGTATTGGAAGCAACCCCTGGCACGTAGACAGTGCTTAGTGAATACCATTTCCTTTTTCCCCCTTTGAATATGTTTGTTATGAAATGCTTGAGTTTTTGGAGCCAAGGTATACTTTTATATACCTTGCTCACAATTCTATAAGGTAGCTAAGGAAGGTACAATTCTATAAGGTAGCTAAGGAAGGTGCAATTATGCCTTTCATATATAGAAGAAAACTCTGTCTCTGAGAGGTAATTTGCTCAGAGTCAGGCTGCAAATTGGTGCAGAACTAGAAGCCTGGCACCCTAATTCCTAGTCCTGTGATCTTTCCATTAACTTTTTATTGCCACCATTGCCTCCGCCTCAATGAAAGCTCCTGTTGTAGCCCACCCCAAACCAATTCCAGCTCCCAGGATGTGGCTCCTCGGTGCCTCTTTCCACCCCTCCCTGCACTGTTGCCCTAGCTTCAACTCCATCCCATTTTTCAGTGACTTCCCTCTACCTCTACCTGGGTCTGGATGCTCAGAGACTAATCTACATAGTGTATGAGTCCAAATGACTTTGGGAGGAAGGTTCTTTTAAACAAAAGAGGTTGAATTAGATACCACCATACATATTGTGTTGTTAAATATCTACAGCATGATAAAATCATTCCAAATGTCACCAATCCCTGGGGAGTTTATTAATAATTAAGCATTTTTAGTTCACTTAGAAATGCAGATTCCATTTAACAACAGAATGTACACTAAATATGTCCATTATATTGCAGCTTGCAGCAGAATATGTTAGAGATCTCAGCTGGGTTTCTCCAGGACAGATGACAAAGTTAATGCAGGTATCAGTCTTTCCTAAAGGTGGCAGAGGAGCCAAAAGCAGCATCCTGGATTGGTTTATAGGGTCTGCATTTATTAGGAGTGTTTATTAGGATGTCTAATAATGGAAAAGACAACTTGGCAAGGGTAGGAGTGGATTGGAGGAGAGCCGGGAGAAGCCCAAAGGAAATGGGATGATCTCGAAAAACAAAAGGAAGGGCAGCAACCCAGGGTCTGTGGTGTGTGAATCATTTGTCCACACACTGATTTTTAAGGTTTTCAAGGAACAGGCAAACAAAGCTATCATTTTATATGTTCCACTTGCTTGGAAGGCCATTTACATTTTTTTTGGCTTATTCCGGAAAGATAGTCATGGTTACACACACACACACACACACACACACACACTACACACACTACACACATGTACTCCACACACACACACACACACTTCACACACATGCACACACACACTCACATATACACACATGCACAAGCACTTTTCTTTAAAATGCAGTTTTATTTCCTGGGCAAGGACAGAACAGCGAATATCAAGAAAGGAAGAATGGGGAAGAAGGGAAGGGCAGGAAGGAAGGAGTGGAGGGAGGAAGGCAGGCAAGCAAAAAGGCTGGCAACCTTCTTTGTCTCTTCCATAGATTTACTGTTTCTTCCTAGGCCCACCAAAAAAGGTTCCTTTTGAAGGTGATACAGAGGAGGGAGGAAAAGAGAGAGAAATTGAGATAAAGAGGAAGTGGGGCGCGGTTGTGGTGAGATGCAGGGAAATGAGCTGATCCAGGCATTAGTGTTGGAGCTCTCGCTCGCTGTGCAATGCAGGATCTTGGGCATGTTATTTAACTTCTCTGTCTAGGCCCCTTTCCTACCAGCAGAAGTTTTCATGATCTTACAGACTCCCTCTAGCCTTCATGTTCCAGAAACCTAGGCTTGAAGCAGTGAGAAGGCCCCTTCTTAATGATACCTGAAAACTTTGCAAGCTTTTAGCAGAAAATGACTGTGGATAAATACTTCTATTTCCTCGTTTTCCAAACGGAAACTACATTGCAAGCTATGCCACTTCTTTCCTCTCTCACTTAAAGCACCTGCCAAACTAATAAAAGAGTCATAAATTTAGTTGTAAGGGCTCCAACAAAAGAGAAAATCCCCGCCTACTAGGGCAGCCAGGCTGTCACCAGGAAGTAAAAGCTGCAGCGGAGACTGCTCTTGTGTAGAGTGTAGCCAGTCTGGGTGCTGGAGGGGCAGCAAGGCCGAGAAGCAGCACAGAATGAACATGGGCAAAGGACTCAGCTAACACTGCAGTTTCTTAATTTCCTTCCTGAGATGATTGGGGTTCAGGGTCCAGTGAGTACCGCCTCAAAGGGACTTCCCGGTCTGAAAATGGTGTGTGCATGTCTGGGGACTCACTCCCCAGGTGTTCTCCAAAACCAACACTTTCTGTTGTTTGAGGAGAGGGCAAGGAGTGTTATTTATCGCACAGCTGCCTTGGGAGAATTAGGGAGGGAGCTGAGCTTCAAAACAGCTTGTGAACTTAGAGACTAGGAAATGGTGGAGAAAGATGACTTAAAGCCAAATAGATTAATAAACTCAATTATCTGGATGGTTTTCATTAGCCACTGGTTTTCCTTTTCTGAAAATCACGGCTGTTTTTTCCTGCTATGAACCAGCACATCCCCAGTGAGAACAGTGTTTATTATATTTCAACATTCACAGAAGCAGGTGGTGAGCTTTCCCATTTTGCCTTAACACAGACACACACATATCACCACCACCACCAATAACAACCTGATAATGCAAAGAATTGCTTTGCTCTGTCTCTTTAAATAATCTAAAAATACTCCTTGGGTACCATCAAGGCTAATCATCACAATTATGCTTATAACCAAGCGGGTACCACCACCTATGGTCCATATGTTGCTTCAGATAGGGACTGCAGGGTCATATTAGATAGGGCATGGCCTCACTCTTCAGCAGGATTAACAGAAGATGTGTGCACGTGTGTGTGTTTGTGTGTGGGAATTGTTACCAGGTTTAGCTCCTGTAATTTCTCACACTTTAGGTTCCTGGCATAGAAAAGCATCTTTGAAATTTCTAGGGTTCTAAGCATAATCACAGATTTTTCAAGCTGGCAGGAGTAGGGTCCAACCAACTCACTGTGTAGATGATTAAACTGTGGCTCCAAGAAGTTAGCAGATGAAGGGTGGGTCACCCAGTTGGTTGGTCAGAGATCCAGGAATGGAATCTTGGCCTCCAGGTTCCTTGTCCTGTGCTCTTTCTACTCAGTGTGGATTTGAGATCTGTTTTGCAGAATTTCCTTTAGGTTTTGTACTCAGCTGGAGACCACACATCATGTTATGGGTTTATGTATCCAAAGTCTTCACTAGTCAAGTGTTCCCCAGCACTCTCTGCGCTGGTCCACACTGTCACAAGGCCACATCGCTGCAAAAAGATATGGCAGGAGCACTCGGCTCCGACAGAACACACGTGCTTTTTCATCAATATCCTTTTTCTTTGCTCTGAGGTTAATTTCTGCTTGGCCTCAATTTCTTTTTTATCTGTGCCTATTCATTTATATTAGTTTGTATACCAACACTTACATCACTCATCTTTAAATCTGGGAGACATTGAACATAGCTAAATGCAACTCATAGAACCTGAAAAACAATCTAAGTCTAAGTTTGTGTAGTATTTCTTGTGTAGTATTTCTTATCCACTCCCCATAGTGATATGATAAGTGGGAACTTTGAAATCATGTCAGTATCAAACCTCCCTTCTGAAGATGAGGCTAAATGACCTGCCCAAGGACATTACACAGAGCTGGGAAGGGAATGGTCTCCCTAGACTCACCAACTTTTCTTCTTTTGATTATGCCACAAGACTTATGAACCTGCCAAAATCTACATTTACACCCTCTGCTCTTTTCCAAACCCCTGGTATAGACACTAGAGGTCAATGAGATGTACATGACATGTGCATGGAAAGAATATGGAGAGGACAGGATAAGGCCTGAGCAACCTAGCTTATGCTGTTCAATGAATGAGCTACAAGCCATGTGTGCATATTTAAGTTAAAATTAAGTTAAAATTAAACATTTAGTTCCATAGTTGTACTAACCACCTTTCAAGTATTCAGGAGCCAGAAGTGGCTAATGGCTACAACATTACACAGTACAGATATGGAACACTGCTGTCACAGCAGAAACTTCCAGACCTTCGGCCATCAGGACCAAATAATAATAATTACCATATACTGAGCCCCAATAGCATACCACACCCTGTCACTTGTGTTTAGTGCCTATTATCTAATTAATCTTTGTAAAAGCCACAAGGTATTATTATTATTTGTATTTGCCAGAGGAAGAAACTGACCTGTAAAATTCTTAATAATTTGCCCTCAGTGTTTGATAGTAAATGGCAGAAATATGAACACAGACCTGTCGATGGCAAACTATAATATGACCTCCATTTCTCTGTGAGGAGCCATAAAGACTGATAACAATCTAGCAAACATTTATTGAGCAGCTACTATGTGCCAGGCGCTGTTCTAACAAGTAGCATACATATTCATAGACTCCTCTATAAGGTAGGTATGATTATTATAATTTTATAGGTGAAGAAATGAGCTTAGGAAAGTTGAGAAACTCTCTTGTGGTCATCTGACTACTAAACAATAGAGTCAAGATTTGAACCCAGGCCATCTGATTCTATAACCTGAGTTCCAAACTGCCACAATCCACTGATGAACAATTGGTGGTTGCATCTGGGTTGTACGAAAGTCAAGGACTGACCTGTGGCTTATGGTTCCAATCTTTGTTCACAGGGCTGGTTGCTCTTTCCAGATGGGCTCCCTTGCGGGGCCAGTCCTCAAATGCCTCTGGTCAGAAGGATCTGCTCTGTTTCTCCCTGCTGCTGGCCAGCAAGGTCTGTTGCTGTCTCTGTAAAGCTGTTACTGCTAGAAGTCATCACAAAAAGCAACATTTGAGTAAGTCTTAACATGGGTCCTTTGGCCTGCTCCTTCAAGTTGTCCCACTGCAGCTCACCACAGGGCAACTTTAAGAGCATCCTGTTGACATTCCTTCTTAACATTTGGCCAGCCCAGAAGACATCCCTTCAGTCCTGGTGGGCTGGCTGCACTCCAGGGCATGTTGGTGAATCTAGCATATCCTTTAATGTGAAGCAGTCTAATAGGCTCGTGAACTGGCTCAAAAAGTTGGCGGTGATATTTGCGGCACTGGTCTGTGGATTTTTATTTAGTTTGGTCTAAAACCAGGAGGCATATGGACACCATATTCCACCTGCCAGCCTCATCAGGATATTCTGATTTTTTTCTCTATTTTTCCATCGCTTTTATATTTTTAGAGCATTACTCCTATTTGAGAATTGAAATTCTGTGGTGATTTTTAATTGTGTTTCAGTGGTGAAATTCTTTGGCTCCCAATTGGATTTCCTTGCATGGGTTCGCATTTTGTCTTGGTCAATGTTTTGACTTTTCACACTTTATTTTTTTTATTTTTATTTTTTTGAGACGGAGTCTTGCTCTGTCGCCAGGCTGGAGTGCAGTGGTGCGATCTCAGCTCACTGCAACCTCCGCCTCCCAGGTTCAAGCGATTCCCCAAGTAGCTGGGATTACAGGCATGCGTCACCACGCCTGGCTAACTTTTTGTATTTTAATAGAGATGGGGTTTCACCATGTTGGCCAAGATGGTCTCCATCTCCTGACCTCGTGATCCGCCCGCCTCGGCCTCCCAAAGTGCTGGGATTGAAAGACAAGCCAAAATCCTTTGAAGGCTGTTTCAATGAGGCTGGGTCAACGGTCACCATATGAAAATTCATAGATGACTTTAAGAGAAGATGGTCTGTGGACTGTAAAGTTGGAAGTGCCTCCCTTAAGACCTGGAAACTTAGGTTTCTTTACGTGCTCTGGAACAAATAAATACTCAAACCAGCCTCAAACTATTGGTGGTATGTGCTGGCTGTGGGCAATACCAGCAAATAACTGGCAGGATCTTCCTGGGATCCTACAGAGCTTCTTTAGTGAGGGCAATAACTGGCCATGTGGAAGCCAACTCATGTTATCAAAGACTTTGTAAACTTGGAGGGTACGATGCACTTCCTCCATGTGACATGCCACAAGTACCACAGGAAAGTCACTCCCACCTCCCCACTGCAGCCCAAATACACGGCTGTCTTGCAAGAGTACAACTGACCATCACTGGCTTGCCAGGATGCTGACCTGAATTTTGCTACAACAGAAAGTGTGGAAAGCTTGTGAGAGCTGTCTTATCATTCTCAAATTTTTTTCTCCTTCAAAAAAGATGATGAACTTGAAATCTTGCTGCCTGTTCTTGGCATCCTATATAATAATGAATGAGAGATACGGCTATCTAAGTAGCGTCTTCCATTTCAACTAAAAAATTTTCTCAGGTGCAGGCCTGGGACTTACAACTCATGATTCCAGTTCCAGCTTCCTTAAGGTGAAACACATTCATATTTTAAAACCAAATTGGCATGGATACTTCAAGAGGTAGTACATTCCCTCTCGTTGGAGAGACTTGAGCACAAGCTGGTTGGCTATTTGTTTATTTTTATTATTTTTCCATCTCCCTCTCCTAGTACTGGTTGGCTATTTAGAGGGCATACTATGATGGGGATTTAAGAACTGCTCAGACGGCCAGATTAGATTACCCAATCAAACACTGACAGGCTTTGATTCTAGCTTGTTCTCCAGTCTGCAAATGTCGGTACCCATAATGTTCTACTCTTTAAATAGACCATGCTTTTCCTTCTCAGGGTCTTTCCCTATGCTGTGTGCCATGTGTATGTGTTTTTAAATTTTCCTGGAACATCAATACTTCCCACCCCTGTACATGGCTAGTGTAGACCTTTTTTTTTAATTGTTCAAATGTTAATTTAAATGTTTTCTGCTTAGAGAGGCCATTTCTAATCCGTCTGTCTATATAGATACATTATGTTATTCTCTATCTCTGAATCTAATTTTTCCCCCAGATGTAGGCAGTTTGTAAGTATATCTGTAATTGTTTGTCATTTGGTTGGCTGTAGCCCGTAGGAGGGACCTGTGTCTATTTTATTCATTAATGTATATCTGTGTTTAGTGTATAACAGGCACTTAAATAATTTTTGAATATCTGGCTGAATGGATGAATATTAAAATCAGATTGAAGTCATTTATAGAAACTACACTGCAGAATTTTTTAGCTGGAAGACATGTTTAGAAACAATCTATTCCATTGTTTACCAGTGAAGTATAAATACTTTGGTTTCTTCTTTCCTTACTCCGCAAGGCTGATGGTTGAGCTATATACATTTCTAAGTGCTATATAGCTATTTTTGATTAGGTCACCTGTTGGGACTTGTTTACTGTATCATCAGAAATCCCAGCAAGAGAAAAGAGAAGTTTTTTTGTTTTGTTTTGTTTTGTTTGCTTTTTAAACAATATCCAGGGCTTGGAAATGTACTTATAGTCTATTACTTTCTTTCCAGATCATTTGGAATAATTTATATTCCTTCAGACTTCATATAGCTCCAGCTTGTCTGTGAGGAGTGGGTGGGGCCTGAAGTCTTCCTCTGGTCCTGTGGGTGGACAATGACCTTGCCTGTCTGGCTCTTGGGCACCATGGTGAACTCTCCGGGTGGGGGCTGGCTACACTGAGTGTGTGTGGGACCAAAGTAGTAGGCACCAATGATCAGATGCATCAGGAACAAAGAGGGAGGAGGGCAGGTTCCTGAAAATAGAAAGCACATCACAAAATAGATGATGAGTTGATAATGCCTTGAGGCCTTTGTTCAGGAACACTTCGGCACTATAAAGGGAAAAATGACAGTGCCATATTCTTCTGTGAAGTGTGAGTCGGTTTTCTTCAAGAGTCTTCCCAAAGAAGGCCTTGTGGGTTGTGGCTAACTCAGTTTTCCATTTTTATCTAGATTTGTTCTTTAACGCAAGTGTTATTCTTTTCCAAGGCTTGCTGTATCATCACATTAACAATAAGATAAAACTTGACAAAAATTCACTGAAAACAATAAATGTGGTAATTGCATATTCTTGTCCTAGGTATTCCCTTTTTGTTCTCAATTAAAAAGCAGTTCCAGCAGTTGTGTATGCTGTATCATTTGTTCACCTTAAATAAATACTTTTGAATCTAAAAATATAGCAGAAATAAAACTTTCTGAAAAAAATAAAAAGCTGAAACAGTGTCACATCAAAAATAAGAAATGGATTTTAGGGGATCGGGATGGTTTTCAAGAGGTTGATGTTTTCTGACAAGCCAACCCCATTACAGGCCGCTATCTAGGGGATCTAAAGTCTACACCAAATAACCAGCCTAGAACTCTAGCAGAATAGTATAAACACCCACTCAGATATCTTAGATTCGTTTACACTTAAAAATATGAGTTAACTATACGCATTGGCAGATATTTCATCAAAGTACAGATTTCAAGTAGCATTTGGTCAGCCGAAGACTATTATCTAGTGATTTATTTTAAATAGCTTTGCTTAAATTAAAAACATGATTCTTTTTTTTTTTTTGACGAGTCTCGCTCTGTTGCCCAGGCTGGCATGCAATGGCACTATCTCAGCTCACTGCGACCTCTGTGTCCCAGGTTCAAGTGATTCTCCTGCCTTAGCCTTCCGATTAGCTGGGATTACAGGCACCCAGCTAATTTTTGTATTTTTAGTAGAGGCAGAGTTTCAATATGTTGGTCAGGCTGGTCTTGAACTCCTGACCTCAGGTGATCCACCTGTCTCAGCCTCCCAAAGTGCTGGGATTACAGGCGTGAGCCTCTGTGCCTGGCCAAAAACATGATTCTTAAGTGTGAGCAATGGTGAAAATTTGTAAGACTTCTATTAGATAGCGGTACACAAGAGTTTGCCACTGCTAGGGTCATGGACTCAGCCTCACGTCTCTATCTACAGGTAACTGGTCCTAGAACTGACCCAGGAAACTTCAGAAAGAAGCAAAGTGACCTGACCACTTTAGCATTCACACCTGATCCATGGAGCAGCCTGGCTCTGTACCCTTCAGGTCATCATAACCTGTCTCCTCCCGTTCACCTGCAGCCTTTTTAGAGGCAGGCTGCTAACACGAAGACAGAGATCTGACACAGCCTCCTCTTCTGTGCTCACACTTCTCCCATGACATGCTGGAACCAGCACATCAGAGCAGACACACTCGTAATAAGACCAAAAAGCAGTGACAGTGCTGACAATTTTACACCTAGGCCAGGTGCCAGAACCGACAGTGGGGAAGAGGTGCAGGGAGGGAGGGGGATACCGTACTCTGAACACTTTTTTGAAAACACAGGTTAGGGTTACTATTAACTTGCTGCTACTAGGAGACTCTGGTTTGAGTTTTGTTGTTGTTGTTTTTTTCCCCTAGATCCTTTGAAGGTGGGGCCTCAGGTGAGGTCAAAAAAAGGTTTTTAGATCCCAGACATATATGGAACTAGCAGAGCTGATCATTTGAGGGGGCAGAACCCTTATTATCAGCCCCACGTTGGCCAATGGAAGCCTGGGACTTTTTTCATGTTGCCATGTTCGTCATCTATACAGCATCTATGCACCTCAAATAGGCTGAAATATTTTTATCTTACAGTTGTTTTGTGAGTCAGGAATTCAGGGATAGCTTAGCTGCATGATTTTGGCCCAGAGTCTCTTTACCAGGCCAAGCTGTTGGCCAGGGCTGCTGTCATCTGAAGGTGTGATTAACATTAGAGGATCCTCTTCCTAGAAGGCTCACTCACACGGCTGGTGAGTTGCTGCTGGCTGATGGTGGAGGCCTCAGTTCCTTGAAACATGGACCACTCCAAGCAACTGCTTGAGTGTTCTCATGACATGGTGCCTGACTTTCCCCAGAATGAATGACGCAAGAGACAGCAATGTGGAAGCCACAATGCCTTTCATGGGCTTGAAAGTCACACTGTCATTCTGCAATATTCACTTGGTCACACAGGTTAGCCCTGCTTCATAGGGGAGGGGAATATACAAGAACATAAATACCAGGAGGCAAGGGTCACTGGAGGTCATCTGGGAGGCTAGCAACCACAGCTGCCTATTGGTCCTGCCACTGCCTCTGGGAATCAGTCTGCCCAATGCCTGAACAGCTATATAAATCCGATGCTCACGGAAATTCTCCAGTATCCTTTTAGAGAAGGGTCCACAGCTCCTGACCTACTTGCCTCAGGTGGGTGCTGGCTCAGTCCCTTGCCCTAGCCACCACACCTCTGGCTGGGCGGCAGTGTGCATGTGGGGACGGCTAGGAAGGAGGCCCTGATGAGCCAGACACACAATCATGGCTTAGAATGCGACTTTAAAGCCAGGCCCACCCCCAGAGACTCTTCGGGCTCTAAAATGGCCAACTAAACCTAAGTAAGTGTCTGAGTTACACCTGTGAGGCTCTGGGGAGAATGCGGCCTCACTGGATTTCTGCTCTTTTCCTGGAGGGAAATAACCTTGCTGACTCAGATGGGAGTAAGAAGCTGTTAGCAGTTGCTGGGTTCACCTTCGATGGAAATCTGGAAATTCCAATGAACCACCATCATTTTCTGCAAGATAATCTAACCTAATTTCAACTGTAAAATTTAAATTTTCAAATGTACTGAAGAGATAGTACATGCCAGGCATTTATACACAGTATTTCCCTTAATCATCACAAAAAACCTGTGTAGTAGGTATCAGGCCCACCATTTTATAGAGGAGTGAACTGAAGCCCCAGAGGTTAAACTCCCAGCTAGCAAATGGGGGAGCCAGGGTCTGCCTCCCAAGCCTGGGTGATAGGGCTCTGTCAGAACTCTCCAAAAGAGAAGGGGCATAAATCACAGGTCTATCCAGGGAGCGGAGGGAGAGGGGGAGTGCCCCACACAGTCACAGCAGCAGGGCAGGAGGAGGATGGGGGCTGGGGGCAGCGGAGGACAGATGGGAGCTCCTGTTAGGAGCCACGTTTCCTCGGCTGGGAACCCCTACTGCTGAGTCTCTGCAACAGCGATGCCAGGTCTGTCTCAAGGGCGGCAAACTGTGCCTCTCCCTCCTCCTGCAAGGAGAGTCGGGTTGTTCATAATGATAGGTACTCTATGCCAGGCTTCCTGCCAAGTTAAGAACCACTTTTTAAAAATCTTCACAACATTCCTAGGAAGTAAGTATTATTCCCCGCATTTGATAGCTGGGGAGGTGCGGAGTTGGGGACTTTAGGAACATCCTCAAGGTCACAGAGCTCCAGGGTGTCCATGCTCACGTTTCAATCCAGGCTTCTGACTTTAGGGCCAGCAGAACTCTTTAACATCATGTTCCACCAGGCAGAGGTTGGGGGGTCAGGCGACCACATGGGCCGTTCATCTTTGCAGGAACTGACAGCGTTAGCCCCGACACAGAGGGCATGGGCCCCGCGGCTCCACCGGGAAGGGGGCTCGCCCGCCGGCCCGGGCACCCCCTGGTGGGGCCTCCCGCTCTCGGGCTCGGGCAGAACCCGCTGCTCAGGGGCCCGCGGTCAGGTCAAGGAATCCTCCTGTGGGCCTCGGCATTCCTCGAGGGGAGGGCGACTCCCGTCGGGCGGGCCTGCGCTCGGGGTGGGTCCGGGCTCCGCGGCCGGGATGGGTGAGCTGGGGAGGGAGGCGCCCAGGCTCGGGCAGGCGTCAGGCGCCGCGGCGCGTGGGGCTGTGCACGCGGTCACCATTTTCCTCCTGCTGGTCTGTGTGTCCCTCCGGCGGGAGCCGAGGCCGGCTAGGCCGCAGCAGCCCCGCGCCCAGGGAGAGAGGAGGAGGGGAAGAGGCCGA
The DNA here is from genome assembly GCF_000001405.40 of Homo sapiens. NCBI lineage: Eukaryota > Metazoa > Chordata > Mammalia > Primates > Hominidae > Homo > Homo sapiens. Next base: position 140,253,100 of record NC_000004.12, read on the forward strand.
GGGCGCCCTGCTCCTGGGTCGCCGAAGCCCCGGAGGCTTTGTGTATTCGGAACCGGATTCACCACCTCCCCCGCCACCCCCGCCTCCCATTCCCGCTTTCTTTTTCCCTGACCGAAGTCCCAGTAGAGTATCCAGCAATTAGCACGCGAGGAGGGGGTGGAAGGCGGCGGCGGCGGCAGGGGTGGGGGCGGCGAGACCCCGGCTCTGGGCTCGGCCCCGCGCTCCGCCTGCGCTGCCTTCGTGCGCCACCTACCGGCTGCTCGGGGCTGCTGCGGCGGCCGCCAGAGCTGTTCCTAGGCGGATCTTGATCTCCGTGGACAATAGACAATGGGATTTTTTTTTTGGAACAATGATTTATTTTTGGGGGTGGGGATAAGGAGGAAGGAGGGAGGGAGGGAGGAAGCAGTAGTGTGTTTGTCATCGCTTTAGAAAAAAAATCTCTGTTCTATCATTGTTTCTGCATATCCATTATATTGAGGACAAAAGAATCCCGTTCTGGAACAACAAAGCCAAGGGAAATGTTTTCTGTGGCTGACATTTAATTGTGTGCACAAGGTGCTACATTATCATGGGGAGAGATTGTAGAAAAGAATAGGGCAAGCCTCGGTTCAAAAGCCTGACTTTTCTGCTTTAAGATGTGAGCTTACATGTGCCCCATTTTAGATTGTCTCATATATCTCCACTCATGTTATACACGACGCACAATTCTCCGTTTCCTTATAGTTTTCCAACCCACCGCAAGCATTCCTTGCGGATTATTTTTGCACCACTTCCAAGGTCTATTCCTTTTACAGTTAACAGGGATCATCATGTTTTGCTTCACAACCTCTCTACATGTTTCTTTTTTAGAAGCTGTTAGGGACCTTGGAGAACACGTAGTCCAACCCTCTCATTTTACAGATGAAAGAGGTAGAATGCCTAGTCCAAAGTCACACAAATAATTAGAGAGGGAGGCAGGACCAGACCTCTTGTTTCCTAATCCCTGGTCCCTACGACCTGCTATTTGATGTCCTAATGCCCAGCACTCCTGGACTTGCTCATTCCATGGCCTCCTTTCTGGCAGGAGAAACCCCCTCACAGCGAGTTGTGTTCCACAAAGATGGGTGCTAATTCAGGCCGAGGGGACAGAAGTACAAGCTTCCTGGCTTGGTAATCCCTTTTACCCCCCTTTCTGCCCCACCACCTCTGTAGCGTGAAGAAGGGGAACAGTGTGGGTGTCATCTTAATTTATTCATTTCATTATTTTGCTGTGATAAGTTAATATGTAAAACCTATTGCAGTTGTCCCCAACTCTCCAGAAAACATTCTCCCCTGGGATGCAGGGACTGAGCGCCACCTCTGATACTGGGCTAAACCAGAAGCATAACAAGAAATGTGTTCCATCTTTGGAAATTGTACTCAGTGGTCTCTTGGCAAAGGTGGTTTGCCCTTGGGAACTTAAATGATATGGATTTCTTTCTAAGGCTCATGAAAAATCCTTGGGAAGAGGCAGATAGCTGATCATGCTGTAGAACAGAGACATTTTTCTTATGCCACCTTCCAAAACACTACAACAGACGGCGCTCCCCTTTAAACTATTACTGTGTCACACTGAGACAGAAGAATTTTCAAGTTTTAAATGAGAAGCTCAGTAAACATCTTTGCACATCCAAAATGAGTCAACCCATCATAACAGCCTGCTTGTTTTAAAAGTTGTTCAGTCTGTTTAAAGCAAATAGACCAATCTCACAGTCTGCAGACAACCAGACAACAAGCAGAGAAAATTTCAAAACAAAAGGCCAGAGCATTCCCTAACTCTCTTTAAACTGTCTTCTAAAAGCATAGAAAAGAAGAAAACACACTTGGGTTGTAAACAATTTCTAAAGCTTTCTGCTGGGTTTTGGCACTCTAAGAGAACTGGTTTATACAGGGGCCATGTGACAGGGGCCTGTTAACAGGGAGCTTAGATCTCTAAACCTCCTAGTTTTCCTTTGTTTGTTCCTTTTTTTTTTTTTTTCCTACAGGGTACTGATTCATCCTGTCTCCACAGAAGGATCCACAGTTCAATGATATTCTAATATGGCAACCACACACTTACAAACACCTTGCCTCAAGGATTTTGTGAGAATCAAATGTGATCAAATGAGATAATGTAGGTGAAAGTACTTTAAAAAGCCTAAGGTACTCTTCAGATGTGAGGTCTTACTCCCTTGTATTTGAGCGTTTGAAGGCATTGAAATCATTAATTGGAGCACTGCTGTAACTGTGCTGTAGAGCTGTGATTTGGCCTTTTTTTTTTTTTTTTTTGACAGGGTCTCACTGTGTTGCCCAGGCTGAAATGCAGTGGCACAATCTCAGCTCACTGCAACCTTCACCTCCCAGGCTCAAGCGATCCTCCCACTTGAGTCTCCCAAGTATGGCCCGTTTTTCAGATAGGAACTTAGGGTTACACTTCAAGGGTAAAGCTTAACGTAGATTAGAGCATATTCAAATCTCATCTTAAAGAATATCCTCACATCATGTTGGAATCTGGTAAATGCTAAAATACTGGTGACTCATTGCTTCCCCAATGTCCTTATTTGGTAGCATGCAAATAAAAATGATCATTTTCAGATTTAGATTTTCTCAAACCGTGGTGCGAGCAGCTATTTTTACTTTTGCTTCAGTCACCATTCTCTGTAGTAGAAAGTGTATTTAGAGTTGTAAAAACTGTTTTTCCATTTGCAGCCTAAATTTAAATATAGGATACAGCCACCAAAGTACTCTCCTGGTCAGATACAGGAGTCACGATAGTGAAATCCAGGACTTCTGACATGTAGTCCTCATTTCCATCCATTTAAGGACTCCATATCGCTAACTTCACAAGTGCTTCATGAGACCATTTCCATAGCACTTCCCCTTAGGACACCTCAATTGACTTGCAGATGTTCTATTGCTAATTCTCTTAACAGTTGTATTTGAGAGTGGTGGGTCCATTGGAAAGATATCTGACTTGCAGAAAGTGAAACCTCACCCAGTCATCTGCCTTCTCTCTTACAGGCCATGGGACATATACCCTGTACTTGGCTCCACAAGAAATGACTGATGTCACCAAAACATGAGCAAATCTTAGAACCCTAATTTCCCAATAGTTGTTGTCCTGTCCCACCAAAACCAAAAGTTGGGCATGGTGGCTCACACCTGTAATCTTAGAGTGTGGGAAGGCCAAGGCAAGAGTATCACTTGAGGCCAGGAGTTTGAGACCAGCCTGGGCAAAATAATGAGACCCCCATTTCTACAAATAAGTAAATTAATTAAAAGCCCAAGCCTGCTATCACATTTCTCCAGGGGTCAGAGCTGGAGTTTACCTCCTGCTCAAGACACTGGCTGCTGGGTCAGAGGAGATTCGGACACATCACCTGGTTTAACCCCAGGACTCTATGTGACCTTCATCCCAGCCCTGACTCAGCAGCCTGCCCTGTGACTAACTTCCTGTGACTGGGCTTTCAGATGTTGATGTTGATGATGTCCCTGCCAGGATAACCGGTCCAGATTGGCCAGCTGTGAGAATAATTCAAGTGGGTTTCAGGTAAATCACTTTCTGATCACCAATCTCTTTCTCTTTGATAAAATATCCTGTGTCTCTTGGGGCCAGGTTGGTGGCACTAACTCACTGGATGCTTATGTTTATGAGGCTTTTAGGGGTAGTTAGATGAACCTTGCCAGTTCTCCTGTCCTGGCTGCCCTCTCTTGTTTCAGATTTTGTGATGGACTGGAACACTTAGACCCAGAATCTGACACCAAAGCCTGATGAAACATGGGGCAGTGCCTGGCCACCGAACCTGCCCCCAGAGCAGGTGGCTAGAGGCAGGAAATAAAGAGGATGCTGGTAGGTGTTGCACCTTAGGCAACAGAGTGTGCTCTCTCTGCCTAAAGCCACCTGCCCTATACCCATCCCAGATGGGGGCTTGGTCAGTGGGGCCTCCTCCACCTCCCCTCCCCAGACTCTACCATCTTTACTGGGGACTTTGGCCCCAGTAAATTCTTGCAACATATGAAATGCCCAGTGGAAATGCAAAATAATCACGTCATCTTTCACACATTTATGGTATGTTGGCAATGTTTCTAATAGCCACTAAGGGACAAGAGTTTATCTTTCTATCTTACATCTCATAAATCTCTTCCTTTTTTTCATCCCTAGTGTAAATTGTGCTTAGACCAATAACACATTTAAAATTATAGAGCTTTTCATCACTACGGAGATGCTCTTGCCTATGATAGGAACGATGGCTACATCTGAAGCTGAGCAAATTTATCTTTTCTCTTCGTCTGCATCAGGGTGACCTCTGGAAGGTAAGTGAAAGATTTTCACTTAGCTGGGCACAGGCTTTGTTCAAGGCATCTGCTTGTAAGAGCCAGTATTTAAGGGGGAGGTTTGGGCCTAGGGGAGAGCCTGGCAATCTGTGTCTCTGTTCTTCTTCAGAGTTTCTTTTTCAGACTCCAAACTGAGGGCGAGTCATCTGAGCTCTCTCACGGCGGTGAGGAGCCTGGGTTGTGTAAATATAGGTCAGTTATTTAACCTGTCTCTGCCTCAGTCTTCTTTGGGGATAATAATAGCTCTCATAAGTTCATTGTGAAGATTGAAAGCATAGAATGTGTGAAGAGCTCAGCACAGTGCCTAGTGCATAATAAGCACTTTTAAGTGCCAGCCAGCATCATGATCATGACTGTTTCTATCCTCCCGTTTCCATGTGGCAGCCTTTTGCTTTGCCAGGTCCCTAGAACTGCTGGAGGAATCCATACACCAGAGATGTCGCTGCACTTCTGGCTACAGTGCCATGACTCTTCATATCAGTCTCTGCCTCTTGGGCAAGGAACAAGCACAGGCGGAATTGGTGACAAGCTGGCAGAAACTCCAATCCCAGGCATGAGTGGGGTCCTCAGACAGTTCTTGCCTCTTCTTTCCACTGCTGACTGCTGTTCCTCACATAGGTCGTCCGGCTGCTCCCACTCTCAGCCTGCCACACCTGCACAGCATAGTGGACTGTTGCCAGAGCAGTCTGCGGAGGTGCTCTTTCCACCCTCCGCCAAGCACTTGAGCTCCATTGAGTCTTTCTGCCCACACAGCTCTAGAGGGCCCAGACCCAGGGTGGAAATAACCCCCATTTTCTGGCTGTGATGAGATGTTTATTAGGTAGTTATTTCTCCCCAGATTTTACCCATATCAAATTGGAGAATTCATCTTGTCCCCTTTTCCAGAAGTACAACCTCATCTACCATTTTCTGCAGTGTTCCTTGGTTCTCCTTGAGGCCAGCTTCTGTTTCCAAATGTATAGGAGACATCTCTATTCCTATCTCCGTCAAACACTGGATTTTTTTGATTAAGGGTTACCCTAAGACATTTTCTACCCTCCTCCAGATAAGACACACTCCATGTAATTAGGCCGTCCTTAACCAAAGCACTTGCCCTTCTCTCTGGGATGGGAGGTGAATGCCATGCCAATCTCTCTCTCCTCTGACCTCACCACTTAAAGTTCCTTATTTACCAGAGATTCATTCATTGTAGAAGCTGAAGAAGCGCTTTAGATTGTGTCTGAGTTGGAGCACAGTGAATCTTCCTCCAGGGCTTCAGGGTCTGCTTTCTCTTCTCTTTCTGAGTTGTTGAGTAAGCCCCAAGAATAGCTTGCATTTTCTTCCCTTAGGAACCAAATCCAGTGTAGAAACTATAGTTCCATTTTTTGAAATGATGGCGTATCATATGTGCTGACATTTCTTCCTTATCATGGTTCTCCCACCATGTATCTATCTATCAATTGATCTATCATCCATGAATGGCTTCTTGCTGGCTACACACTTACCTCTGAGCCAGAGTATTTTCACTAAAAAGCAGATGTGCCAAGATATGACTTACCGCTGAACAATGGCCTGGTTTTCACCAGATTCTGTTTGCTCTCAACAAGTGGAATTGGACGTCTCTTTCATAGCAGCATTTAATACAGAAATGCCTAGAAATGCACAGACAGGGTTATTACTGAAGCTAATATAAGTCAAGGGAAAAATGCATGGGCAAGGCTCAGAAACAGAGGAAACACCTTTGTCTACAAAAGGTTGGATATGGCTAAGAGGTGATCAATACTTACAAGATGAAAAAGGATGCCCATCTTTGATTCCTCTCTCTTTTGCAACCCCATGTCCAGTTGGTCACTGAGTTTTGTTGTCCTTTCTTCACTTCATAATATCTCTTGCATTTCTTTCTTGCTTTTCGTTCCTACTGTGCTCCAACCCTAGTTAGACTCTTTTTATCTCATGTGTGGTCCATTGCAATAGCTTTCTCATTGTCTACCTACTGCACATATTTTCTCTTCAAAAATCGCCCTACAGTTGCCATTGGATTAATCTTTTAAAAGTACTACTTTTCGGCTGGGCATGGTGGCTTGCACCTGTAATCTCAGTGCTTTGGGAGTGCAGTCAAGGCAGAAGTTCGAGACCATCTATAAAAAGAAAAAAAAGTTATCCAGGCATGGTAGTGTAGTCCCAGTTACTCAGGAGGCTGAGGTGGGAGGATGGCTTGAGCCTGGGAGTTCCAGGCTGCAATGAGCTATGAGCACACCACTGCATTCCAGCCTGGGTGACAGAGTGAGACCATGTCTCCAAAAATTAACTAGCTAAATAAATAATGTTTTCTCAAAACTTACTTACCTGTAATCCTCCAATTTCCCTCTAAGAAGATGCCCAAAGTTCTCATCGTATAGCATTAGAACCCTCCATGAAGCAGCTCTTCAATTTACTCATCTATTTCCCGCCATTCTTGATTAAACCTCTACTCGTGTCAAATGGGTTTACCTCTCCTCATCTAAAATTTGTTCATGCCATTCCAGTTCCTGGATACGCCCTTCCTTTTCCTTTCTGCCTTTCCAAATCCTCCCCCATTCCTTGAGGTTGGGTCAAATCTCACTCCCAGCTTGAAATGATCACTCTCCACAGAATACCCTGAGACATTATTTTTATATAATTAATTTTGAGCACTCAGCAAACACTGTCCCATGACATTTTCCCTAGTGTTTTGAGTTGCTGCCTAACTTTCATATGCATACCTCTCATCATATGTCCTGTGTGGTGAACTCCTCACAGATCTCACAGATGGTTGATTCATATTCTAACTTCCTTCCAAAGCCTTTTGCATGAGCCTTGCACTAAGAAGGTATTCAATAATATTGGACTTAATTAACAGAAGAGAAAGCAACTGAAAAGGAAGACAAACTAGCGAAGCCATTTTCATCACCAGCAAAGAAATGACAGTTCCAGAGTTTCGTTCCTGTGCATGTTGAAGTTGCACGTGTTGAAATGATGGCGAGTGTGTTTTTCATAACATTACATATCTGGAAAGAATCTTGTGAGGTCATCTTGACCAGTTTCCTGGCTCTGAGTCATCAGAGACTAAAAGATCTATCATATGCTCGAAGAACCTGGAGAGAAAATTCCTCAGGTATTTTGGGCAATTGAGTCTCAGGGCTGTATCAGCTCTTCCCATAACAGTTCTCTCACTTGTCACTCTAGACCAATGTCCTGAAATTTTAGTGTACTCAAATTTGCTGAACTTCTACAGTGTATGTTTAAAATGTAGGCTTCCAGGCCCACTCCAAAGAATAACATTCACTCATTCTGGAGTGGGGACACATGAATCTGAAACATACATATTCTATTTATGTGTAATATATCCCAGGTGATTCTGATGCAGGTGGTCTGTAAAACACACTGTGAGAGAGAAAAGAAATTGTTCTGATTTATTTTTTTTTAATTTTAGTTTAAGCATATTCATTCCAGGACCATTTGCCATGAACATTAAAAAACAGCTGATTAATAGTTTTTCTTAATAATTGCATTTCCTTACATACATATTTTTAGCCTCATGTATATTAAGAGCTCTCTATGTTAAGTTGAACTCGATGTTCAACACATTCATTGAGCACCTATGTGCCAGGCATCATAGCTATCAAGATGAATGAGTTAGGTACTAAGGTAGATTGATCCTCATTCTTAGGAAGCTCATAGTTTAGTGGGAAAGTGAAAAACTGTGATAATGGTGGTGATGACCTATTACCTTTCATCCAAAGTTTGTAGACATTATATATGTTTGTGGCAGTCCAGCAGGAGCAGAGACTTGGGGTTTGTTGTCCGTGGCACTAGGCAGAAGAGTATGTAACATGCCCCCTTGCTCTGGCTCCTGACTCTGTGCCTTTAGGGCTAATGAAAAGAAAATGCCATCACCCCACCACTCCAACAGCTCTCCAAGAGCAGTGAGCATTGGTCAGTCAGTCAACTATGTCTTACTGAACATTTGGAATGACCAGCACTCTGTAAGGCATTTGCAGAGGATGTTGCTCCCTTCCCATACCCCAGACTTTGCCACAATAGTGCTCCATGCCTTCCCCATTCATTTGGGTCCCTTTGATTTCCCTGCCACCAACAGAAAAGGCTGAGTGCCCTCTGCATTCATGAAATATTTAGTGAGTACTCCAATGTGCAAGGCACTTGCTAAATGATGTGATGAATACAAAAATGAATCCAACACAGATTCTACTCTTAAGGAGCTTACAGTCTAGTGCTGAGATGCATCATGTACCAGTTACAAAGTAGAATATAAGCAAATATACCATGGGGTTGCTTCCAGCCAGGAATGGGAAAGGGGGCTGAAGGTACAGAGGGATAAGGAGTGAGGAGTGTTGTGCAAAGGGGAGGTGAGTTTGGGCTGGAGGTGTTGAAGGATATCCGGTGAAGATGACCAGCAAGGAGTTAGAGAATGTGTGACCAGGGCTTGGAAGGAGGGAAAGGCAAGGGACACTGGTGTCATATGAAGCAGGACTGGATTCTATTGTCAAAAGAGTGCAGCAGGCCAGAGAAGGAGAATTAAAACACAAGAGAGGTGTCTCAGATATGCCATCTTTTCTTATTAGACCTCAATTTAATCACTGAGAAGTTGAATTTAGTGTTTGAAAGATGAATTAAAACATTCCATTTCCTGATGTAACTCAGAAAATACATTTTCATTGTTTCCCTGCCTTTTCTTGGGTGATGGGCTTTGAATATTTCCATGTAGTTTGACCAGGGTCTCTATTAGACCTATGAAAGAAAGGCTTTTTGTACTAGACTAGTGCCTCCGTGTTTGTTTTATTCAGGAAAAAAATGGAAGGAACTACAGAGGGAAGAAAGGAAAAAGGAGAAAGAGAACAAGGTCTCTGTTTATGGGCACCTTTGTTTGCTGAAGATTGAGGAGAAACATTGTGGATTCTGATTGTGACTTGCTTGAGGTGAAATGTGTTCTTTATAAGGCCGGGCTTGCTCTCAGGGCTTTGAAGGACTCCATGTTGAAGACCTCCTATCTTTGGCACATTGGATTAAAACTATAATCTCCAAAACACTGCCCTACAGTCCTTTTGTGCTGTGCTTTCTCTCTTTGCTTGTCTTTCTATATCTTCTCCTGTTTCTGCTATAGAGTGTTGGGCTCAATGATAGTGGCTCCTTGAATAGGAGCAGAGGAAAGCGAGGTGGGGGAAGAAATAGCTATGAGAGAACGTATTAGTCGGTTCTCACACTGCTATAAAGAACTACCTGAGACTGGCTAATTTATAAAGAAAAGAGGTTTAATTGACACACAGTTCCACATGCTGTACAGGAGGCTTGGCTGGGGAGGCCTCAGGAAACTTACAATTATGGCGGAGGGGCGAAGGGGAAGCAAGAACCTCTTACATGGCAGCAGGAGAGAGAGAGAGAGAGAGAGTGAAGGGGGAGGTGCTTCAGAATTTCAAACAACCAGATCTTTTGAGACTTCTATCAGGAAACAGCCCCAGGTAGATAGTGCTAAGCCATTAGAAACCACCCCATGATCCAATCACCTCCTGCCAGGCCCCCCCTCCAACCCTGAGGATCACAACTCGAGATGAGATTTGGGTGGGGACACAGAGTCAAACCATATCAGAGAATAACACCAAAGTGTTGATTTGAAAATTTTCTTAGAGTAACTGTTTAGGCACAGGCAAATTAAAATCCTGTGCATAATCCTGTTTGGGTGCATTTGCATCTCTTTAAACTATCTCATACAGCTGGATGTCATCCTTGGAGGGAAGTCTAGTGGAGCTCATGGCCAGAGTACCTAGCAAATTTTCAAAGACCTTGTGACTTATGTTTACTTGCTTGGCAATGATGTTCCTGTGAGAAGCATGAGACCTTGTCTTCCACAGAGCAATTTAGGACCATCAGTGTTACAGAGACTCCAACCAACTTGCACAGGTAAGCCAACTAGAATTTGCTGATGTACAGCTAAAAGAAGGGTGAGCATGAGGCCGGGGACTCTGCATTCCACATCTGTGCTCAGAGACTCTCCCTGAGCCACGTGCAGAGCAGCTGTGGGTGAGAGGTGAGCTGCTCGCTGCTGAAACACCCCATTTGGTGAAGCAGGCCTTTGTTTGAGATGACACCGGGAGTGAAAGCAGGTTATCATCACTATACCCAGTGGTCTGACAGAGCAAATGGAAGAACTCGGTGAGGTGAGGAGAGGTGAGAGAGGTGAGGAAAAGATTAGCGAGGCTCAAATGGGATAATTGGAAAAGCAGGGGCAGGCAGTAAATTATGCCCCTTTTACTTGGCTTAGTTATCATATCACCCCGAATGGGTGAAATAGGTCAGCAACCCATGGGTGAAAAGCAAACTCAGGAAGGGTCACAGAGGTGAGCTAAGAACCGAGCTCCGAGGACACTTTCAGGAGCCTGTGGAAACCGTGTTGCTGGATTTTCATGCTTAGAAAGAGAAACAGGACAGAATAAGTCAATAGAGTCTTCTGGGATTGTCTGGAGGTCTTTTTCATCTTGTCAGAACCTAGACCTATCAGTAGGAAACAGGTTGAAAAGTCTCACAAATGAAGAGGCAAATAAAGCAAGGGAGTGGTAATTGTTTTGTTTTTTAAGAGACAGGGTCGCTTGCTGTTGCCTAGGCTGGAGTGCAGTGGTACAATCACTGTTCACTTCAGCCTTGAACTCCTGGGCTCAGGCAAATCTCCTGCCTCAGCCTCCTGAGTAGCTGGGGCTATAGGCATGCACCACCACGCCCAGCTAATTTTAAAAACATGTTTTTTAGAGATGGGGGTCTCACCATGTTGCTCCGGCTGGTCTTGAACTTCCAGCTCCAGTGATCATCCCTTCTCAGCCTCCTGAGTTGCTGGAATTATAGGTGCCTGCCACCATGACTGGAAGGAAGTGGTGGTTAATGTGGGTTCTGGACTGCTTACTTTTGCCTCCCACCCCAACTTGCAACCTTGTTCTGTGACCTTAGGAAGTTACTTTACCTCTTTGTGCCTTGGTTTCCTTATGTGTGACAGGGAAATAATAATTGTACCTAGACCTTCATACGTATAAAGATCTTAGTTCCTAGCACTCTTAAGTTCCTAGCAGTTAGAATACATTCAAAAAGACTAGCTGAGAAACACTTGAGAGAATGGTTTCGATGCCCTTGAGGTCATTTTGGACATTGGCAGGGACTTCTTTTGGTGGTTACAAGGATAGGGATACTACTATCATTTAGTGGGTGGAGGCCAACCAAAACAATTCATCCTGTATCCCACATGACTTTTGAGTGTTCTCATCTGGGATGTACACATCCCGATAGGTGAAAAACCTAATATTATTGGAACTTAGAATCTAACTCAGTTTTAAAAAATTTCATGAGTTCTTTTTGCATTGTTTTCACATACACTGAATTTTGAATGATCATACCAATCAAGAAGATTATGCTCTGCTTCGTTTAGAGTGCTGTCAGGAGTGGTTCCCCATTTCAGAAAGTCACCTCACTGATGACAAAAACAATGACCTGTCGGAGCTGCATTTGTAACTATTATGTTTCTAAGGCCTCTACGCATCATGAGGCCTCATGACTTGATTGTGACTTCTAGCGTAGCTATGCCTGGGCGTGAATATATATATATTGAAATGCACATGATTTTATTATAAATAATGTTGTGTCTCTTTTATATCAGTTAGGGCATTGTGTTGATTTCTTCTTGAAATGTATGAGGATGAGTTATGCATATTAATTTTATTGAGGATATTAAAAGGCCATTATAAAACAGTTGTTTTAAAAAGGAGGTTTAGCTGTGATAGGTTTTTGGAGCTAAGCTCAGCATAATCATAATGGTTGTAGTTCCCAAAAGTCGGTCCCTGAGTCAAGGAAATCAGAACCCAAAGAAAGGGTATTTCACTTGCTCTCAGTTTGCCTGTTCTCTTTTAGCCGGGTATTTAAATGCTTATGTGGTGGTCAGAGCATTTCGGTATATTGCATGTATCTTCTGTTAAAAGAAAAACTTCAGTGGCACTAAAATTAGAAGAGTTTTATTGAACAATGAACAATTTGCAAATCGGGCAGCCTCCTGAGCCACAATAGGCTCTGAGACTTCAGCGCAGCCACGTGGTGGAAGACTTATGGACAGAAAAGGGAAACTGACTTACAGAAAATGGAAGTGAGGTCCAGAAACAGCTGGATTGGTTATAGCTCAGCATTTGCCTTATTTGAACATGGTTTAAACATCTGGCCACATTTGATTGATCAAAATTTGGTGATTGGCACAAGAGTAGACTACAGTTTGTTTACTTCCATGTAGGCTATAGTTCACGATGTACAGAGCAACCTTTAGCTTTAGGTTAAACTTGATTTAACACTACCCTCAATAATCTTGAAGTCTAGTTTCTGATTAAGATGTGGCCATCTGTCCCATCTCTGTAGCACACTTAACTTCAAGAGGAGACCATCTTTTGTGCATGTGAACTCTTCTCTCTCCCGCTGTGGGAGCTAGATCACACCAGAAAAGCCTCTTTTCCAGGGATTGGTGGAAAGACTAAGGCAGCCAGGGCTGGAGGACCTACTTTGGCAGAGGTGCCCTCTGCTCTGTCCAGGGCTGTCTCCCCAGCTGAACCATGGTCTCAAGGGCTCCTGCTCTCTGCTGGGTAGGCCTGGTACAATTAATTCTGAGGCCCAATCTTTGATTTGATTGCTGTTAAGTCCTGTTGTTTAGGGAGGGAGAGCGTCTATTTACTCCCTGACATGGCCAAAGATGGAAACGGAGAAGTTGCAGAAAAACTTTGTGGGTAATAATGTCATACCTAGAAGATGATTGTGTTGCCTGATAGCCATGGGGAAGATGGCAAGTAGAGACAGCTTTCTTGGGGGTGTGAGTCAGCTTGGGCTGCTGTAACAAAAATATCATAGACTTGGTGGCTTATAAACAACAGAAATTTATTTCTTACAGACCTGGAGGCTGGAAGTAGCAGATCAGGGTGCTAGTATGGTCAGGTTCTGGTGAAGGCCCTTTTCTGTGTTGGTAACTAAAAAGAGGGCTAAGAGCTCTCAGGAGTCTTCGTTTTATAAGGGCACCCCAGAGAGTGAGGTGCTACACCTTCATTACCTAATTATCTCCCAAAGGCTCCATTTCCTAATGCCATCACATTGGGGATTAGGAAGAACCTCAACATTAAATTTGAGAGGGCACAATCAGTCTCTAACATGGGGATGGGGCCTGAGTTCAGTTTCCTTCTATTAATATATTAGAATATATTAGTGGTAAAGGTGTTAGAGTCTAGACTGACAAAATCAAGACAAAATAAAGAGCCATTAAGTCTTTCAAAATTTAATCTATAATTACGCTGTATTCAGAAATGTGCTGGTTCCCAAAGATTAAGTTTTCCTGTGTCTAGGTACTAAAAGAAAATAAAAAGGGAGGAAGGGAGAAAGAGAAAAAGTAAGGGAGAGAGGAAATCTTTGAGAAAAACTATTAATTAGTATTGAGGAGATCTATAAAGTCTCTTCCTGGGGCTCGTTGTATTTTCAAAGTTGTCCACAGCAATCTCTCTCACCCTACAAGCTCTTCTGCAAAGAGGTGGAGTCTCCCTCCCTTCCCTCTTGAATTGGGCCTATCATGAGAGCAAAACACCATCTTCTGCTGGAAAAGAGAAAAGGATAGAATATTTCTGTGGTGAGAAAGAAGGTTATTTGATACCAAACCCAGACCACACCCACTAGAGCTGGAGTTCAGCTTACAGAAATGGATCTAAGATCAAGTCAAATCGGTAAAGACACTGGTGAGTCAGCGGGAACCACAGTGAGCTAAAGGTAGCACTGGGTGGGAGGCCAAAGGAGCGGGTTGACTGATGCTGGAGATTTGATGGGAGCGGAGCCTTCATGAGAAAGGCTGGTATCCCACAAGGTTGCATCAGTGTTGTCAGCATAGTCGTCAGTGGCTTGAGACCTTTGAACGTGAGCTAGGGGTGGATGTGTGCAGGGGCCTGGAGAGACTGCGGAGATCTGAGTGAGACCAGCTTTGCGGGGTTACTGGCAGTGCACATTCTGGCTCTGTTTTCCTGGGATCTGTTTCTTGCCCTTCCTCTACCCTGTTCTAAATCAAAGGGTTCTGACCCTTGTAGGTTGCTTTTCTAAGATCGGAGGATGATAGGAGGCGCTGACAGGCTGGATGGTGGAGGTAGAGAGGGAGAAACGAGGCCTTCTCCCCTCCTTCCCAGCCGCGCACCTCTCCCACTCCATTTGTTGCCAGACAGGTCCACTAAGGGTCCAGCCTCCACCCAGTGACGTGGAGACTCCGCGAGGCACCCTGAGCTCCGGGAACCCCCTCCTCCCTTTCCTCTGCCCCGAGGTGGTGTCAGCTTCCTGTCTTTGCAGTCTGGATTCCTCACCCCACCCTGGCTGGCCTCTCGGCTCCTCCATCCCTTGTGTAATTGATCCCTGCCTCAAAGTCCTGTCTGGAATTCCCTGGTGGTTTCTGTTTCCTGGTTAGATCCCGACCGATACACTGGCCTCCGGAGCTGGTCAGCTCTGATTCCTAGAAGAGAGCTGCTAAGGACCGGCCTGGGGACGCCTTGCTGAAAGAGGTTTGTAGGGAAACCAACCGACTTCAGGACAGTCCAGTATGTGGCTTACTTGACCCCATTCTCTCCAGAACGACATAAGCTGTTATCTTAAGGGAGGGACTTTAATGGAGGAATTGATTTGGGATGGGGTGAAGGATTCACTAAAAGAGAGGCATCAGTGGCACCAGAGAGCAGAGAAAGCTCATGTCCTCTCAGTTTAGAAATAACCAAGTGTTCTGGTGGGGGCTTATGCATCACTGAATTACTGTCGCATTCTTGGGCCCCATATAACGTTTGTATCTTGTGTCTGGTTCAAATAGAACAGAGAATAAGGGAGTGAGTGCCTCTAATTTAATATTCTTATGTTTCCATCACGTCAAATTCCCACTAGGACAAATGTATACAAATGAATCATTATAATTTTTTCCCTTTTACCCTAGCTGAGCCACTTGGGCCTCTGCTAAGAAATGATGATAAAAGTGATGAAAACAAAGCATAACATTATAATGTCATTTAAAAAATGAAAGATTTCCAGGAGATCCTTTGTTGTGCTGGAAGAGCACGAGCTGCATGTTTAAATGACTTTTTGTTTTCCCTTTTGGATAATCACAGAGAGTAATGTAACCAAAATAATCTTGGACTGCTGCTGAGGTCATCATTTAGTTCCTGCTGACATGTTGTGCTGGTCAGAAAGCAGGGGATCTCAAAGGGAGTACAGCCCTGGAGACATGAGAGAAGGCGTCATTCAGACTGCTGGTGCTTCCCTCAGAGACAACAGGGGCATGGGGTTTGAATCTGGCTGTTCATTCTCCCATCCCAACACTGGAGACACAGATGAGGAGCACACCTGTATCCCAGGCATTGTAGATTACAGCGGGAGAGAGAAATGCCAACTGGGACTGTGTCCTTGGGGGATGCGATTTTTCATACTGTATAATGAACGTGCAATAGGGAAGAGCATTTCATTGTGGGTTTTACTGCACTAGGCGATTCTGACGGGTATATGGATACTCATTCCAACTTACAGTCATAAGATGAAGACGGTCATGGGGAAGCTGCCTGGCTTCCAATGAAATATTGGGGAAGAGGATTCAATATCAAAAGTTCAGAACGGAGAATAGCAGAGTACAATTATAAAGCCCTAGGTCATTTGCTTACTTGTTTTATTCCCTTCACTAGACACAGGGCTGCAACCACACATTATGGGATAGTTTAGAAATGTGGCCCACAAATTCTTTGACACTCCTCCTATGAAAATGAGGGATTCATATCTCCTGCTCTTGAATCTGGGGAGAGAGTGGGGGAAGCTTGTGAGTGTTTTGACGACCAATAGTGTACAGTGAAAGTGACAAAATGGGATTTCTGGGGCTGGATCATAAAAGGCCATGTAGCTTTCATCTTACAAACTGAAACACTCTTTCGTAGAGCCCTAAGCTGCCGTGTAAGGCATCTGACTACGCTGAAGCCACTACATTGGAAAGGTCACATGGAGGAGCTCCAGCTGACAGTCTCGGAGGAGCTCAGCTTCAAGCCATCCCTGCAAGGTATCAGCCATATAAATGAATCAGCCCAGCTGCCAGTCAAGTATCTTTGCATGGCTTCCATCAGTGCCTCATGAAACGGAAGATTGACTAGCCAAGACTTGCCCAAATTCCTGACCCACAAAATCATGAGATATAATAAAATGGTTGTTATTTTAAGCCACTAAGCATTGGGGTGATTTGTTATGCAGCAATGGCTAACGAGAACATATTCCTAACTAGACAAGTTCCTAGTCTATTCACAAAGGTACCTTTTTTCTTTTTTTAGAGACAGGGTCTTGCTCTGTCACCCAGGCTGGAGTGCAGTGGCGCCATCATAACTCACTGTAACCTTAATCTCCTGGGCTCAAGCGAGTCTCCCACCTCAGCCTCCCAAGTAGCTAGGACTACAGGTGCATAACCACAACACCTGGCTAATTTTTAAAATTTTCGTAGAGACAGATCTTGCTAGCTTGCCCAGGCTGGTCTCCAACTCCTGGCCTCAACTGATCCTCCTGTCTTGGTCTCCCAAAGTTCTGGGATTACAGGCATGAACCACCATGCCCAGACTAGTCACAAACGTATCTTAATAGGTAGAGTTCACTATTTAGTAAGCTTTAGTGTCAAATAGCCTTCAGCATCTTTTATTGAGTGCCTGCTGCAAGCCCCTTTGATATGGGGGATACAAGGTATAAGGTTTAGTTTCTGACCTAAAGGAACTGATAAAATAATAATTATGGGATACCATTCACTGAAGTATTACTATGATTAGGCTAATGATTCTCAGAGTATGGTACCTAAACAATACATCAGCATCACCTTGGAATTTGTTAGGGTTATTTATTTTTAATTTATGATTATTATTTTTTTAGAGACAGGGTCTTGCTTTATCACCCAGGCTAGAATGCAGTGACACAATCATAGCTCACTGCAGCCTCAACCTTCCAGGCTCAAGGGATCCTCCCACCTTACCCTCCCTAGTAGCTGGGACTGCAGGCACGTGCCACCATGCCTGGCTAATTTTTAAATTTTTGTTTTCTAGAGATGGTCTCACTATGTTGTCCAGGCTGGTACTGGGATTGGATAGTTTGAATAATTTTAGCAGGCTCTGAGGCATAGGGTCTACCCCTCATTGCCTGCTACCTGGCCCTGGCAATGACTAGGATACAGGACTAGTGACCCAAATGTGAGAGCCCAGAGAAAGGAGGTAATGGGTGGGTATGGGCTTTAGATTGGTTGGTTTGCATAGAAAGGCACATTCACAGATCAGTTGGTTACTATCTCTAGGAGTTGGCTAGTTTTGGGAGCAGCAATCTCTCCAGGGTCAGCAAGGTCCCACACATCAAAGAATTAGAATAAAAAGACCTGCTTGATACAGATAGATACAATTACCCTATATTTCAGATGGCAAAGTTGAAATCCTGAGAAGTAAGTCATATCTTCACCAAGGGGAGGACCTAGATTTAAACCTGAGTCTGCTGGACCCCCCAAACCATGCTCTTACCAATGTGCTATTCTGTTCTTCATCGAGCTAATTAAGCATACATGTGGGCATCTATAATTGTATAAAAAGATAATTTACAGAGCAAATGAGGATGCTGAGTAATTTCTATAGAAAATAATTGCATGAAGCAATGAGAAGGAGGAGGGATTGCTTGTAGTGGTCACAGAAGACTTGTGGAAAAGGGTCATTCAGACTGCTGCTGCCCCCACTCAGAGACGATGGATGATGGGCATTGTGTTTGCTGGGTGGGTCTTGAAAGTTGGATAGAATGGGTCTGGGCAAAACTGGGGAGAAAGAACATTCTGAAAAGATGGGAAATGATGTGATCACAAGGCTCAAAGGCAGTAGTGTGCAAAGTCTGATGAAAACACCAAGTGTTAATAGGCTGCCTTGGTTATTTGAAAGTAGATTAGGAGGAGACAGAAGTTGGATGCAGCTGGATGCCACCTATTTTAATGAGCTAAATGCATCAGAAGCAGTGCATGGATGTGCAAAAGGTTTGGCACTGTGGTCTAAATATCAAGAAAGTATCTCCATCTAAAAGTAGTGCCATAATCTAGGTGCCTGAGCTGGGTAAAATGTAGAGTAAGAATCTAGCTGGGAATTTCCAGCTTGGCATCTTGTGAGATAATATGTTAGGCTGGGAATCTGTGACCAACAGGGAGCACACAGACAATGGAAGATGTTTCCATGTGGACTAAAAAGAGCATCAAAGCTTTTGGGAAGTGAAACTGACAGCCAGGCTTTCGTTTAGATGCTTCTGAGCACTCACATTGTCCCAGGCACTGTGCTAGGTGATAGGGAGTTATACATCATTAGTCATGCTAATCAAACAGGGTCTCTGCCACTGAGGTACTAAAAAGTAGTGAGCTCACAGTCTTTGCACACTAGAGAGAGCAGAGGAGGCGTCTGTGCAGCCCAGCCTTGGAAAGGTGGAATGAACGGGCGCCTGTCTGTGTGGTGAAATTCCAGGAGGCACCCACAGAGATTATGGCAGCGCAAGGTCGACCCTCCTATGGCTTAGCTTGCAAGCCTCCCACTTCTGTGGCGGGAGTCACACTCTCTATCATCACTTTTTTTTTTTTTTTTTGAGACAGGGTCTTGCTCTGTCACCCAGGCTGAAGTACAGTGGTGTGATCATGGCTCACTGCAGGCTTGACCTCCTGGGCTTCTCCCACCTCAGCCCCCATGAGTAACTGGGACTACAGGTGCTCACCACCATGCCCACCTACCTTTAATTTTTTTTTTTTTTTATAGACCAGGTCTTACTATGTTGCCTAGGGTGGTCCCAAACTCTTACGCTCAAGGGATTCTCCCAATCTGGCCTTTCAAATTGTTGGGATTACAGGCGTTAGCCACTGCGCCCAGCCTGTGTCATCACTTTTATACTTTAGTAGGGTCCAGATCACCAAGGGAGCTTAATAATGCACATTACTGGGCCCTACCCCTCACCAAAGATGCAGGTTCCCTGAATGATAAAAGAACACCACCTTACATCCTCGATAACACCTTTAATACCTTTGTTATCAGTTAATAACAGAGCAGCCAGCATTGATAAGAATCTAACTAGAATGTAAGCTTCAGAAGGGCAGAGGTATTTGTCTATTTTGTTCACTGGTATATCCACAGCGCCTGGCCATATTAGGCACTTAGTAGCTCTTTGTTGAATGAAGCATATTGAAACATAGATGTGGAGGGTGCAGGGGAGGGGAAGAAATTAAGTCAAAAAGATGTGTCAACAAGAAGAAAGGGATACTTTTAATACGGGAAGTGGAAAGATATTAAGTGCAAATTTGGCTTTTCCAAAGGTCTGCTATATTTGGGTGGGGAAGGAAGGCGGGGAGGGGAAGGCTCCGGTCTTCACTCTGCTGAACTAAAATTATAAGTTGAATGATGCCTCCTAAACCATTGGTCTAAGAAATGTTCTGATTATGGAAAAATATCCATTCAGTGCCTTTCAAATTCTCCGAAGGCCCCTCTTTTCTTACTGTTTCTAACCTTCCGCCATGTTCAGAGAAAACAAACACCCAGCTCTTCTGAGCTACAGAAATTCTCTGACGGGCCCACGTGCTCATTTTTATCGACGTTCCCCAGGTCACTGTTAATTCAGGCCCCAGCAACAGCACAGGAATGCCCTGGCATCCCCACAGCTCCTTCCTGAGGAGATGAGCAGGTCGGCTGGAAAACACAATAGAATACAAAGGGAAAAGATCTTGGAAAAGATGAAGGAGAAAAATCAGGACCCCTCACCAAGTTAAACAAACATCTGGACTGAAGGGCTGTGTAATCAGGTTTTATAAAATTATTTTCAATAGGAAATGATGTTTTACTCTATATCTATGAGACATTTAGTTTTCAACATTCTTTTCCCTCTAAATTCATATCCTTAGTTCTAATTCATTTCTCTGTTTATACATCTTCTTTGGAAAGATATTTTTTTCTTTTACACATCTTTTTTTTTCTTTCTGATCATTTCTGTATTTGGCCTAATTTTCTCCTTTTGCTTTGGACCAGCAGTGTGTGGGCCTCAACAGGTAGGCAGGAAAGCAGCTGGTCTCTGAAAGAATCAAGCAGATCACAAAATGTCTGTGAAATGAACATGTCTGCCTCAAGCTTCCCACTCTGACGGGGCTCAGTGCCGAGCTCTGATTTGCTCTGGTGAAAAAAAAAAAATCCCCTAATTTCACTGTCAAGGTTTTGAGAGGCATTCTCATGGTTTTAAAGAGATTATTGCATAATTTGTTCATGTTTAAAGAATTATATTGTTAAATAAATTTAGCTCTCCAGATTCTAAATGACAAAAACAAGAGAAGTTACATCATTTGAATTATGAAGTGATAATGTCTTCCAATTCTGCCCCAATCAAAAGTGTAACAGTTTAAAGCTTATAATAATCATGTTCAAACATATTCAGATTATAATTACTTTTCTTCTGATAATGATAGCCCGTCTGATTGGATGATTACCTATTTGACTTTGATAAGTCTCAGAGGTCAAAAAAGGGATAATTGCAGACATCTGTTTTCTATGGAAAATATAATCTCAGAAAATAGTGTTTAAAGTGACATCTGCAAATATGTGTTTTAGAAAGAAACTCGTTGTACATTTAAAATCATAGGGAAAAGAAGCAATTCCTAAGCTACTATGTATCACCCTGTCTTTGTAAATAGATGAGCGAGTTTAACTTACTAGTATTCATGTATGCATGAGTAATTACAAGCAGGCATGATTATATTTTGTACAGGTAGAATTAGAAATAGACATAGATTATGAGAAAGGAATTTGAAAGTGTCTACAATATGGAATGATATGGAAGACTTTCGCTTTACTTTTGTTTGTTTTAGTTCAATCTAGGCATATATAGCTGTAACCATTTTCTAGGTGGTTTTTTATTTGGAAATTGGAGGTGGAAGGTCTTATTTCTTTGATTTCTCCTTGGAGATGACCTTCTCCAGTTATGAGGGGGCTCCTGATGAAGGCAAAAGGTTCACTCATGGCTGCCATGCTTCTCTATGTAGAAGAGGTGCCAGTTTCTCTCTCGGCAGGTGCATCAGCTTCCCAACCTCTTAGGGAGATGCCAAGAACCTCTCCCTCCCTTCAGCCAGCAGCTGTGTTCTGCCGCAAAAAGGGAGAACTGTATTTAATATTCCCTTCCATGCATGATAAAACTTCCTTGGCTTTAACTAATTAACTCAGAATCTTCTCTAATTCATGCAAGACCTGGGTTATCACTTTTTCTAGATTCAGCTTCCTAAAATACAACTTTCACCCTAGCACTTCCCTTCTCAAAAGCCTTCAACCACTCCTCGGTGTCTAAGGAAGGAATTCCAAGCTTCTCGGCAATTCAGGATCTTTCATAATTTGACCTTAGCCTATTTTTTCTTCTCTTTTTCTTCTACATAAAGCTTTCCTTTTTTGTTAAATCCATCTAATGCTAAAGGGTGTTAATCTTTCTTGCTTCTAATCTAGATCTTTGGTGATGCTGGTACATTCGCATGGAATTTTATCTTCCCCATCTCTGCTAATTAATGTTTTGTTGGTGGTGGTTGGTTGGTTTTTGCACCTCAGATTCACAGAACTGGATAAAACGTAATCGTAGGTTCATAACAAACTAGTATGATTGGTCCATGCAAGGCTTCTTTTATATTTATCCATACATATTACATTTTTACTCCAGTCTATCTTAAATCCTCTCATTTCAATAAGGTCTTTCCCTATATACACAGATATAATGACCCTGTTAAGAGGGCTCTTTCTGTCTCTGAACTATTACAATGTTTATTATGCAGAATGTAGACCACCACCTGCATGAAACATATCACATGCTGCCTGGTACTATCATTGTCTTTGCACATAGCTGCAGCCAGCTAGTCACATCCTGCTATGCTGTGTGTGCCTGAGACTTTGCCATAGATGTATGATAGCCTTTACCAAGTTGTATTGTATTACATATTATCTGTAACATCCGTCTTCCCCCTAAATCAGTAAGCTCCTTGTGGCCAGATTTGGTCTTTCATTTATGTTTGCATCCTAAGTGCCAACCACAGTGCCTGACAAGTAACGTTTAGTAAGCAGTTGTTGCATATTTTGAAAAATTAGATTATTAACTTCTAGGAAGCAATCAGGGAGTCACAGAATTTCAGACAAGGGATGGAGCTCATGAGTTTTATACCCTTTTTATCTTTCACAGTGCCTAGCAGAGTACTGAGCAGACATAAGTCCTTAATAAATACGTATTGAGGGATTGATGCTTAAATTCCTTCAGAAAATTAATGAACTGCATATTAGGGAGGGTACCCAACTTATCTCAGTTTCCCCTGAACTCGCTCAGGTTTGTTTTTTTTTTTTTTTTTTTTTGAGAGGGAGTCTTGCTCTGTCTCCCAGGTTAGAGTGCAGTGCTATGATCTCTTCTCACTGCAACCTATGCCTCCCAGGTTCAGACGATTCTTCTGCCTCAGCCTCCCGAGTGCTTGGGACTACAGGTGTGTGCCACTATGCCCGGCTAATTTTTGTATTTTTGTTGTTGTTGTTGTTGTTGAGACGGAGTCTCACGATGTTGCCCAGGCTGTAGTGCAGTGGCACTATTCGGCTCACTGCAAGCTCCGCCTCCTGGGTTCACGCCATTCTCCTGCCTCAGCCTCCTGAGTAGCTGGGACTACAGGTGCCCGCCACCACGCCCGTCTAAATTTTTGTATTTTTAGTAGAGATGGGGTTTCACCGTGTTAGCCAGGATGGTCTTAATCTCCTGTCCTCGTGATCCGCCCACCTCAGCCTCACAAAGTGCTGGGATTACAGGCGTGAGCTACCGCACCCGGCCTAATTTTTGTATTTTTTAGTAGAGACAGGGTTTCACCATGTTGGCCAGGCTGGTCTGAAACTCCTGACCTCAAGTGATCCGCTTGCCTTGGCCTCCCAAAGTGCTGGGATTACAGGTGTGAGCCACTGTGCCTGGCCAAACTCTCACAGGTTTTTGTTTGTTTGTTTGTTTTGTTTGTTTGAGACAGAGTCTCACTCTGTCGCTTAGGCTGGAGTGCTGTGGCACAAACTCGGCTCACTGCCTCGGGGGTTCAAGCAATTCTCTCTGCGTCAGCCTCCTAACTAGCTGGGATTACAGGTGTGCGCCACCACACCCAGCTAATTTTTTGCATTTTTAGTAGAGACTGGGTTTCACCATCTTGGGGAGGCTGGTCTTGAACTCCTGACCTCAGGTGATCCACCTGTCTCAGCCTCCCAAAGTGCTGGGATTACAGGCGTGAGCCACCTCGGCCAGCCACTCTCCCAGTTTTAAAGCAAAAAAAAAACCATGTCTGGGAGTCCCCTTAGTCCCAGGCAAACTGGGACAGTTGGTCAGCTTAGTTAGAAGTCTCACACACATATCAGGAGGGGGTATAGCTCTGAGGCAGAGTATTGGACTGCAGATCAAGAAGTCTCATGCACATACCAACAATGTAAATGCTAATAATATTACTCTCTCTCCTCATGGAGGTCTTTTAAGGATCAATTTGCAAACTTAAACTGAATTTCTGTGTATTTGATAGGGACCAAAAGAAAGTTCTTGTGAATTAGTCTGAATTTTAGGCTCTTCAGAATTTAATTTAAAAAAATTATATTGTTATTCCCCCTTGTAAAAATTAGTAAGAGTTTGAAATGCAACTAGATTTCACTTCTCAGAGTGTGATTTCTCTTTTGTGAGCTTAAAGAGACAGAGCTTAACAAAGACTCAAGCCTATGACCTACAGGCCAAGAGGGAATAGGCCAAGAGGGAATATAACTTTCAGGTAGAGGCCACCCACAACTAGGCTGCAGACCCCCCTCCCCACTGTATGAGTTGGGGGGGGCAGGGGGTAGGGGAGCTGTTGTGAATCACCAAGTCTCTTTTGTGTAAAACCAGCCTCCTTGGGTCCTCTCAGAAATCTTTTATTAAAACTCTAAGAATTTTCCTATTCTTCGTGCTATTCCATTGTTATTCCATTCCACATCCATTGTTATGGAGGGAATATTTACTTGCTATTGAAGGAAGTCTTGTGGGATGTATAGTCAATAATTTCATCAAGGAGTAACTTATCTTTCTACTTCTGGTGGAAAAGGGAGGGAAAAAGTTTCTCTTAAGTAGCTTATAAGCTTTTGAAGAATATGTACAAAGAGATATTTTTAGACAAAGAGAGTATTATTTTCCAATTTTTAGTAAAAAAGCAGCATAAAAACAAACAAAGTCTGAAACAAAAAAAACAATAGGGGCATGCCCAGAGAATGTGATGGCCACTGATTTCTGCATTAGTCACTTAACAAATACACACACAGAGGATGCATGTTTGTTTCTAGGGAAAGGCCCAAATGGGAATTATCCTGGATGTAACTTATAGGATTAGAGATTTGTTGGCTCTTTCACTACCAAGGAGAGGAAGAAGAAGAAGGTAAAACAAATGCAAAAATAAGAAAACAAAGGTGGCAAAACTTCTAGCAAAAGCAAATCTTTGCCATAGTGGATTCTGGAAGCTTGAAACATTTGCAGTTCACACAGTTTATATAATTCTATGTATATTTGCTTCTTCTGACTTATCTAGGTGAACTAAGTATAGTTGGCTAAAGGTGTTGCCTTAGTCTGCTCCTGTTGCTATAACAAAATACTATAGACTGGATAATTTATAAACAGCGGAAATTTATTTCTCACAGTTCTAGAGGCTGGGAAGTCCAAGATCAAGGACTAGGACTCAAGATTTGGTGTCTGGTGTAGGCTTACACTCCTCTTCCAAGATGATGCCTTCTTGCTGTGTCCTCTCACAGTGGAAAAGTGGAAGAGGGAGGCAGCTCTCTGAAGCCTTTTTTTTTTTTTGAGATGGAGTCTTGCTCTGTTGCCCAGGCTGAAGTGCAGTGGCGCAATCTTGGCTCACTGCGAGCTCGGCCTCCTGGGTTCACGCCATTCTCCTGCCTCAGCCTCCTGAGTAACTGGGACTATGGGTGTCTGCCACCACGCCTGGCTAATTTTTTGTATTTTTAGTAGAGATGGGGTTTCACTGTGTTAGCCAGGATGGTCTCGATCTCCTGACCTTGTTGTCCACCCGCCTCAGCCTCCCAAAGTGCTGGGATTACAGGTGAAGCCTTTTTTATAAGGGCATTCATCCTTCACAAGGGTGGAGCCTTCATGACTTAGTCACCTCCCAGAGGCCCTACCTTCTAATACTATCACTGTGTTGATTAGGTTTCAATGTATACATTTTGGAGGGACACATATATTCAAATCATAGCAGGTGAGATTCCCTTTTATGCCAGGACATTGGCCTCCAGCTGACAACTATCTCCACTCCCTGCCATACCTCCGGCCCAAATGATCATAATGTTTTGCCTAGGCAGTTGCAATCACTCCCCCGTATTCACTTTGCCCCCCCAACCCCATCTGTTCTTCTTGATACAAACAGAACCAATCATGTCGTCCTCCCCTTTCCTCTCATTCTCCTTCCCCAGGGATGAAGTATTCTGAGGTGAAAGACCAAGATTCTTAATATGCTCCTCAAGATCCTGTGTAGTTTGGCCCTACTTACCTTTCCACCTCATCTTGCACCAATCTCTCCCTGTTCCTCTGCACTTCACCCAGCCTCATCTAGTTCCTCACACTTTTCATGCAGCTTCTCACCACAGGGCCTTTGCACAAGCTGTTGTTGCCACCTGGAGAATATTCTCTCTCATTCTCCACTGTGTTTAGTTCTTCTATTCCTTTAGGGTGCAGTTCAAGCACATGAGCTCAGGAAAGCCTTTGCAGAGACCCATCCAGGTCAGATTTCTTTATGACATATTCTCCTAAGTCCATGTTTGTTTCATCAAGAGAACTCATATGGATATGTAATAGTATACTCATTTTTTGTGATTAAGCAACCTCTGTCACCAACTACAAGGGCCATGAAAGCAGGGACTTTGTTTCTGCTTTGTATTTCATCCTCAGTGCTCACTGAAGTGATTGGCACATGGCAGCCACTAGTCAACTGCTTGGAATTTTTTTAAAGAATTTGTTTCAAGGACTATCCTTGGATACTGGACACGCTAAATAATAAGTACTAGATTGGAACATAAGAGGAAAATTTGAGCTTCGATTCGATTCTTGTGACTTTCTGGAAGATGTAACGTATTTGCCTTGGTTTCTATGTCTATAACCTAAGAATAAAAAGGCCTGCTGCCACCAGCCTCATCCCATGAACTGTGCTGTTCTCCCGTGATTCAGTGCATTTCACAGTGTATTAGTTTAAACCTTAGGTGCTGTAACAAAGAGACCTAAAAATGCAGTGCTTAAACAAGACAGAACTTATATTTTTTTCTCTCTCTCATTTTTCTCTCTCCCAGGCCAGTATTCCAGGGTAGGTGTATTGGCTCAGTGGTGTCAGCAACCCAGACTTCTTGTATCTTCTTGCTCTGCCATCCTCAATATGTGGCTTCTCTCAAGGGCCCAAGATGGATGCTCTAGCTTTCAACATAGCAAATACATTTTAGTTATTGTGAAGGGAGAAAATGGAAGGGAAAGGTTTTTTATTTCCCTTTAAGGACGTGAACTGGAAGTTGCACATACTACTTCCAATTTCACTCCTTTGGCAAGAGCTGAATCATATGGCTACAGTGAGTTGCAAAGTCCATTGTGTCGTGATTTTTTTGTCAGTTTGTTTTGAGACAGGGTCTAGCTTTGTTGCTCAGGCTGGAGTGCAGTGGCGTGACCTCAGCTCACTGCAGCCTCAAACTCCTGGGTTCAAGTGATCCCCCCACCTCAGCCTCCCGAGTAGCTGGATTACAGGCATGCGCTAGCATGCCCTGCTAATTTTTGTATTTGTATTTTTGTTTTTTTGTAGAGACAGGGTTTTGCTATGTTGTCCCAGCTGATCTTGAACTCCTGGGCTCAAGGGATCCACCCACCTTGGCCTCCCAAAGTGCTGGGGTTATTGATGGGAGCCACTGCGCCTGGCCATGTTGTGATTTTTTACTCACCACTGTGTTTTCCCATTAGACTGGGTTTCTTGAGGTCAACAGTATTGTCTTGTTTCTCTTTATGCTTCTCTCTCCCTTTAGTGCCTACCTGAGAGCCTGCTACAGAGCAGTCCCTCAGTCATTGCTTATTTAATGAAATAAATCAAACTTGGTATGCGTCTAGAATAACTGAATGTTGGTAAGGCAGATGTTTGTCAAATGCCTGTGTTTTCATGGACTCCTAAAAAGAGCTAATTAAGTCTTTTTGACTTGCTCTGTATATATCACCTTATAAAATTCATCATGAAAACACATCGGGTAGATTTTAACTGAGATCCACATATGGGCTTTAGGAAATGTGTTTTTCTGAGGAGACGCTTCATGAGATTTTTCAAAGTAATTTGCGACCTGAAAATGTTTAAGAACCCCTCACATGGATGTGGAGATTTGAGGGCTCCCAATACATTTGCGGAAATTCAGAATGGAGAAATAAGGCAAAAGACGGAGGCAGATGGAGGTCAAATTTCATCTATATTGCTACAAAAGTTACTACTCAAGAAATATGGCTTATATGTTTTGACAAGTGGTCTTCTGATATTGAATACAAGATTTATGCACATTTACTCACTCCTCAGCACGTGGTCTGGGCATCCCATCTCATCCTCTCTCTATAGGAGAGAGAGTCTGTCCTGGAGCAGGCAAGCAGAGCGTGTTCCTCTGGGCAACTTGTTCCCCACAGAAGAAAAAGAGAGGAGGAAGAGGCGAGGTGGCACTCACCTAGGTTTTTTCCCCCAAGTCCCCATCATATTAGGTCACTTTTTCTTCCCTTAAATGAGGAACAGGTGTGGGGAGAGAGGCCAGGAATTTTACGCTAATGAGACTCCTTCTACCTGGAGGGACACATCAGGTGTGCAGAAGAAGGGTTCTCCCTTAACAGTGAAGATTGAAAGACTGATTTCTGGTAATGAGTCCCTCATATGTTCACAGAAAAATGAATAGGTTAGATGAAATAAGCTCCAAAGCCATCCCAAGGCTCCACATATGGGAAACATTTCCAGTCCTAATACTCATGGCTTACATTTTTGGTTGTTTGGGTTATGTAGGGGGCATACTTAGGCAGCGCTGTTATTTCTTGCTTTGTGGCCTCAGTCTTTTTCATCCTGGATCCCAGAGAACCTGACCTGGCCTGCAAGTTCCTCATCCAGCTGGAAGCAGGTGCTGGGGAGCAGGTGGCCTCCCCCGTATCTCCAACTCAGGACCACCTGGGGCAGGGGGAGTGTGGCGTTTCACTTGAGCCTTCTCCTTGCCACCTCACTAGCTTACTTAGGAAAAGCAAGAGAAATGGGAAATGGGAGTTGGAAATGCAGCCAATCAGCAACGGAAGAGCCTCTGGGGAACTCAGGGGGCGAGGGGGGACCCTAGTATCTCAGCCTCTGACCTTAGTTATCCCTGTTTGTGGGGGAAAATGCATTTTCCTGTTTTGAGGGCTCTCTACAATGCATCTCAGGCAAAAAGTGAGGAAATTGGGTATCCTATATACATATAAATAACACCCTTAATCATCATCGACCAAATAGGCTACACTGCCCCCTTATGATGTTTCAGGAAAGCAATCCGGGCATTCCCATGGCCTTTGGAGGGATTTTCCATGATTCTGTAAATCCTTGAGTAATATTGAAGCTCTGTAATAACACCAAGCTACTTTTGCATTTATTCTAGTCTTAGGTTTGAACATTATAATATTAGTTGTTTAAATTTTCATAGAGTCCATGGTTCAGAAGAGTTCTGGGGAAATCATTTAAATTCATCCTCCTGCAGGTCCCTTGATAGGGCTGCAACTTGGCTAACAAAGACAAATGGCCTTCTATCTGATTCTGAAAGGTCTCCAGGGGAAGATTCCATAATGAACCACAGTAATCATGAATTGCTAACATGAATGTGCCCCACTTTAAGAAAACCTGACATGTGAAAGCCTATGTGGCAGGATAATTTATTGAGATACTAATCTACGCTTTGTTCTCTGTAATTTGCCTCCCCTGTCCCACCCCCCGTCCCCATGAAGGTAGCCAGTTCTGTTTCCCTTCCTGTGGAGGTGATAGAGTTTACTTGTGCTATATTCCTATTGTTTTATTAGACAGATGCACAGAGAAAGAGAATACGCTTGCTCATGTGCTAATGCTAAAGTCAAACTCCTCAAGTAACACTATAGGGGGGCGATGCTCCTTAGAGGATGCAGCTCCACCTGACTCTTCATCGTCAGCTGTGTGTTCTTAGAAAATGGCTTTTATCTCTTTAACCTCTGTTTGATCATCTGTAAAATGAAAGGTTGATTTAATGACATTCAGGTACCTCCCTGCTCTTGAATCTGTGGGATTATCAATCTCTTAAGCTCCGACTCCCAGGACAGCTGTGGAACATTTGCTTAAAGGTTTTGGAGTTGGGTGGCCAACTTCAGCAAAGGAAACAGTATATGCAATATTTGTGACATGCTTATACAAAAATAAAATTTGCTCTTTGAAATCACATTTAACTGGGTATCTTATATTTTATCTAGCAACCCCATTTGGGGTCACCTGCATTTGGGAGATGGAAGGCTGAGGGAGAAGAAGTTTGTTTCTTTTCATTGCCATCAAGATTGGATCTAGCATTCAAGAAACAGGTTTATACATTTTCTTTCTCTGTAAGCATGTCCATCTTATTTTTAAGCTATCCTAGCACAATTTTCATTGAAATCTTCAAAATTAATATTTAACATGAAAAAAATAAATGAGACCTGCCCATTTTACTAAAGGCCAAATTTTCTATACCTTATAAAAATTAGAGAGCAGACCAATAAACCCTAAAGCAAGAAGAGACCAGCTGCTCAATTGATCAAAATGATAGAAGTTCTTCTACATCACCTCTCCCAGCGAGGGTATGACTGGTGTTACTGGTGGGAGTTATATTTTTGTCCTGTCCTCAACATTTCTATGACACAGGAAAGCAAATGGAGTCAAAGTTCTGATTACTTTTTCCTATAACACTACAAGCATTTTTTTTTTAAATGTCCTTCTGAACTCTCCATTCCTTAATTTTGGAATTGCATTGAATGTCATCATGCTATGATTTAAGGAAATCATCTGTAAATCAAAACAATCTTGATGATACAGGTTGGGCTCCCTGTGATTTCTTGACACAAAACAGGTCAGGATCTAAAACTGAATGTGGAAAGAAACATGATTTATATTTTGTCCAATTAGCCCGTATATGACCTTCATGTGAAAGGAACATGGCCTTGGATAAAAAGACTCTCTCATTGATTTATCCCATTTTTAATCAAAGTAAGGTACCAACACATGCAGGATGTAGTAATTCACAGTCTCAAGATTAAATGCTGATAAAAATTTGTAGCAGTTTTAGCATCAAATATATCCTCACCCATAACAAGGAGGTCACTCTATTAGTGAGCAAGTCTGGGCACAAAATGGGGAAGTCCATTGTCCAGTTTGAATAATGTAGTGGAATCTAAAGCTTTGTGGATAAGAATGACTGACCCTGTAATGTCCTCGGTGCATCTGTACTTGAAGTGAGATTAACATAAGCGTGATCTGCAGGAAATAGGTACCCTTTAAAGATACCTTCAGCTGTGTGTGTGAGAGAGAGCAGGGCCACGGGGTGTCGTGGGGTAGGGGGAAAGGAGAGAGGACCTAAGAGACTGAGTGAAGGCAATTTACTTATCAATGTTCAATTTTCCTAAATGTCAACTTGATCTCTCTCTTTTCGTACGTTACAGTTGAGAAATAGGTTTGATTTGAGTCACAGGAAATAATAATTAAAAAAAAAACCCAAACCATTGATTACTCTTAATTTGCTTTGTCAAGAGGCTTTGCTTTACTTGCATTCATAGGAAGGGCAAGTGGAAAGTATTTCGGGGCTATGAAAGAATGCCAGTGTGATGAGGCTGGGAAATTCACGGGCATGGTTCAGAACTCTGCTTCTCAGATCCATTTCATAACAACTTAATATGCTCAAGTATTTTCTGAGGGGCAAGACTGTCCTACAGCATAGATTAAGTGGTCCAATTTTTGCCTCTGGGAGAAGGAAAAAAATATCCAAGTAGGTAGACAACTATTCAAAAGAAACATTGCATAGATGCTTAGCTTTGGCAATGTTCTGATGCTAAGCAGGGGTGGAGAGGGTGGTGCAGAGCTGCGCTCTGAAGCCTGGGGAAGCAGGCTGGGCTGAAAGCTGGGAAGAACTTAGATCAGATGCGATGCTGCCTAATCAAGGTTAAGACTTAGCCTGTTACCAGGGAGAAGAAGAAAGAGCCAGTGAATCTGACTACATAATTGCTATTTCTTTCAAAAAAAAAAAAAAAAAAAAAAGATTGGGAAAAAGGGAGGAAGGAAAGGACAGGCTTAGACTCTGTAGGTTATTTCTGAATAATGGAAATATTTTTAAATTCTTGTTATAATTAATCAAATCTATGTTCTTTGGGAGTAGAAAACTAAATGAATGCATCATTAATGGCTTAGTGTAAAAGTACAATCATGCAAATTTAAGTCTCCTATTCATTCCAATTGAAAACTCTCATGATAATGGTTAACGTCTTGCACTTTCACTGTGTGCCAGCCATTGTGTTAAAAGCTTTCCATGCATTATTTCCCTCACAACAACAGATGAGGAAACTGAGGCTTAGAGAATCGAGGCAAACTCATCACGTCTCAAAGCTTGTATATGAAGCAAACAGGAGTTGGGTCCCAAGGTCTTACTCCAAAGTTGTGTTCGATAGACATCCTGTTGTATTTCTTCCTCTGCCTCCCTGCAATCGACATATCCTTGTAATCAGGAGCAGGTTTTTCTTAAGGAGCCAAAAGAGAGAAGAGATAATTTAGATGATAGGAGGAAAATTGTGGTAGAGCATATCTTTGTCACAAACAGGTCTTTGAAAATACCAGATGACTGAACTAAAATAAATGGGAGAGAGTGTACTTATTTGATGTGGGGTGTGGTTTACTGCTATAGAAAACCAGCAATGGCCAAGGGGCCAGTATCTCAAAGACAAAGACCAATGACAGAGCTGGCAGGACAGGAGCTTTTGCTCACTGTATTCTAGGATGGGGTGGTAAAAAGCTAGGGCATTTTGTAAGCATCTCTAGATTGTAACTTTTGTCTTTTGGATTAAGGAGATGCCAAGAGAAGTAGTACAGAAATAGGGCTTTTCACAATTTCAGGAGATACTTAAGTGAGAATGCAGCATTTCTCTTGTAATACAGGCTAGGTAGGTTAGAAATCTCTTCCCCTTTTCAATGAACCAAGACATTGCTAAGCAGTTAGTATAGTGGCCCTGTGTTTAAGTGACACAGAGGGAAGAGCAACAGATGGTTGGAAACAGACCTGGTTTCCATCCATGCATCTCTATGAAGGCATATCCTCCAATCTCCCAGACTCAGTTTCCTTATCTGCACCACGGTGTTAGAATGCTTACATTGCTGGGCTGGGTGCCGTGGCTCTCGCTTGTAATCCTAGCACTTTGGGTGGCTGAGGCAGGTACATCACCTGAGGTCAGGAGTTTGAGACCAGCCTGGCCAACAAGGCGAAATCCCATCTCTACTAAAAATACAAAAATTAGCCGGATGTGGTGGTGGATGTCTGTAATTCCAGGTGCTCGGGGGCTAAGGCAGGAGAATTGTTTGAACCTGGGAGGTGGAGGTTGCAGTGAGCCAAGATTGAGCCACTGCACTCCAGCCTGGGTGACAGAGCGAGACTCCATCACAAAATAAAAAAAAAAAAGAATGCTTACCTTGCTGGCTTGTTGTGAGGATCAGAGATCACATACAATTGTGGCTGGCATAGAGTAGGTACTTGATAAATGGTAGTTATTACCAGCCCACCGTTTTTACTGGGTAGGTGAAAGAAGGCTAAGCCAAGAAAGGGAAAAATGTTAAAGGCTGAAAAAAAAAAACACAAAAAACAAAAAACAGAGGGAGGGATAGGGTGGTGGCATCTGGCTTGCGAACCCCACTGTTGCCCCTCCCAAACTCTGTCCTTTTAACGAGCCATATGCAGCTTCCAACAGATGAGATCTGGTGTCTGCAAAGACAAAGCAGAGCCAAAAGGCGATGTAACACGGAATTAGAGACTGCTTTTCCCTCTAATGAGCCAGCCTGCTCATTTAAAATGCAGTGCTGTTTGGAGCCCAGACTGGGCGGCATGTGCAGCCGTGTGCCCGCGCCGTTCCTCACGTGCACATGGGTGGCTTGAGCGCATAAGCATGACTGCCAATATCACGGTTGGTTAGCTTGTGGCCCAATACTGGGCGGTGTGGTGTGTGCGGGAGGCGGGGCGCTGGAGCCGCTGTCAAGGACGACTGTGGGAGTCACGCAGCCTCTAAGCTACTTGGGAAATTGACTCTCATCAGCCAATACTCTCAAGATCTTGCTGAGTACAGAGGTACTTTGGGAGGAAAGTGAGAGAAAGAAGAGATACTAGCTGTTCCCCCAGAGGGCTCCCTGACTACCCAGCTGGAAGACCACACACACACCACGAACACATACGACATACACACATCATGTGCACCCACCACACAGACCATACACATACATATACCATATACCACACATGTGTACACACACTCTACACACACATCATATGCACCTGCCACACAGACCATGCACATATAGATACCATAGATCACACATATGTACACACATGCTACACACACATCATGTGCACATGCCACACAGACCATGTACATACATATACCATGTACACACATGCTACACACACACATCATGTGCAAATGCCACACAGACCATGCACATACATACACCATGTACACACATGCTAAATGCGCAAATCATGTGCACATGCCACACAGACCATGCACACATAGATACCATACACCACACATGTTTACACACATACTAAACACACATCATGTGCACATGCCACACAGATCACGAACATGTAGAAACCATAGACCACACATATGTACACACACTACACACACTACACAGACCATGCACATACATATACCATGTACATACATGCTACACACACATCATGTGCACATGCCACATAGACCATGCACATACATCTACCATACACCACACATATGTACACACACTACACACACATCATGTACACATGCCACACAGACCATGCACATGCATATACCATATATCACACATATGTACACACACTACACACATGCATATGCACATGCCACACAGAGTATGCAGGTACATATACCACATGTCACACATATGTACACATACACACACCAAACACATGGACACACGTGCATATCACACACAGGCCACACCATATGTACACCACAAACCACACTCATGTGCATGCACTATACGTACCATGCATGTAAACATACATACTCTATACATATACCACACACATAGACACACACTATGCACATAACTATGACACACAGACCACAGACATATGCATGCACACATATCACACACCACATACACACAACATATGTGCACATACTACCTGCACCACATATGTGTGTGGGCACATGCATACCACACAGAGTGCACACATACCACATGAACACATACTACATGCACCACACATGTACATACACCCCACACTTTACACACATACCACACACATATGCCACATACAACACATATATACATATCTATATTTATCACACACATATGCACATATCAACCCCATGCTGTACTCATGCACCACACACAGCACACACTTTTATGTATAGATACCACATAGATATACTACACATGCATAAAAATGACCTACACCACACATCACACATGCACACCCCATGTACATGCATGTGTCACACCCACAATTCTATACATACTATGTACACGTAGACAAACACATCATATAAATACATACCTCCTACAGATCACACATATACACCTACATAAATATTACATGTCACACAAATATATATACTGCACTTACAGTGCACACTTGTATACACATGCAAACACCATGCAAATACCCCACACAAAACACACACAGGTACACATCACACATGTACACATCACACACATAACGCAATCCTATACACTACACACATAAGTACACACCACAAACACTACACACATACACAAATCCTCCTATGCACACACACACATATCCGTACCACAAACATATATACACATGTACCACCCATACCACTCACATATCACACATCACATACACACACATCATACACATACATAACACCAAGTATATACACACAAAACACCACACAGCACACATGTATATATACCACATATACATACATGTGCCCCAACACCCTACACACACATATACAAGTTACAGACATGTACACACACCACACACATCACCCTCATGCACATACCCCCTACGCATACCACACATGTTCACACAGTACACGTAAATACCCACATACTACCCACATATATCACAAATGTCTATATACCCCTCATACAAAACACACCCCCATACCACATACATACACAGCTCCACCATATATGCATACCACACATACATCACATACATACACATGCCACACACCACATACCTGATCACACAACACACACAATGCACACACATGCAGAAATCTCTTCCATGTCCACACACATGACACACACACTCACTACTACACAACATACATGACCTCACACACAGACCATTAACACAG
The DNA here is from genome assembly GCF_000001405.40 of Homo sapiens. Taxonomy (NCBI): domain Eukaryota; kingdom Metazoa; phylum Chordata; class Mammalia; order Primates; family Hominidae; genus Homo; species Homo sapiens. Next base: position 140,289,076 of record NC_000004.12, read on the forward strand.
ATGCTAGGAGACACAAATGTGTCTTGCTATGTCCCCTTGCAAAAGTGTACTCCTTTGGGGACCAGAACTCTAACATTGCAGAGCCCAGAGTTGTGTGGCAGGAAATACCAACTGAACCAGTAGTCATAGAGAGTGATATTAAGGAGGGTCACTCCTGCTTGTACTTTTCCCACTGGGACACAACACCACAAAGCAGCCTCCGAATTAATGCACACACTGCGTCCTAGAGAATGATGTCCCATCTCCTCTGAGCCAGCATATCAGCCGCCCTTTTCAAGTGAGTTTTCGGGATTTCAAGGCTGGCTGCTTTTGGATGGTGTGACAGGTGATAGAGTGAGTGTGTCCCATGGCTCCACCCCCTCATTTCCTTCACTGTGAAGTGGGTCTCCTGTTGGATGCTGTATTACTTGAGATGTTAAGACTGTGGATCAGGGATACTGTAAACCCTTGGAGAGTGGTGCTGGCTGAGGCTCTGTGGGCAGACAGGGCAAATTCGTTTTGAGATTGGTACCCATACCTGTGAACTGCTGACTGTTCCAGGATGGCAGGGACCCAGTGTAAGTGACTTGTCACCAAATGGTCCATTGGGCTCCTTAAGAACTAGTGCCAACAGGTTGTGCATTCAAAGGCAGCAGTATCCAGATCAGCCTTTTCAAGTGGAAGCCAGCAGTTTTGGGTCCATACACAGCCTCCATCTCTGTCCCTGTGGCGATTCCATTCATGTGCTTATCCTGCCAGCTCAGAGAAAGCTGATAACAAAGACTGGCTAATAGCAGCTGGCTGCATCATTTTGTCTACTTGGTTGTTCAGTACCTCTTCTGTGAGGATTATAAGTAACACCCATTACTTTTAGTGGGTATTAAAGTGTGGTGCAGCAATCTTGACACTTAATGCTTAATGCTATATGTCCATTGACATGCCTCTACCCCAGGACTCCTCACCAATCTTTCAGTGTTTTTACTCCCAGGCTTCTGGCCAGCCCAGAGTCTCTTCTGTAATGTAGCCACTGCATGTGCAGGTGTCACCTAGCATTTTTTTGCATTGCTGTATAGGAATGAGAGCCCAGGGAACTGGTGTAAGAAAATGCTGATACTCTGGCTGCTGCAATTGTGCTGAATAATAAAGTTCTTTGTCTCTGACCTTAAATCTTCTGCCAGCAGCCATACAACAGTGTCAGGATAACTTGTTAGCTTACAGGCAGGGTAAAATCTCAGACCCTTCACAGATCATAAACCAACCTTGGGCTTTCTCCTCTTTCTTTCTTCAGCTGGTCACTTGGGACACTCATTTGACAAGAGGTAAGAGCTGGGGATAGTGGATGGAATTGTGGAGGGTGGGCTCCCTGTTCATGCAACTTCCCCCATGCCTTTGGTTCCACTCATTTCCATCTTACAATAGACTACTGCTGAGCCTATGTGACCTCATGAATTGGCAGTTTCAAAAGAACCTGGATTGAGTAGGGCGCAGTGGCTCATGCCTGTATTCCCAGCACTTGGGGAAGCTGAGGTGGGCAGATCACCTGAGGCCAGGAGTTCGACACCAACCTGGCCAACATGGTGAAACCCCATCTCTACTAAAAATACAAAAATTAGCCAGGCATGGTGGCGTGTGCCTGTAGTCTTAGCTACTTGGGAGGCTGAGGCGGGAGAATCACTTGAACCCAGGAGGTGAAGGTTGCAGTGAGCTGAGGTCGTGCTGCTGCACTCCAGCCTGGGAAACATTGAGTGAGACTCTGTCTCAAAAACAAACAAACAAACAAACGAACAAACCCCACATCACAGTGGACAGTCTGTATGCATGGTCACTTGATGTTCCATGGTCCAGCATTCCATTCTAAGCATTCTGTGCTCAGAAACATGTGGGGGCTTTCTCAAAAAGCATATAATAATTTTGCTATAGATGGCATAACCTTGTTCCAGAACCCCAGAAGCCTGCATTATTGTTTTCTCACTGGGAACTTGCCATAAACTCCACACTATATCTTTTTTCTAATATTGGCTCTCCCAACACAACAGGGCTTGCTGGACCTTATGGCCTGAGTGGCAGGGCAAGCCTGGATCTGCTGCAGAGCCCATTCTTGCTCCTGGGCTTTCTGAAAGCTGGCAGTCTTCTGAGTCTCCCAATATTCTTAAGTGTGGTATTGGTAGGTATGAAACGTGCTATCTCCAAAAGAAGCCGGGAGGCCTGTCAGGTGCTATGCTTCCTTTTTTTGTGATAGGGGCTGCAAGACATTTGTCTTTTACTTTAGAGATTATATCCTGGAGTCCTAAAGACTTCACGTGGTGGCAGCCGCCTGGCTCTTCATATACCTTACCTTCTGCAGGGCATGTGTCTTCCCAAGCCCTCTGGTGTATAGCAACCTCTTGTCATCTTGCCCAGTCAGCATGATGTCATCATTGTAATGGATCCATATGCCATTCTGCAGGATGTCCACAAGGTCCAGGTCTCCTGGGACTGTATTATGGCAGAGGGTGAGTGAGTTTGAAAAGCAACAGAACAAAAAAGAATTATAATCAATATCCTTTCTCGGTCACCAAATCAATGACCATGTACCATGTACCTGACGCTTATTAATATGTTCTGGGAATAAAATCACATCAGGCACTGCAGCTTTGATCAGGATTACTGCTTGGGTAAGCCTTCAGTAGGCAACGGTCATTCTCCAGGATCCATCTGATTTCTCAGCTCTATTGGGGGGGCTGTGATAATACTGCAGGTCTCCAGGTATCAATGCCAGCTCAGACCTTGTGTCTGATCATCCTCAAAATATCTGATGAATTTCCTTTCCCCAGTGTATGTAGTTTATTTAAGAAAGGACTAGAGAACTCATTATAGTTTATGCTTGCCATGGTTTTATAGTGTCATTCTACCTATGGATCCTGCCACCTTTTAGGTAAATGGGGCCCAGGTCTGAAAATCTCAGACCTGGGAAATAGGTGAATGATGATGACTGTTTATTGGAACGACCACCCTCTGCCTCCTGCTCCTCTGTTCCTGCCTTCTTTTGATTGTGGCAGCATCCTCATTGACTGACCATCTCTGTTGCCCCCCATCTTATGTTCAACCACCTTGATCACGCATGCTCAAAATCTGCTTCCAGCGGTACTCTTCTGGTTTTTTTTTTTTTTTTTGAGACAGGGTCTTTCTCTGTCACCCAGGCTGGAGTGCAGTAGCATGATCTTGGCTCACTGCAAACTTTGCCTCCTGGATTCAAGTGATTCTCGTGCCTCACCCTCCCAAGTTGCTGGGGCTACAGGTGCGTGCCACCATGCCCAGCTAATTTTTGTATATTTAGTAGAGACAGGGTTTTGTCATGTTAGCTAGGCTGGTCTTGAACTCCTGATGTCAAGTGATCCACCCACCTTGGACTCCCAGAGTGCTGGGATTACAGGCATGAGCCACTGAACCTGACTGGTACTCTTCTGGTTCTTGATGGCTTATGCTAGCTAATTCTCACAGCTCCATTGGGATATAATCTCCTTTTTCCTTATGAAACCCAACATATTCCTGACTGAAGTATGCTGAAATTTCATCTTAGTTATTGGCCTGGAAGCCAGAATAAGAGATGGGACAATTCCTGAGGGGACCACCTGTTACCTTGCCGAGGAGGGGACGTTGCTGTATCTTTCTGAATTGGAAAAATTCTAGTTCTTATTCTGGGGGAGCCACCTCTGAAAGCTCTGAGGCTTCAGAGGAATCTAAAGCAACAAAGCCCTTGGGACCATCCACCCAGATGTACCCATCTCAGTTTTTAGGGTCTCATGTTTCCCCAACTGGGACCCTGATTTCATAGGAGATCTGAGTTGGTTTAAGCATCACTGGGGCTTTGAAACTTTAATTATCAAATTCTGTGTTGGCAGCTCAGCTGTGTCTGCTCTTCCAGTGCAGGAGAGAAGAGGCTTCCTATAAACTACCAGCAAGGCCCTCTGGCTCCCACTCTTAGCTTTTATCTGTATGTCAACTGCTCTTGGTTTCTCACGATTCCCCTGTAGAACACTTGTACCACTTAGTAGCAGCCAGCAAACTCCACTGTACGTGTAGCTCATGTGTTCCCCCCTATATCTTTCAGAAGTCTGAATCATTGCACATGCAAAGCCATTCTCCCCCAACAGAATGTTTTCTCACATGAAATCTTAAACAACTGGGCTGCCACTAGGTGCCAGGGAATAACCATACCCCACATACCACTCAAGATGGGCTCCTCCTTGTCAGGGAGGGTCTGAGTAACCCAGTCGCAAAGGCTTATCTTTACTGCCTGTTTCCTCACGTCACTCCTGGTGTGTCTTGTGTCTTCTGAGCAGGGCACGCCAAGACAGGATTGGAGGTGTAAGCTATTTGTTGAGGTAAACTAAAAGAATAAGAGAGGAGCAGGAGTTGTCAGAGAGTCTTGAGATGGAAATGCCGGTCTGACACCTACTAAGAAGAGAGGGAAAGAAGGATTGGATAGGAAGAAAGGAAGGATTGCAATGGACCACAGTGCAGTTTTAGGTAAGTCTTGGCCAGGCCAATGGGAAGACCCAAAGCCATAGTTGCTGAGTAGAGAATTCCACGCCAGGCAGGAATGGATAGGTCCAGTACACCTACCATTCCCTGTCATTGGCTGGAAGCTCTCCAGAGAACCCCACAGTGTATCCAAAGGTGCAGCAGCTGAGGGCTGTCAATCAGCCATTGCCTCCCAGCAGATCCCCTTAAAAGGAGATCTGAGTGATCCACTTCCATGGCCACTATGGTGATGGAACACCCCCATGTATAGGATTCATGGAGGCAGCCATCAAGGGGAGAGTAAAGCAGAGCCAGTGACTGGGGGCTCTTCAGAAAGTAAGGGGAAGTTGTCCAGGCAGCAAAAGCTTAGGGTGAGGGTTCCCAGAAGCCAACTTTTAACTTAGCTTTCCCCATTCAGCCATAACTTTTTTACTCCTTTGCTAAGATGGAAAGAAGTTAAAGAAGGGCCTTTGGGTCCAAAACACATTAAAAAACAAAATACAGAGACACTTGTAACCAGGGCCTAAACCCAACACTGGCAGGTGTGGTAACTACCATGGCATCCAAAGTACCGAGGCATGCTGAGAGTGGCAGCCTCAGGGACATCCCAGGTATGTCAGCCCACATCACTCACTTGGAATGCCATTTCCCTTCAACTTCCAGTGAGTCTCTCCAATGATGGACAGGAATGTGTGGAAGCAGAATAAGGTAGTGTCACTACCAAGGAAAGATATTGAGGAGGGGACAGTAACCTGCATAATAATTCTCAGCTTACTTCCCATGGAAGTACCGGATGCCACTGTGGAAATTAAGTGATTCCTGATTTAAGACATTATTGCTTCAGGGTGTGCCTAAGCCTGAAAGTCCCCTACATGCATGAATGCAATTCTCTATCTAAATACCCAATTCATTGTCAGGAAAAAATGGGCCCTAGAGAGTTTTTGTGGGTACAAACAATTGTACCCAGCTGACCAACCAACTAAATTCTCCTATTCAAAGACTTGGAGGAAATGAGTCCAAATATTGACAGCAGAAAATTTTAGTGACCCGTGCTCTGTTTCTTGGGCTAGTGGAGACCATTAAGGATTATGCTCCTCTCTAGGCCCACATCTGGCCACTATGTTTCAAGTTCTAGGTTCATGGGATTTCAAGGTTAGAAAGGACCACATAAACCGTGCCGCCCAATCCACCATAAGCTGAAATGTTGATGACACTGTCATGGAGAGGTACAGACCTGATGACATCACATTTGCTTCCCTTTCTGCTGACCTGGAAACAGCTAAAAGTAGCTACTTGTCCATGCCCTGGCTCTTATAACTATTTCTTCTCCAAGGTTTTCTGTGTCCAAATGTCTGGACCCTGTGATTTGAGGCTTTACACATTGTGCATAAGTGTAGTTATCATAATAAATTTGAAATTAAACCCCATACCAGCAATCAGCTGGTATACAGCTTAGGAAATAGCCACACACCAGTTAAATAAAGCACAGTTAGGAAGCATATCTTCTGTCAAGTAACCATGCAATTAATTTCAAAGTAAAAAATAATTGGATTATCTGTGTCATGGTTTTCTTCATTAGTGTAGATAATTGGGAGATTTTAGTAGTATATTTCCTTCCTTCTTGAAGAAAATGCTTATGATATAATGATGGGGATCCCTCCCTTTCAGGTTTACACTTGGTGGGAGTTTGTAGGAGCTTACATCTGATATCTTTGGTCTATAGGTAAGGGGTAAAATAACAGAAAAGGAACCATGGTTGCCTGGACCATGGGTTAAAAAAAAAATCTCAGAAGGCCCATCAGCACACCCCACCACTCCATGTGAATGTGACCTCTGCCATACTTGGCCATGTGGAGGTTGGAGCCACACAGGGGCGTGCTTTCTAGAAGCCAATTGTTAGAGTTGGGCTGGCCAAGTGGGATCTGACAATGGAGTAACAGAATAAATCCAGGCAGGATAGCTCCTGGGGGCAAGGGCTGAAAGACAGAAAGAACAGCAAGGAGAGAAGTGAGACGGCGTGGCCCCGCCTGCTGGCTGGGCTCCGGCTCAGGACAGTTTCTTAAGTAGCGTCACAAGACCACCTGCATGAAAATCACCTGGAGCGAAGGGCGCGGTGGCTCACGCCTGTAATCCCAGCACTTTGGGAGGCCGAGGTGGGCGGATCACGAGGTCAGGAGATCGAGACCACGATGAAACCCCGTCTCTACTAAAAATACAAAAAAAATTAGCCGGGCGCGGTGGCGGGCGCCTGTAGTCCCAGCTGCTGGGGAGGCTGAGGCAGGAGAATGGCGTGAACCCGGGAGGCGGAGCTTGCAGTGAGCCAAGATCGCTCCACTGCACTCCAGCCTGGGCGACAGAGCGAGACTCCGTCTCAAAAAAAAAAAAAAAAAGAAAGAAAGAAAAAAAAAAAGAAAATCACCTGGAGCTTATAAAGCTGCAGGTGCCTGGGTCCCTGTCACAGACCTATTTACTCAGAATCTGTGGGAACCAGGCCCAGGAATCTGCATTTTTTAAAAGTTCCCTGGATGATTGTTATGAGAATGAAGATTTCAGACTCACTGCTCCAGGCACGTTGTGGCAGGGTCGATCCACATGCCTAGGTGTGAATCATTATCTGGTTGTGACAGGCGCATCACAGAGGGGTCTTCACAGCCCCCACTGGCATTAATATTCACAAGGATCAAATCCAAAATGGATTTAATGAGCATGTTCTTCGTGAGAGATGCTGTTAGGAAACTCCAAACCAGCAATGGGCAAAATTTCTGAAGGCAGAAAGCCTGAAAATAAGCCACAGTTTATGTTTTCAGAACTACTAAGGGTGGAGCGGCTGTCTTTTCTAGCTGGATGTGCTGAATAAGAACCGTGCAAAACAAATACAGTTCCCCAGGGGCGCCGTGCATGATTTATTTCCAGATTTAATGAATGGCCACGTGCCTGGGTTAGTGGAAAATAACCCACAGACTGACTCATCCCTGAAAAGTGCAGTGGAAAAGCCTCTCTCGCTGATGCCATTGAAGGACACTGACCCATTTCCACATCCTAATCTCCTGGTAAACCGGGTGACATGGCGGGTGAACGAGGTATGCAGGCTGCCTGCCTTGCCTCTGAGAACACAGTTTCTCGACATCCCCTGAAATGTCTATTGATCTGAGCATGTAGCTGATGTCAACACTGATTGTCTGAAGAGAGGCTACTCAATATCACAAGGTCACGACAAGAAAAAAAAAAACCTAATAATTCACTATCCCTGAACACAAAAGACTGGGCGTTGTTTTCTTCCATCTTAACAGTATCTTTCTGTGGCTGCTGAGTGACTCTCCTCCTGTCACTGCCCTTGCTGTGGGATTTAGGTCTTACATTCGCTTTTATTTACCTATTTCTCTCCTGGCTTAACTTTTCAGATTCATGTAAGAGCAAACACCTGCTTTATATGCTCTGTCCCTGCTGCAGCCTCATCGCACAAAAGGCTGATTTAACTCCTCAACAGAAAGCCCTAATTTCACAAGCCCTGGGACTTCTCTGAATCACATTTTCTGCCCTAAGTTAGCAGCACCATTTCTCCCATGAAATAATGTTTACTGGTGCTTAATTGATTGAATTGGCACCTGCCTTGCAGGTGTACTCTTGGGCTTCATGAATTTGCTGCCGTTTGCAAGGTCTTTGGAGAGGCGCGGAGGGAAAATGCCGGAGAGGAGAGCATTCTGGTGACTGTGGGGGGGGGGGCACTGTTGTCAGTATCTGCTGCCGGAGCCCACGCAGCACTTAGAGATGAGTCACACAAAGCACTGCACCTCCCCAGGAAGGGCGGCCACCTCGAGGAGAAGCAGGTAGTTTTTCATAACACAGAGTTGGCTCTATCCTTATCTCTGGCTACTCCTACTCAAAATTATAAGGTAGACAAAGTTTGTGTTCAGAGCTACCACTCTTCATTTTTTGCATGGTATTTGGTCCTTTGATTCATTCATTCTCTCCTGCCCTCCCACACCTTTCCTTCCTCTCCATCCTCTTTCTCCCTCCTTCCCTTGTGTAGGAAAAACATTTCTTGATTGCACCCTGCTGTCAAAAAGCATAGGATAAACTGATTTATTAATACATCAAGGAATAAGTGACTAATAAGGTGAACATTACTGAATAGTATGTGTATGATCAGAGGAAAATTTTAAATCAAAGGAAAAAAACAATATGATGGTGAAAATTCAAACACCATCACAGAGGTGCAGGAGACAGTGGGGGGAGGGAGGCTCTCCATTGTTCCTGAAATTACAAGACTCGTTAACTTCCTTCTTGCCTTTTCTTTAAGGTTAATAGAAACCCCCGTTTCTTGGATCACACGTCACAGGTATCAATTTCATTCCACATATTCAGATGTGTCTGAAACATAATTCTTTGTTTCCCTTTCTTTCTTTTTAAGCCTCCATTCCTCTGGGGTTGTAGAAATTCAATCTAAATTAATTTGGCTTATCTCCCCAGCCTCCCCCAGCCCCTTTCCTTGGGGTTGCATTTACATTTGGAGGCTTAGGCAGTGCCAGGTATTGGGAAGGGGACATCTGGTTCTCGGGATCGTTCGCCATCCATGCTGGCCTCCCCGGAGGTGTCCACCTTGCCATCTGGTCTTCAGTTATTGGTTCACCAGGTGGCTGCTGAGTCGTCCCTGGTTCCTGACCATGGGCTCTTCGCATCCAGCTCTCTCTCTCAGCTACTTCCAGGACTCTCCTGGGCACAAAGGTGTTATCTGTTTCTGTCACAGAATTCTGGGCCTCAGAAATCTCCAAGAGACTGTCCAAAAGCCTTTCTTATTTCTTTGCCACTCGTGTGATCATACCAGTGCCTCACACTAAGTTGGCACACAAGCATACCATTATTCTGTGGGATCATGTTGCTTTCCTGGGCTCCAGCTGGGAAACTGAATGCAAGTTCCTTCCTTCTGCAGGCAGAACCAACCAAGGTGGGTAAGGAGGACATCTGTCATTTCTCCCCATGCCCGTGCCAGGCTAAGCTCTGGAAAGGAGGCTCTGGAATGTTTCTTGGGGACCCACCAGCCTCTGAGTTCTTGGGGACCCACCAGCCTCTGAGTTCTTTCTTCCAGCTCCCTTCCTTCCTGTGGCCAATCAGTGACTCCTCTTTTCTCTAACTTTTTGCTGTGTTATCTTTTCTTGAAGCCAAAAATGTGAAGTGACTGAATAGAGGGATGACCCAAGGGATGGAAGATAAAAGGTGGACAAGAACTGATTTCTTAAAATTTTAATTAATAAATTAATTCATTATTATTATTTTCTGAGACAGGGCTTTACTCTGTCACCCAGGCTGGAATGCAGTGGCACGATCATGGTTCACTGCAGCCTCGTCCTCCTGGGGCCAAGCGATCCTCCCACTTCAGCCTCCTGAGTAGCTGAGACCACAGGCACACACTGAAATGCCTGGCTAATTTTTTCTATTTTTTTGTGGAGACAGGGTCTCACTATGTTGCCCAGGCTGGTCTCAAACTCCTAGCCTTGGGCAATCCTCTCACCTCAGCCTCCCAAAGCTCTGGGATTACAGGCATGAGCCACCATGTCCAGCTTTTTAAAAAAATTTTTATTTTTTGTAGGTACATAGTAGGTGCGTATATTTATGGGTTACGTGAGAAATTTTAATGTAGGCATGCAATACATAATAATCAAGCAATTGATTTCATTTTAAAAATCCAGCAAACTGAAGAACACTGTGCTAGCCATTGTGAGGGATGTAAAGTGTGGTAAAGCATAGGCCCTGCTTGTGAGAAACATACACAGAAATGTAGTGCTAAATGCCAACTCAGAAGTCATATGAATTCATAAGGAAAGAAAAATCAGTTCAGAATTACCCTCACACTTTACCATTCTTTTCTTTTTTCAATTTTTTTCTTTTAAAGAATTGGGACTGTTCAGCTGCCAGTGGGAATTTCTTAAAGTTAGAAGCTAAATAGAACACTAGTCAGAGTCTATATCAACAAATGTTGCTATAGCTCAAATCTGTGATTCAACTGGAGATATCAAAGCTTTCCCATGGAATTTACTTACTTTGAGCAGTACTGGATACAAACGAATTCTAAGACAACTAAAGCATTTGTACACCCCTCCCCCATTAGAATTGTAACGTCGTTTGTCTTTTTATTATTTATGAGACTTTATTTCTAATATTAAAAATTTAGAGCAGTAGTCACACAATTTGGGGACTAATGTGGAAGGCAATGCTTGTAGTAGTGAGGGTGGGCAGGGCTGGCTGCTGCTATCATAGCCCAGTGTCTCAGTGCCTTAGCACAACGATGCTTATTTTCCACCCACTTCACAGTCCTTTGTTCTCCACAGTCACCTGTGGCCCACCCTCTGCCTTTAAAGCATGGCTGCCAGGTTCACCCTGGGTATGAACACTAAGCCCACTAATGGGGGTAAGAGAGTGTGCAAAATCACATCACAGTCTTATAGGCCCAGCTTTGAGGTAATACACATTGTTCCTTCTCATTTTCAGTGGCCAGAACTCACTCATATGGCTCATCTAATTGAAGGGAGCTGGGAAATCTCATTGGCTGTGGGTCCCGGAGACAAAGGCCGCAGGTTTGATGAGCACATGGCATCATCCCCGCTTTATTTGTGAGCAAAATTCTCTAGCTGCATAAGCCTCCCAGTGATTAAAGCTTTGCTAGCAAAGAACCAGAATTGTTTCATATCATAAAGAGTGTCAGGGAGATATGGCGCTTCCCTCTGGCCTCCCTCACTTCCTCGCTCCCCTTCCTGATCTCAGTCTGCCCTGCTCAGGAGGATGGATCAGCAAGGCTAGAGCCTGCATCTGCACACTCACGGGCAGCCTTACAGGGTTCTTAGGAAAGCTGAGGCAATAGCAGTCACAGCTAGGCTTCTCCCCCAGGTACTCCCCAGTGCCTGGCCTGTGCTGATGACAGCACGTGAGTCATCAGCACTAAAGAATGCCAGCTTCATCACTGGAAGTTGGCAGATTCTCAGAACAGCACTGGAGAGAAAGCTGGGTGTCTCTGCTGGGCATTTGGGGTGAAGAAGGAACTAAAACCTTCCGAGTGTTTGAATGGAGGCTGTCTGTGCCAGGGAAGTGTTTTGGTCTCTCTTGTATTGTTCAAGCCAAGCCCAGGCCCAGGAAAGCACTCACTTTGTTGATTGAAAGGGAATCCTTCTGAGACAGAAAATGTCAACAGTGCTGGTGGGAATTCTGCATCTGCTCTTTAATGTCTAAGTGGTTTTAAGGAAATGGATGAACCTGGTGGTTTCAGATGAAATATTATTTCCTGCCTTCAAGTACAACATGTGTGTATATGCAAGGCAGCCTTCTTCTGCAATGAGTCTCAGGACAGAGGGCTGGCACCTCCTCAATGGCAGTGACATTGATATCCATGGATCAAGTGTGAGGAGCTGGTTGGTTTAGGCAGCCATCTTCTTAACATGCCTCAAAAAATGGGAGCCCAAAGAAGGGACCTTTGCCTCAGTGAGCCAAGCTTATAACAAAGGAGCGAAGGTTGTCAGCTCATGGTCCCAGGAGAAAGGCAGTGGTCACCCAAGAATGGGAGTGGTGGATGGAGAGTGATAGAAAGCTAACCTAGGATTTCAGATGGAGGCATGGTTGAAGTCCTAGGATGGCAGGATGAGTATCTGAGGCGGAATGTACAAGTGAAGGAACTCTGTTGTGCTTTCAGTTTTACTTCTAGTAAGTTCTAAACCAGTAAGGTGTTAGATTTTCTGTTCCGGGGTCTTTCAGCAACAAAACATGATCTGTCTTCAACTGATCTCTGTGGATTTAGGGGGAATTAGGTATATGAAATTTGAAAGTCTCTTCCCTCTGACACTTATATTCATAAGATGTACAAATATTAATTCCAACACACTCTTCACTGCTACATATAATTTCACAACCTTTTTATTCACCATAGAGGGTCAGGCTCTTAATTGCAGTATTCACCCCATAGATGGCAGTGGTACCAGATGCTGGCTCCAGAGATTCATGCTGAGGTGTCTTCCAGAACATTGTCACCAGCAACGTTCTGGACCTGCTGGAGTGAGGTCAGGATTCTGAAAACTTTCTTCTTGTAGGATTCTTGATCAGTCTTGCCTGGCTTAGAAAATCAGACGAGAGTCTGGGTCTCAGCTGTGAAGTTACAGATGGAGGCATGGCTGAACGTGCATGTACTCAAAGTTTACATTTTCCACGCACTGTTTCCCTGCCATGGAATTACACAATCACTTTTTCTGAGGATTTATGTTTCTTTCTAAAAACTATTATTCTTTTTATTGTTTGTTTGTTTGTTTTTTGGAAACAAGTTCTCGCTCTGTTGCCCCGGCTGGAGTACGGTGGTACAATCTTGGCTCATTGCAGCCTTGCCCTCCCAGGCTCAAGTGATTCTCCCATCTTAGCCTCCCAAAAGTAGCTGGGACCACAGGCGCATGCCACCACACTGGACTAATTTTTGTATTTTTTGCATAGACAGGGTTTCGCCATGTTACCCAGGCTGGTCTCAAACTCCTGGGCTCAAGTGATTGGCCTCCCTGGGCCTCCCAAGGTGCTGGGATTACAGGCATGAGCCACAGCGCCCAGCCAGGATTTATATTTCTAAAAAGAAGCCTAATTGCCAAAAGCACAAGGAACATGCGTTTGATTTCTCACGTAATGATTTGAGTCAGCTTTTTTTTTCAGATTATAAAACTGTGAGATAAGCTCATTGCATCTCCTGTCCACAGAAAATCAAAGGGGTCTTTGTCTTTTCATTCTGCCTGCGCTCAACAATGATTTATTGTTGAAGACCTACTACAGACCCAGGGATAAATTATACAGAGAAGGAGAACCTTGTTGCCAAAAAGTATTGAGGATATAGTGATTTGAGATTCTTACCTTCAAAGAAGAGTTGAAGGAATTGAAGAAATGATCTGGAATTATGGATTTGATTTTTGGATGAACACTGAACTATTGTAAGACTTGGTAGAGTTAGTTGACAATCTGAGGCTTTCGTTCTCCCATTCATACATGAAACTTTAGGTAAGATGTACTAGAAACAAGCCAGATACTATTTCTAGTCCTGAAGTCATCCTGAAAGGTATCTTCAGAATGGATGTCATTCTCAATGATAATCACGTGATTTGCTAAGATTAGAAGAGGAAATAAATCAGCTAAGCAAGGCTTATGTCATTCAGAAGAGACCAAAGTGAATATCAAGAACATTATCAAGGTAGGTGTTCCTATCCACGTATAGTGTTGTAAGCCAGTAACAAAAGTAGACTGTAGACGTAGTTACCCAGCTGAATATTTAAATGTATCCTTATTTGACTGTGCAATCACACAGCCAAATATATTCAAGGGCGGTTTCTTTTATAAGAAAAAAAAAGTAAATGAAATGCTCAATGATGACATTAGCTCAATTTTATGTTTGAAAAATTTACTTGCACCCAAGTGAGAAAATACAAAATTAAAGTTCTCACTGCAACAACAATGGACCCTACTAACAAGGAGAGGCTGTGCCACACATGCTGGGACTACATGGGATGTGGGTCCTGAAATCTAGACCAGACAATTGGCTGCAACTTTATTATTGCCCTTCACCTAGAGCTTAAAAAAAAAGCTTTCTTTAGGGGGTTATGCAAAGAGCCTTTATCTTGATAGTTACACCCAGCAGTACATCTTGGATGGCACCAACTGAAGGGTTTACAGAAAAAAAATTATTATTTGTTGCGTGTTCTGGTACTGGCTAGATGCATGTATGAATGTTACCCATGAATAATTTTATCTTTCTTTATCTCCTACCTCTGGCCTACCAAGACAACCCCATCAATTCAAAAAGATGAGACAATGCCTATATGAGAGTGGGAAAATGGGACCTCAGGCCCTGTGGCCCTGCTGCCAACCTTGCTTGGTTATTGGAGCCCAGGGGTGACTACAGAAGCCCCTGACCCTGGTGACACTCAACACTTTTCAGTGCCCATGGCTAGGATCCTGATCTATCTCTTTCCTTTATAGCTATCTAGTGCCTTGGGAATGTCTGGCATAGCTTTTCCACATCCAAATCAGCCTAGAAAAGCCCAGGTTCCTCTGTCCTTTCTATAGAAAGTTCTGAGTTCCTCAGTTCAAAGTTCTGAGTTCCTCAGTTCAGCTGGAGCTATGGGAACAATACTGGGAACTCTTACTTCCTTTGGGAAACGCCTGTGCAAATCCAGGTATAGGGAAATGGAGCTCAGTATAGTGGAACAGAGTTTCAGGGCTGTTCACTTAGAATTGCTCTGATGTGGCTTAGTCCCTTCCCACTATTTTCTGTTGCACACTTTAGGGATATAGATGATAAAGAAAACAAGCATTGCCGGTGCCACCTCCGTTACCTACATACGATTTGCTCATTTAATCATTTATTCAACAAATTCTAATGGAAAGTTTATTATTGTGCTGTGCTAGCCTCTTTGGGACATTCAAAGTTGATTAAGACATGCTGCATACCCTAAACGGAGTTCATTGTATCATTTGAGAGATGACACACATACAACTATCCATCACATCAGCTAGAAGTGAAGAGTGGTGCTTAGGGAGAAACCTAAGCACCATGTTTTTCAGATTTAAGGGGAGACTTCAGAAAGAGAGTGATAGTTCAGCTAAGCCTGGAAAGGGAAGCATATGGCGCTGGGCATGGATAACTACAAGACACTGGTGACAGGCTGACAGTAGATCAAGAGCAAAAACAGGGTTTTGTTGTTGTTGTTTTGTTTTGTTTTGCAGGGAGTGGGAGGGTGAGGTAGCAGGTAGGAGGTCGGGGAGAGATATGGAGATATTGCCACTGATTCTGGACATGTTGATTTTGAAATTCTAGTTAGATATCCTGGTAGGACTTTCCTGCAGGCCAAAAAACAAAACAAAACAAACCACAAAAATAAAAGACAGCAGAGTCTTGAGAAATTTTAAACTTGGGATTATACATCTGCACAAAGAGGCCTGTTGCGATATTGGATGTTGCCTAGGAACTGGGGCTAAGAACTACAGTGAAGCAATTAACACTCTAAGCAACAGATACTAATGTCTTCATTACTTGCAGGCAGCCCATATACCAGTACCCAGCGAGAAACTCAGGCTGTTCTCTGCACAGCTGCTGGAAAGCTCAGAACTTTGGGGAGACTCTTAGCTAGATTAGAGCAGGAAGGCTGGTCTTTGGGAAGGGGATAATATTAGGGGCATTTTGGTGCAGTGTTCCCCATGACTAGAAACTGATTTGTCCCTTTAAACAAGAAACCAACCAACCAACAAACCTAACGCTGCCCTTTATTCCTGATCCAGAACCGATTTGAGGTTGACATAAGTACCCCTTTTCTCCTTTTGCTATCTGGTGGACCCCATCTTCTCAGAATGATGTAGACACGTGTTCTAGCCCTTCTGTGATTTGTCCACTGCTGTGCTATTATAAGTATTATTGATCACACAATCCATTAGGGCACCATTCACCATAAATAATTTATCTCTTCAGGCATGAGCTCGTCTCTGCCACAGATGCCATCAGCAAGAATCCCCTTCAGGAGGTTTGTACTGAAGGAAAAACAACCGCATTGCAGATAGAGTTTAAGCACACAAGGCCCAGGGAGAAATGAAAATAATGACTGACCAAACCCTGTGCCTGGAGACTGCATTCTACTGGGGATGTTCTGTGAGAGACAGAACAGGTCTGAGGGTTTTCAGACCAGCATTCCTCCTACAGAAGGCATGCCGTCTTGACAAATAGGTATACGCCTAGTCTTTCTAGCTGAGGAAGTTTGTTTAGGCAGCATGTCAATATTTGTTGGACATACTAGAGCAGTTCTAGATGTTATAATTGCTGGGAGCTGGAGGGACAGAGGGAAGGGCAGGAACAAGCAGCAAAAGAAATAGCAGACATTGTCTTATATCTGTATGGACCTTAAAATTCTATTGGCCAAATAGGAAAGCACCTATAATCAAAACTGCAAGATCTCTGGCAAGAACAAACCAACAAACAAATGAACAAAATAATGCAGGAGGATTTAAGCTCAGATTGCACCTATAACTTGCTGACAGGCTGTATAACAATAACAGTGCTCAGATTTTAGGCTTTAAGTTGGTTTGTCAAGGAGGAAGAGCCATATAGCTATATAGACAGAGAGGAAGGTAGGGGAGAGGTGGTCATAGGGGAGGAGATGGGTATGCAAAAGTCTGCAATTGGGAGCTCACGAATCACGGATGCCAGCAAACAGATTTCAGCTGGGGCAAAGATTCCATGATGTAAAGCCAGAGAGTAACAAGTCAGCATTGTGGAAGGGAGCTGCTTCTTTATGGCTTTCCCACACAACGCTAGAGTCAGGGGGACCTTTCATAGGTAGAGAAGACCTGGGGAAAATTCACCTTTTCTCCCTTTTTAAATCCTTCTTTCTTGAGCTTCCTGGGACTTCCCTTCTACTATAGGGTCTTGGAGAGAAAAAATAATAATTAAGCTCACTTATAACACATCTATATGCTAACTGTATTAGTCTGTACTCATGCTACTAATAAAGACATACCTAAGGCTGGGTAGTTTATAAAGGAAAAAGGTTTAATTGACTCACAGTTCCACATGGCTGGGGAGGTCTCACAATGGTGGCGGAAGGTGAATGAGGATCATAGTCACGTCTTTCATGGTGGCAGGCAAGAGAGCTTGTGTAGGGGAACTCCCCTTTATAAAACCATCAGATCTCGTGAGACGTGTTCACTATCATGAGAACAGCACAGGAAAGACCCACCCCTTGATTCAATTACCTCTCATCGGGTCTTTCCCACGACAAGTGGGAATTAGGGGAGCTACAGTTCAAGATGAGATTTGGGTGGCAACACAGTCAAACCATATCAGTACCCCTCTGAGTAAGTTAGGATATAGACAAGAAAACAGCCCAAGTCAGGTAGTTCAATAAAGAAAATGAATAGGGGAATCAGCTACAAATGGGTTGTGAGAGCTGAAGAGCAAACAGGAGATGTAGAGGCAAAGATTAGCAATGGCAAGAACTAGAGGTATCAAGGAGATGTGCCTGGACCACCCAGACAACACTGGAGGCCTGGTGTGACCACAGGGGAAATGTGGACACTGCCAGAGACATCCCCAAACAGAGAGACAGAGGGGCTGGAATACTACCACTTCTTTCTTTCCCCTGCCCTCTAATTCCTGCTAGGATTTCCCTCTGGCCTAACTTAAGTGGAAGCCAGCTGGTCAGGACCCCTAGGAAGTATGTTGTAGGTAGGAGAAGGTGGGGAATGATCGACATTCCCTTGCACAGTATTTGTAGATGATTCTCAAAGAGAAGCAATGATTGTCTCCAGTAAATAGATTTATAATAGTGGAATTAGGCATGAAGTGAGGCAATATTTGGGAGCAAGTTCTTCTTAGTGACTGCTGTGGTCTGAATGTCTGTGTCCTCCCAAATACATATGTTGAAACCTAGTCCCCAACATGGTGCAATTAAGAGATGGGGCCTTGGGAGGTGATTAATGGGGTCTGTGCTCTTATACAAGAGGCCCAAGGGACGTTGTTCATCTTTTCCACCAAACAAGGATGCAGCAAGAAGGGGCCATCTATGAAGCAGACCCTCACCAGACATCAAATCTGCTGGTGTCTTGATCTTGGACTTCCCAGCTTCCAGAACTGTTGCTTATACATTTCTGTTGCCTATAATTACTCAGTCTAAGGTATTTTATTACAGCAGCCTAATACAGTAACTCTGCAATTAACACTACTCAGTCCTCTGCTGATCTTCTGGTAGAGCATACTCTGCTAAAATCAGTGTTGTTCTGCAGGTAGGGAGTTACCCAGATCTTCTTTGAGCAGTCTGAGGTTCCTTCCACTATGATTGCCTAAAGTTTAGCTCAGTGAAGAATCAGCAATCACTTGTCTTGACCCAAGAATACAAGAGCTAGGGGCTCAGTTAAAGTTCAGGAGGTGCTTATCAAAGTCTATGGTTTCTGCTTCTCTAACTCAGTCCTAGAGATGAAGTCTTATGGTCTACAAAAGTCTACAGCTTCCCTTTCCTTACAAAGATCCTCTATTGTTGTTTATGAGCCCCTCTTGTTCCTCAGGGATCTTGCACATCCCAGAGGAGCAATCTTGGCCTGTCTGAGTTTCTTAGGTTTGATCTAAGTAGCAGATTCAACCACATATGAGTTCTATCAAGGCCGGATGGACACTCATGGATACTGGGTCTCTCACAGAAATCCTATCTCCAAGGAGATGCTATTTCACAATCATTAGGGATTGTATGCCTTTACATTAAATATTTCAAAATTATTTCAAATAGTGGTCATGACAAGAGATGATAATAAGAGGACAGGGAGATTCTATTTTATTTTATCCCAAGAAGCTAATGTTGATGTATATTGCATTGATTTAATATAGTTCACTTAATGTGATTGATCAACCACAGGAAGACGGCCTTTATGGAGACATGATTCTTACTCTTATGCCAATTTAGTCAGGGCTAAGAAGAGGATGTCAGGTATTTGCTGGTGGTAGAGGCTGTGATAAGTTCAGGACTGTGCAGGCAGATCATTGCTTTCAGAGAGTGGGATATGATGAATGTGCTATTCATCTGTTTAGTGCTATTGCCACAATTTGCTGGTTCTTAAACAGAGCTTTACAAAATAGGCTTGTTGTTAGGCCAGGCTGCTAATTGTGCTAGTAATTAAAAATTGGCAGTGCTGAGATTGGCCCATATTCCCTACCTCAAAACCTTCCAAGTCAGCGTTTGCCTTTCACAATGAGCAAAACACCTGCTCTGTTTCCTCCACTCATTTTCTAGGAC
Organism: Homo sapiens; assembly: GCF_000001405.40. Classification (NCBI taxonomy): domain Eukaryota; kingdom Metazoa; phylum Chordata; class Mammalia; order Primates; family Hominidae; genus Homo; species Homo sapiens. The sequence goes on from NC_000004.12 coordinate 140,308,338, forward strand.
CTTCAAATGCCACTCAGTTGATGCTTTCACAGAGCCTGGGAGGATTTCTGGTGTTTCATTCAGAAAGACTGTATGCACACTGGAGAAAGCAGGACTATATATAGCCAGGGCCGAGCAGAGGATGACCTCCGTGAATGCTCCAAGGAGCCAAGGACATGACTGCGCTCATGGCCTCAGATCACCCTCCTGCCAAGATTCTTTGATGACACCAAGTTTTGCTAAGATTTTCTGGCTCTGGGAGCCCGTGTGTCGATTCTTGGAGGTTGAGAGCCACGTGGCAGCCTGCAGCTTGCCGGCTTGTCTGTGCACGCACGCTCATGCACTCACATTCACTGAGAGTTGATGCGTCATCCTCCTATATTTATCCAGTTGCTGTTTCAGTGGCTCTGAGAAGTGTCTGGAGAAAAGCAAAGCTGCTTCCTCCTGCTATGCAAGCTGTCTGAGCTCCAGAGACAGGCTCTACTGTCTTGTTCTGTGTGTGTGGAGAAGGGGCATGCAGAACATGGTTCCCAGAGTGCCTGGGTCACTGATGAGATGCCCTCTTTTTTCCCCCAGCCAGTCTAGAGCTTACAGTTCAGGAGCAGGCAGCTTTGGCACTCTAGCCACAGCCCCAGTGTTTTTGCTCACGCCCAGTTAGGTCTAACTGGGAGGGCCATGATGTGAGTAGAATAAACATCTGGGTGAAGAGTTGGAGATGGCCAGGGCCCTGGGGTAAGACAAAGTGGGAGCAATAGCTACAGTAAGGAATGAGTATCTGGAAAGGTATCATTGAGCATAAGAGCTGAAAGGGATCATTGATACCATCTTCCCAAGACAGCTGTTTTACAGGTGAAGAAACTGAGGCCAAGTAGGTGAAGAGTCACGCAGCACCAGTGCTGATCCTGAAGTGATGCACTTTTAATTCTAGAGCAGTGACTTTCCATGACCCTGTGCCCAGCAGGTGGAGCCTCACCTCACAGCTGGCCATTCTCTGGCAAACATCCTGCAGAATGGAAGACCCAAAGACAATGTGCTGAAGACCAACCATGAGTCTCTGTCAGAGGAGTCACTGATAGGTGATGGGAAGTGTGCTGGAGAAGTGGCTGCACTCAGGTCTCTGGCTTCTGCTGGGCCCCCTTCTAACATAGCCTTGTCACCACTCTGTTGCTGAGGCATTGTCACATCCTGTACTCTGGCCACCTCCCAGGCACATCCTTTTACAATCACCACTTTATACTTTGTGGACAAGCACAGTACCCACAGAATAACTCACTCTAGAAAGATTCAAATAGATATATCCAAATAAATCTGGGCTTCTTTGCCATTCCTTAAAGCCTATTACCTCATGATAACATATGCAAGAGAAAAACAAATACCATTCCAAATTCTTGAAGAATGATTAATATATTGAAGCTTTCCTTGAACAGGAGTAAAAGAGAGTTACTCTGAAGTGCCTATTCAAACTTGCAACAAATCCACTTTTCCATTCCTGTCTCCCCCAAACCCCACAGCTCATGGCAGCTACTGAAATTTCTCTTCTCTCTTTCAAAATCTCCAGCCTAGGTTGCCTCTCTTGACACTCCCTCCTTCCCTCTGTCTTGCTATCCTTGCCAAGTTCTAAATGTTTTCATTGCCTCCTTAGGTGGCTCTATGCCCTTTCCCATGTAGATCAAGTAAACCTCTCTTTACTTTCTCCCCATACTTTATCTTTTCTACCCATTTCTCTGACCAGCACACCAAAGGCATCCAAAGGCATAGGAACTGAGCCACTGAAACAATAATCTTCCCTAAAATATGGTGAAGGAGATTATTGTAAATTCTTATGCTTTATATTTTAAAAAAATCTTTGTCACATGAAAATCCAAATCTGATTGATCTTCAACCAGTTGTACTTGGTTGGGTTGCTCCATTGTTGAATTCCTACAGGGCTGGAAGTGATACAATATTAATTAAAGGCTCTTTAAAGATGATGCTTCCTTATTTCAAATAGGCTTCTGCTGCTTCTCATCCGGGGGAAGTCACAAGTTTCTCTCCTGGATAGCACTCTTCTTAGGACGTTATGGGTGCATTACCAGCTGCCTGTTGCCAGTGGGATTGGTATATCCTTTTTTACAAGGTTCTGGTCAAATCTTAAATAAATTCTGAAGAACAATAAACCCTTCAGGAACTTTCGCTCTATGTGCAATGTGTCTGTAAAGCAGCAACCAGTAGGCATAGAGCATTTGACATAATTTCTTGCATTGTTGGGAACCTTCCTTCTCCCTCGTGCATTCCTGCTTTGGACAATATGATAGGAGTTTTCATTCTTTTGAAAGCATTGGGAAAAGTAGCTTTAGCCCCTCTCAGCCCTGTTCACTTTTCCCTGAGGGACTAGTCATGATTTAGCTGCCTGGTGAAGTGGGGAGTTTCTCCAGGCTCATGGGAAACTCTGCTCTTCCTGTCCCTTCTTCTTCGGATCTCCCCCCGAGGGTGGGTGTGTTTTGCCCACCTCCTGTCTTGTGGGTGGCAGTCATGATGGGGTTAGGAGCCAGCTCTGCTTCCAGGGCCAGGTCTCAAATCCTAGCTCTCACTTTGTTCCAGTGTAGAGACATAGCAGATGCAGATGATGCAGCTGTTTTGCTCTGTGTGTGTGCTCTGAGGAGCCAACCCTTCCTTGAGTGAGATGTACCAAGTGTTAGACCTAGGGAAAAACATTAGAGAGTCTGCCTGTGCCACAGTTAACTCCTACTCCTCAATCTAACTTATCCTTAATAAAACAGGTTTTTAGCCAGGCATGGTAGTGCACACCTGCAGTCCTAACTACTAACTACTTGGGAGGCTGAAGTGGGAGGACCACTTGAGCCCAGGAGCTCAAGGCTGCAGTGAGCTATGATTGTGCCACTACACTCTAGCCTGGGCAACAGACCCCTATCTCTTAAAAATAATAAAAAAAGATTTTTTTTAACCTTCACTTGTCTGATTTCTCCAATTGTTTCTCAGTAGCACTTGTGAAACTGTAGTATCTTCATTCAATTAACATAAACTAATATTCAACTACCAATGCTGTAAATACCCCTAGGGAGGGAGTACATTAACTCATAACCCCTTATGTTGAGTGAATCTATGTCATGCAATTAGCATTATCCAGTCATCTACAATGAATGAGTTTAAAGCCAAGAAAAACAGAATTCATCCTAGATGAATTCTTAGGATGTTATCAAGGGTGGAGATGAGGACCCCACACCCCATGATCCAACTTACAGTGTATTTTTATCTCAGTGCTTGGCAGACCAGGAACATGCCCTCTTCCTCCTGGTAAGCCTGGATGTGTGTTGATATCAGCACAGTGGTGTGGGGAACAGGGGTGCCTTGGGGTCAGACTGCTTGAGTTAATCTTTTCTTTACCCCAACCATAAGACTTTGGGCTGCTTACTTAAACTCTTTTGGTCTTACATTTCTTACCTGGGAAATTGAGATAATACCTAGTAGGATCATTGTGAGAAATAAAATGAAAGAATTGTGTAAAGATCTTTGAACAATGCCTGGCAAGTAGTTAGCCCTCAGTAAATGTCAGTGATTATTATGAATAGTAAGAAAATATTTTTCTGCCACCTAAAAATTTTCCTTGAGGATGCATCTTTAGAATGTGTCAATGGGAAAGTATGCCGTACTTTAAAAATAATTTTGTTTTGCAAACATTTTAGAACAAACACTTTTAGCGAGAAATAGTTATATTGCTTTCTGGCAAATATGAATTGGGATTTACTTGTTAAAAATTAGAAATACGACTTCTATTGCTTTCTCCACCCATACCATCTCCAGAAACATTTCTTAGCTGCTTTTACCCAAAGACACATGTCAGACCTAAGATCTAGTGACAACTGCCTCTGGAAGGTCTTGACATGGGCCCCTCAGTGGAGGCATTTCTAATTTTGAAATGAGCTGTGTGGTTCAAAAGCTCTATGCTTTCCAACAAGTAGATGATTGATAAGACTTTCTCGTTCACTGATCAAGCTTGATAAAAAGGAAAAACAGGAACTAAAAATACCCTTTGCATTTGAACTGGGGGCACTGAAAGTACAAGGAGGCCAAGATTTACATATGTGATTACATAGTTATATATTTATTTAATTAATTAATTAATTTATTTTTGAGACAGGTCTAGCTCTGCTGCCAAGACTGGAGTGCAGTGGTGCCGTTATAGCTCACTGTAACCTCGAACTCCTGGGCTCAAGTAATTCTCCTACCTCAGTCTTGAGTAGATAGGACTATAGGTGTGCACCACCATGCCTGGCTAATTAAAAAAATATATTTTTGTAGAGCTGGGGTCTTGGCATGTTGCACAAGCTGGTCTCAAGCTCCTGACCTCAAGTGATCCTTCTGCCTCACTTGGCTGCTAAAGTCCTGGGATTACAGGCATGAGCCATAGTGCCTTGTCCACATAATTATATATTTAATTGGTAGTTTGAAGTAAAATTATCCTTAAATCTAGGTATTTTTGTTGTCACATGTCATAACCTTGTAATTGTTGCTACAACAAGAAGAGAATGCCTTTTTGCTGAATTTTTAAGAAAAACTCAACATTCTGGCCATTATACCATCTAGGAATTTTACAACCTATAGACCTATCAAGACAGAAATTAATTTGAAGGTCACATCAGCCTTCATATGAATTTTCTGTAAAATTGAGATGACATTTTACATGTTAACTGAGTAAAAGTGACATCATAAATGATGGTCATTTAGGTTCTGTTTCTCTTTTCCAGCTGGAAAGCCCATGTGAGAGGTACTTTAGGGAAACTCTCGCTAAGTCAGTCCTCCACCTTTTCATGCCAGGGAATCCTGATGTTATTCAATGCATTTGCCATACATTGTACTTCCACCGAACAAATAAACTAAAAGTCACTAACCTGAAGTTTATCCTGTAAGCAAAAAGTTATCAGACTGGAAATACGGATTTGTTTTTTGAAACGGAGTTTTGTTCTTGTTGCCCAGGCTGGAGTGCAATGGCGCGATCTAGCTCACTGCAACCTCTGCTTCCCGGGTTCTAGCGATTCTCGATTCTCCTGTCTCAGCCTCCTGAGGAACTGGGATCATAGGCCCGTGTCACCACACCCAGCTAATTTTTGTACTTTTAATAGAGATGGGGTTTCATCACATTGGTCAGGCTGGTCTCGAACTCCTGACCTCAGGTGATGTGCCTGCCTTAGCCTCCCAAAGTGCTGGGATTACAGGCATGAACGACTGTGCCCGGCGGAAATATAGATTTTAAACTTAGCATATGAACAAGTGTGGAGAGTAATAATGGCAGAAAATTGATATCTTTTATTGCAAATCTTCCATCTGCACCTAAGAGATAGAGGTCTCGGACCTAAGAGCCTAAGCTAGTATCCCGGTGGAGGCAGCCACTAAATTCAAGACCCTCTTGCTAATACGCAATGTAAAGCCAAGAGTAAAAGCAAAAAAGCCATCGTTTCATGAAAGAATTCAGTCCTGTTTTTTTTTTAAATGATTAAGAGAATATTTATTTAAGCAAGAATACATACAGTCGGCTAGGTGCGGTGGCTCATGCCTGTAATCCCAGCACTTTGGGAGGCTGAGGCGGGTGGCTCACTTGAGGTCAGGAATTCCAGACCAGCCTGGCCAACATGGCAAAACCCTGTCTTTACTAAAAATACAAAAAATTAGCCGGGTGTGGTGGCACTCGCCTGTAGTCCTGGCTACCTTGGAGGCTGAGATGGGAGAATTTCTTGAACCAGGAGGTGCAGAGACTGCGCCACTGTACTCCAGCCTGGGTGACAGACTGAGACCCTGTTTAAAAAAAAAAAAAAAAAGAATGCATATGGTCATCATTGCCATTGCCAGACTTGACATGAGATGTTAAATGTTCAGCCCAATTTTCCTTCCTGGATAAGTTTTTCTTTTCTATCCCTGTCAGTTTTGAAAACATAATACTAGAAGAAGAGGGGCCCAATTCCACAGAGAGCTCCCAAGAGAGGGTTTTTGGGAGCGGGTCTAAAATTGGGATAGACACTTGCTGATCTTGCATAGGTCCAACAAATCAAGGCAGTATTTTGGATGAGCCCTTGGCGGTTAGGGTTGTTGTACTGAAGCAGGTATTCCTGTTTAGGCCAGGCCCTTATGGCCAATCGCTCAGCTTGTGCCCACTGGGTCTCCAGAGATATGTCGTATTCAGCTGGGTTGAGGGTTGAGGGCAGAGTGGCCAGTCGCGATGGAGTATACTGGGAGCTACATCTTGGCCACCCAGCCCAGATCTCATTCTTTGTGTTCTTTTGGGATTCCAATGCTTTCATGAGTAAGAATTCTCATGAATTCTTATGGAAAATAGCAAAATATCCCAGGCAGATTCTCTCTTTTGCATATAAATCTTAAGGGGAGAGGGAAGCAAGAGAGGCAGATGTGGAAGTTGGCAGAGCAGCTAGCGAGGTGCTAAGTGGAGACACTAGCGTGGGGAGCAATGAGAAGTTGGCCTCAGAAGGCAATGAGATGTCCAGGGCCAGGGGTGCCACTGGGATCTGAGAGCCCGAACAGCTGTGAACTCCACCCCCCCACCAAGTTCTCCACAAGGTGTGGTTGTGTGGTTGCTGAATGTTCCTTTCCATTTTCTCACTTTCCTGTTCATTCTTACAATAACCCCCAACCACCAAATTTGGGTCTGTGTCCCTTGAACCCAAAAGAATCTAACATTGGGTCACAGTTTCTATCAAGGATCTGAGGACTAGGGGCAATTTAGTGTCCCTATATGTTAGGACTCCCACTTAAAGAACTTGGTTTTTTGATCCTAACAAGTTCCCTGTAAAGAACTCCATATTCTCTCTCTTCAGTGAGTGAAATAATAAAAATGCAAATCTCCACTCTTCCCCTGTGTGTCAAAGACATTCCTTTTCAAGGAGGTTCATTCTAAAGTGACCTCTGAGTAACAGTACAAAGTAGTAGACAGTAGCTTAGGTATTTTCAAAGGAACGGGTATGCCTAACAGTATCTAACATTTATTGTGTGATTCTTTAGGCTCTGCACTGAATATACATTACCTAATCTAATTCTCACCACAACCCTTTCAGATGGGTATAATCCTATTCCCTGTTTATATTTTAGTAAGTGACTGGAGATCACCCAATTTAGTTAAGTGGTAGAATTGGGGTTCAAATTTGGTTTTAACTGTAGAGCTTGAATTCTTAACCAGTGTGCTATACTAAAAGCAAACTCTGAAAAACACATCTCATCCAATTTCTTGACAGGATATTTCTGTTCCCAGTGATTTATTCTATTAGTAGGTCCAAGTAGCTGAGCCTTTGGGCAACTCCCAGGACTTTCTGCAGTGGCCTCCTGTGACCCCTGCACTGTCTAGTGGAACCAGGGTATGTGTTCTGTGTTCCACTGAAAAATCACAAGGGATAACCTACCACTCTCAGCTTGCTCTTTGAACGCTTTAACCCAGATTTTTCGAAGTCTCTACTTTTACCTGGTTCTTGCTTTTTACTGCAATTTCCAAGGGATCCCTGCCTCAGGCCTTTTTTCCACCCAGGGGAGAGAAGATGTGCTATCATATGATTTTATTAGACAAGAGAAATAGGCCCAACATGTACTGTAGCATTAAGATAGCAGGTTGCAGTGGCTTTTTCGGTGGTGAAACATTTCCAGAAATAAGAAAATAAGTCCCATCACCAGGTCTCTAGCTGTGTTTCTTCACACTGGCACCAGACAGAAGCTCTAGAAAATGTAACATATAATGTGCCATCCCCCAATGAGGCCTCATTGGCAGAAACACCAACAAAAGTCACACAACTCTGTTATGATAATGTCAAGCATCTCTCATCAGTATGCCAGCTCCAGGGCCTCAGTCAACAGATGTGAATGGGAGGATAGTGGTAATTCTCTCAATTGTTCACTCTGGGGACATTTTCATTCAGATGCTTATGTGTGTTTCACTTGATCCTTCTTACAACCTCAGTGGGAGGCTGGGTCAGATCGGGGACAGTTTCCCAAGTCAATAACGACTTCCTAGAAGGAAATCTAGGGATTTTTCTCTCTTAGCCACAGATTCACAAACATACCCATTCTTTAGTTGTCTGTAATGCCATTAACAGCAATTATTTCAATCTATGTATATAGCATTACATGTTTGCATATAGATATATTTGCTTTATGTGCACCTTTGTAAGAACACACCTCTTGCTTACAAGAGTCAAACTGTGTCTTTGTTTTAGTGTCCTAATTGAAAAACATACACGTAGACCAAAAGAGGTGAACACAGATTCTCAGAGAAGGGGTGGAAAAAGGGAGTGAGTGTGTGGAGGGAGTCCTTTTCAGAATCACCTGGGGATTTATTCAAAGTGCCTTTCCCTTGCTGCCCTGACCACCCCACTGCACCCCAGAAGGAATCATTACAATTGAGGGCATGCTGAATCCCTCAGATGCATTGGAGTGGAAAAATTCTTCAGTTACTAAAATATAAAATATTTTCAATGAAACTATGATAACTAGGTGCCTGGGAATGGATTACTTTTGTAGCAGGTATGATTCTCAGTCTACAAATTAAGGTATGCAAGCAATACTAAATCTCTTTATTTTCTAGAAATCAATTAAATTTGACTAATCTCTCCAGGCTCATGAGAAAATATAATCTGAGTCATTGTCGGAGCCTCCCCTCCCTTCTCAAGGTCATGTCAGTGCCCAGCATATTCTGCAGTGTGAAGGTGTCTATGGAGACTCGTTGTTTTCGTCTGTTCCACAGGTTTCCACGAACACTTCCGTTGTCCATGATCTTAAGGGCTTTTCAGGACTGCTGACATTTTGATGCTTCCAAGCCACACCTAAGACAGGGGACTCTCTTGTAAGATGGCTTAGGGGTGTTGTTTGCCTAGATACTGCATGCAGCTCTTTCTCTATGGGTTCTTGTTAGGGAGGAGACCACCCCTCATATTGTCTTATGCCCAATTTCTGCCTCCAAACAAAGAAGAAGTAAAAACTAAAAGGCAGAAATGGAATCTACAGGCAGATAGCACAGCACCGTGTCCTGGGCCTGGTAGTTAAAAATCAACCCCTGACCTAATTGCTTGTGTTATCTATAGATTTCAGACATTGTATGGAAAAGCATTGTGAAAATCCCTGTCCTGTTCTGTTCCGTTCTGATTACCGGTGCATGCAGCCCCCAGTCACGTACCTACTGCTTGCTCAATCGATCACGACCCTCTCTTGCGGACCCCCTTAGAGTTGTAAGCCCTTAAAAGAGACAGGAATTGCTCACTGGGGGAGCTCAGTTTTTGAGACATGAGTCTTGCTGACGCTCCCAGCTGAATAAAGCCCTTCCTTCTTTTTTTTTTTTTTCTACTGTTTGCATTTTTATTTTATTTTATTTATTTTATTTGTATTATTATTATTATTATTATTTTTAATTATACTTTAAGTTTTAGGGTACATATGCACATTGTGCAGGTTAGTTACATATGTATGCATGTGCCATGCTGGCGCGCTGCACCCACTAACTCGTCATCTAGCATTAGGTATATCTCCCAGTGCTATCCCTCCCCCCTCCCCCCTCCCCACCACAGTCCCCAGAGTGTGATATTCCCCTTCCTGTGTCCATGTGATCTCATTGTTCAATTCCCACCTATGAGTGAGAATATGCGGTGTTTGGTTTTTTGTTCTTGCGATAGTTTACTGAGAATGATGGTTTCCAATTTCATCCATGTCCCTACAAAGGACATGAACTCATCATTTTTTATGGCTGCATAGTATTCCATGGTGTATATGTGCCACATTTTCTTAATCCAGTTGATTTAAACGTTAGACCTAAAACCATAAAAACCCTAGAAGAAAACCTAGGCATTACCATTCAGGACATAGGCGTGGGCAAGGACTTCATGTCCAAAACACCAAAAGCAATGGCAACCAAAGCCAAAATTGACAAATGGGATCTAATTAAACTAAAGAGCTTCTGCACAGCAAAAGAAACTACCATCAGAGTGAACAGGCAACCTAAAACATGGGAGAAAATTTTCGCAACCTACTCATCTGACAAAGGGCTAATATCCAGAATCTACAATGAACTCAAACAAATTTACAAGAAAAAAACAAACAACCCCATCAAAAAGTGGGCGAGGGACATGAACAGACACTTCTCAAAAGAAGACATTTATGCAGCCAAAAAACACATGAAAAAATGCTCATCATCACTGGCCATCAGAGAAATGCAAATCAAAACCACTATGAGATATCATCTCATACCAGTTAGAATGGCAATCATTAAAAAGTCAGGAAACAACAGGTGCTGGAGAGGATGTGGAGAAATAGGAACACTTTTACACTGTTGGTGGGACTGTAAACTAGTTCAACCATTGTGGAAGTCAGTGTGGCGATTCCTCAGGGATCTAGAACTAGAAATACCATTTGACCCAGCCATCCCATTACTGGGTATATACCCAAATGACTATAAATCATGCTGCTATAAAGACACATGCACACGTATGTTTATTGCGGCATTATTCACAATAGCAAAGACTTGGAACCAACCCAAAAGCCCTTCCTTCTTTAACTCAGTGTCTGAGGGGTTTTGTCTGTGGCTCGTCCTGCTACACTTGCAGCATCTTTTCTTGTCTATTCCAAGGCCTCCCTTCATCTCCACTTCTGGTGCAGGAACCTTTTTTCTACTCTAGGAAGCCTTCTATTCCTCCAGTTATCCTTTTTGTTTCTTCTAACAAGGCTCCCATTTTTTTCTTCTTTATTGTAAACGCTCTAAGTTCTACTGTGAGCTCAGGCTTCTGGAAACAAAACCCAGAACTTCTCTTTTTTTGAGATGGAGTTTCATTCTTGTTGCCCAGGCTGGAGTGCAACCACACAACCTTGGCTCACTGCAACCTCTGCCTCCCAGGTTCAAGTGATTATCCTGCCTCAGCCTCCTGAGTAGCTGGGATTACAGCCATGCGCCACCACGCCTGGCTAATTTTATATTTTTAGTAGAGATGGGGTTTCTCCATGTTGGTCAGGCTGGTCTCACACTCCTGACATCAGGTGATCCGCCAACCTTGGCCTCTCAAAGTGCTGGGATTACAGGCATGAGCCACTGTGCCTGGCCCAAAACCCAGAACTTCGTGGAGTTATTTCTGCTTTCTGTGCTACCAAATAATTTCCTTGAGCCCATATGAAACACAGCCAGCTCCAAGTTTGAGTGAGAGAAACATACAGAAAAGAAAAAAAAATACAATTTAGTGACCCCAAATTTCATTTTTTTCTCATTTTTATACCATCTTTACTAGTGATTCTCAGTTCTAATTTCCAAATATACACAGAAAGATGGTTTGGGGCTGTTGCAAAAATTCTCTAAAACTTTCAAGATCAAGTTAATGCTGGAGAAATTTAAAATTCTAAAATAAATAATGGTTCTTGTTAAAGCTCGGAGATTTAAGAGGTTAGAAAAGTACTTCTCCCATTCTAACAATGAGAAAAAAAAAACTAAACTACAAAATTAACAACTTTTTTGAACCTATGAGAGAACTTATGTTATAGGCAAATAACTTTCTTAAAACCAAGAGAAAGACAAGGGCCTGCAGGGAGAAACAGTATTCAAGCATACACTTACCTAGAACAGATACTGCCAAATGCATAAAAAACTGGTAAGAAGCTTATGCTAGAAATGTTTAAAGAATTGCTAAAGGCCAAGTGTGAGCTAGTATCAGAGGCATTTGAACCGGAGCAACTCCAAGGGGCTGGGTAAAATAAGGCTGAGACCTACTGGGCTGTGTTCCCAGATGGTTAGGCATTCTAAGTCACAGGATGAGATAGGAGGTCTGCACAAGATACGGATCATAAAGACTTTGCTGATAAAACAGATTGCAGTAAAGAAGCCGGCTAAAACCCACCAAAACCAAGATGGCCACGAAGAGTAACCTCTGGTTGTCCTCACTGACACACTTTCACCAGCACCATGACAGTTTACAAATGCCATGACAACCTCAGGAAGTTACCCTATATTGTCTAAAAAGGGGAGGCATGAATAACCCACCTCTTGTTTAGCATATCATCAAGAACCATAAAAATGGGCAACCAGCAGCCCTCGGGGCTGCTCTGTCTATGGAGTAGCCATTCTTTTATGCCTCTACTTTCTTAATAAACTGCTTTCACTTTACTGTATGGACTTGCCCTAAATTCTTTCTTGCACAAGATCCAAGAACCCTTTCTCAGGGTGTGGATCAGGACCAGTTTCCGGTAACACTAGCATGAGAGTGTGAAGTCCCAGGGGCTGCAGACACAGAGGGTTCACACTGTCTTACAGTTTTTCCCTCCAAGAACAATAGGAGCTCACAGGGTAGATCAAGGAGAAGCCTCAGAAAATGTCCTCCAAGATGCTGGCTGGAGAAGGGGAATAGCAGCCACTGCCCAAACACCACCCTGATACATTCCCTTCATCTTCCCTACCCAACAAAGCTTTAATCTGCAAAGGGAAGTTGGTCAAAACTGTACCACTGGAAACTGACTGCAGCTAGGAGAGGAGAATACGAGGGAAAAGAAGCTTCACTTTGGGGGCAGGGCAGGAATATTTGCTAGGCCAGCACTACAGCTGGAAAAGTTGCAGGAGCCACTGAGACCCAGGTTTTCAGTTTCTGCTAAGACTGATGCTTCGTAAGAATATAAGAGGTCGCCCCTCTCCCTCTCTCTGCCACCATGCTAACAAGAGTTGCATCAGAATATAGTTTGGAGAACTACTTACAGACTCTCTCCGGAGGATAGTGCAAAGGGGAGACTCAAAACCAAGAGAAGAGACAGAAACAATATATCACTAGGGGAGTTTAAAGCTTCTGGACCCCTGAGGGTAACCATAGCAATAACAAACTTCCAGTCCAACTCTGGACTAAATTAACACAAATTCCCACATTAAAAGTCTAGCAGAAGGAAAGGCATGCTCAGTTCCAAGCATAAAAATATTTACATAGTATCTACTGCCCTGTATAACATATTTACCATTCATCAAAAAATCCCATGGTACACAAAAAGGCAAGAAAAAACACAGTATGGAAAACTGTGTTTCCCAAAGTAATCAACAGAACCAGCCTCATAAACATGTTGGATTTATCAGACAGGGAATTTTAAATAACTATGACAAATATGTTAAAGACTAATGGAAAAGGTGGACAACATGCAAGATCAGATAGATAAGTTCAACAGAGAGATAGAAACAACAAGAAAGAATCAACTAAAAATGCTAGACATCAAAAACACAGTAGAAGATATGAAGACTGTCTTTCATGGGCTTACCAGTAGACTTGATATAGTCAAGGAAATAATTAATGAAGTGGAATATAGGTCAATAAAATTTACTCAAACTGAAACAGAAGGAGAACAGAGTGGAAAAAAATAGGACAAAATCTCCAAGAGCTATGGGACAATATTAGACAGTCTAACATATACATAATTTGAAATCCCAGAATGAGAAGAAAGAATGGGTAGAAGAAATGTTTAAGAAATAATTGCTGGCAATTTTCTAATTACTGACAGACATTCTTATGTTCTGAATGTATCCCCCTCAGATTCATGTGTTAAAAACTCAATCCCTAATGCAACAATGTCTTAGAGATGGGTCTTAATGGGAGGTGTTTAGATTATGAGGGCTCTGCCCTTGTGAAAGGATAAATGCTGCTATAAAAAGGGCTTGCAGGAGTAGGTTTGCTCCCTTCCACCTCCTGCCATGTGAGGATGCAGCAAGGAGCTCTAGCTAGCATCTGGCTCACCAGATGCTAGCACCTTGATCTTGGACTTGCCAACCTCTAGAACTGTGAGAAATAAATGTCTGTTTCTTTAAAATAAATTGTCTAGTCTGTGGTATTTTGTTATAGTAGTCTAAAACAGACTATGACAGAAATTGGTACGAGAGGAGTGAGGTGTTGCTGTAATAAATACCTACAAATGTGGAAGCAACTTTGTAACTGGGTGATGGGTAGAGGCTGAAACAGTTTTGGAGTGAATGCTGGAAAAAGCCTATATTGCCGTGAGAATACATTAAGAGCATTGAGGGTGATTCTGGTGAGAGCTCTGAAGAAGAACAGAGGTGTAGGAAAAGCCCCAGTCTTCTTAGAGATTACTCAAGTGGTCATGAACGGAATGCTGGTAGAAGTATGGACAGTGAAGGACATTCTGATGAGGTTGTAGATGAAAATGAGGAACAAACATTGGAAACTGGAGGAAAGGCCACCCATGTTACAAAGTAGCAAAGAACTTAGCTGAATTATGTTCATGTCCTAGGATTTTATGGAAAAGGCAGAACTTAAATGTGATGAACTAGGATATTTGGCAGAAGAAATCTCGAAGCTGAGAAGTATTTTAGGATGCTAAGTGGCTTCTCTTAATTGCTTATAGTAAAATGTGAGAAGAGAGAAACAATTTAAAGATGGAATTTACAATTAAAGGAAAAGCAGAACATAAACATTCAGAAAATCTCAGTCTGCCACGTAAAGAATAAGAAAACATGTTTAGGAAAGAAAATCATGGGTGTGGCCAAGTGACCATTTGATAAGGAAATTAGTAGGGATAGAAGGAATCCAGGTGCTATTCATCAAGACAACAAGAGAATGGCCCCGAAGGCATTTTGGAGATCTTTAGAGGCCGCCATGCCCACCACAGGCCCAGAGTGCTAGGCCTAGAAATATCATCAGAGTGACCAGATGAAAGGAAATAATATAGAACATAAATAAATGAAATTGAAAATAGGAAAACAATACATAAAATCAATGAAACCAAAAGCTGATTGATATAGTTTGGATGTTTGTCCCCTTCAAATCTCATGTTAAAATGTGATTCCCAGTGTTGAAGGTGGGGCTTGGTGGGAGGTGGTTGGGTCATAGGGGCAGATACCTCATGAATAGCTTGGTGCCCTCCCCACAGTAATGAGTTCACATGAGATCTTGTTGTTTAGAAAGGAGCCTGGCATTTCCTCCTCCCTCTCTTTTTTGCTCCTGCTCTAAGTGACATGTGTGCTCCACCTTCACCTTCCACCATGAGTAAAAACTTCCTCACCAGAAGCCAAGCAGATGCTGGTGCCATGCTTGTACAGCCTGCAGAATAGTGAGCCAAATAATCTCTTTTCTTTAGAAATTACCCAGCCTCATGTATTCCTTTATAGCAATTCAAATGGACTAATACACTGATTCTTAGATAAAGTCATAAATTTGATAAGTCACTGGTTAAGCTGGCCAAGAAAAAGAGAGTGAAGACACAATTTCTCAACATCAGGAATGCAACAAAGGACATCACTACTGATCTCACAGACATTAAAAATATAAGAGAATAGTACAGACAACACTATATCCATAAGTTCAACAATTTAGATAAAATGAAACAATTATTTTAAAGAGCCAAACTACCACAACTCACTTAAGAAAGATACCTAACCTGAATACTCCAATATTTATTAAGAAATTGAAACTATAGTTTTGAAACTTCTAAAAAGGAAACTCCTAGCCTAGATGGTTTCGCTGATAAAATCTACAAAACACTTAAGCAAGAAATAATCCCAATTCTACATAATATCTTCCAGAATATAGAACATTTATGAATTCATCTGGTGAGGTAAGCATTACCCTAAGACTCAAACCAGCTTGCACATTGCAAGAAAAGAAAACTATAGCCCAAGATACGTCATGAAAATAAATGCAAAAAATGCTCAACAAAATATTAGCAAATCAAACATTGCAATATATTAAAAGAATAGTATATAACCAATTGGGGTTTATAGCAGATCCCAGGAAAGAAAATCAGGCTTACATTTAAAAAATCAATCAATGTAATTCATTATATTATATACATTCATCTCAATAGAAACAAAAACAAAATCAATGAAATTCAACATCCATTCATGACAAAAGTCTCAGAAAACTAGGAATAGAAGAGAACTTCTTTAACTTTATATAGGAAAGCTATGAAATACCTACAACTAGCATCATACTTAAGAGTAAAATACTGAATGTTTTACCCTCCAAAACTGGGAATAAAGCGAGGATGTCCTCTCTGACTATCCCCAATCAACACCAGACTGGAAGTCATAGCCAGTGAAATAAGCCAAGAAAAACAAATAAATAGCATACAGCTTTGAAAGGAAAAAGATAAGCCTGTCTTTAATTGAAGATGACATGGTTATCAATGTAGACAATTCCAAAAATATACAAAACACTCCGAGAACTCATAAGTACATTTAAAAAGGTCAATATACAAAAACCAATCATATTCCTATATTCCAGAAATGAATAGTTGTCATTTGATATTAAGAAACAAGATCATTTACAATTGCACTGAAAAAGTTAAGTACTTAGGTATAAGTCTATTAAAACATGTGCATGGTCTATATGTTGAAAATGACACTGATGAAAGGTATTAAAGAAAAATCTAAACACATTGACAGATACACTGTGTTCATGATTTGGAAGCATTAATATTATTAAGAGGCCAGTTCTCCCCAGTTTGATCTGTAGATTCCATGAAATCCCAATCAAAATCCAGTAAGCTTTTTATAGATGATGACAAGCTAATTTTTAAACTTATATAGAAAGGCAAAGGACCTAGAATAGCCAAAGCAATGCTGAAAAAGAAAAAAAAAAGTTGGAGGATTCATGCTAGGATTTCAAGACTTATTCAAAACCTATACTAATCAAGACAGTATTGAATAAGCTAAAGGACAGACACATGGAGCAATGGAACAGAAAAGAGAATTCATAAATAGATCTACAGAAATATTGTCAGCTGATTTTTAACAAAGGTGCCAAGACAATGCAATGGACATAGGATAGTTTTTCAGAAAATGATGCCAGAATAGTCCATTTGCAAAAAATGAATCTCCCTGTACCTTAAACAAAAATTAACTAAAAATGGATAATAAACCTAAATGCAAAACATAAAACTATAAAATGTCTAAAAGAAAACATAGAAAATTTGTGTGATCTTGGGTTTGGCAATGGGTTGTTAGATACAACAATAAAAGCACAATCCATAAAAGAAAAAAACTGATAAATTTGACTTTATCAAAATTTAAATCTTTGCTTTGCCAAAGATGCAGTTGAGAAAATAAAAAGACTGGCACAGAGGCAAGGCACAGACTGGGGAAAAAATTGCAAATCACATATCTGACAAAGACTCGTTTCCAGAGTGTATATATAATATGTCTCTCTCTATATAATGACATGTTAAAACTCAGTAATAAGAAACAACCCAATCTTACAAACGGGCAAAATATCTGAACAGATATTTCTTTAAGAAGATATCAATAGCAAATAAATATAAAAGAGGTGTTCAGCATCATTTGTTATCAGAAAAATGTAAATGAAAACCATAATGTGATAGCACTACACACCTATCAGAATTTCTGGAATAGAGAAAAACGTGGCAGTATGGTGAGATGCAAAGCAACAGGAACTCTCATTCATTGCTGTTGAGCATACTAAATAGCACAACCAGGTTGGAGGACAATTTGGAAATTTCTTATAAAGTTAAACATATACTTACCACATGATCCAGAAATCCCAATCCAAGGCATTTATCCAAATGAGTTGAAAACTAATGTTCATACAAAAATTCATATAAAAATGTGTATAACAACTTTATTCACAGTCATTCCAAACGAGAAACAGCTGCAATGTCCTTCAGTAGGTAATGGAATAAGGAACTGTGATATATCCGTACAGTAGGCTATTGCTCAACAATAAAAATGAATGCATTATCGATTTACACAACAACACGGATCTTAAATGCATTCTGTAAGTGAAACAAGCCAGACCCAAAAGGCTACATATTATATGATTTCATTTTTATGACATCGTGTAAAAGGCACAACTATAGGGATAGAAAACAGGTCAGTGGTTCAGTGGTTAGCAGGGTTGAGGGAAACGGGAGAGGTTTTCTACAAAGGGACTGGATGAGAAGTAATTTTTAGCATGATGAAACGGTTCTATACATTACTTGGGCAGGTGGATACATGGCTCTATGCATTTTCAAACCCCATAGAACAGTAGTCTACAAAGAGTGAACTTTACTGTATGCAAATTGAAAAAAAAATCAACGAGGATGTTTAGGGGGAGATCCCAATAGGCAACACAGAAAAAAGTTATTTGCTGAGCAGCAACTTTTAAAGGTGCCAGAGAGTTAAAACAAAAGAAAACAAAACAAAAAAACAAAACAGCAATAAATATAGTGGCATGACTTCAAAAAAGTTCATTTATAATTTCTTCACTTGTGTCCACTGTGGTGAATTCTGTCAATGTGAGCTCCTGAAAAGCAAGGCCTGTGTTTGTCTCCCTCTGTAGGCCCACGCTTTACAGTACAGCATTTCTCAAATGAGTTATAGGCAGACCCCCCCCCCTACACTGTTAGGGAGAAAACAAACCTCCCGTGGACTTCTAATGCTAAAGTCTTTTATTATCTTGTTTTAAACATATGTTTAAACATACAAATATATAAATGCTTGTGTTTACAATTCTTATACACCTAGGAGACCATAACAAAATTATGAATTAGACACAAAGAACTGGAGCCCCAGTAAAGCTCAATCTGATAACATTCATTGGTGAAACTCAATCACTGCTCACAATGTGACTCTGCTCCTGAGGCCTGTGGTCTAGTCTTGGAAGTGGGCAGCCATGATAAATGTTGGAACTCAAATGTTTCCACCTTTATTCTCTCTTCTAATGATTACACAAACATCATTTTCACAGCAAACCTTGATGTTGTATAGGATGGCTTGAAGAAGTTGAAAATCACTTCCTACATCAGCACCATCAAAACTACTACTAGACCTTGTTATGATTTTCCTGTTCCCACCTGCATCTAACCTGTGATAAACAAAATTTAGTTTATGTTAAATTTGGCCCTTGTCCTCTAAGGAGTGTTAAGTGTGAAGCCATCACAGTGTTGCTGATGAACAGAATTTACCTCTGTTCGAAGAGCGAGGACTCTGTGATTATGTGGGAAGGCTCTGCTGTCTTTGTCTTCAGTCTTTGCCTGCTTTAGCAAATTCTGATAGGAGGAAGATGCAAACACCACTCTCAGGTGGGATTTCAAAATCCTGCACCATCAAACTGATCTGTTTTGAACTATATGGAGCTCTCTAAGGTTACAATAATTCTTTCTACTGTGCTTTCAATACTGAAAAAAAAAATCACTTATTAGTGGACAATTCAACAAGCAATTTAAATAGAAATTATTTTTAAAAACATGCTTGACACATAGCCAGACATAGTGGCACATGGCTGTAGTCCTAGCTACTTGGGAGGCTGGGGCTTGATCCCAGGAGGTAAAGGGCAGCTTGGATAACATAGCGAGACCCTGTTTCAAACAAAACAAATGTTTTGTTTGAAATGCTTGACAACTAATTATGTTGATTACCTATGATTTGGAGAAATCCATGCTATAACAATGAATAGTCAAGCGTTCACTCTGGAGTAATCCAACACTTTGCTGTATTCCATATGAAAATAAAACATGCCTTTGAATTTTTACAAGGATGCAGCCAGCTTTTGTTTGAATCTGTGAAATGGCAAGTTTGGGGCTGGACTAGGACTGTATCAGGGAAAGAAGCTGTTTGGCATGTTTTTTTTTTCTGTAGTGTTGAGCATTGCTGCTTGTTGGGCAGCTCAAAGGACAAGATATTCAAAGATCTCCCTGCCAGCAGGTGCCTCCAACGCCACACTTGAGAAGTGGATATGCGTGAGCCAAGTCCTGGCAGCCACACTCACCAGCCACGTAGTCCTTGGGGACATCACCAGACTCCTCGTGCTTCTGCTTCCTCACCAGTAATGAGTTTTAAATGGGAAGATGCAGGGAACATGCTGAGAAGAAAGCTTAGCACACAGGACATGCTCTATCATGTTAGCTCTTCTTACTGACACACTTAACACATTGGATTACAGTCACCCATCTCCTATTTTTGCTTTAAACCTAACTGGTCTATCAGTTCTTGAGGAGCAGGGACCACAACTTATTCCTCTCTGAATCCACAGTCCTGAGCATACAACACTCAGTGTTTTGAACTGAAGAAAGGGAATAGAATTGGAAAATTGTTCAAAAAAGAGCAAATTGATGAACACAACCAAGCAAGGGACAAAAATGAGTAATTTTCACCTCAGAGTGTAGGATAATAATTTCTGTGTGCCACCTTCGAGTCGACCTCTGTGCCCAACATTTTTTCACCTCAATGCATTTAACAAATTATTCCTCACAGTTCATTTGGGTACACTACTGGCTGCAATCCTGTAATTACAAGTTGTTTTTTCTGCTTCAAAATTGACCTGAATGCTAATAAGCAAAACCAACTAAAAAAATTCTTACCCTGAAGTTCTGGAAATGGTTTTGATCTGGGTGTTGGATACATATTACGTATCTGTACTCTTATAATTTGCACACTTTATTGTATGTATGTTATACCCAGTTAAACATTTTTTAAAGCCTTTTGCCTATCAAGAGTGATTCCATCTGACACATGTCTACAAGACTGTCACTGCCACCCTGGCTATCCCTTCCTTGGCATCTCCCAACCTACTGCTCCCAAAAATGTCCTGTATCTACTTAGCTTATAATCACAGGAAATCTGTATGCACTTTGAACAGCAAAGCCCTCAAGGCTTCAAAAAGTTGAAGCTTTTGCAGAACCAGAAAAAACAATCCTAAAATTCATATGGAACCAAAAAGAGCCCACATAGCCAAAGCAAGACTAAGCAAAAACAACAAATCTGAAGGCATCACATTACCCAACTTCAAACTATACTATAAGGCCACAGTCACCAAAACAGCATCGTATTGGTATAAAAATACGCACATAGACCAGAGGAACAGAATAGAGAACCCAGAAATAAACCCAAATACTTACAGCCAGCTGATCTTTGACAAAGCAAGCAAAAACATAAATTGGGAAAAGGACACCCTATTCAACAAATCGTGCTGGGATAATTGGCAGGCCACATGTCGGAGAATGAAACTGGATCCTTGTCTCTCACCTTATACAAAAATCGACTCAAGGTGGCTCAAAGACTTAAATCTAAGACCTGAAACCATAAAGATTCTAGATGATAACATTGGAAAAACCCTATTAGACATTTGCTTAGGCAAAGACTTCATGACCAAGAACCCAAAAGCAAATGCAACAAAAACAAAAACAAATAGATGGAACTTAATTAAACTAAAAAGCTTCTGCATAGCTAAAGAAATAAGCAGAAGAGTTAACAGACAATCCTTAGAGTGGGAGAAAATATTCGCAAAAATACATCTGACAAAGGACTAATATCCAGAATTGACAAATAACTCAAACAAATCAGCAAGAAAAAAACAAACAATCCCATCAAAAAGTGGGCTAAGGACATGAATAGACTATTCTCAAAAGAAGATATACAAATGGCCAACAAGCATATGGAAAAATGCTCAATATCACTAATTATCAGGGAAATGGAAATCAAAACCGCAATGCAATACCACCTCGCTCCTGCAAGTATGGCCGTAATCAAAAAATAAAAAAATAATAGATGCTGGCATGGATGTGGTGAAAAGGAAAACTTTTACACTGCTGGGAACTGGGAATGTAAACTAGTACAGCCACTGTGGAAAACAGTGTGGAGTTTCCTTAAAGAGCTAAAAGTAGATCTACCATTTGATCCAGCAATCCCACTACTACGTATCTACCCAGAGGAAAAGAAGTCATTATACAAAGATAATACTTGCACACGCATGTTTATAGCAGCACAATTTGCAATTGCAAAAATATGAAACCAGCCCAAATGCCCATCAGTCAATGAGTGGCTAAAGAAAGTGTGGTATATGTATATATATACCATTTACTCAGTCATAAAAAGAAATAATGGCATTTGCAGCAACCTGTATGGAATTGGAGAATATTATTCTAAGTGAAGTAACTCAGGAGTGGAAAAACAAACATCCTATGTTCTCACTCATATGTGGGAGCTAAGCTATGAAGATACAAATCTTCATATGATATGTTGGACTTTGCGGACTTGGGAGAAAGACTACACATTGGGTACAGTGTACACGGCTGGGGTGCTGGGTGCACCAAAATCTCAGAAATCACCACTAAATAACTTTTCATGTAACCAAACACCACTTGTTCCCCCAAAGACCTACTGAAATAAAAAAATTAAAAATTAAAAAACAAAAAATGCTGAAGCTTTTTGTTAAAGAGCACTTAAAATTAAGGTTCCCATAATTTATCCACCAGAGGGAGCCAACAAAGCCACAATAATAGGAACATACTGACCTTAGTGAGCTACAAATCAAGATTTTCAGACAAGGGCTGCAGAGTTGAGACATAAGCAAGTATCAATTGCTTGGTTCAAGGAAGGCATGTGAAAATTTATTGAAGTCAGATTTAATTCATGGCTTTGTTTTCTCAATAGTAGACATGTTTTAATAGTAAGAGTCAAATGACTTTGAAAGTTTTAACACTAATAAATGCCTTGTGAGGATATGGACATGAAAGTAAGAATAGCTCACCTTTAAAAAACACTTTACAGATTCTGAATAATTTTCAGTTAGAGAGTTGAGTGCTGGCAGTTCTCTTCATTAATACAAGAATTTAATAGATAAATACAGTTTGTGCCCATTGGGATGAAAAAAACAGTTTTTATTGCATCAATGCAGCGTACGGCTGGTATATATGCAAATTAGGAAAAGGCATACCTGGGAGGTTTAGGGCATGGTTTGGTGAGCAGAGCATGGGATGGATTTCAGACCCCACTTTCCCTTATTAGGCAGCTCTGTGCAAGGCTAACATCCATATGTGGCAGCCCTCAAGTCTGGGCAATGGTGGCTCCAAGGGGATGCTTGGAAGAGTTTTTAATCTTTCCTTTCTCCAATTCTTTGATAAGGACAATAGCATTTTCTTAATCTAATATAAAATGCATTTCCAAGACTAGTTGCCCACCTCTCTTCTGCCAATCAGAATGTTGACCCAGGTTCTTCCTGTAGAAAAATTCTGGATTCACCACTGAACTATGAAAATAAACATTTTCCATCCTGTTCTCCTCTGCTTCCAATCCACCCTGCTGGAAAAGAGTTGCCCATAGTTCCCAAGTGGCCTTTTTCTTTATAGTTTTCATTTCCTGATCACTCCCCACTTCCTTATTTTGTAGCCACTATCTATCTTCATCAGATTTTCTCGCTGGTTAGAAACTGAAACCAGACATCCATTTAAACATCTTACATGGGATCATCCCTCAGTCCTTACCTTATTTGATCTGACCACTTAACACTGTTGATCACTCTGTCCTTTGGAGATAATTTCCCCATTTGGCTTCTAGAACATGAGTCTTTTGCTTCTTCCCCTTCCAAATTGGCTGCTGCTTCTCAGTCTCCTGGTTTGATTCCTCCTTATCTTCCTGATTTCTAAGTGTGGACAGCTACAAGGCATCTGTCCTGTGGCTTTACACACCTTCACAGCTCTCAAGTTTATATCTCCCCTAGCTTCTATCCTAAACTCCAGACTCATCTTCACCTGCTCACTGAACATTTCCATTTGGATTTTGTATTATCTGTTCTCACACTGCTTAAAGAAACATCTGAGACTGGGTAATTTCTAAAGAACAGAGGTTTAATTGGCCCACAGTTTCTCAGGTTGTACAGGAAGCATGGCAGCATCTACTCCTGGGGTAGCCTCAGGGAGCTTTTACTCATGGTGGAAGGCAAAGCTGGAGCAGGCATCTTACATGGCAGGAGCAGGAGGAAGAGAGAGATGGGGAGGTGCCGCACACTTTAGAATGCCTAGATCTCTTGAAAACTCTTATCATGTGAACAGCACTAGTGGGATGGTGCTAAACCATTAGAAACCGCCCCCGTGATCCAACCGCCTGCTACCAGGCCCCACCTCCAGCACTGGGGATTACATTTCAACATGAGATTTGGGTGGTGACACAGATCCAAACCATATCAGATGTTTAAAAGCATCTCATACGAGACATGCCTAAAATCAAACTCTTAAGTTTCTCCTTCTATGTGTTTCATAGTCTTTCTCACCTAAGCTAATGATACCTCCCTTTTTAGTTGCTCATGCCAAAAACTCTGGAGTCATCTTTTTTTTTTTTTTTTTTTTTTTTTTTTTTGAGACGGAGTATTGCTCTGTCACCCAGGCTGGAGTGCAGAGTGCAATGGCATGATCTCAGCTCACTGCAACCTCTGCCTCCTGGGTTCAAGCTATTCTCCTGACTCAGCCTCCTTAGTAGCTGAGACTACAGGCATGTGCCACCATGCCCAGCTAATTTTTGTATTTTTAGTAGAGACGGGTTTTCACCATGTTGGCCGGGATGGTTTCGATCTCCTGACCTCTTGAACTGCCTGCCTCAGCGTCTCAAAGTGCTGGGATTACAGGCATAAGCCACCGCGCCCGGCCTGGAGTCATCTTTGACTGATCTTTCTCTTACTCTCCATATTGGCAAATGCCTTTGGATCCAGATTTGAAATCTGTCCAGGATTTGACTACTTTATACCACCTCAACAGCGACCACTCAAGTCCAGATCACAGCATCATCTCTTGCCTGGATTACTGCAATAGTCTTCTAAACTCACTTCCCTGACTCTGCCTTCCCCTACCCCTCACCCTTTAACCAGTGTCTATTTTCTTCACTACAGTCAGAGTCATCCTGCTATAACCAGAAGCCTCTCCTCTGCATAACGTATCCCATCTCACAGAGTGAAACCCAAGGAACTTAAAAGGGCCTGTGAGGCTCTACATGGTCAGTCCCTGATATATTTCCAAACAGCACTCAAACCTCCCTGTTCTAACACCTTCTTTGTGCATGCCAAACCTGTTCATGCCACCTCAAGGTCTTTGCACTTGCTGATCTTTCTGCCAGCGTTCTTCCTTCAGATGCCCTCGGGCTGGCTCCTTCAACTCCTTTAGTCTCTGCTCCAATGTCATTGCATCAGCCAGGCCTTCCTGACACCGTATATAAAATAACACCCACACTCCTATCACTCTCTGTGTGCCTTACCCTGCAATTTTTTCTTCATAGCACTTCTCTCCTCTCCATTGGATGTGTGTGTGTTTAGGTATACATACATGTGGTATATATATTTGTATATACATATAATGTATATATTTGAATACACATGTAGTATATATATTTGTGTATGTATATGTCTATCTGTTTAATCATTGTCTGCCTTCTCCACCAAAAATGTAAACTCTGTGATTAGAAGTATTTTGTTTCATTTATGTTATAATCTCAGTGCCTGGAACAATGCCTAGCACATGGCAGGTATTTGATAAATATTTGTTGAATTAATGTTGACTGAATCTAGGTAACTTATATACTGACTAAAAGTTACATACAATGTGTAAAATAAAATGTGTTAAACTTTCTGTGTTGCCCAAGCAGAACTGGGAGTCTTGGAAGGCATTTAAAGAAATACAGTGTTTACCCTGGAAGAACAGTGGATGCCACATGAATATTTGATGAATGTGGAATGAAATCTGACATCTTGTTGCTGGAGTAGATGGCTTAAAGATAATTGGACAAAACAGGAAGCTACAAATCCACATCATTTAACCCCTTGTTGTTATGTTGAATTAGGAAACATTATATATACTGCATTTTGTTTTTACCAATTGCTGCCATATTCTCTTACTATTATTATTAATATTTTTAAGAGAAAGCGTTTTGCTCTGTCACTGATACTGGAGTGCAGTGGTGTGATCATAGCTCACTGCAGCCTTGAACTCCTGGGTTCAAGTGATCCTCCTACCTCAGCCTCCTGAGTAGCTGGGACTACAGGCATGCCATCACGCCCAGCTAATTAAAAAAATCTTTTTTGTAGAGATAGTGTCTCACTATGTTTCCCAGACTGGTCTCAAACTCCCAGGCTCAAGCAATCATCTTGCCTTGGTATGTGCTACCATGCCCAGACAAATTCTATTATTAAACAGAATTTCTATGTATTATCTGCCTACCTAAATAAGCATATTATGAATGTCATGCTTCATTATTGCTGATGCTGAAGAATCCAGACTGATGTCTTCTAAGAGAATATCCATCAGTAAAGTCAAGAATTGTGTTTCTATTTATCACTTTATTGCCAAAGCTAATTGCTTATGTAAAGATTCCTGTCTTGATGTGAGCTGTTAGCATATTAAAGTATATTTACTGAAATTGAATCCATAATTTAAATGACATATAATTTAAATACACTTGTGAAAACAAAAAGATAAATTCATTTAAAACAGAATATAATTAAGGGAAAATTTTAATTAAAAAAACACTAATAGCGAAACTGTTTTTTTTCCTAATTTTTATTTTATTGTGGTAAGAGCGCTTAATGTGAGTTCTACCGTCTGAACAAATTTGTAAGGGTACAGTACCATATTGTTAACTACAGGCACAATTTTATGCAGCCGTTCTCTAGAACTTATTCATCTTGCATACCTATGACTTTATACCTATGGAATAGCAATTCCCCACCATTTCTCTTCCCCTCAGCCCCAGTACCATTCTACTCTCTGATTCCATGAGTTTGACTATTTTAGACACCCCATGGGCCAGACATGATGGCTCACACCTGTAATCCCAGCACTTTGAGAGGCCGAAGTGGCTGGATTGCTTGAGCCCAGGAGTTCAAGACCAGCCTGGGCAACATGACAAAACCCTGTCTCAAAAATAAAATAAATAAAATAAAAAACAGGAAATCTTGCAATATGCAACAACACGGATGAATCTTGAAGACATTATACAAAGTGATTATTTCACTTGGTATGTGTGTATGTTTAGGTATATATACATGTAAGAAATCTAGAATTTCCTAATATTTCCTTTTTACATCTTTATTACATCTTTGATTTTCATCTTTAAAATGAACATGTAGAGGTAAAAACACAATATGCATATTAATCAGATTGTGTATTTTAATGCCTATGTGTTATAGAAGCCGCCACTGTTGTGAGAGTGTGGGCTTGGGACCTGGACTGCCTGGGCATGGATCCCAGCTCTGCCACTTCCTGGCTGTGGGTCATGAGCAAGCCATTTTGTCCTCATGTTTCTGTTTCCTTAGAGAGTTGTTGTGAGGATAATGAGATGATAGAGGTAAAACACTGAGAATAGTTCTGAACAAAGAGTAGTCACTCAATAAATACTAGCTATTGCTATTAGCTATATATAATGAAAATAAAGTTTTACCATCACATTCTCCTTTTGTAGCTAATGGGTTGAATTAATCCAATTTGCACTAATTTGTCAAAAATATCCAAATAGTTTCGCATGAAATTACTCCCAAAGAAAGAGAACCTTTTATACCAAAGAGGAACGCTTGCACCTTCTTTAGAGATGCCAGTTTCTCTCCGGGAATCTCCTGATTGCATACACTCCAGATGTCATAATTGGTACTGAGAGCTCTTAGAGATATTTCCCTGGTTATTGTTCATACAAAGCTCTGAGAAAGCCCATAGCAAACACTGGCTTCCAGTGTTCTTCATTATTGATATTGATATTTTGAGATCATGACAAAGGGAGTGTGAGAATGATGATTAATTTACTAATTTTCCTCATTTTATGCTTTCTTCAGCTCTGTAACCCCAATACCGATTAGCATGCACACACACAAACATACACACACATTTATATCTCACTGCCCACTTAAAAAATGAGATTTATTATATATTCATATTGACCTCAGTGTTTATGCTTTTGAGTCCTGTTTTAGGGAAGATTGTTTCAATAATAAAGATGTGCATTCTTATCTTGACCTCCTTTGATGCAGGTGTATTCTGGCCCTCTTGATTCTATGATACATGGTACACTAGTCTTCCGTTGAATTTGAATTGTAAAGTAGTTACAATTTAATACACTTATAAATAATGTATTTATTCATACTATGTAGAGACAGGGACACCATGGATAATTTTTTTCTCTGAATTGTATTTTTTAATCTTATTTTAAAGTTGGTATAAAATTCACATAATATAAACTTAGCCATTATAAAGTACACAATTCAGTGGCATTTAGTGATATTCCCAAAGTGATGCAACCACCACTTTTCACTAATTTCAAAACTTTTTCATCACCCCAGAAACACACCCCATAGCCATTAAGTAATCACTGCCCATTCTCCTCTTCTCTCATCCCCTGACAACCATCGACCTGCTTTCTGTCTCTACGGACTTGCCTTTTCCAGATATATCATGTAAAAGGGATCATAAAATATGTGGCCTTTTGTGCCTGGCTTCCTTTATTTAGCATACTGTTTTTGAGGTTTATCTAAGTTTTAGCACGTATCAGTACTTTGTTCTTATTTACTGCTGAATGATATTCCATTGAATGTACGTATCACAATTTATTTATCCATTTCTCCATTGATGGGCATTTGGGTTTTTTCTACCTTTTGGCTACTATAAATAATGCTGCTATAAATCTTCATGCACAAGTTTCTGTGTGGACATATGTTCTCATTTCTCTTGGGCATATATGTATGAGTGCAATTGCTAGGTCATATGATAACTCTATGTTTAACTTTTTGAGGAACTGCCAAATTATTTTCCACAGTGGCCACATCATTTTACATTCCCACCAGCAATATACAAATGTTTCTATTTCTCCATATCTTCACCAATGCTTAATTCCCATTTTGTTTTGTTTTCATTTTAAATTAAAGCCATCCTAGTGGGTATAAAGTGGTAGCTTATTGTGGTTTTGATTTGCATTTCCTTCATTACCAAAGATGTTGAATATCCTTTCATGTGCTTATTGACCATTTGCATATCTTCTTTGGGGAAATGTCTATTTAAATTCCTTGTGCATTTTTAAAAATTGTGTTGTCTTTTTGTTATTGAGTTGTGAGAGTTGTTTATATATGCTGAATATTAAACCCTTAGCAGATATGTGATTTGCAAATATTTTTTCCCATTCTGTACATTGGCTTTTCACATTCTCGATAATGTCTTTTGATGCACAAAAGTTTTTAATTTTTATGAAGTCCAATTTATCTATTTTTTCTTTTGTTGCTTGTGCTTTTAGTGTCAATCTAAGAATCCTGTGGCAAATCCAAGTTGATCCACAAATTCATAAGGAACTGCAAGGGACTCTAAATACACTGAGCAATACTGAAAAAGAAAAATAAAGTTGGAGTACTCACACTTCCCTAAATTCAAAATTTACCACAAAGCTACAGTAATCAAAACAGTGTGGTACTGGCATAAAAGTAGATATATAGCCCAATGGACTAGAAATGAGATTCCAGAAATAAACCCAAACATCTATGGCCAATTGAATTACAACAAGAATACTAAGATAATTAAATGTAGAGACAAGAATCAAATAGACGCAATAAAAAATGATAAAGGGGATATCACCACCGATCCCACAGAAATACAAACTACCATCAGAGAATACTATAAACACCTCTATGCAAATAAACTAGAAAACCTGGAAGAAATGGATAAATTCCTCAACACACACACCCTCCCAAGGCTAAACCAGGAAGAAGTAGAATCTCTGAATAGACCAATAACAGGCTCTGAAATTGAGACAAATAATAGCTTACCAACCAAAAAAAGTCCGGGACCAGACGGATTCACAGCTGAATTCTACCAGAGGTACAAGGAGGAGCTGGTACCATTCCTTCTGAAACTATTCCAATCAACAGAAAAAGAGGGAATCCTCCCTAACTCATTTTATGAGGCCAGCATCATCCTCATACCAAAGCCTGGCAGAGACACAACAAAAAAAGAGAATTTTAGACCAATATCCCTGATGAACATCGATGCAAAAATCCTCAATAAAATACTGCCAAACTGAATCCAGCAGCACATCAAAAAGCTTATCCACCATGATCAAGTGGGCTTCATCCCTGGGATGCAAGGCTGGTTCAATATACGCAAATCAATAAATGTAATCCATCATATAAACAGAACCAAAGACAAAAACCACATGATTATCTCAATAGATGCAGAAAAGGCCTTCAACAAAATTCAACAGCCCTTCATGCTAAAAACTCTCAATAAATTAGGTATTGATGGGACGTATCTCAAAATAATAAGAGCTATTTATGACAAACCCACAACCAATATCATACTGAATGGGCAAAAACTGGAAGAATTCCCTTTGAAACCTGGCACAAGACAGGGATGCCCTCTGTCACCATTGCTATTCAACATAGTGTTGTAAGTTCTGGCCAGGGCAATCAGGCAAGAGAAAGAAATAAAGGGTATTCAATCAGGAAAAGAGGAAGTCAAATTGTCCCTGTTTGCAGATGACATGATTGTATATTTAGAAAACCCCATCGTCTCAGCCCAAAATCTCCTTAAGCTGATAAGCAACTTCAGCAAAGTCTCAGGATACAAAATCAATGTGAAAAAATCACAAGCATTCCTATACACCAATAACAGACAAACAGAGAGCCAAATCATGAGTGAACTCCCATTCACAATTGCTTCAAAGAGAATAAAATACCTAGGAATCCAACTTACAAGGGATATGAAGGACCTCTTCAAGGAGAACTACAAACCACTGCTCAATGAAATAAAAGAGGATACAAACAAATGGAAGAACATTCCATGCTCATGCGTAGGAAGAATCAATATTGTGAAAATGGCCATACTGCCCAAGGTAATTTATAGATTCAATGCCATCCCCATCAAGCTACCAATGACTTTCTTCACAGAATTGGAAAAAACTACTTTAAAGTTCATATGGAACTGAAAAAGAGCACACATTGCCAAGTCAATCCTAAGCCAAAAGAACAACGCTGGAGGCATCATGCTACCTGACTTCAAACTATACTACAAGGCTACAGTAACCAAAACAGCATGGTACTGGTACCAAAACAGAGATATAGACCAATGGAACAGAACAGACCCCTCAGAAATAATGCCACATATCTACAACTATCTGATCTTTGACAAACCTGAGAAAAACAAGCAATGGGGAAAGGATTCCCTATTTAATAAATGGTGCTGGGAAAACTGGCTAGCCATATGTAGAAAGCTGAAACTGGATCCCTTCCTTACACCTTACACAAAAATTAATTCAAGATGGATTAAAGACTTAAATGTTGGACGTAAAACCATAAAAACCCTAGAAGAAAACCTAGGCATTACCATTCAGGACATAGGCATGGGCAAGGACTTCATGACTAAAACACCAAAAGCAATGGCAACTAAAGCCAAAATTGACAAATGGGATCTAATTAAACTAAAGAGCTTCTGCACAGCAAAAGAAACTACCACCAGAGTGAACAGGCAACCTACGGAATGGGAGAACATTTTTGCAATCTACTCATCTGACAAAGGGCTAATATCCAGAATCTACAATGAACTCAAACAAATTTACAAGAAAAAAACAAACAACCCCATCAACAAGTGGGCAAAGGATATGAACAGACACTTCTCAAAAGAAGACATTTATGCAGCCAAAAGACACATGAAAAAATGCTCACCATCACTGGCCATCAGAGAAATGCAAATCAAAACCACAATGAGATACCATCTCACACCAGTTAGAATGGCGATCATTAAAAAGTCAGGGAACGACAGGTGCTGGAGAGGATGTGGAGAAATAGGAACACTTTTACACTGTTGGTGGGACTGCAAACTAGTTCAACCATTGTGGAAGACAGTGTGGCGATTCCTCAGGGATCTAGAACTAGAAATACCATTTGACCCAGCCATCCCATTACTGGGTATATACCCAAAGGATTACAAATCATGCTGCTATAAAGACACATGCACACATATGTTTATTGCAGCACTATTCACAATGGTAAAGACTTGGAACCAACCCAAATGTCCAACAATGATAGACTGGATTAAGAAAATGTGGCACATATACACCATGGAATACTATGCAGCCATAAAAATGATGAGTTCATGTCCTTTGTAGGGACATGGATGAAGCGGGAAACCATCATTCTCAGCAAACTATCGCAAGGACAAAAAACCAAACACCTCATGTTGTCACTCATAGGTGGGAATTGAACAATGAGAACACATGGACACAGAAAGGGCAACATCACACACCAGGGCCTGTTGTGGGGTGGGGGGATGGGGGAGGAATAGCATTAGGAGATATAACTAATGTTAAATGATGAGTTAATGGGTTCAGCACACCAACATGGCACATGTTATATACATGTTGTATATATATGTAACAAACCTGCACGTGGTACACATGTACCCTAAAACTTAAAGTATAATAAAAAAAAAAGAAAAGAAAATGTGGTGAAAATACAAATTTTCTTCAACAAATAAATTTTGGGCAACTGGATATCCGAATGTAAAAGAATGAAGCTGCATCCCTACCTCTCACTCCATATATAAAAATTAATGCAAAAGAAATCAATAGCCTAAGTATAGGAGCTAAAACTATACAACTAGTAGAAGAAAACAAAAGGGAAAATATTCACCATGGATAATTTAAATCCACAGATAATTCTCTACCTCAGTTAAAAGTGAGCCTCTTTTCCATTATAACTTTTGCTCAGTGAATATGGGGATGATAGCAATGCTGCCTAACTTTTTTTTTTTTTTTTTTTTTTTTTAGAGGGATAGTCTCGCTCTGTTGCCCAGGCTGGAGTGCAGTGGCGAGATCTCAGCTCACTGCAACCTCCACCTCCCGGGTTCAAGCAATTCTCCTGCCTCAGCCTCCTGAGTAGCTGGGATTACAGGCGTGTGCCACTATGCCTGGCTAATATTTTGTATTTTTTTTTTAGTAGAGACAGGGTTTCACCATGCTGGCCAGGCTGGTCTCGAACTCCTGACCTTGTGATCCACCCGCCTCGGCCTCCCAAAGTGCTGGGATTACAGGCATGAGCCCAGCCGAGTTTTCTTTCTTTTCATTCCCCCATCCATTAGGATAGACATTTCATAAGAAATATCCTTGAAGAATATCAGAAAAAAGGCAAAGAATCAAGTGCTTAGTCAATCCTATCAAAACATAAAGTTGGTTGTAAATAATAAAAACAAAACCAAGTGTATGCATTAAAGCAAATACACCCTTTGGTTTATAAATTCTTTTATTAAGTCAATTAACTCTTCTCTTGCATGCCCTCCCTCACATGATAATTTTATTATGAGTAGATAATAGAATGGTTAAGAGCACAGACCCTACAGCCAGAGGGCAAGAAGTCCAATCTTAGCTCCACCACTTGCTTAGCTGCATAACATTCTGTCACTTTTTAAACTCTCTACATGCCTCAGCTCCCTCATCTTTAAAATGGGAATAATATTAGTGCCTACCTGTAGGACTGTTGCCTAGCACATAGTAGGCATTTTAAAAGTGTGTGTCATTATTTCTAGGACTGACAGAAAATGGATCAGCCAAGAGAGGAATTTTTATGCTTCCTAAAATACTGGTCCATGATTATATACAGAGTTGCTAGAAAAAGCAGCTCATGTGGTTGCCCTGAGCCTGTACCCTGTAGACCTCCAACTACAGGGAGTGTAACTAATCAAGGACCTCAGCTACTGTGCTCTGAAATCCATAACTACATTTGTACAGAGGTCTCACTTTCTGCCAGCTGCTCCCAGCCAGTAACTAAGTGCTGTGTGAAAACTAAGGGAGGTCATTTCTGGGAGACATGGGACTCCTCTTATGGTCAACTTTGGCTCAAGTATTCTTTGACATCTTTGTCAAAATTTCTTTATTCTGATGATCAAGCTGGACCTTCCATTCCACTTTGTCTTCACTTCACTTCACTTTGTCAGACTTGCATCATGGGCTAATGTCCCTCCAACCTTTCTGCCTCCCTCCCTATTTTATCTCATCTTTTTAATCCCATCTTGGTGTCTGATTCTTAGAGGACTTGAACTAACACAATCTAGCATTCAAACCACTCTTAGATATGACATCCTATTTTCCACCATATCTCCCACCTCTTATTTACCTGTATCTCATACTCTTGGTTTCTGCATGTGCCCAATACCTTCCTGTCTCTGAGCTTTTGCCCATACTCCTTCACTGAGAAAGCACTCACTACCTGACCAATTTTGCCTGTTGAATCCCACTTTTCATTGATCATGCATCTCAAATGTCCCCTTCTCTAAGCCTTTCAGGGTCCTGTCAGCTGCATATATTTTTTTCCCTTCTGTAAACCTCCAGGATTCTTGTTTTTGAACACTTTTATAAGCTTATTAATAGCAAATAAATAAACCTTTTATTTTGAACCTCCAAAGTGCTCAGCTTGTATAGAATAGGCACTTAATATTTGCAGAATATAATTGAAAAATTGGGGGAATTCTATTCTAGTGAATTTAATTTTTAAAATTCAGGATTTCCAACAGCTCACATCCATTCTGCTTGATATAGTAACAATGAACTTGCCTGAATAAAAAAAATATTATATGTATCAAAGCACAGTGCAGAATGTAGCATGTAGTAACAATTTTAATATCTGCTTAAAATGCTTCATCAAATTTGGCTATTTTTTTCCGCAAAGGAGTGATTATTTGAAATTCTAAAATAGTTTTGCTTTGTGTCTGTATACAAATGTGAACTAGGGCACCTGGATAAATAGTTGTAAAGAAATACTTCCTCCTCAAACAAAGGGTCCCTGCCTAAGGGCTAATGAAGCCAACATCTCTCCTCTTGGGCTCAACTCCAGAAACAGAAAAGGGAGACCTTGCTGTTTCAATGAACTTTTACAGGATGAGGTGTCTGAACAGTAATATGAGAGTGTATTGATGAGCTCAATATATAATCTTATTTCTTCATGTATCTTATTTCTTCATATATATTTCTTCTTATTTCTTCAAATATTTCTTCATATATTTCTACATATATGTATGGCATATATGTATGGCATATATGTACATGTATGAATCTTATTTCTTCATACATGTACCAGGCAGTTTCCATTTAATCCTCACAACAGACTTATCCTCATATTACAGATAGAACATTGAGGCTCTGAGGGTTTGTGACTTACCCCCAGGTCATGCTCTGGTCATTGATAAATCCTTGAGAAGTTTACCGTGGGTATCTAAAAGATATGTTAATCATATAAAGTCAATTTCTTCCCCCAACCTTATCCTTACGCTTTTTGGACAATTTCCTTGAGCAATTCAGCCTAAGGAAACTTGAAGGCAGGGTTTGGCATCTAGCCAGGGTACAGCAGCCGTGCCAGCACAGCAGCCTCCGGTCAAGGGTTGTAAGTCATTAACTTGGGTCTCCTACCACTTCCGGTTAAGAATGCAACACTCAGGTGAGAACTTCTCAGGTGGAAAGCAGGAAGAGGGTGGCTAGTGCAAGGATCAGATAGCACCTGCTTGGAAGTTCACTGATTAATGATTTAACAAGGGCGGTCACATGGGACAACTGCTGCTTTTCTCTGCCCTCATTTTTCTTACTAACAGGTCTGAAAATTGAACAAGATGGACGGGTCCAGGAAAGAGGAGGAGGAAGACAGCACATTCACCAACATTTCTCTTGCAGATGACATAGGTAAGGAAAAAATGGATAACTTCTCAAACATACATTCAACAACAGCTCAGTTTTTTAAAAATATAACTTTTATTATTTTCAGTATAATGATAAAGCATACTCATTGTAGAAAACTTGAAAAAATATAGTTACAAAAACAGGTTTTAATTAAGAGCTGTTTTTCTTTTTCCTTTTAAATTAAGTGATAATTTTAAAGTTGCTGTCATTATATAACATGTACTTTTTAAAATAAATAAAAACAAAATATTTCCTAAAAGTTCAGGAAACATGATGTCAAAGTTGCTACGAAAACAACCTATAATATCGCCACATTTTGTTCAATTATAGTCAGTTTCTTTTCTATCTTGTAAAATAATTGTATCATTACTGAAAACTGAACTAGACTATGCTGCAATTAGCTTTAAGGATTATTGCAGAAAATGTCTGATTTTTAAGGCTAAAGTTTGCTGAATTCAACATGAGAGAAGGAACCAAGTGGGAGAGCAGTTCTAAAATGCTGATGGAAAGGATAACCATGGTTCATTCAACATCTTGGAAAAAATAGACAGTGCTGAATTGCACAATGTTAACTGGAAACACTTCAAACCTACAAGCACCCAAGTCCTTGGGTGTGTGTGGGGTGTGTGTGCGTGTGGTGGTTGTTGCTTTCTATCCAAGTTCCTTTAGCGCAATCATAGTATGAAGCCAGCAAGACTGCAGCTAAGCAATGGGGGTTACTAATTTTGATTAACAGAGAGCAAGAGCATGAATATTTAACATCAATTGCTCTTTCATACAGCCACGCTTCTCCACTTTCTCCCTAAATGCTTAGATTCAAAAAGCGTCTTTCTAAAGTGCAGCCAGACAATTAACACAAACCACCAGCCAGACCTAAGCTTCCCTCCTGGCACTGCATAAACATGCTGGGGTCTTTGGAAATCAAAGAGGAGTATTTTCAGTCTTTATAAGGGGAGGAAAGGTACGAGGTACTGGGCTGTTGAAGAAATGGGATACCGCTGTCCTTAACATGCTCCCACCAGGGTGTTTTAGAAAGCAGACAGAGCTGCAGAAGGCAGTGAAGGAAACAAAGACAGGGGAAACCCATGTTTCTTAGCTTCGGGAGGCGAGATGAGCATGCGCATGGGGAGCCCTATATGCTGTGGGAGGATGCAGTTCGTAGAGAAAGCTTGCTTGCTTAGAATGTGACTCAGCCCAGAATTTTTTTCTGCATGGGCTGAGCCTGAAAGTGGGGACTGTTGGTGGTGCCAGGCCTTTCTACAGCGACTCTCTGACGCACCTCATCACACCCCTTCAACTCTCCCCTCCACGTCTCATCTTCTGCCACTTTCACACTTCCAGTGGAGGAAAGAGCAAGAGGGCAGGAAATTTAAGTTCAGGTGTCCAGTCCACTGTTGGCACTGGTTTTGAGAAGGGCTGCATAGGAGCTGCTTGCTAATGGAGCCTGGACGTGTGGGCATGGGCGCTGAAGAACTAGGAAAGAGTGAGCAACGCTCTCTGGTTGGTAGTGAGAGTGCCGGCAACCACACGAGAGGACCAACGTCCCCTTGCTCCCAATTGCCGCCTCCTTCTCCTTTGTTAGACTGAGTCACAAAATCTCAGTGCACAAAAGGCCTTTGGAGCTGGTCCAGCATAATAACCAGTGGTGGACTCAGGAACTAGTATTAATTTCTGCTGTTTCCATATTTCAAAATGGTAAATGGAAATTGTTCATATATTTGTGATGAAAATGTGCCAGTTAACAAAGACACCATGTTTCTTTGGCTTTTGGAGACAATTTTATTCATTTGACCTGGTAACACTGGTTCATCTTTGTTAATAAAACGTTCTTGGGCTTTGATAACTAAAAATAGGAAAACAAATTATTATAAAAAAATGGAGCTTGTTTAGCAGACATCATTCATTCAAATTGTGGAATCCTTGCAAAAGTAAAGCATTAAAAAGGTATGCTTATATTAAAAGAAAGTTTAGTTCAATTTCTTACTTTTCTTTTTACAATATACATATATGCATACATATGTGTACACATACATGTGTACATATACATATATATATGTAAGGGAGGCCCAGAGAGTCTAAATGCCTTGCCCAAGAGCACAGAGCCAATTAGAGGCAGAGCCAGACTACCTAGAAAGGAAGCATTTCTCAAACTCCTATGTTCAATAAATTCATAGAGTCAATATTAAATGCAATAGTTTCAATACATTTACTGGATTCCAGATACAATGCTACGTCCTTTTAACATCTTATTTCATCTTTACAACATCATCATGATATTATGGTCCTACATTACAGATGATAAAACTGTAGCTCATATTTTTTTAGTAACTTGCTTAAGGCCTCTCCAGGAAGTGATAGAGCCAAAGTCCCAATCCAAGTCTCCTATGGTTGCGGGCATTCCATCTGAGCACCCTTCTCATCTTACAGTTTCTGCATGGATATTGAGTGGCAGTGGCGGTGTTTGTTCATGCTGGGCTTTTTGGTAGATTGTTGGAGCTGGATACCAGAGAAAGCCTTGCACCTTTTAGGGAACTCTAAAAACTGTAAGGATTATAGGCCCTAATGGGTTGGCCTTGGTGATTGTCCAGAAAGACATCGGCTACTGGATGCCAGCCGAGTGCGGTATTGGAAGCTGCTGGATACAGAGGCTCTCACACAAGGACCACTTGTTTCTAATTCTGAATAGAAAGGCCTCGAGTCCCCGGCACTGATCCCTGTGTGACTGGTCAGACCTATCGCTGTCTCCTTTTACCTCCATCGCCTCCCCCTTATACTGCTTCTTTTCTTATTCAGAGGAAGGCGAGAGAAAGGAGAAGGAAGTTTCTACTAACTCTTGAGAAGGTTTGTTTGAGGAAAGGATTGAAGGCATTAATCAAACTTTCATTTACTTTGAATTTTATTTATTTAAGTAATTCTACTTCCTGGTAGTATGGAGCAGTGAGAACGGGCAATGCCAGTAGTTACTCAAGTCACAAGCCAGTTGTGCTTCATAAATTTACTTGTACGTGAGTTGTATGGATTCAGAACAAATGTCCCCAAAGAAACATTACAAATGATAGGATTCCAGACCTGTCCATGCCATCTAACCACATGGCTCCCAAACTGTGTGCCAAGATGCTCCAGGGCACTGCAGCAAACTCACAGGGGTTCTATGAGGGCATCTCAACCTCTCTCAGACACTGAAAGGACTACTGGCTGGTGGTCACTCATTGTTTCACACTAGATTGAACTATGTATCTTTCAATGACATCATCTCTTTCAATCCTGGGTTTTCTGCAATTGCTGTGATAAAAAGCAAGTTCTGTATGAAAGTCAATTGTAGAACAGATAATGAGGGCGGCAGTTTGAGAAGGCTGGAGAAGTTATGCAGTGCCCAACAGGTGCACACATCCCATAAATAAGTGCGTTCCTTTAAGAATGAAATAAAAATATATTTTCTTTCAATTTAGGTACAGTAATTTTTTTTAATGGCTACTAGGTTTTTTGGACATAACAATGTTAATAAGATGTTTGGATCTAAACACTTAATATATGGAACTGTTTGGTGTTTATCTTGGCTTTGGAGTACTGTGAAAAAATTACTGAGACACCAAGGGCACCATAAACTAAGATAGTTTAGGAATCTATGGTCTCAACTGTACTGTAGCTGAACTGGCCCCACTTCTGGGACCTTAGAGGTGGGAGCCATACAGTGCAGGACAAAAGACATTAGACGGCATTGATCTCTCCTTCCTTCCTATGCTTCCACTCCCCTGGCTTTGATGCCACCGCACGGCTCAGGTTCCTCTTCAGCCTCTTTCATCTTTCATCTCAGGCTCTTTTGGGAACCTGTGTCCTCCAGCGTTTCCCTAAGACTCTGTCCTTGGCTACTGTTCTCTCTCTGGACACACGCTCTGGATGATCCTATCTACTCCTAGTTCCATTCTCACCGCCCGTTGCTATATCCCAGCGACTCTAAAACAGAAATCGCAAATTCAAACACCTTCAGGGCCAGGCAATGTGTATGTGGGAAAGGGGCAATGGTATATCATAATTTTTTTCCCCTACTTTTCTAAAACAAGCTATTGACATTTCAATTCTGTTTTTAGTTTATCAAGTTTTTCATCATGCATCTTTTACATATACCAGACATTACTCTTACTATGGTTTATTTCACAATGGCATCTCAAGGTTAATTCTTTCAAGGACATGCTTTGTTTGCATGTTAAATTTATGGGAACATTCTTCATTTCTCACCATTTTCCTTAGGAGACACAGTCCTCTTGGACTAGATTTCATTTTCTACTTTTTTTCTTATTTACTAAATACAAATAAAAATTGTATATGTTTATGGTTTATGGTGTACATTATATATATAATGTAGTGGAACGGCCACATATACATATATGTAGTGGAATAGCTAAATCAAGCTAATGAACATATAATTTACCTCACATAGTTATTTTTTTTAGTGGTGAGAACACTTAAAATCTACTCTCTTTGAAATATTTAAGTATACAATATATTGTTTTTAACTATAGTTGCCGTGATGTACAAAAGATCTCTTAAATTTATTCATCTTGTCGAATTGAAATTTTGTATCCTTTGGCCAACATCTCCGCAATATCCTCACCCTCCAACCTCTGATAATCATCATTGTACTGTCTGCTTCTATGAGTTCCACTTTTTTAGATTCCACATACAAGTGAGATCACATAGTATTTGTCTTTCTGCGCCTGGCTAACATAATGTCTTCCAGGTTCATCCATGTTGTTACAAATGGCAAGATTTCCTTCTTTTTTAAGGCTGAATTCTTCCACTATATGTATGTGTGTGTGTGAGTGTGTGTATATGTATGTATATATATGTGTGTATATATATGTATATATATACGCACACACACACACATCACATTTTCTTTATTCATCTGTCGACAGACATTTAGGTTGTTTCCATATCTTGGCTATTGTGAATTATGATGCAATGAATACGAGCATGCAGATATATTTTCAATATTCTGATTTCAAGTCCTTTGGATATATACCAGTAGTGGGAGTGCTGGATCATATGGTAGTTCCAGTTTTAATGTTTTGAGGAACCTCCACACTTTTCTATAGTAGCTGTACTAATGTACATTCCCACTAACAGTGTGCAAAGATTCCCTGTTCTCCACATCCTGGCCAACTCTTATCTTTCATCTTTTTTATAATAGCCATCCTAACAGTTGGGAGATGTTATCTCATGGTGGTTTTAATTTGCATTTCTCTGATGATTAGTGGTATTGAGCTCATTTTCATATACCCATTGGCCATTTGTATGTCTTCTTTTGAGAAACATCTATTTAGGCTCATTACCCATTTTTAAATTGGGATATTTGTTTTCTTGCATTTTCCACTTTTGACTGAAGTAAGGGAACAACATAGTTTACTTTCCTCTTAACTCTGCAGTAAGAAAACAACAGAGCAATTGTGATGACAGAATGACAACCAACACTGAGCCTTGGGTCCAGCCAGGAGGGTTGAGGGTTGAGGCTCCCTGGAGAGCATGTGCCCGGCTCAAAAGGCAGAGCTGCTTTCTGCTTCTGGTTAACTATTGTCATGGAGGGACAGAAATGCAAATAAGTGGAAACTTTAAGAGACACTGAATATTTCAATTTTTTGTACAATTTCCTGGTTTTTCCATGTTTTTCACCTAATCCTAGTTTTAAAAACAATAGCATAGAGATCCAAACAAAGCACATCTGCAGGACAGATGTGACTGCAGAGGAAACTATTTTCAGACTTCTGTTCTCAAATCTTGTCTTCACCTCTCTCCTGAGTTTATGATTCATAA
Organism: Homo sapiens; assembly: GCF_000001405.40. Taxonomy (NCBI): domain Eukaryota; kingdom Metazoa; phylum Chordata; class Mammalia; order Primates; family Hominidae; genus Homo; species Homo sapiens. The sequence continues at coordinate 140,349,517 of NC_000004.12, forward strand.
TCCAATTGCTTGCCTAGATATCTCCCAGGTGTCAAATAAACTTACCTTCTCCCCCCAATCTATTCCCACTCCTATATTCATAATTTTAATTAATGGCCCCACCATCCACACAGTTACGAAAGCTAGAAATCCATATGTCATTCCTTCTTTCTCACAATCTGATCAATCACCAATTCTTGTTGACTTGACCTTGGAAATGTTTCTCAAATAAATCTGGCCTTCTCCATCCCTGCCACCACCTCCCTCACCAGGTCCTTATTATCCCCAACACAAACCACAGCACCTGCCTCCCAATGGTTTATCTTATTTCAAATTTTATCCCTTCAAATCTACCCTCCACAGTGGCCACATCACTACCTCCGCCTGTAGAGAACAATCAATGCCTCACAGCCCCTGAAGGATAAAGTCCGATTCACTTAGCATAGCATTGAAGGTCTCCCTTTTCCCAGCTCTCCCTATCTTTTCAGTGTCATTTCCTGCCACACCATTTGAGCTCAGTAGGAGACCCTTAATGTTCCCTCCACACAGTGCCTAGTTCATGCCTCTGCATGCTGTGCTGCTTCTCACTTTGGAATAACACTACCCACCTTTCTTTTTGTCTGGTCAATTCCTACTCACCCTTTCAGACCCCATTCAGGCAATGCCACCTTCAGGAAGCTTTCCCTGATCTTCCCAGGCTGTGTTAGATTTCCTTTCTCCTTTCTAAGAACCCCTAACTTATCTCTGTCTGCATTTTTTTTCATAGTATATGAACAGACTATTCAATAGACTGCGAGCTTCTAAAACACAGCCTGGGTTTTCAAATATCTGTATTCCCAGCATCCAGCACAAGTTGAATGGCTTAACATCTTTTGATTAAAGAATTCTGATAGAATTTGTGTGTGTTGGGATAAGTGCCAGTTTAGGCAGGCCAGCCCCTAGCTGAGAGTTGACTCCTAGGGTTGGTTTTCCTAAATTGTCTCTACTTTTTAGACACTTCTTTTCTATTGTCTCTTCTTTCTATCCACACTTCTGGGTAAGTTTAGTTCTGTTTTCAGAACGCATTTATTGAGCACCTACTGTCATATGCCAGGTAGTAGGCAGGACCTGGTTATTTGAAGAATTGGCACAGGGGAGTGTGGCAGGAAGGGCTTGAACTTTGAAGTCAGAAATGCCTGGATTTGAATCTGTTAGACTTTGTGCAAGCTATCTGCCATCCCTGAGCCTCCATTCCCTCAGCTGCAAAATGATCATAAGAGTAAGTCTCAGAATTGATTTGAAGATTAAATGAAATAATAAAGATGGTGTCTTGAACTAGCCTGGCATAAAGTGAGTGCTTGGTACATTTTCCTTCCTCTGTTGCCCACTTCAAGGAGCTCACATAAAAGTTTCCTAAAAGGCTCTGAGATCTGGGCCAGGAACAGTGGCTCACACCTGTAATCCCAGCACTTTGGGAGGCTGAGGCCGGCAGATCGCCTGAGGTCAGGAGTTTGAGACCAGCCTGGCCAACATAGAGAAACCCCATCTCTACTTAAAAAAAAAAAATTAGCTGAGCGTGGTGCCAGGTGCCTGTAATCCCAGCTACTCGGGAGGCTGAGGCAGGGGAATCGCTTAAACCCGGGAGGTAGAGGTTGCAGTGAGCCGAGATCGCGCCATTGCACTCCAGCCTGGGCAACAAGAGCGAGACTTTATCTAAAAAAAAAAAAAAAGAAGAAGAAGGCTCTGAGATTTGGCCACATCAGTTCTCATGGTAACGACAGTGTCCTGTGGACATGGCGCTGTAAGCTGGGACTGCCTGTTGACGTCCTCCTGATAAGGAAGGGGAGATGGATATGAAGGAACTCTTTATACAAGAGCACGATTCTTTTCTGATGAATATAATGAAGCCACTCTTTCCCCTCTTCATGCCGGCCCTCGCCGCCTCCCCGTCGATGTCCTTCCCATCGCTCCTCTCCTTTATGCCTCAGCCTCCGTCCTGACTCTGCTCTCTAAAACCTCTCCTGAATAATATTCAAAGCTGCGTCTGCGTCTGCTTTTGGTGTCGGCCAATTAGCCCTCATTGTAAGGTTGTAATATGCTTCCCAGAGAAGTGGCACAATTGTTGTGTGCTTTTATTCAGTGATGCTTCCTACCACTATATGGAAAATGTAACAATACCCCCTCACGCCCTGCTGAAAGCAGCCCGGGTTTGAAAAGCTTTCAGAAGGCCATCTGCCGTCCCCTCAGCCAAGCAGAAGATCAGACACGAGGCCCTGCATTAGTTAGCACTCTAAGTAAAAGGTATCAAGGGTCTGTATTCCTTTTCATCTCATCCTCCATTATAATATGGGCTAAAGAAGGAAATAGACTTGTGGCTCCCCAGCTGAGAGAACACTGAGCCATAGCAGGAGTCTTGTCGGTGAAAAGGGAGCAGGCCTTTCTTTTCTGATATGAATGGAGCCAGTGTTTGCAGCCAGCGCCATGCTCCCAAGTGTCTGCCAAGCGGCCATTGCCAGCTTTGCTGGGTTACACTGGACATCTTGGGAGACAACTGCGCAGATGAGAGTCCCAGAGTGGGGACATGGTTAAATAAGTACACAAGGAAGTGGCGAGCGCTGGCTGAGCGTGTTCTGGTCAGGACTAGAGAACCCCCTGCCACCAGTGCCATTTCTCTTTACACCCTCCAATGAATTTGGCTATGAATACTAATTTAAAAGATTATTCCCATATCCTTAAGGGTATTGAAAAAGATCATCTCTAGTATGTTGGAAATGTTGTTTTTAGTGAAATCAAACAAGTATGTTAATTGCACCAGCAATGGCAAAAAGTTTCAGCAAATCTTAATTGGCATTTGGGATCCATATAAGTATGGATAATGCCATTGGCAGAGTAAAATATCTGTTCCTGTAAGCTAAAGATAATATGGACAGTGGCATTAGGAATACCTCCCCTGGCCCAGCAAAATGCCTTAGAGACTTAGCATAAGAGATTCAATAAGAAAAAGGAGATTAACTCTGCTTCTCAGCAGCTTCTGGGAGTGGTATGGCTCTAGGGTCACCAGTGTATTGCTAGAAATTGTAAGTGCTCTTTCTGCAGAGAAATCTTCAATCAGAAGAAATCCACTTAACTGAAATAAATGATCTAGCATAAAGCAAAAACTAGTTTCAGTAAACAAGCTTAAGAAATGGCATGTTAGCGCAGTATCTAATGTTTTCAGTAATCGAGAGTGTTCTCTAATTTTCTCAGCAAAGGATAAGTCGTAATATTTTGACTCTTCCTTTCAAAGACAAAAAACATCCATTGGTTGCCTATATGTTTTTTCTACGTCATTAGAATAAGCACAAAAAAAGGGAGGGGGGCATTAGAATTTTCTCATGTTAAATTTGTACAAAATCCTTCATAGTTATGGTGAATTTTTTCCAGGGAGAAATCCAGAGGAGATCCTGAAAATCAGGGGTGAATTTTATTTACCTGAGCTCATGAGCTAATAAGATGCTGACCTGTCTCAAGTCTGCATTCCTGAAGAGGGGCTGACACAGGGCCCTTCATTTCACAAAGGCTCCAGTTGGATGGGAGCAGCTTTGGACACACTTTCCCTCACAGGCTTCCTGCCTGCTTGACTTGTTCAGAATTTCAGGGTCAAAGCCTGGTTTCCTTAGAGAACTTAAGGGTTCCTTTGGCCTTCAAAGATAGTCTGGGTACAGAGAGAAGGAGGACACGGGCCCCAAAAGAACAGGACAAACCAGATGAATCAGCTTCTATTGGGCTCCACGAGCCTAGAAATAAACATTTTAAATGATCCAAAAGCTTTATAAGTGACACTGCTGAAACAATATATCCACCAATCACAGAATCAAAGTTATTGTAAAAACTGCTCCAGAAAGAGGTGTTTTGCTTTCCTAGATAGGCGTTAGTATTCATTTTCTTTTTTTCTTTTTCTTTTTTTTTTTTTTTTGAGACGAAGTCTCTCTCTGTCGCCAGGCTGGAGTGCAGTGGCATGATCTTGACTCACTGCAACCTCTGCCTCCCGCGTTCAAGCGATTCTCCTGCCTCATCCTCCTGAGTAGCTGGGATTATGGGTGCACGCCACCACGCCCGGCTAATTTTTTTGTATTTTTAGTAGAGACAGGGTTTCACCAGGTCTCGATCTCTTGACCTCATGATCTGCCCGCCTTGGCCTCCCAAAGTGCTGCGATTACAGGCGTGAGCCACCATGCCGGCCTAGTATTCATTTTCAGTCCTCAACATTGGGAACACAAAAGACTCAGTGGTAGCTCACATGAATGGTCTGGAAGAACAGTGAGCCTCTCTTGCCGCCTTTCTGTTACAGTGACCTGGGTCTTCCCTCCACCAGCCTTCTTGGGATGCACACAGTCAACAGCAGGCTCTTTTCAGCCCTTACTCACTTTCTTCCCCATTTAATCATTGTTCCCTTCTTTCTCCATACACATGTTTCATTGTCAGCTTAATGACTTTGGCTCAGAGCACTTGCCTGCGCACATGCGTGGTTTTCATTGCTCGTAGTGTGACGTTAGTAAAAGTTGTTTGAAAAGCTTGTATTTTAAAACACATTCTTCTTTTCTTATCCCTCTTGAAAATCTTTACTACCTTTTCTTAGCAGACAAAAGGCTCTACTATTGTTTGTTCCTCCGTGTGAATATTTTGCTTTCATCTTCATTTGTGGTTAGGAGGTTAGCTTCCTTTATAAAAATGTTTAGAAGATTTTTTTTTTAACAATGTTTCTTATCATTCTTTTTTACTTTGGAATTTTAAATGACTTGAGCTTTGTGCTGTCACAGTGTTTCTCATCTGACACAGTGGATTCCTGTCCCTTCTGCTTTGAGCCCTTTGCCATACTGTAAAAATGGAATTTCTGTAATAAAATGTTATAATTTGAGAGACTCTTCAGTTTACAGTGACTGTTGACCCCTAACCGCTACATTTCTCAGCCAGTGTCTCTCTGTGAAATATTTAGTGATCGTCCACATACAATTGCCCTGGGAGAGCCTACATTTCAAGGAATTTCTCAAAGAACTTTTTTTTTTTTTTTTTTTTTTTGCAGGATATTTTTTACCAACACAAACAGTAACTCCTCTATTTGTCCATTTTGTAGGTTGGGACATTTATGCTTTTTAGGTAACGTGTAATCATTTGACTGTGAAAGGAATTCGACAAATTCGTAACTAATTGATTATTTTTAAAAAGCAAACTGCATGTTCTAATGATTATATCCTTAAGGGTTTTTTTTTTTAAACCTTTTTGAGGGAGGAAGATTAATGCAGGAGTTGGAAAAAATGATTAATCAAATGTCATTCTAGTTTTCCTGTAGATTCTCAATTCTGGTGACAATTAGAAAATCAGTTGGTTTCTTTGGAAATCCTAGTTAACTATTTGGGTATTTATTTCTATCTAAAAAGCAACCCGTCATCACTCATCACAAATAAAACTAAGAGTCTCAAATGTTTGGAGTAACCCCACACTTTACTAACTAGTCATGTGTCTCTGTGACGGTTAACACTGTCAACTTGGTTGGACTGAAGGATGCTAAATATTGATCCTGGGTGTGTCTGTGAGGATGTTGCCAAAGGAGATTAATATTTGAGTCAGTGGGCTGGGAAACCAGACCCACCCTTAATCTGGTGGTCACAATCTAATCAGCTGCCAGCGAATATAAAGCAGGCAGAAAAATGTAAGAAGGTGAGACTGGCCCAACTTCTCAGCCTATACATTATATTTTTATATATATATATATATATATATATATATATATATATAATGTATATAAAACAATGTTATAGAACAATGATACCCTGACTAATACAGTCTCTTAGGTGCATAATGATAATAAGCATTCATTAAAAACGTATTATATGCCAGGCACTGTGCTAAGAAATTTATATGCATTATCTCAGTCCACACAAATATCATGCTATTGATATTATCCCTGTTTTTCAGATTGAAAACTGGGCTTGGAAAGGTTTAGTACATTGCACAATGCAGAGCTGGGATTCAAGCCCAGGTCTAGGTGACTTCAAAGCCTCTGTCAAATGACAATGCATCAGAATTGAAATTAGTAGATAGATAGCATTTCTGCATTGTACTGACTAGGTAGAAGCAATAAGGTGCCTGCATTGCAGGTACTGAATAATGAAATATGGTCCTCTAGTTATGTTATGAGGTCATTGTTTCAAAAATGTAATCATAGAATCAGAGGGCAAGAAGAGCCCAGAGGCTCTCTACCAATATTGGAATATGCTCAGACATGAAAGATAGAATATAAAATTGTATCTATGTTGCGATTACAACCATGCAAAAGTAATTTATATATATGGACTAGAATGCGAAGGGAACTCGGAAAAATGTATGTATTAGTGTGAAGGGATTACAGGTTATTAGATTTTCATGTTATATTTATGCAATTTTTTTCATAAAAAATGAGATTAATACTAGAGTTTTTCTAATATATAGAACTAAGGTATTAATCCTAACATGGGTGATAATTTTCAGAAGCATGTGAAAATATCAGTGGTTGGATTATGGACATCTGTCGCAACACCACTATGGTGATACATGTGAAAAGTTGTTTAGGAAAAATAAAATGGAGAAAGTGGCAAATTTAGCTACAGGATATTCAAGGCATGGAGGGTGGAGAGTAAAGGAGACACGGCACAAATTGTAAACGACACCCTTCAGCACAGTCATGTCTTTTGCATTTTATCCCTTATTTTGAAATAATCTCAAACTATAGAAAATTTTCAAGTAACTTAAAGAAGATTCTGTTTTGTTCCTAAGTTATTTGAAAGTTGCCTGTGCTCTATCACTCCTGGATACATTAGTGTATATTTCTTACAAACGAAGACTTTCTCCTTCGTAACCACAACACAACCAATAACATCAGGAAAATGGCATCCCTACATCACTCTCACCCAATCTTCAAAGCCCACTGAAGCTTCACCAGTTGTCTTGATAATATCCTTTACAAAAAGTATCATTTTAAAATCATATGTTGCATGTAGCTGTCATGTCACCTTCATCTCCTTCAATCTGGAACAGTTCCTCCATCTTTACTTGACTTTCATAACTTTAAAAGATTATAGAGCAGTCATTGTGTAAAATGGTTCTCAGTTTGTGTTTTCTGATGTTTCCTCATGATCAATAAGTTTGGCAAGAATATAGCAGAATGATACTGTGTTCTTCTCATTGCATACTGTCAGGTGGTATATAATTTCTATGTTCCCTTTACCAGTGAGGTTAACTTTGAGCTCTTGATTACGGGTGGTGTCTGACTCATTTTTCCTTCAGTAATTAGCACGTATTTTAGAGGGAGATATTTTGAGACTATATAAATATTTCATTTCACATCAAACTATTTATTTATTTATATCAGAATAGATTTACTTTTTCCCAATTTATTAAGTGAGTTATAATCCTCAGTATATCCTTAGAGAAGGATAAAAGGAAGAGATACATAGTACCTTAAAATCTTTTATTTATTTATTTGTTCATTTATTTAGAGACAGGGTCTCGCTCTGTTGCCCAAGCTGGAGTGCAGTGGTGCAATCTCGGCTCACTGCAACCTTCGCCTCCCAGGTTCAAGCGATTTTCCTGCCTCAGCCTCTGGAGTAGCTGAGACTACAGGAGCCTGCCTCCAAACCTGGCTAATTTTTGTACTTTTTTTTAGTAGAGACAGGGTTTCACCATGTTGACCAGGCTGGTCTCGAACTCCTGACCTCAAGTGGTCTGCCTGCCTCAGCCTCCCAAAGTGCTGGGATTACGGGTGTGAGCCACTGCACCCAGCCTTAAAATCTTTTATATATGGTAATCAGGTGTACAGAGATTCTATTCCTACTGCCTTGAATTATTCAAATTTACACTTATATTCACTTCATTTCTTCTCCAGTAAATTTGTCTTCAAATTTTTCACCAGTAGAGATAGGGAAGGGCATTCAACAAGGAAAAGTGGAATATTCCTTTATCCATTCACCCATTACATACCCAGCTGTCAGTTCCGTGTATCTGATTTGACTCTCAGCCTGGCACCTCCTGCAGTGAATGCCACTGGATGGAAGTGGGTGTAGACAATGCATGTTCCTATTGCCATGTGGCTGGGCTCCTGAAGTTGTTAACCTTAATTTCCCTAAGGAGATAAGGTGTTTATAAACCAAACATTGGTATTTTCACTTGGATCTCAAAGCCAGGACTCACATTAGGATTATGACCTTAAATTCTACATATCAGATATGCCACTTTGTCAAAATGGTGAGACAGATCAGAGCTGCCTTTGCCATCTCACTATACTACTTTTCCTAACCCATCGTAGTTGGTATTATTTTCGTCATTCTAATAAAGAATGACGAATAGTAGCATCTTTAATTCGTTATACCCCACATCTTCTCTTTCTCCCCTTTTCCTCATTCCCTCAACAAATGTTTTATCCACTGTGTCCTTTGTTGTAATCTTGCCTCTGATCCTCTCTTGAGTGCTTTCTGTGGTGTATGTCTCCTTTCCATTGCTGTGTTCTGTCTTCCTTCCCTTCCTTTCTCTCTCTCTAACGCCTATGCACTCCTAATCCCTTTGCTTTCTCGCCCTGGTCTCAGGGCCTGACCTTTGCACTCCACTCTTCTGTCCTTCCCCTGATTCACACTCCCTATTGTATTGATGGCTTACAGGTTTGGAGATAAAGCAACACCTGAGTTGAATACTTTTTTAAAAAGTTTTACCTTTATTATTTTAAGTAAAAGGAAAAAGAAATCTTTGGCTCAGATAACTTTGAGTTTACGCACTTGTAATTTGCATTACCAGATAGTTACGATCATTGCTGCTAAGTCCATTAACTGTTCACATACAAACATTGCTGCTAAGAGCTAACATTTCCCTTGTTTATTACCCATTTATGGAGTATTTTTCTTAGAAACACTGAGTAATGACTAAGTTTCCAAGCTCTAGAGTTGAAGTCCCTGCAATCAAATCCTTGCTCAGCTAGCTGTGGTAACATTGGGCAAATTATTTAACCTCTCTAAACTTCAGTTTCCTGTTGATAAGGCTACTGTATGGCTGAGTTAGCCTATAGTGCCTGCCAGCCTTCTCAGCCTGGGTTCTGAGAGGGAACTAAGCCTTCCTAAGGTGTTCATTGTATGCATTGAATTAAATTCTTTCATTGCATCTAGAAAGGTACTAGTTATACAACACCCTTGGGAGAATTCAGAAAGTAGTCACTCAAATCCTTTTCTGTGTTTTGTGGTTCATTTGGGGAAACCTGGTTGAGAAAGGCTAGGATTCTGAAATAGAAAATTCCCTTTGGAAAACTGCATAAAATTTACTTAGCCTTCTTAAAATAGAATCACCATTCCATTTTAATCACCATTCTATTAAATGGAATCACCATTTCAAGAAAGAGGAAGAACTTATATTTCTGTCACCTAGAATACCTATTCATTTGGACCAAGAACTCTTTGATTTATGAAAGTTGAACAGATTAAGTGCAATTCCACCAGGATTTAACATGTATATAACATATTTTGCATTTTCATTCAGTGTTTGTTACAGAATGAGAGAAATGTCTTTAAGAAACTATTTGTTCTGTATATTATGGCTGTGTAACAATTTACCCACAAGTTTGTGTTGTAGAGCGACAGCGTTTCATTTTGCTCACTATTTTGTGGCTGAGTGATTCAGGAAGGGCTTAGCTGAGCAGTTCTCCCTTAGGGGTCTCTCCTGCAGCTACAGTCAGATGTGGGTGGGGGCTGCGGTCATCTGAAGTTAGACAGGCTGTGTATCCAAGGTGGCTCACTCACACAGCCACGGTGGAAGCTGGCTGCTGGCTGGGAGCTGAGCTGGAGCTGTCATTTTGAGCACCTACATATGGTCTCTTCAGTATAGTGGTTTGGGGGGAATTGTATTTCTTCTTGGTGGCTAGTTTTCCCTAGAGTAAATGTTCTAAGACCAACAAGGAAGGTTGTGTGTACTTTTTATGATTGATTCTTAGAAGTCACACAGCGTCACTTCCATTACACTCTCTGGGTGGAAGCAGTCCCAAGCCTGTTCAGCTTCAAGGGGAAGGAACGTAGGAGAGGATGTCTGTGAGGGCATGTCAAGGGATTTGTGACCATTTAAAAAATCACCACAGCTGGTCCTCTGGACACAGATTATTTATATCCTTCTAAATTTACATCCTTCCAAATGCAAAATACATTTACTCTCTCAAGACGCCCCAGAAGTCTCATTCAATATGACATCAGACTCAGGCTGGAGACGTGGGATCTAAAGATGCCCATGCAGATATGAGTGAGGCTCCTCAGGGATGGTCCTTCAGATGCTTTGTACTCTCTCTAAAGACCTGTGAATTAAAGGCTCCTCACACACCCAGGATACAATAGTGAGGGATAGGACAGCATACATGCTCTTCCTCCGCATGGAACTCTAAACAAGATCCCATTTTTTCTTTAGTCGCTTGGGTTCTACTACCAGGCAGGCAGTGTGCTAGAGTCAGAAGACTTTTTGTCGCCCCCTTGTGGTGAGGCTTCAGGCAAGCCACTTGACTCCTCTGGGTCTCATTTTCCAGGTATAATGAAATAAGACTGACAGGTCCCTTGAGAACTATTTCAGCTCAACAGTTCTGTGATTTCGTGAAATGCCAAAATTGTGCTACTTGGATATGAACAGACACAAATCATTGTGCATAATTAAGAACATTCCACAAGTAGAGAATGTTACTAAAGGATAAAATTAAAGTATGAATTAATAAAGAAGTAAATTTTGTGGGAAATAGAAGCTGATTTTGAACCAATTTTGCCACTAGAGGTCACCAGCATACCATCTCAAAGAGAATAAATAGGCTTTTGTCACTAATAGTTCCCTGTGTAGAACCCCTAAGTGGCATTCACGGTGTCTTTTCATTTACTTGGAATATCTCCTGACAGTTGTCAGAGACATATGTTATGATGAGGTGATGTCAGTGTCCCTCTAGGTGATGTTCCCAGTGTACCTAACGTTCTGTAAGCGTGAAGAGCCACCACCGGAACAGTAAGGAAAATGACTTTCTAGGATTTTCTGCTTTCTCACTGGGATGCGATGAGGGGCAGAGAGATAACTTGATAGGAAGTAATATAAGCTCTGAGGCGAAAAGGCAATGTGGAAATCCAGTGTCATCCTCAAATGCAGCACAGACATGTCAGCTTTTTTATGACACAGAGAAAGTACGGACTGGGAACAGAGCACTCGTTTATTCAGCCAATGTCTGTGGACCTGCCTTCAGGCACTGTGCTTGGCAGGGGCTATATCAATGGAGAAGATGCAGTTACTACCCTCAAGGGATTTAAGAAATGAAGTACAGGAGGTTTCTATTCAGATTCAATATTTTAATAAAAAATGTTTTTATTAATGGCCATTGACTTCTACTGATGCTTCCTGAATCTCCAGCTCGTGTGGTTCTCTTCCTTTTTGAACTTTAGATATCCATCCAGCACCTTCTGCGACATTTTGTAGTATTTCCCTTAAGATACTGTATAAAGAAGGAGGAAGAAAAATAGGAATTTGACACAGAACTAAAGATTATTCCATTTAGAGGTTTTTGGGAGAAGCAGGCTGGGATGGGCCCTGAGTTTCGCTACATATTTTTGCTGGTATGCCAAGAGTACTGACACCATGCCAGGCAACTTCTCTCAGATTTTCTTATTTTATCTTGCTGACAGACCTGTAGGGACAGGCACTGTAATCACCATTTCTGTCAATGGTCCCTTGCAGCACGGCAGTGGGTTTTTTTTTTTTTTTCTGGAAAGTGATGCTAAGAGTACACTTTAGGACTTTTATATCAAAGCTAGAACTGACTGTCACGTGACAATGTTAAAATGCTGACTTCAGTTGCGGCCAATGGTGCTTGTTAGGAAAAACTCTATTAAACTGTATTTTAGGCCAGCGCAGTGGCTCACACTTGTGATCTCAACATTTTGGAAGGCCAGGGTGGGAGGATCACTTGAGCCCAGGAGTTTGAGACCAGCCTGGGCAATATAATGAGACCTCATCTCTACAAGAAATAAGATTAGCGAGGCATGGTTCTGTGCCTGTAGTCCCAGCTATTTGAGAGGCTGAGGCAAGAGAATCACTTGAGCCCAGGAAGTTGAGGCTGCAGTGAGCCATGACTGTGCCACTGCACTCCAGCCTTGGTGACAAAGTGAGATCCTCTCTCTAAATAAATAAAATAATGTATTTTAACGTAAAACTCTTTGGGTGGGACAAACAATGCTCCAAGTAAAATTAATACCTTGAAACGTAAAGAGTCATGGAGATCTCCTGTGAAGAAACTTCTGTGAGTGACAAGAATGGATTCAGAATACCTCTGAGGACTACATCTATTTTCTCCCAAAATGAAAGCTACAAGATACTTTCTTGTAATGCGCTTCATGTAGTACAAAAAGAAAATCTACAAACTCTAGAACTCATAATTCTATAATAAAGAATGAGTTGCAAGGAATTCTGGGCTCTTTCAATAACTTGAGGAGCTATTTCTTCTAAGGCTGAAGGGGACTTGAACTTGATTTAAATTGGTTGTCATCAGCCTTTAGAGCAGACACTGAGAGTGATTCTGAGCACGACACAGACACAGCCCCTATCCCTTAGTAGCAAGGCTTTCTTTAGTTTTCTGCCTTCACTGAAGAAGGAAAGAGAGAGCCTGGCCATATCTTTGCTTCACACTGGGCATGATTTGCTTCACTGCGATGAGTGTTACTAACTATCCTGGTAATTACTAATTTTAAGCAATTGTTTTAAAACAAACTAAAGACCGGCTAAAGACAGGTGTGTCCTTACTTCTTCTTCTTCTTCTTCTTCTTTTTTTTTTTTTTTTGTGAGAGTCTCGCTCTGCTGCCCAGGCTGGAGTGCAGTAGTGTGATCTTGGCTCACTGCAACCTCCACCTCCTGGGTTCAAGCGATTCTCCTGCCTCAGCCTCCCAAGTAGCTGAGACTACAGGCCAAGCCACCATGCCCGGCTAATTTTTGTATTTTTATTACAGACAGGGTTTCACTATATTGGCCAAGTTGGTCTGGAACTCCTGACCTCAAGTGATCTGCTCACCTCAGCCACCAAAAGTGCTGGGATTACAGGCGTGAGCCACTGTGCCCAGCTGTTACTTCTTATTGTTGTAGGGTTTGGTCAAATAGTGGAAAAGAAAGGTTAGGGAGGGAGCTACAAAAATACTACTTGACTTATTTTAAAAATATTTCTATTAATGGCCACTGACTTCTACTGATGCTTCTTTAATCTCCAGCTGGTGTGGTTCTCTTCCTTTTTAAACTTTAGATATCCAACCAACATTTTCTGAGACATTTTGTGGTATTTCCCTTAGGATACTATATAAGGAAGGAGGAAGAAAAACAGGAGTTTGACACAGAACTAAAGATCATTCAATTTAGAGGTTTTTGGGAGAAGCAAACTGGGATGGGCCCTGAGTGTCATTGCATATTCTTGCTGGTATGCCAAGAATACAGTCAACCCAGGCTTTACTCAGGTATGTTTTCAGAGAGCAACTTTAAGGGATGAGGTAATGCCTCTCTGGTTAAAGAGCAAGCTTGCTTCCACTTGCCATAAAAGCCAAAGATTCCCCAAACTCAATGTTCCTCTCCTATATTATAACCCGCTGCATGTATAGGCATCTACAGGGGCCCTCTGCCTCATCCCTGTGGGACTTGGGGGACATAGGTAACAGCAACAAATCAGCATGAAGCTCATGATGAGCTGGGAGTAAGAGAGTCCTTAGACTCTGACCCAGACATCTCATGTCTTCCGCCAGCATTCATGAAACAGGCAATCGTTAGCTTGTAAGTGCAGCTGACCTTTGAACACCATGGGTTTGAACTGCATGAGTCCACTTGTATGCATTTTTTTCAGTAAATATAATGGAAAATTTTTTGGAGATTGTGACAATTTGGAAAAATTCACAAACTTCATAGCCTAGAAATATATAAAAAATTAGGTATGTCACAAATGCATAAACATATGTAGATACTAGTCTGTGTTACTATTACCATAAAATATCACAAATCTATTATAAAAAGTTACAATTTATCAAAACTTATGCACATGCTTACAGAGCACACATGGCACCATTTGCAGTTGAGAGAAATGTAAACAAATGTACAGATGCTGTATTAAACCATAAGTGCATAAAATTAACTGTAGTACATACTGTACTACCATCATAATTTCACAGCCACTTCCTGCTGCTATTGCTGTGAGCTTAAGTGCTGTGAGTATCCACTTAAAATGCCATGGGATGCTAATTATCTCTGTGTGAGCAGTTCATCTCTCTGGTAAATTGCCTATAGCAGTAAAAAGTAATCTCTTGTGGTTCTCTAGTGTTTTTTCATTGTGTTTAGTGCAATACTGTAAACCTTGAATAACACCATGGCACCCATACAAAGTGCCACTAGTGATGCTGGAAGTGCTCCCAAGAAGCAGAGAAAATTCATGACATTACAAGACAAAGTTGAATTGCTTGATATGTATTGCAGATTGAAGTCTGCAGCTGTGGTTGCCCACCGTTTCAAGATAAATGAATTCAGCTTAAGAAAGATTGTAAAAAAAGAAAAGGAAATTCATGAAGCTATCACTGCAGCTACACCAGCAAGCATGAAAAACTTACACTTTTTGCAAAATACCTTTTTATCTAGTATTGAAAATGCAGTTTTTCTGTGGGAATGCAGGATTGCTATAAGAAAGGCATACCTACTGTGATGTGATTTGAGAAAAAGCGAAGTCATTATATGACAACTTAGAGCAAAAGGAAGGCGAAGGATGTAAACCTGAAGAATTTAATGCTGGCAAAGGATGGCTTAATAATTTTAGGAAGAGGTTTGGCTTTAAAAATGTCAAGATAATTAAAGAAGAAGCTTCTGCCAATCAAGAGACAGCAGACAAGTTTCCAGATGCCATTAAGAAAATCATTGAGGAGACAGAATATCTGCCTGAACAGGTTTCTAATGCAGATCAAAGTGCCCTATTCTGGAAAAAAAATCCACAAAGGACATTTATTAGTAAGGAAGAGAAGTGAGCACCAGGATTTAAGGCAGGAAGGGATAGGCTACCTATACTGTTTTGTGCAAATGCAGGGGGGTTATGATCAGGACTGCCCTTATCTATAAAGCTGCTCATCCCTGAGCCTTGAAGGGAAAAGAAAAACATCAGCTGCCAGTCTTAATGGCTGTACAACAAGAAGGCCCAGACAATGAGAACCCTTTTTCTGGATTGTTTCCATCAATGCTTTGTCCCTGAAGTCAGGAATTACCTTGCCCATAGGGACTACCTTTAAATTTTTTTCTGATATTGGACAGTGCCTCTGGCCACCCAGAACCCCATGAGGTCAAAACTGAAGCTGTCAATGTGGTCTACTTGCCCCCAAACACAATGTCTTTAATTCAGCTTCTAGATCCTTGGCTCTTAAGAACCCTTAAGCCTTATTACACAGGGTACTCAATGGAAAGGACTGTCAATGCCATGGAAGAGAATTCTGATAGAGAGAGCATCATGACAGTCTGGAATGATTACACCATTGAAGATGTCATCGTTGTTATAAAAAAAAGTTGTGAAGGTCATCAAGATTGAAATAATAAATTCCTGCTGAAGAAAACTATCCAGATATTGTGCATGACTTCACAGGATTTACCACAGAGCCAATCAAAGAAATCATGAAAGATATGGATATGGCAAAAAAAAAAAAAAAGTGAAAAGTGAAGGGTTTCAAGATCTGGATCTTGGAGAAATGTAAGAGCTAACAGATACCACAGCAGAGGAATTAACAGAAGAAGACATGGTGGAGATTGGTGCTTTCAAACCAGTGCCACATGATGAGAAAGAAGACATAGAAGAGGCAGTGCCAGAAAAATTGACATTAGACAATCTGGCAGAAGGGTTCCAGTTATTCAAGACTGCTTTTGACTTCTTGGACAAAAAGAATGGCATGGCTTCTATGATACAGGCACTGAAACTTCTTTGATAAAGGCACTGAAACCAAAGCAGTGGAAGAAAGGTGTTACCATATAGAAACATTCTAAGAGAAATGAAAAGGAGCAAAAAGTCAGACAGAAATTACAATGTATTTTCATAAAGTTTCACTGAGTGTCTGACTCTCCTTCCTCCCTTTTTCTCCTCCATCTCTTCTGCCTCTGTTGCCTCTGGGACAGGAAGACCAACCCCTTCTCTTCCTCCTTCTCCTCAGCTTGTTCAATGTGAAAATGAAGAAGATGAAGACTTTCATGATGACCCACTTCCACGTAATGTAAATATATTTTCTCTTCCTTCTTACTTTCTTAATAACATTTTCTTTTCTCTAGCTTACTTTATTGTAAGAATACAACATATATACAAAATATGTGTTAATTGACTGTTTATGTTATTGGTAGTGCTTCCAGTCAACATAGGTTATTAGCAATTATACTTTGGGGGAGTCAAAAGTTATACATGGATTTTCCATTACACAGGGTATTGGCACCTCCTAAGCCCCACATTATTCAAGGGTCAACTGTAGGGTAACATCCCAGATCCTGACAAAAGCTGACAGAGGAACTCTAACAAGTTGATTATTTTTATCATAAATGGTTACCAGGGAAACAGAAAACTGTAAAGATCATGTTTGTATAATGCAATTTTAAAAATCCATGAGCAGCCTAGCATTTTAGAGCCTTGCTT
Source organism: Homo sapiens (assembly GCF_000001405.40). Lineage (NCBI taxonomy): Eukaryota > Metazoa > Chordata > Mammalia > Primates > Hominidae > Homo > Homo sapiens. Next base: position 140,366,153 of record NC_000004.12, read on the forward strand.
GCAATCTTGGGTGCCTCCTTTTCTTTCTTTCTTTTTTTTTTTTTTTTCCCAAATAGAACTTTTATTACTTTTCTAATCACCTCTTTCTTGCCAAACGCTTTTGGAGCAGGTGCTTTCTGGGCTGGAGCTTTTTGACCCTTCTGAGCTTTTGGAGGAGGCGCTGCCTTCTGGCCTGTGGCTTTCTGGGCAGGAAGCTTCTAAGCTGGAGCCTTCTTGCCTGCAGCGGTCATCTTTTTGCTAGAACTTTAGCAGCAGCTGCAGCAGCAGTAGCACGCTTCGCAGCAGGTGCTTTTTTGGGAGAAGCTTTTGGAGAGCTGCCTTTTGAAGCTTCTTAACTTCATTCTTGATTATTCTGTTCCTCATTGCCTTCATAACTTTAAAATGATCAAAATCTGTCATCTTGGCTTTCCTTTCTCTGGCTTCAATCTTCTTGGCCCATCGTGTGGCTGCCCATTTTGTATTGATGTTTGCCTTCTGCCAGGCTTGTCTGACATACTTCTGGTGGGCTCTGTGTGGAAACTTGAGGTTGAAATCAGTGAGCTGCATGCACTTGAAAGGCATGGTCTGTCTCCTCACTTGAGTGCAAGGTCCATCAACCAAAGCCCTGTTTTGATCAATAACATCTACAGTTGCAACCAATTTTCTGGCACGAGGTCCAGAGGGGATGTAGCCCACACGGCCAACCTCCACGAAGCGCCTGAACACCATGTTGGTGGCGTTTGGCAAGAAGGAAGAAGGCCAGGTGCATTCTTTTATAAAATATTAGTTATTGACCAGGCGTGGTGGCTCACGCATGTAATCCCAGCACTTTGGGAGGCCCAGGTGGGTGGATCGCTTGAGGTCAGGAGTTTGAGACTAGCTTGACCAACATAGTGAAACCTCATCTCTACTAAAAATACAAAAATTAGCCGGGTGTCATGGCAGGCACCTGTAATTCCAGTTGCTCGGGAGGCTGAGGAGGAGAATCACTTGAACCTGGGAGGTGCAGGTTGCAGTCAGCCAAAATCGCACCACTGCACTCCAGCCTGGGCAACAGAGCAAGACCCTACACACCAGCCTGGGTGACAGAGTAAGACCATTTCTCATAAATAAATAAATAAATAAATAAAAATATTAGTTATCACTGTAACCCTGACTTCTATGCTCTTCAGAGAATTACTTTATGCTTGTTAAAAACAGAATCTCCTTTAGTGACCCAGACACATATGATTAATCTTGATTTTAAAGCCAGATTATTTTTTTTTTGAGATGGAGTCTTGCTGTGTTGCCCAGGCTGGAGTGCAGTGGCGTGATCTTAGCTAACTGCAGCCTCTGCCTCCCAGGTTCAGGCAGTTCTCCTGCCTCAGCCTCCCGAGTAGCTGGGACTACAGGTGTGTGCTGCCATGCCTGGCTAATTTTTGTATTTTTAGTAGAGACGGGGTTTCACCATGTTGGCCAGAATGGTCTTGATCTCCTGACCTCATGATCCACCTGCCTCAGCCTCCCAAAGTTCTGGGATTACAGATGTGAGCCACTGTGCCCAGTCTAAAGCCAGATTATTTTTATAAAATTTTAGTGAGCAAGTACCCAGCTGACATGATTGAAAATGTAGATTCGTGTTTAGAGAATCACAGAATCACAAAATCACAAAAGCTGGAATGAGGTGGCTCAATGACAACTCACTCAGAAAATATGCTTTGAGAACCTGTGGCAGGCAGGGTGCCAAAAGCTGGATGGTCAGACACAATCTTACCAGCAAAGATTGACTCTTAAATATAGGGAACCATTCACTTAACTCACTGGTAGTGTTGTTTGATAAAGTTCTTAATGTTATTTTACACCATGTTAAGAAGCTAAATGAACTCTCTTCCAAGCCCTCACTTGAGGAAACAGGGGTGGACAGGAAAGTGACTAACTCCCTGCAGTCTCATGGTTAATTTCAAATATTTGAATGCTGTACAGTATCTAGCTCACGATATAGTCACAAAACTAAACTTTTAAATGAGCAAAGAATGGAATGAATTCAATCTAGGCTGAGCCAGAACAAGAACCCAGGTTTCTTCTTCTTCAAACCAATGCTTGTCACGTTGTTGGTAGATCAGAGTTTTCTGAACCAATCATATACCTACATCATAATTTTTGCCACATTAAATTAACCATTTAATTAAAATCAGTTTTGAACTTAGCTTTATTCTAAGCAACATGTTAACATCTGTGAATTGAGAATTTCTTGTATTATTCGTATTTATTATAATAAAATAAACATGTAATTATTTTTAAAAATTCATCTTGTACAACCAGAGGTATAAATACCAATTCTGGGGGAAATGCTAATTTGAAAATACTATCTAGAGAAAAATAAGGACTGTAAACCAAAAAGTATCTCAGACAGGTCTCATTCAATTTAGAAGTTGATTTTGCCAAGGTTAAGGACATACCTGGAAGAAAAGAACACAGAATCACAGAAACAGTCTCTGGTCTGTTCCTTTATCCAAGGATGACTTTGAGAGCTTCAGTATTTAAAGGGGAAAAGTGGGTTGGAGAGGTAAGAGCGAGGGTATAGTAATCTAAGTTGCAGGAGAAAAGGCGCAGGTAGGGGAATGGTGAATGATGCATTCATCTTGTGTGCAGCAAATCAGCACTTTACATGAAATAGGGTGAACATAGAGTAGCTACCTATGGAGATATTTAACCTTTTATCTGTAGCTATCTGCTTAGGAACAGAAGAAAAGGCAGCTTCTTGCATGACTCAGCTTTCAGCTTATTTTTTTCCTTCTGGCAGAGTGAACTGGAGTCTCACGTTTTTATTCTCCTTTCACAGCACCGAGACTGCACAGAATCATTCCTAATTATTTCCATTTTTATGATAAAGTCCAAAGCTTGATTCCATAAAGACCTTGAAATCCTTTGGAATTCTTGCTTGAAAAAACTCTAAAAGTACATTGGTAATTTCTTACATTCCCTCTACCTATTGAACAAATAAATGAAAATGACTCATCAAATTTATTTACTTTTGGTTATTATCAGAAATTATAATCTTGAGAAAGTATACATGAACACCTTAATTTACCAAATAGCTATATGGTATACTGTTGAGTATAGTATACTAGGCTGTAGTATACAATTACGTCTAGTTTTGAAATCAAGTTTTAACAAATAGGTTATATTCTTTACTCACCAAATTCAGAACAGCATTCATTCTCCAATGAATTCAATAACCTTTCAAGTGAAAAAAATGAGTAAAAAAGAAAATGTGAGTTCTTATTTAGGAATGAGATGGAACATGTTCTGCAAATTAATGAGCTTAAAGCATCAGACAACACACCTGGTTATACTTGAAAGTTATCAAAAATGCTTCCATTTAGCATATTTCACCTTAAATATCCACAGTACGTTTAGAACCCTCTAATTAAGACAAAATAGCAGCTTGTATGTGCACAATGAGAGTGTGCCAGACTGGAACATCAAAAAGATATTGGAAGTTCTCTATTTCATTATTTATCATTTCTTCCCCCACATAATATATTGCCTTGTACAGTTTTCAATTAGGACTTCCCCCATTCTCTAGGAAAAAAAATGTAATTTTGTGCCTTTATTTAGATGAACTATATTATCAATATTCACATAGTCCAGGTCGCATGAATGTTCACCTTATAATCAAATATTTCTATGCAATCTCAGTGGTTTCTATTTGTACTTATAGCCTTTCCTTATTCAGAAGGGGGATTTTTTTTTTTTTTTTTTTTTTTTTTTTTTTTTTTTTTTAGATGGAGTTTCGCTCTTGTTGTCCAGGTTGGAGTGCAATGGCGCCATCTCAGCTCACTACAACCTCCACCTCCTGGGTTCAAGCAGTTCTCCTGCTTCAGCCTCCCAAGTCTGAAAGCTGAAAATAAGCTGAAAGCTGAGTCATGCAAGAGCTGCCTTTTTATGTTTACATTTTAGTTTAAAATTACTTTCTAATTTTTTTGTGTGTGACTTCCCCTGTGACCCATGGTTTGTTTAGAAGTACATAGTTTGATTTCCAACTATTTGGAGATTTACAAATATCTTTCTGTTACTGATTTCTAGTTTAATTTGTGGGTAGAGACAATAATTTTTACTGTTTCAATTATTTTAAATTTGCTGAGATTTGTTTGATGATACACAGTGGAGTCTATTTTGATGAATTTTCCAAGTGCATTGGAAAAGAAAGCATGTTCTTCAGTTATTGGGTGCAATGTTCTACAAATGTCCATTAGGTCAAGTTGGCTGATAGGATTGTTCAGGTCTTCTATATCAATAGTTCAGAAATTTGCCAGCCTTTTTTCAAAATCACCTTCGTAACTTTCAAAAATACTAATGCCTGTATCTCACTCCTTAAGACTGTAATTTATTCTGAGGTGTGGTCTGTTCACTAGAATAATTAAAAGATTCCCAGGTGATTCTAATATACTGAAAAGTTTGGGACCTGAGTTCTGTATACTTAAATTATCTGTATAGTTGTTTTACAAATTGCAGAGCAGGGAGTAATGAACTGTTTGAATTCAATTAATTTTTGATTCATTTCTATTTTGTAGCACTGTGGTTAGGATTTTGTGTCTTCTTGATGAATATGCCCCTTTATCTAATTGTTTTAATGTTATTTTACCTAATTATTAGTGAAGGTAAACATTTTTTAAAAACCTTTCTGGCCGTTCAGTTTTCCTCTTCTGTAAGTGGCCTACTTACGTTATTTGCATATATTTATCTTGAGTTGTCTTTTTCTTACTGATTTGTCTGAATTCTTTTTTTTTTTTTTGAGACGGAGTCTCACCCTGTCGCCCAGGCTGGAGTGCAGTGGCACCATGTCACTGCAAGCTCTGCCTCCTGGGTTCATGCCACTCTCCTGCCTCAGCCTCCCGAGTAGCTGGGACTACAGGCGCCCGCCACCACGCCCAGCTAATTTTTTGTATTTTTAGTAGAGACGGGGTTTCACCGTGTTAGCCAGGATGGTCTCAATCTCCTGACCTCGTGATCCACCCGCCTCGACCTCCCAAAGTGCTGGGATTACAGCCGTGAGCCACCGCGCCTGGCCTGAATTCTTTATATTTTGAGAGTTTTACTATATTCTGCCAACCTGTGGCTTGTTTTTTAACTTGATTAGAGATGGCTTCTCTTCTGTTTGTAAAACTTCCAAATTTTAAAATAATCAATATTTTACATCTTTCCTTAATGAATCGTGCTGTTTCTTCCCTACGGCGATATACAGACATACGCTTTTCTTCTAAAAGTTTAGAGTTTTGTTTGTCACATTTTGGATCATTATTTCATTTGGAATTTAGTTTTATTTCTGTCGTGGTATCAGGATTGAATTTCTTATTTTTATATAAATAGCCAATTTAACTAGAACCACCATAACTTGTGTTTTCTATATCCCACGAACAGTTACTATACTAATTTACACTCCCAACAGTAATGAATAATAGTTTTTTCCCCACAACCTTAGAAACAGTTATTCCTCACCAGACATCTTTATTGTATACCAACTTCCAGGTACCCTTTTTTTCCTAATTTTCTTTTTGTCTATTCTTGTGTCAATACCACTTTTTTAAAAGTTGCTTTAAAATAGAATTACCATATGATTCAGCACAAATTAACACACACTTCTGGGTGTATATCCAAAAGAACTGAAAAGAGGGTCTCAAAGAGACATTTGCACACCCATGTCCATAGCAGTATTATTCACAATAGCCAAAAGGAGGAAGCAACCTAAGCGTCCACTGATAGATGAATAAACAAAATGTGGCATAATACACATAATAAATGATATATAGAACTATTCAGCCTTAAAAAGGAAGTTCTGCAATATGCTATAACATGGATGAACTCTGAGGCATTATGCTAAATGAAATAAGCCAGTCATAAAAGGGCAAATTCTGTATTATTCCACTTAGGTGAGGTACCTAGAGTAGTCAAACTGATAAACACAAAGTAAGATGATTACTGCCAGAGGATGAGGGGAATAGGAAATGGAGAGTTGCTCTTTAATAGGTATACAGTTTTAGTTTGGCAAGATGAAAAGAGAGATTGGTTCTGGAGATTGGTTGGAGAACAATGTGGAATGTATCTTATACTACTGAAGTTAAAAATGGTTAAGATGGTAAATTTTATTCTATGTATATTTCACTACAATTAAAAATATTTAAAAATACTGTTCTAGCAAAAACAAAAGGTTGCTTTTAATAGTTTCTCTTGATCTTTGGTGTCCTGCAATTTCACCGTTGCATAGAATTCTTATATTAATCCTGCTCAAGAATAAGTACTTCTTGAATCTGAAAATTCAAATATTCCACAATCTTGGAAAATTCTTAGTTATTACTCTTTGAATACTGCCTGCATCCATTCTCTCTAGTCTCTCTTTTTTGGCACTCCTATTAGATTTATGTTGGATTTTTTTTCATTTATTTAGCTCCTACATTGCATTCTAGTAAATTTCCTCAAACTGAATATTGCAGTCGCAGCCAAATGCATAGTTCTCAAAACACTGAATAGAAGATATTTTTATATAGCTCTTAAAATGATTAAGGCGATGTGTCAGCAAACTGTGCCAGAAGTAAAAAGTCAAGAAACAGGGAGACATAAGGCTTGTCTCTACAGCTTAGGAGGCTGTGCCAAAGCCAAAATAATAATGTATTGCTGTGGATGTCTACCTTGTACTCAACGAATATTAAAGCAGGATGCCGCTTTGTGTCAAGTACTAGATTACGATGAACGGTGTCACGAAGAACACTCCACTCTTGATACCGTATATGTGACCTTGAGCAAGAAATGTGTTCACGCTCAGGCTTCAGTTCCTTTCTGTGGGTTGCTGTGAGGCTCCACAGGGGTAAGGTAAGCACAAGTGCTATGCCTCAGTACCACTAGGGTATTTTCTCAATTCTAAAATATTAAATGGCCACGCACTACAGATTTAATAATAGTTTCGGAGGAGGGGCGTGAGGAGAGGAACATTCCACTAGCTCAACTATAAGCTTTCCGATTTCGGAAATAAGAAAAATATGAAAAAGTCTGCTTTTAGAATTAAGGAACGACGGTGTCGCGTTGACTTTCTCTGCTTGGTTCGCAAACGCTCTTTTCTCGAACTTGAATGACTTCTCTGTCGCTCATACCAACCTCTTTCCTGAATGACTTCTCTGTCGCTCATACCAGCCTCTTTCCTGATTTTCCACACTGGGATTCTCACTCCAATTCTCAGGTTTCCTGATAGACCTGATGAGCCGCTTCACCAGCGCCGCTTAGCTTCGCTTCTTTACTGTCATTGGCTGTCGCTGTTCCAGGTCCCGCCCACAGCGACCTCAATCCTGATTGGATGTCAGTGTCCTTTTGTTATGGCAAAGGTGGATCCCGGTGCTTTGAGATTGGACGACTGGGGTGAGGCGGGCAGCTAATGCGCAGGCGTGTATTCTCGAGTCAGGATTGGCGGGCGAGCGGCTGGGACGGGATGGGATTCTTCTCACGGCGCACGTTCTGTGGGCGGAGTGGGCGGAGCTGCCGGGGTCAGTTGGTCCAAGTGTCCCGGCCTGAGGTGTCGGCCGGATCCCTCCTTCTCCCGGCGCCTCAAGCGGAAGGTGAGGGCCGTCCCGGGCAGCGGAGGGCCTGGCCCCAGGCGACTAGAGCTGCATCCTCAGTACCTCCGAGGGCCTGGAGGGCGGGGCGGGCTGGACGCGGCCCTGCGCACCGGGGGCCCGGGAGGAGCGGTCTCGGGCCTGGGCATTTGGTGGGCGGCGGAGGCCTGGCTCCCGGCAGAACCCTTGCGCGACCTCTTTTTCTCCTGTTTTCGTTGTCAGGCCCAGGCGTTCTTTGGGAGAGGGACCTCTCGCGGTCCCTGACGCAGACATCGTGTAGCTTTCTCCCCGCAGCTCCTGGGTCGGGAGCCGCTTTGCAGCTCTCGGCTCTGGAATTGGACTGCGGGAGGGGCGTTTGGGTGGAATGGGACCTGGCACGCCTGGACCTTCCCGTGGCTGCTCTGCGAGAGCCTGAGAGATGGGAGGGGAGGCTGAGGTGGGGAGGGAGCCTAGAGAGCCGTAAAATAAGGATTGGACCATTTTTCCAGGCGGCGAAAGCGGCACCTGGGTTTGTTTCCTGATCGTCTTCTCCCCCAGAGTCCTGCTGAACAAGTTTTGGGAAGAAAGGTTTGGAAAGGAGAAAGAGGATACATTCCTGAAAGGCAGGGCTTCTGTTATACAGTGTGTCAACCTCACACTATTACGCAACAATAAGGACAGATGCCATTCCAGGTTGCCAACACGTTTTCTATGCCCGAGGACCCAAAGCTGTGCCCATGTATTCTGGTACCTCTATTCCTGATTAAAATCAGTGTAGCTAGCCATTCTCTGAGAGTATAGCTTCCATTTAAATCCTCATTTGGCCAAACAGTTCCTTGATCTTGTGGAATTTGAAACTGGATTTATTTAACCAGGACAAGTCAAAGCAGAACTTGAACAGATCTGAACAGACATTATATTGAAGTTCCGTAGCTTGAAGGGAATGGAGTTTATTTTCAGTTGCTTAGTAAAGATTCCAGAGGAGTTTGACATCAGTGGTAGCAAAATGTTTGGCAAACTTAAGATTAGGGCCATATTAAAGTTTTTTCCATTGCATAATGGAAAAAGCATGGACTGTGAAGTTAGACCTGGGTTCAAATTCTTGGTAGAGACATTGGCTGTGAAACCTCTGAAACAGCTTTTCTGAAAGATATATAGACTTTCTGAAATTTAGTGTCCATATCTGTAAATTGCAGTTTCCTTCTGTTGATTTGATGAAATAACATATGCAAAGCATTTAGCACATTAATGCACGAAGACATTATTTTAGCAGTCTTAGTAGTTCTCCAGTATGACAGATGGTGAAATCAATTTTAGATGCAGAAAAGTTGAGTGGCTGAAGATGGACGGGTATTAGGAAAAAGTCTCAAAATCTGCAGGCTCAGATGTGACAATAGTTGTGGTGGAATGGTGGAAAAAACACTGGGCATTTGTTGTAGTCTTGGCCCTGTTGCTAACTACTTCTGTGGTCTTCAGTAAGCCATTGTCATCTTTGGCCTTGATTTTGTAAAATGAAGCAGCTGGACCAGATGGTTTTCTTTAAATTCTTTCTGTTGCCCAAATTAGAGCTAAAAGGTAGAGAAGACGATAGCAGACATTTATTGAATACCTACTATGTACTAGGTACTGTTGCCAACACATTGTATCTATCCACTCATTCTCACAACAAACCCATGAGATACGTACGGTTATTATCCACATTTTACAAATGAGGAAACTTAAGGCCGAGGTGTTAACCTTGCCCAGGGTTCCAGAGCTTATAAATTGCAGAGCTAGGATTTGAATCCAGGTAATCTGAATCCATATTGTTAATCATTGTGCCAGGCTGCCTCTTGAGGAGAGTGATATTGTGGATATTGTACACTATTAGAGATAACTGTAAAATAAGATAGGGGCATATTTGGTAAGATGATCGTCTTTGGTCACAGGTGTGTGTGCATGGCAAAAATTATTTAATTAAATGAATCTTGTCCCAATGTTTGCCACATTTCCTGGTTTGTATTCTCTCTATGCGTTCTGCCTCCTGGACTTAAATAATCAAAAAAGTAATTCTAGATTCCCTTCCACTAACCAAGGCTAGATACCCGAATTTACTGTGTTTTTTGAGAAACCTTTGAAAGGTCTGACCTAGCCATACATCAGAGCTGAAGAATCTCAGCGAACCATGTCCATTTCTGGGGTAAGGTGGTTTAGGATAGGCAGAGCAGCCTCAGCGCCCCAAATTCATTTCAGTGTTCCCACGCTTGAGCAGACTTGGTCTTAATTTTCTCGTTTTTCATCAGATTTGCGTTTATATATAGGAGCAGAAGGAGTTGAAAGTGAACTCTTAAGAGCATATTTGACATGGAATTAGATTGATGTTATAGCAACTATAGGTAAAAAAGGATTTTATAGTTGAAAAATTTGAAAAGCTCAGTATTAAGTATCTGTTATGATGTAGTACTGTGTTAATGTAGACTTTGGGCAGTTTGGGGATCAATACTATTTTAAAAGAAAAAATCCATGGCTAAAATACTTTGACATAAAGAACTCAGCAAGTCTTTTGATCCCATATGTCAAACAAATCAGTTTATTGCCCTAAATCTACTGAAAGACTTTGAATATATATTAATACAATAGTAGCATTTTGAGATGGGTCTATTTGATCACATCACAATAAAATACAATTGCTTCTTGTTCTTTTGTCGTGGAAAGGCAGCAGGTAATGCTGTGGTCCACTGTACTAAAGAGTAATGCCCTTATGCGTAGGGCTGCCAGATACAGTGGGCGGTTTTTTCACTGTGCAACACTTGGGATGCAATCTTACGTAGACTGTGGTGTGAATTGTGCTCTCTCGCGTTGTATACCCTTATAGCACTGTTCTTGTGGCACTACTTTTGTGCTCCTGCCTCTACCCTAATCTTGAGTGTAAGAGTAATTTTTCCTTTAATAAGCCCTCTCCACCCTGTTTTTCTGCTTTTTATTTTCTTTCACTTTTTCAGATGAAGTCACACTGTTGCTAAACCATGCATAGGTTTTCTATTGTTTGAATTATATGTGGTCAGAATTTCAGAAACTGGCTTCTTTTTCTTTACCTCTTATATTGGTGAGTTTGGAATACTTGTGTTTTTGCAGACTTTTTGGTTTAATTTAAATATTAGTCTGAAACATAAGCAAAAGAAGACTACCCTATCACTGTATTATATCTGACTTCAAAATCAGCTGTGTCGATTTTCTGATTATCTGTTGCTTTGGCTTGTATATCTTATAACTCTTCTTAGCTATCATGAAAATTCGTTCTAGCTGTAGCCTTAAAATCATTGGATATGAGAAATTTGAAGCACTTTTAATTTATTATTTAGCAAAGACAGATGCCAAATTGCAGCTTACTCTTGCTGAGCACTCCCACGATCACTTTTGCTTTTGGCTGTTGCCTCTCTCATCTTACTCAGACCTCTTTTAGCTGGATCAGTGGTTGAAATGGTATGAAAAGAGAATGACTGTAGTACCTGGTTACAGGTGTGCTTCTCTGTCAGGGAAATGTCAAATCAAGTTTTCACTGACACTCTTCCTCTTCAATTATAGTTAAAGAGACATGTTGATTCAATGGAGAGGAATAGTTTTTGGAGTGTGGTCTTTAAATACTACAGTAGGCTGAATAACTTTTAAAAAAAGAATTGTTGGAAAAATTTTAGTAATCTGAAATGCAGAGAACCTGAGAATTAAATAATGTGAAAAAGAGGTCGGGCAGAGCAACTTTAAATGCGGTTTAGATAAGGGGACAGATGCTAGAAGACTTGGAGTAGGTTTATTCAGCATTATTAAATTAATTGTATACCATTTGTAGTTAATTATTTAATAATGTTATACAAGGGATATTTCATATTTTTTTCTAGACTAGTGAGTGCTATCTAACTTGAACTATAAACTTGAAGTTTATGTATATGTACACTGGGCATTTTAATTTGAAGTTCATGTTAGTATCTAAAGTGTAACAGGATTTATGTAGATGTACACTGGGCATTTTCAAATTTCATGTTAGTATCTGAAGTACAACAAGATTTGTATTAACAGCTGTGAGAGAATGTGTAATACACTGATATCTCTATTGTGATTCTAGTTCTAGTATGTAGATATCCTTATTTAATAGGTCTGCTTTCTACTGTTTAAGATACGGAGGCATAACAATGCCTTGGGCATAGAAGATATTCAGTAAATACTTGTTGAAAGAATAACACTGACAGGTCTAGGTTGCTTCAATGTAGTAGATTAGATTGGTTAACAAATCTGTTTTCAGTAATAATCTGGTGACATTATTTAATATATTTTGAACATATTGAATGAAATGATTGTTAGCAATGGAGCAGAACATGTTTTATAGAAATTTTTTGTTCTAATATTTAGAAGTCTTCATTGTAATAATAAAATGTTAGTATTTATTTACTTATTTACATCCTGATTAGTCTGTTTTGATTTAACCCTGACTAGGAGCTGATGAATGGACATTTTTTCATTTATTCCATATTAATATTTTAGATGGTCTAGTATTTATCTTTTGAATTTTATTTGTAAAAAATTAAACAGTATATGTAAAGCAATACTTTAATGAAGAAGAATATTTGAAACAATTTTATCTTCATCCATACCGTCATCCTTAATATCAGAGCATTTTTTCATTTTCATGTTTTTTATGCATATTTATATATATTTCACATAATTTACATCAGTGAATATACAATTTTATACACATTTTTTCATGTAGTATAGTCATAATTATTTTCAGTAGCCACTCCATTAGAAATTATAACTGTACTCAGGAGGCTGAGGAAAGAGGATTGCTTGGGTCCAGGAGTTTAATACAGACTGGGCAACTTGGCAAGACCCTCATTTCTAAATAAATAAATAAAAATATGTCTTCTTAAAAAGAAAATCACAACTGTAATTTACCAGACTTTGAGTGGGCAGTTATGTTGTTTCTGATTGACTTCATTGTAAATAAAATTGAAGTGATTTTTATGTATATAACTTTCTTTGCATTATTGTCCTTAGCCTAAATTTCCAAGGTAAAATACTCAGTTAAAAAAGATGTAAATGTTTTTATGAATCTTATTATCATACTGCTTTCCAAAAAGATTACATATTTAAAATTTGTGTCCAGTGTTTGTGTATTTGTTTTTCCATAACTCTTTGCTAGTATTGATCATTATCTCCTTTAAAAATAATAACTGTACGGTGGTATTTATGTATTTTTTGATTATCAAGAAGCTCAACATTTTCTCAAACTATTTATATCCTTTGCTTATTTACCCATTAGGCATTTATTTTATTCTTAGTAAAGCATATGAAAAGTCCTACTATGTCATAGTTAACAAAATCATCCTCCTTTGAAAAACAGGCTTATAGTTTATTGCTGTATGTGTCTATATTTCTGAATTTTTCTTATTGTAGACCATTCCTCAAGAATTTTGTATCCAAGGCCCAAAAGTTTGTTACCCAAGATGATGAATGCTGACATGGATGGTATGTTCTTCATTTTCTTTTTTGTATACTCCTGGTTTTGTGGATGCTTTTGCTTTATTAAGCAATGGAAAGGGCAGAGAAACCATGTTTAGAAGACTTTGATCTTGGCTAATTACTTATTTATATCTCATCTAGTGTTAGAAAGGACCAACCAAAGCAGCTTCCATTCCTTAGCTATGAGAGGTTGGCAAGTTGTTTTTATCTTCTTTACCTTGGTGGTATTATCTGCAATTTGGGGATACAAAATTTTATTTCACAGGGCTCTTGTATAAGTCAAGTAAGAATGAATATAAAACATTTTGCAGATTTTTAAGTGCTACCCTACACAAATGTACCTAATGCTAATTAATAGTAAATTTGAACCTTTATATTACAGCAGTTGATGCTGAAAATCAAGTGGAACTGGAGGAAAAAACAAGACTTATTAATCAAGTGTTGGAACTCCAACACACACTTGAAGGTTGGCTTGCATTTTGTAGTTTATTTGAATGACAGCCAATTAATTGAACTTGTAAAAATTTATATTGCTAAATTTTGTTTGTTAGGATGTATAATTTTTAAAAGAATGAACTTCAAAGTACACACATATATATATCTATCTTCCTGCTTTGGTAGTTTAAAGAACAGATACACTTCAGTCAAGTCAAATGTTGTTATTGTGCTTCCCTCTTTGAAGCCTAACATAATGCTGGCTAGTATGAGACCCCCTTTTAAGTCCCCATAATGTGTTACTAAGTCCGCTTTAATAAAGCTTATTTTAAAGTAAAAACAATGTATTAGCCTTGGAGATTAAAAAGGAATTCATCTGAATTTTTTCATTTTCTAAATCTTGCATAAAATTAATACACTGAAACATCTTTTGAGTTTTAATGAAATTAAGAGGTTGTGTTTTTGGTGCCACAGTGAGCAGATCATGTCACTCAGAACCTCCCACTGATTTACATTTTACAGAGTTAATAAAAGTCATCTGTGACTTCCCTATTAGCTTTCTTTTTCTTTTTCTTTTTTTTTTTTTTTTTTTTTGAGATGGAGTTCACTCTTGTTGCCCAGGTTGGAGTGCAATGGCGCAACCTCGGCTCCCTGCAACCTCTGCCTCCCAGGTTCAAGCGATTCTCCTGTCTCAGCCTCCCGAGTAGCTGGGATTACAGGCACCTGCTACCATGCCTAGCTAATTTTTTTGTATTTTTAGTAGAGATAGGGTTTCACTATGTTGGCCAGGCTGGTCTCAAACTCCTGACCTCATGATCCACCCGCCTCGGCCTCCCAAAGTGCTGGGATTACAGGTGCGAGCCACCGTGCCCAGCCGGAATTAACCTCTTATGTGATCATCAGGAACTGCATGTGTTCAATGTCTTGATAATGTTACAATACAAGATGATAAGTTGCTTGGAAACTGACTGCCTGTATTCAGTATATGAATTCAGTTGTGTTAACCTGATATATATCTTAAACATTTCTAGTAAAGATGTTATAGTTTTATGTTGATAAGACATGAACCAAAATTCACATTTTAAAAACAAAGTCTTTTTAAAAAATTACTCAACATTAATGCTATTTATGAAGAATAGCATTTAGTCTAATGTGAAATATCTTTTTAGGAATTTGTCTACTAATTTGTACTCAGTTTGTTTACCTTGCTGTCTCTAAAATCCGAATTCTTAAAATTTAAGGATTGTATTATTTCTTTTAAGAATGAATCCTAAGAATTTTGTAATATGGAATCATTGTCATTGTTTTATTGATAATGGGCATTTTTATTTTTTATATAGATCTCTCTGCAAGAGTAGATGCAGTTAAGGAAGAAAATCTGAAGCTAAAATCAGAAAACCAAGTTCTTGGACAATATATAGAAAATCTCATGTCAGCTTCTAGTGTTTTTCAAACAACTGACACAAAAAGCAAAAGAAAGTAAGGGATTGACACCCTTCTGTTTTATGGAATTGCTGCTGATCATTTTTTCTTTAAAACTTGGATAGATTCCAAAAGTTACAGTACCTTTGTGGCTTCATTGAATATTTATGAAGATAATGTCAGATGTAGACAAAAATAACACAATAACAGGAGACTTCCATAAGTTTGTGTATTATGTTAGTCTATGAAAACGTGCAAATGTATTGTAGAGACTTTATGATTAGAATTGCATATATTTATGAAACTTAAAGATGAATGTTTTATTGAATTTGTAGGTTTAGCACTGTCTTTTATTATAGGATTAGTAAGATATACAAGAAAATAACCACCGTGTTGTGAAAAAGTGACCAAAATCATGTACTAAATGCACAGCTTTATGTACCCTGTCCACCATCTTGTGCCTCTTCTCCATTTGCCTCTTCCTTCCTATTTCCCTTCCGCTAAGGAAAAAAATTGGTGTCACATTTGTAAAAGTAATTTTAATAGTTAATCATCTCTGAGAGTAACCTGTATTTTAATTGTTGAAACTTAACCAAAATAAGATACTGTCTCAGCTAGGGCTTGTCATTTGTGTATTTAGTGTTAAGATAGGAATGCTAGTGTCTCTTTAATTAATTGGAAATAGATGGAGGCTAAAAATGAAGGTTTTTCTTTGAAACTGAATTAACTTGGGAATATTTGTTGTTAAAAACTTCTTTTTGCCCAAAATAACTCATTTTGTATTATCTGAAAATATATAATTTCTGGTCATGTGTATGTTAAAATAGAAAATTTTGAGGAAAAATGGAAATAGGGTGGAAAAGTACTCGGTAAACAGTAGTAACCAAATATTTTCACTCCAGATTTGTGTTTTCTCTGGCACAGAGTAGATCTTTTGGGAAATATATATGAAAGTGGATTAAGTTTGACTACCCTTATGTTAGCCACATCTGGATGAGAACAGTTACAAAGAGTTTGGTCTCTAAGTTGATTTGTACCCAGTGGGTCAACTTCTGCAAAATTCCGTAATGGTGTATTAGTATTAGAATAGTGAATAAAATGGGAAAGTTATACATGTATACTTATTATCTTGCTCAGTATTTTATCTCACTTGTTCTAGAATTTTCTGTAAACCCTGCTACTGGGTTTGAAGAGTTTTAGTCATCCTTTAACAATTTTTAAAAATTTAGCTTCTAGATTCCATTTGGTAAGGAAATCAATATTGGAAGTATTGCTAAAATCTTATAATATGAAAAGAGATCCACTAATGTAGCTTAAGGTTATTAGATTTGGGCTTTTAATCATGGAATAATCTTATGTATTGGTGTAAGAGTTGATGAATGACTTTAGCTGTGTGAATATATAATAGTCAAACTGCAAACATTTTGCATCCCTTTTGTGACCTAATTTACAGACATTTAAATTGTGTTGCAGTTCTGCTTTGCCGTTTAATAAAAAGCTATTTCAGAGGTTGTGTGTGTTTTGATATAGTTGCCTAAGTAAATGGGGTATTTAGGTATAGTGGTGTATCCAGGGTTATTCAATGCCACAGAATAGTGTATCTTATTTAAGTACCCAGTTACTGATTATTTAGGGGAATAATATTTTTATTAATACAACTATAACTGGTTATCAATATAAATATCATAGGCTATTATACATTAATTTGGAAAACAAAAGCAAAGCACTCAAAGGATCCAGTATCTCCAGGGAAAAAGGAAGTTGTATTTTTTAGGGTAGGCTAAGCTACTTTAGCAAGAGACCCAGTGATAAAGAATATAAATATAGAAGTTTCTCTCCCAACCAGTGGTTCCAAGGTCAGCATTGCAGGCTAGCAGCCCTTGTTCAAACAGTTATTCAGGGACTTTGGCTGAGGATGGTGCTGCCATTTTAAATCATGGCTTTCAAGTCACTCTAGTTATTCTTCTAATTTGCAGAAAAAGAACATGGAAGTGTACATATGCAAGGTGTTATGGGCTGTGCCTGGAAATGGCTCATATATCTTCTCATATTCCAGTGGTGTGGAGACTTAGTTACATCTAGATACAAGAGGAGCTGAGAAATGTAGTCCCTGGCTGGGAAGCCATCTTCCAGCTATAAATACAAGATTTTGGTGGCTGCTAGCAGCCTCAGCCACAGCTCTTCTTGTGCTACCAAGTATCTTCCCTTACACAGAAAGTAATCCCTCTTCATCCAGCTAGTGATTCAGCTCACAATCTAGGATCTCTATTAAAGGTCCATCCCTTTACATGTGGCTTCTAATAGTCTGACAATCTCTAAACTGATAGGCAAATTATTTGCTCTCACCCTTGCTGCTGCCCATTTATAATGTAGTTGGGACAGGATGGCCAAATAAAAAGTCTCAATTTGGAAAATGGAATAAAGGGAAACGTAAAAATTGTGGAATGCTCCTGGGAGATGTATGAAGATTTTGTCCCTAGCAGTGGAGAAGTTCCTTGATTCAACTATGATTCTGATCTCTGGCAGGGGACTCCCTTGTTCATTGAACTCCATGGTTTCCCCTCTGGAAAGTTACTCCTTATCCATTTTCTTCCATGGCTACCTCAGAAGTAGAGATTGGGTGTTCACTCCATGGGAATTGTGAAGACAGTCCACTTCCTGCTGGTGTGAATTTGGTGCCCATCATTTTAAGGCCAAGCTCATGTTTCTGTGGAATACGATTCTCTCAAAAACTCAAGCCTTTTTATCAGTGTGCTTCTGATTGCATATGCCGAGGAACCACAACCAAGCTTTTGACCAAATTCTCAAAGTATGTATTATTTTTGCCTTTCTTTAATGGAGGCTATCTTGAGATCAACTAAAAATAAGATTACACTGGGAATGTTACATGCAGATCATCACTGCAAAGCTGGGTTCCTTTGGCTTAACGATTGGTAGAGAAGTCTTCATGGGCTTCCCCCCAATCTCCCCCACCTCAAAAATAATTTTGAACCTTTGCTGCTATTCAGACTTCAGAAACAATTGGCTTAATTTCATGAGGTTCCTTGTATCAAAACTTTGTCTATTCCCTTCTATCTTTGCTTGAAAATGTCAATTTTTTTGATACCTTGCTGAAAGCAAGGAATAGCCAATTCACTTAACATTCTGGCTTTTTCCAGCTAGAGCTATCAGATTAGTAGGTGTCAAAATATATCCCCACTGCTTGTCATGTTAATGGTAAGCTAATGCTATATACTTAGTTTTTGCTATGCAATACTTCAGGATAATTTCTTCATTAGAAATATAGGTGGTACACAGTGTGCACAGGGACTGTGTCCAGCTTCTGGAAAAGACTCGACCAAATTTTAGACAGGCACCTCTGAGCCCTGTTTTTGACTAGTCCAGTTTTAGCAAAAATCCTGCTAAATGAGTTTAGAGATAATCCCATCCTCAATAACTGATGATCGTCAACCTGGCCTGTCTTTGGCAAGAATCACCCTACTCTTGATGTCTCCAGTTAGTAGTTTTCCATCCACTGACCTCATCACTGCTCATTGACTATAAATCCTCAGTTGTATTTGCTGTGTTAGTTGAGCCCAGTTTCTTTCCCTTATTGGGTGATGGTCTTAACATATACAGTCCTGAGTAAAGTCTTCTTTACTGCTTTAACAAGTGTCAGAATGGTTTTTCCTTTAATACTTCCTAGTTTACATGCTGGTAGAATAATGTTTGGTAGGGAAAAATCAGCATACTCCTTGTTATGGACTGAATGTGTCCTCCCAAAATTCTTAGGTTGAAATCCTAACCCCAATGTGATGCTTTTAGGAGGTGGGGCTTTTGGGAGATAATTAGGTAATGAGGGTGAAACCCTCATGAATGGGATTGTGTCATTAAAAGAAACCCCAGAGAGCTCTCTTTCTGCCACATAGAAGACAGCAGTCTGCATCTTGGAAGAGGGCCCTCAACACTGATCTCTCAGACTTCCAGCTTCCAAAACTGAGAAATAAATTTGTTTATAAGCCACCCAGTCTATATTTTGTTATAGCATCCCAAATAGTTTAAGGCACCCATTTTCCCCACTGTTTCCCAATACAAATTTCCCCAGTATTGACACTGCCATTCTATGCAAAATGTGTCCTCTTTATAGTCCCTTTGGACTCACAGCAGGTTACTACACATCACAGATCCTCGTCTGAAACTTGTAGGGCCAGATGTCTTAGAATTTGGAGTTTTCCAGATTTTATAAAATATTATGACTCAGACACCAATATGGTTTGGGGCAACACCTATAATCAAGTATATTAACATTTCTGTAGCAAAATGAGTATTAAAGTAGGATAAAGAAAGACTACATATGTACATAAAACCTTGCCGGGGAAGTCAGGCTCAGCTACCAGGTGAGTTTTGTTGCCAAAATGCTAGGAAAATCTTTAACTTTTCAGAGATTTTTGGTCATGGAATTGTAGCAACAAAACCTTTTGTAGAAGAGTAACCAAAATCATGTATGCATTTAGTTCCAACTAGTTAATGTCACATCTCTATTCCTGTCACCCTTCCCTGTGATCTAGTCCCTTTTGTAAGAGAAATATGGTAGTTGAATTATAAAATCTAAAATTAATTTTGTGGTCCAAAGAAAAGCAAAATAGATCTTTAGAATGTAAAGCCATTCTTTACTTTGCCCAATAAAAATTTTGTTATTCCCTGAACACTTTGTGGTGATTGTCATCAGATTCTTCTTCAATGTGCATGCATCCAAAATTATTGCCAGTGGACACCAGAGATTAGTTGTTAAGACCATTTGTAAATCATGAAAGAACAGATAATGTGAAGACATGAAAGGTTAAGAATTGGAAGAAACTTAATTCCCTCTTACTCTTATCAGAAAACTAGCTGTAGTTTATTTCACTGAAATCAGAGATTAATGGTATTTAAAAGACCAATTTACAAGGCTAGGTGTGGTGGCTCACACCTGTATTCCCAGCTCTTTGGGACACCAAAGCAAGAGGATTCCTTGAGCTAGGATCTTGAAACCAGCCTGAACAACATAGTGAGACCATGTCTCTACAAAAAAAGATTTTTTAATTAGCCAGGCATGGTGGTACTTGCCTGTAGTCCCAGCTACTCGGGAGACTGAGGTGGGAAGACTGTTTGAGCCCAGGGTTCAAAGCTGCATGGTGCCACTGCACTCTAGCCTGAGCAACAGAGTGAGACTGTGTCTCCTCAAAAAACAAAAACCAAACCAAACAAAAAAGGCACATTTAATATAACAGGGACTTTATGTTGGCCATTGGCCTTTGGACCTATGAAAGGGTGGGTTGAGAGAAAACAGAAGCTGAAGTTGTACATTCATTGTAATCAATTTTACAATGTATTTATCTTGTTTTAAAATGTATACTTTATAGATGGCTTATCAAGTGCTATTAAAACTTGGAAATATCCCCAAATTTTACCGAAAAAGTATTCATTTAACAAACACAAAATATGTGATAACTATGTTAGGTGGTAAAAGCCCATTTTTCCAGTTATCATGTTGCCCATCTTCTCTAAAACTACTCTGCTTTTCCATGCATTCTCTCTCCCATCAACTTGCCCCATATCTGACCTTTCAGATTAGGGATAATTTTATTTCCCAAACTCAGCTTTCATACTATGAAATACATGGGAGTTATATACTTTTGGGGGGGAAGAAATTGTTGAAATTTATGCAGATATTCTTTTATGTTTTAATAAATCACATATAAAATATTTAGTTATCTTACTTCAGCCATCTTATAATCTTTAAATCCTGCTAAAGTTAAAACATATAGCCACAATTGAAAAGAGAACAAAAAATTGTTCACAGATCCCTAGAGTGTAAAGTATTTATGTTTTAACTATTCTGAAGAGTTTCTATTGAATACAAAACCATTTTTGGACTAGAATTCTGAAATTTTACCATACATTAAATTCATTTCTAGTGGTTCATTTTAGCATGTAAGCAGTTCCATCATGTTTCTCCTCCAAATGTGGACTGATACCTCAAAAAGACTAATTCTAGAAACATGAAGTTTTCCTGGAGAAATGATTAATGGAAGCAAGACTATCAGTAAAAAATATTCAAGAAAAGGGATGTTACTTTACACTGATCAAGTTAAAAAGCCTCTGAAAAGGCAAACAAAAATAAAGAAAAGCAAAATACACTATTTCTCTCCTTTATGGATAAAATGTAGGTCATTTTGAACAATAAAGTCAGGGAGTAAAAGGAAAAAGCCATTTGTTTATTAAGAAAGACTGTCTATTGCATGGATATAGTACAGGTCATACATTAGAGTTTTAGTTTTGGTTAAACCTGTCAGTTATGGTACATCCACAAACAAGTGTGTGCACAGGAATTAGCAGTGACTTGGGAAATTCAGTTGCTCAAATTTTACCACTGCAAGCTCATGGAGTTTAACCAAACAAATGAATCTGCAATCAAGAAAGTAAAAAAACATAAACAAGCTTTAAACAATCTTTAGAAAAAATGTTCACATGCAAGAGACTTCCCAGGCAAGAAGGTTTTGATTAAAAAAAATTTGAGTCCCGAAGTAGTGATTTACCTTCAGAAATATTCTCATCTAGGATTATTACACTCCAAATGCAAAGTGAGCTAGAGAGGGAGAATGCTTGCAAGATGTGTTCAGTTCATATTAAATAAATACAAAGTATGGCTAAATACTATGTATTAAGATTTTCTAGCACCAATTTATAGAAGTTCAGAGTATAGCAATGGAGTAAATAACTTATTTTCTTTTTCAATTCACTCTTTGAAATAAGGAGTGAATAGTATTAGCGGCTATGTTTGGCTTCCTTCAGTAAAAGCAGAAGCTAGAGACTTATTTTCCTTATTCATAAGTTCTAAATTTACCTACTGGGGAAGGAGTTGTATGGGAACCTGTAATAGTTTAGGGCTTGCCCAAAGATGGGGTATGTGTACGTCTATGAAGGAATCCAAAATCTTACCTAACAAGCGGAAAGTTTTCTAGGTAGTTAGTATTCAAGTAGTTCTGTGGTCTCAAAGATTTAGATCCTCTTCCAAAGAGTCTAAACCTGTTACCCAGACACAAGAATTTCATAAATAAAATATTTTAAGTGGAACAACACAGCTCCATTTTAATGTAGTCTAGTGACGTGGTAACTGCTTTAAAAAGAAGAGCAATAATAATAGTTGCTCCTATCCACCTCAGTGGCAGCTTTGAAGCTATTCATAGATGAGATGACAGACTTAAAATAGATTGAAACTTGTTCAGGAAAAAAAAAAAGATAAATATACAAAAGCATTCCAACCCCACTGGAAACAAGAAAAAAATATATATATAAAAGCATGAAGAATTGAAATCAGCCATTAGAATCCCTTAGTAATAAGGAAAATAATATAAAGCCTCCCCAATAATAACCTGTCAAATAGGGTATTCAGGATGAAAAAATATTTAAATTTTATTTTCAATAGCAATGTATGCATAAGAAATTTTGTGAATGGGGTAAACCACTCTGGCATAAAGCAACTATAAAAACTTGAAAAAAAATCTGTACATCATTTTGTTTTGATAAAACCCATTATCCTTGTATTCAAATGTAAAATATGCTGCAATATAATCCAGTGATTTTATGAACAAGGCATGTCCTTAAAGGAATCTATAATTTAAGCAAACAACTCACTGTAACTATAATTTGACACAAACTAGGTAAATGTGGGTCATATACAACACTTTCAATTGTTGATAGAATCAAACAACCATACAGAAACTTTATTGCATTTAGCTCTTCACAACAGAACATATGCTCATTTTTATTATAGAACTACCAGTTATATTGTTGTATAGCCATTTAAGTGGAAATTCCAATAACTGATTTTTCCAATAGCAATGAAGCTGCTACATATTATTTTGTTCTGTACAAACCAAAACTATCTCCAAACAACTAAAACTGTGTAACTTCTAATGGTATTAATCTCTTAGATCCGATATGTAATGTGCCACTTTTATTCTAAATTCAAAGATGAGGTAACTTCAAAGTTGCTTCTTTTTCCTCTGAAATGAAGGACTAAAATAAATGTCTGAAAGAATATAATGTTGCTAGATATTAGAAACAGGATGTGCAGACTGATTAAAGTTCAGGTCTGGCATGCTGATTTTTACAATGCCAAACATCCCTCTCGGGAATTAAAAATATTTCAATCTAGTTTAGTCCTTTCGTACTCTTCTTTTGCGTACTGACTTTATCGGCCCATCTCCAGATCCTGTGCTCTCATCTGCTTCTTTCATCTAGAAAAAATAATTATGAAAAGGTTTCTTTTAGTATAACACATAACTAGTAGATAGTAGTAAACAATATATTTATTATTCTCTAAAATATATGTGCTATCAATCAAGTGCTATTATGAAGGTATTATATGAAATAAAGTTATAGTTATTTCTCAAGGCTATACAAAAATCGATGTATTCCAGCTCACTGACACATACACATAAGAAGACGGAAAGACTGAAAGATGGAATTAAGATGTTTTCGAAGGTACACAAAATATTTTGTAAAGTAAATGTAAATAGAATACATATTCAAGTAAATGACTGCAGGTATTATTTTAAGAAAGTCACAGCAGAAACAATGATTATTTAAAACTTGGCTCTGGAAGAAATTCTCTTCACCTAGCTCTCCCTAAATATGGATATTCATACTAAATAATGGTCCCAAAGTCCCTATAAAAACTCAGAGGGCAGGAAGACCAGCAAACAGTATGTGTACTGATTAAACATTAGGAAAGACTTAACAATAATTGCAAATTTATTTGGAGGATTTCTTTAAATAGATAAAATACAAAATTCATTTCATCACATGCAAGAGCAGGCAGAACTGTACTTTTATCCTACCTACATAGTTGGAATGTAATATGTTAGGATGGTGACTCTGTGGGGTAAGGCTACCCAGCTCTTTAAGGGCCAGAGAAAACTGGTTTTTGGTTTATGCTGGATTAAAAACAAAAAAGAAAAAAGACAGCTCTGGCTCTAATTATACTCGGGATTTCTCATTCCATAATAACTTACAAAAAAAAAGCATTGTGCAAAGTTCCATTTTATATCAGGACACAAAAAGGGGTAGACTAATAAGGGGGGAGAAAAGTTCACTAAAGATTTGAGAAAAATACCCTATCAGGCAGATAGTACTCAACTACCCAATGAATGAAATATTTTAAAACGTGAGAGTAAAATGTTGAGACAATAAAGATGTTTTACAACAGCTATAAAAATTATAATAATGATAATTATCTTTTAAATATTCAAACAATGTGTTTATTATGCTTTTCAATAGAATTTCAATGAGAAAGTCATAATTTTGGATACATGTATTCTATCTTTATATTTTGTACGCCACAGGCTTGCTCTATACTGTTTTACTAGGCATTGAGACAATATAAATTACAGTATTTTTCTTTCCTTCCTTATGGATATGTTTTAAAAACAATATAGAGGCTCTTATAAAAGCTGAGAGAAATATGGCAAAAATTCTTTCATAAATCATATTGGTGCTTTTATTGAAAAAACTTTTTATGGATAACAACTATACATAGAAACCAGCTTATTTTCTGTTACCTCATCCTCTGACCCAGACTTATTTGATTGATTACTTTCTTCTTGCCCTTCTATGATTTCAATTTCTTCTTCACTCTTTTCCTCAGGTTCACTTTCCTCTTCTAGAATACAGATTTTGTTAAAAGCAAAGACTCAATAAATTAGAATTTTGCTACTGAAAAGTATTAAATACAATAAATGGGATTTATTTAAATTCCAAGATTTATTCCAAGATTTAGAAGCAACTTCTTCCATTCAAAATTTTAAAAATTATAAATACTCATTATATTATCATATTTTATAAATGAATCATATTTGAGTTTGGGGACAAGTTTAAAAAATTCTTAAGCATTCAGTCTGTATGTAATATGAAAACCAAAAAATAATAATCTTTCCTGTGTTCCTGTCTTGGAAAATACTTCCTTTAATTTTTGGTGATCTTTTAATCTTCAATATGTTATTTACTTATGTTTGTTCTCTGTGGACATCATGCATTTTTTCAGTTATTGACCCTCCTTAGGATTCCATTTAGCAGAACCTCCAACTTTTGTCATCATTATTAACCAAAAGATATTAAGCACGTCCTAGGAGCTATATAAAGTAAAAACTCCTACCCTACCAAGAATGGGCTTTGGGGAAAGGGAAGTTGAAAAATCAACTCTACTTCTTCTACGTAGTTCCAATGTGGGACTACGTGTATAGATGAAAGTGGTGAAAGTACCTTTATACAAGCAGGCCCCTCCGATACTTAAATTCCCTCTAAATAAGGCTGATCCAGACATCAATATACTAAGCACTAAGAAGTTACAAAAACAAGGCTGGAAACTTACAACCTGAAACATTTGTTGTTTTAGATACCTATCCTAATACACACATGAACATGTGTATGTATATGTGTGTATATATATATATACTGTCTCTTAAAAAATAGATAGACACATATGTGTTTTTAAGTCAACTGTTTCATTAAGTGAGTTAAACACTGTGCTTCAAGACATTTGGCTTGGGACACTGGGCAAATCAATAGTTTTATTTCTACCTTATGTAAGGAGGTCTCAGCGGACAGCCACCAAAGGGTGACTTCAGTTCTAACATCTTCAAGAGTTTAACATAGGGTGAGAAGGGGATATAGGTTCAGCAATCCTTTCAGAAAATTAATTAAATTATTTCTTCTATATGATAAGCATCTGACTAACAATAGCTGTTGGAAGACTTGGTGTTGATTTTGTTGCTGCAATCATCTGTTTTATATCTATTCCTTTTCTACAGAGGCCATGATATACACCCTCTATCACCCTCCATCTCATCTTCTACACTCCCAGAGCCAAGAAACATCCTTGCAAAAAGCTATGGCCTATGGGATTCATTAACTGCTAGGCTCTCAAGCAACTGAACACTATTTAAATCTCCTTCTTCCTAGAATGCAAAAACTATAAACAGGGTGGCTGCTCAGAGGACTATTATTCCTTCTTGCCACAGTCACATATTCTTGGGAGATTCAGATGTATAAACTTGATAATAAACAAGTATAATAACTAGTTATTTCAAGGCCATATACAGTTTTATGAGCTTTACCCAGAGTCTCCATTATAAATCACTCTCATCATCTTACCTTTTTCAAGCATTTCACCATCATTTTGCTTTTTTTCCTCTTCCAGGTCCATTGGTTTTTCCAGGGCTGCTTTCTCTTCCTTTTCTTCTTGCTCTAGTACTCCTTTTGTTTGTGGTATACATATGTCGGTTTTTTTATACTCTGTATCTTTATGTTTTTTCTGTGGTAGTTAACATAAGTTATTTTTACTAAAGGCAGAGTGCTATTTTGAAAGTTTTTTTGCAATAATTGATAACATACATAATGAACTATCAGTAAAACTTATGAGACATTTAGTTTATTACTTTTAAGAATCGCTTAATTTATAGAACTCTTAAACAACAAGAAATTTGGGTGAAAAAAGTTGAAGGAAATCCATTTTCTTTACCTTTACTTTTCTTGGCCAACAAAATGAAGTAATTAATGCTATTGGCACTCCTGCTGTCACAAGATAAATCAACCAAAGCCATGGGTGCCCTTCAGCAGCTGCCATTAACTGTTTTAATACACCAGGCTATAGACGAGATAAGCATAAAAATGCAATTCAAATTTTACAAACCTTTACTGGGTAACACAAGATACAAAAAAACTTATTTACTCAGGCATTTTACATTAAGGAGTGATGAACTCGTAAGTAAAAGAAGTTTCATTTTCCCACCTTATACTTTGTAAAGTCTAATTTAATTATTAGCATGCATCACTGAGTGAGACTTGATAGCAGAAGGTATGTTATGACAAAAGTGGAAACTTCTAACATACTGGCAAGAAAAATGGTAATTTTCCTTTTTGGTAAATTTCAGAATAGAACTACCTTTTATGGATGTATTACCTGGTTTATTTGAAGTGATCATTCATTCTGTACTCTGATCATTCATTCTGTACTTTTAAAGAACTTACTAAAAATCATACCTCAGAATTGTTTTCTTTTTTATATAAACACATTTCACACATAAGACCCTCAGTAAGGATATTATTTCTCTTATTAAAATAAAATTTAAAAAATCAAATGTTTTAGTTACAAGAGGTTCAAAACAAGAATCCCTCTTCACCTACTCTTTTGATGGTTTTTCGCTAGTGACCCAAGGAACCAAATGTAAGGTAAGAATTTTTCTTTATAGCAACTGAATTTAATGATACATTTTCTAAGATGCATTGTGTTGAAATATTTAGCCCAACCTTTTCTAAACAGTGTTAAGGTTTCGGGAAAAAACTGGAACAGAATTTAATAATGTTAAACTATAAATTCTTTGTACATTCCTCTAAGTAAAAAATAGTTAAATAAACAGTAATATTTAGATTATCATTGTCACTTAGGTCTTGAACTGGCAAGATGACAAAGATATTAAGTAGTCTTCTTCTATGAACAGTAAATAAGCATTAAATCCCATTAGTGATGTTATAATTTAATGAATAAAATGAGGACTTACATATGCATATATAGCTCATAATGAAGTAACATAAAAAGCAAAATATTCTGTCTACATAAACTTATTCAAACACATTTCCTTGGCATTTAGTAGTTACTGCACATTTATTTGCATTTAAAAGAGCCATCTGAATAACCTACAACCAAGACCAAGTATTATTATTCATAGTTATATCACTACTGCTATTGGTCAACACCATACCTTATTAGCATTTGCTATCATTATTTTCCATCTCCAACCATCTGCAGCCCAGTGATCTGCTACTTCCTTTTCCGAACAGATAATAAAATTATCAAAGTAGATATCAGAGGTCATAGACCAAAGCTCTAAACCAAGAGCACTGAAAGAAGTCAGAAGAAATGGATGATCATCTTCGAAATAATCTGGATTAGGAATTTTTCGAGGACTCCAGATTCCCTGGAAGAAAAGTAATTGAAGACATTTTCAAATAAAATAACTTCATTATAAATGCTGCTTAATAAGTAGCTGCTGTTGAATGAAATTCGCAATGCTAACTGGAAAAAAGAGAATTTTAACTGATATTAATTCATTAGTAATATACTGGATATAAAATCTTGTTTCTTTTGCTGTGTACACAATGTTCCCTACGAGTGATACTAACTTTAAATTCTGCAAGAAAAGGAAAAGGGAAAATCCAACATAAACAGAAACGTGAATAAATTTCACAATTTGTCTACTTTGGACAAATTTTTAGATTTAGTAAAGTTATTCATTGCAAAATGTTATTCAAGTTGTCCAAATCAGAAAGATCATTGTATAGCAAAAATGGAGTTACTCCATTTAACATATACCCATGACAGATATCATTAATCAGGTATGGTTGAATCTCGGCACAACTACTCAACCTAAAACTTCCATTAGATCTTAAATGATTAAACTGTCCATTAAATCAAATACATTCAACAATATCATTGCTCACTGACTCACTCCACCATCACATGTATGTATTCTGGGCCAGGCACTATGCCAGATGATGGAGACATACATGGTTCCTGTATTATGGAGTTTAAAGTCAAATAAAAGAGACAGACATCAAACAAAAAAATTTACCAAAAGAAACATTTTGTGTTAAATGCTTTTAATAAAAACTACAGTGAGTAATTAGAATATGAAACTGCATATATATAATGTTAGAACGTATCCATAAATAATTACAAAGATAAAACTAGAGGGTTAAGTGGATAACATAGAAACTTTTAATATAAAAAGCTAGGTACACTCAAAAGATGTCGATTGATATCAGAAAAAAATCAGGGCTGGGTTCGGTGGCTTACTTCTGTAACCTGAGCACTTTGGGAGGCCAAGGTGGGCGGATCACGGTCAGGAGTTCGAGACCAGCCTGACCAACATGTGAAACCCCGTCTCCGCTAAAAATACAAAAGTTAGCCGGGCGTGCTGGGGTGTGCCTGTAATCTCAGCTACGTAGGAGGGTGAATCAGGAGAATCGCCTGAGCCCAGGAGGCAGAGGCTGCAGTGAGCCAAGATCACGCCAGGCCAGGTTTTTTGTTTTTTTGTTTTTTTGTTTTGAGTCTTGCTGTGTCGCCAGGCGGGAGTGCAGTGGCACGATCTCAGCTCACTGCGATCTCCACCTCCAGGGTCCAAGAGATTCCCCTGCCTCAGCCTCCTGAGTAGCTGGGACTACAGGCGTGCGCCACCACATCTGGCTAATTTTTTGTATTTTTAGTGGAGACAGGGTTTCACCATGTTGACCAGGGTGGTCTCCATCTCCTGACCTCGTGATCCGCCCGCCTTGGACTCCCAAAGTGCTGGGATTACAGGCATGAGCCACCGTACCTGGCCAAAAATCAGAATTTTAATAATACTAAATAATAAGTACATTAATTAAGCACAGGCATTAATTACTAAAATGTACAATATGAGTCTATTTGATCAAAATTCACTTCTTATATTTACTTCTAAAATAGAACTTTATTTCAAAGTGAGCATCAACTGATAATTAGGGAAGAATATAGTATGAAGTGATTTATTTCCCCAGAAAATTAAATAATTGATGCTCTACTTTTAAAATATAAATTAGTTGAGGTCTATTTTCTTTGACATCTTAAAATTAAAAATGAAACTTCCAAAAGTTGACATAGGTAATTAGATATTTAAATAGAAAAGATCACAACATTTTTAACTTCACTAAATAATTGGAACAAGCGGTTGTTACCTGATAGTTAGGATTATCGACCAGTGGAGGTCTCCATACTCCTTTGTATTTTGGGTTATCTATCATGGGAGGTTTCCACTCACCACACCCAATCCGACATGCTGGATTAAGAATCTGAGGTGCCTCCCATTCTCCATCCGTGTCTTCATTCCTTAGGATATTAAAACAAAGCAAATACAGTAACCTCAAGTCTCAGATCAGTCATATAAACTAGTAACAAAAATGCATGTAAGAAACATTTGAAATCGACATTTGAAGATGAAGAGTGCTTACCAGTCATCAGGTTTTTCAGCATTAGGATCAGGGATAAATTTTGGTTCATCATCAAGCCAGCCAGCAGGTTTAACAACACTTGAATCTTCTATTTGGGCAGGTTCACTTTCATCCCTGTAAATACAACGTTTTATATTACTAATTATTCAGAAAGTTTAAAAATGCATGTTACAACACTAAGAAGGTACCATAAAATTATTTCCCTCCCTTTTGTTTGTGCCTGTTATTTGTCCTCATCTACTACCCACCTAAATCTTTTGCTAACTTGCCAATTTTTGGTACATATTCCCTGTTGTGCTCTATGCATACATGCACACACGTATACATTCTTTTTTTTAATACGAATGATAGCATTCTATACATAATGTATTAGACCTTGCTTTTGTTACTTAAAAACTCAGTCATTCATCAACAAATATATATTGCATGCTTACTATGTGTCAAGACTGTTCGAGGAGCTCCATTATTATTATTTTTTTCTTGAGGTGGAGTCTTGTTCTTGTTTCCCAGGCTGGAGTGCAATAGTGCGACCTCAGCTCACTGCAACCTCTGCCTTCCGGGTTCAAGCAATTCTCCTGCCTCAGCCTCCAGAGTAGCTGGGATTACAGGCACCTGCCACCACGCCTGGCTAAGTTTTTGTATTTTTAGTAGAGATGGGGTTTCACTATGTTGGCCAGGTTGGTCTTGAACTCCTAACGTCAGGTGATCCACCCACCTCAGCCCCCCAAAGTGCTGGGATTACAGGCATGAGCCACCATGCCTGGCTGGAGCATATATATATACATATATATATATATATGTATATATATATATATGTATATATATATATATACACATATATATATATACACATAGCTTCATTCTTAACAGTTGCATAGTTTTCTACTTGAGGATACACCATAATTTATTTAGCTTATCTCCTCTTGGAGGACATTTAGTGTTTCCAAAATTTTACTATTATTAATACAAACAATGCCATAGTGAATGTCCTAGAATATATGCCATTTCTCATCTGTGAAAATATAATTGTTAAGAGTATGGACATTTTAAATTTTGATAGTAGCATCCAAATTACTCTCTATAATGGTTACACTCCACTTCCGGTTCTACCAGCAGCATGCAAAAGTACCTATTTTCTCCTGTCCTTGCGAAGAGTGTTACCAAACTTCTTGATTTCTGCCCATGTGGTAGGTGAAAAATGGTATCTCACTGAACTTTGAATGTACATTTAGTAGCATAAGTGATACACAAAAACTATTTTTTCTTAGCTCATTACCTTTATACTAAGAAATTAGCTCTCTGTCAGCTATATGATTGAAAATAATTTTTCCTGGTTCTTGTGTGTTTTTTGAAATAGTTTAGGGAGGTTTTTTTTTTTGCAATATACAAATCATTTATTTTCATGTAGTTGAACTTATTTTTAAAGGATTCTTGGATTTTATGTCATATTTGGAAAGTTCTTCCCTATTCCAATATAATTTTTAAAACTCTCCTTATTTAATTCTAGCATTCTTATTTTAAAAAGAACACTTAGGCTGGCGTGGTGGCTCAAGCCTGTAGTCTCAGCACTTTGGGAGGCTGAGGCGGGAGGATCACGAGATCGGGAGTTCGAGACCAGCCTGACCAACATGGTGAAATCCCATCTCTACTAAAAATACAAAAATTAGCCGGGCGTGGTGGCGCTTGCCTGTAATCCCACCTACTCATGAGGCTGAGGCAGGAGAATCCCTTGAACCCAGGAGGCAGAGGCTGCAGTGAACTGAGATCACGCCATTGCATTCTAACCTGGGTGACAGAGCGAGATTCCATCTCAAACAAAAACAAAAACAAAAACAAAACACTTAGTAAATTCTGAAGTATATAAACATAAAGTACTGAACTACTAATACAATTTTCATCATTACAGAAAGATAGAAATTTTAAACAAGAGGACACTTCATGATTTTCCAAATGAGTTACAAAATAAACAGAAATAATCAACTTTACAAATGTATAGATTTGTGCTTGCCTGATACCAATGTCATCTTGAGTTTCTGAGTGCTCAGAGTAACCAAAAGTTAAAATTTAATGGAGCATTTCTTTTAGTACTTTGTAAAACAAATTCTAACACATTTCAACAATCAGAATGAAGCAGTTATATGTGGTTTCTCTCATTTAAGGGCAAACATACTCTTTTTTTTTTTTTTTTTTTTTTTTGAGACAGAATCTTGCTCTGTCACCAGGCTGGAGTGCAGTGGCACGACCTTGGGCTCACTGCAGCCTCTGCCTCCTGGGTTCAAGCAATTCTCCTGCCTCAGCCTCCCGAGTAGCTGGGATTACAGGCACCCGCCGCCATGCCCGCTAATTTTTGTGTTTTTAGTAGAGACGGGGTTTCGCCATGTTGGCCAAGCTGGTTTCGAACTCCTGACCTCAGGTGATCTGCCCACCTCGGACTCTCACACACATACAATAAAGATCAAACTAGGAATGAAAATTAAAGCACTGGTATTTTGGATTTATGAAATTTTTAATCCACAGCATTGAAAACATAAAAAATAAATATATATTAAAAAATGCAACATAATTATCAATAGAAATAAAAAAAAATTACAGGGAGGGAAGTGTAAAATCCATTTTAGAAAATATTTCACCCAAAATACTAAAAATAAGTAGTTCTGATGTTTAAAAAAATAAACTTCATGGGTTGTAAACTTCACTTATATGTTGTTTCATTACCTAGTTATGCCAGATAATGCTTTGCTACCGAATTATTTGCTTACCAGTCTTCTGGTTTGACGGCAGAAGGATCAGGAATTTTTGCTCTTTCATCCCATTCCTCAGGTTTTTTATCATTGGGATCTTCAATTTCTTTGGGAGGTTTGATAGGAGGAACCACATCCTCTAGGAGGCTTCCTTTGTTTACAACTGTTTGATCAACTAACACCTCAAATGTGTCATCTGGATTCATCACTAAGGGACCAATTTAAATAAATTATAGTTATCATTTTGATATACGCTTTAAAGATAATCTTCTAAATAATGTAACTACCCTTAACTCCATGGGTAAAGCTTTTTTCCCAACCAGAAATAGAGGAATAACCAATGTATTGAACTAAAACATTCTAAAATCACTAGATACATTTCCTAAAGATAAAATTTTGTTTTAAACTGCATTTTTTACAATAAAATGCTCCATTACTTCTCAAATAAAAAATAATACCAAATAGCTCTGTTTTGGGACTCATAACGAGTCAGCTTCACTCTTTTATAGTTACAAAATACAAGCTAATCTTTTTCAGCATTTAATTTTTTTGATACCATCTTAAAGTGTTGTAAGTATAACAAAAAATTAATTTATTCTGTTCTAGTAATATTTTCTCATTATTTCTACAGTTTACTTGGTGTTCCCCCAAATGCCTAGTTTTTTCAATTATTTCATAAAGATATTTATTATATCACATCTGATATTGAAGATGAAATGGGCATTGCCCGAGCAGACAAAATGAATGTTTCTACCACTGCAGCATTTGGGGAAAAAGATTGAAATACTTTAATCTTGGGTGGAGTTGAGACGTGAGAAAGGAAGCCAATAGGGCCATTTCAAAATGTCCTATTAGGTTCCAATATGCTCTGATTTTGATAGTGGGCTGACCAGAGCTCTACAGCCATTATACTTGAGAATGGGAGAAACAACTGCTTATGATGTCCCTCACCCCCATATCTATGCAAATTCCTATTTACTTAAGTATATTAATATATGGCTGCTCAATGCTTCTCCTTTCGAAGTACATGCCACAACCAACACAAGGTAGGACATAACAATAATCACAACTGCCTACAGAATAAAGTCTAAACTTTTTAGTCTGGCATTAAGGGCCTCTTCCTTTTTATTTTTTAGTTTTCTGTTCTGGCCTCTTCCTTTTTATTTTCTAGTTTTCTGTTCTTACAGCACCACTGTCACAACGTCTAAAATGTCCTTTCACCCTACTGTCTTCAACATTCTATCTGTACTTCAAGACGAGTTCAAATATAATCTTTCCTAGCTTTGTTCCAAGTCTCTAAGCTGGAAGTAATATTGCTTGTGAACTCTTAGCTGTGCCTCATCTCTCTTTCTTATATGGTACTTTATTTTCTACCCGTGCTGTCATTATACATGTCCTATTTTCTGAAAAAGATAAGCTCCTTCAGGATGGGGTACACATTTGTTTTCTTGTAAAGCACTTGCCATGAATACATCAATAGTCAGCAAATATTTTTGAATACATGAATGAATTAAAAGGGTATACCAAGGGTATAAAGATGAGTCTTCCTGTCTGTAAAGAACTTTTTAAGGTCTACATCTGGAGGTTTGGCATGTTTCTCTTCGAAAACTCCAGTTTTGGGATGTTTATGTCTGAAGATAAAATGAAGTTTATAATCTTCTCCACATTTATCTGGTCCAAACATAATGATATAGGATGTTTTATCATAAAAGTTTTCCTTCAAAGAGAGATGAGTGTTGGCATTAGTCCAGAATCACAGACTATTTAATGCATTTCTGTATTTTATCCAATGGGTAGAGTTTACAAAAATATATTAAATGGTAATTCACCAGAGAGCTAGCTATTTAATACAAGTGACAATAAAGGACATGGGAAAATGACAAATTTTACTTCAATATAGATTTTTTTAAGTACACACTACTTCCTGACGATGTGGGACAGAAGCTGAAAATACTCTAGCAACACCATAATATGCTTTAACTCTCTATGTAAATCTATATTACTAATATTTTTATTGAGAGAATTAGGCATTAGAGGAAAGCATATTTATGGCCTTAAGACTAAAATTATCACCCATTACTATTACTTAGGAAGATACCAGAAAATGACCCTCTGAGCACAAGATGAAGAGAGATTCATTCAGACATAAAAACAGACACGAGGACATGAATTTCTCTTTATTTGGCATGGCATAGTGGTTAACAGCATGGGGCATGGAGTCAGATACTGGGGTTCAAATCCTACCACTGCCTCTTAAACTAGTTGGGTGTCACCCTGACTCAAATTTTTTAAAGCTCTCTGCACCTCCATTTCATCACCTCTGAAGTATGGAGATGATAATAGTACCTACCTTATAAGAGTTCTCTAAGGATTAAGTGAATTAATCAGATAAAGTGCTTATAGAAATACTTGGCATTAGATTTTTTTGTCATCCTACCTTCAAGTGTTCATCTAAAACAAGAGCTTCAACATATACTCCAATGGCCTCTCCTTCACTTGATCCTAATAATAATGAGTAGTACATGAAAAAGTCTCCCATCTACATTTCATAGCTTATGTACAGCTAAGTGTTCTGAAAAATATACCCCTGATGTCTCATCTATCGTATTTCTGTTATATGCAGAAAGTCTGAAACAGCCTTTTACAGGAGAAGGCTATAAGAAATATCCCCAACTTTCCAATGGTCCTAATACAACCTCTTAGAAGTATAAACCTATTTCATCATGAAAAGTTTTTAAAATTAGTTACTTTCTGTGGGTTGCTAACCCCTTTTAATTTGGTTCTTCGGCCATTTTGTTTCACTGCTATGCTTTGTTATGCTTCTCTAAACAAACTTAAGAGTCTTATTCTGTAAAGAAAATAACTCTAAGCTATATTTCAAAAGAAATTTATAAGTATCACGTAGTTTTTGTCCTACAGACATGGTAAACTTTTTCATGTTGTTAAAGATTATAAAATTGATGCCTTCAAGTAACACAGCTTTATATAAAACTTGAAGGCGAATTGTAAGAGCTATGTAAATTCACATTGAAAAAAGATATCTACAATTCTTTTCAATTTCAGTTGAAGACAAAATATTCAGTTTTATCATTTGTTCCTTAAAAATACTTATTAACTTTAATAAGGTTTTCTTAAATATTAAAATATCATACCAGAATCAAATCATCAGTGTCTGCTAGGAGTTTAATGTATGCACCTCCACAATCAATACCATCTTGAAAATTTACTTCATATCTGAATAAAGGGAAAAAGAACCGTACTACTGATAAATAAAATTTACTAGTTGCTCTTTAAAATATAATCTTATTATTCTCAATTCATGTAAGTATAAATTTTTTTACATTATCAGAAAACTCATATAAAGCATATCTACAACCTATAGGAAATAAGCAGAAACGCTTTTCTACTACTCTAAAACAAGACACATCATTAAAATATTAAAAATAGAATGATTACAATCAACTGCAGACAAACCAATCAATTTGTTTAAATTTTTTTCCATCAAAACTGATAAATTAAGCATAAGATACTGTAACTAAAACTACAACAGGAAATTTCAAATTCTGATAAGGTAAGCACTATACTTACACTTTATAAACTAAAAAAAAATAAAGGCCGTAAGAACCACAGCTACAGCAAGATTTCTACGAAATTGCTAATGATCTTAGATACCTAGAGTTCATTACACCTTACCATGTTAAATAAGTTGTACATTTAATTAAATAGCTCCAGCAAAGAGATTCATAATCTCAGTCAATAAGCTGGATTTCAGACCTAAACAGCCAGGAGATATGGGAAATTTTCACTGTTTAGTATAACAGCTAAAAGAATGAACATGAGAGTCTCTTATGAATTTACAACACAGTGTAATTCTCAGCAAAGTTTTTTTTTCTTTATTGGTAACTTTAAAAGGAAATAGCCTTGCTATGGCAATGAGGCATAGACTTACGAGATTTTTTGTTGTTAAATTAACGAATTATATGTGACAAAAATCAACAAGGAAATGGCTGTCAAACAGTAAAAACAAAAAAGGTTATGATTTCATTAAATGAATTAAATCAAAAAGACATGAAAACTAGAGAAATAACCAGAAATAATGATCATTTTAATAAAGGACTATAGTTGTAAATGTTTCTGAAGAAATTTAGTGACAAGAAGGTAAAACATGATAGTATACAAAATTTTAACAGTTTGAACTCAATTGGTGTACATATTTTGTATTAAAAAAAAGGAAACAAAATTTTAAGTATCTCTGATTTGAAAGGGGTGATTTTCTCCTATACTTTTTACCATGCTTTATTTCTTAAGCTATCTACAACAGTGGCCACAAGCATGTACTTTAAAGTCAAAATGACCTGAGAGTTATTCTTGATTCTGCCACTTACTCTAGTGACTCCTTGGGTAACGGCAAGTCATTTAAGCTCTAAGTCTCTATTTGCTCATCTATAATATGCAGACATGGCCCATACTTACACCTCAAAGGATTGTTATGATGATTAAAGGATATCATGCCCAATGAGGGGCAAATACATGCTCAAAATGCTTCTATGATAATCAGAAGGAAGGTATTCTTTCGTTCTTTTTCATTTTTTAAATAGAGGACAGTTTGTTTTCCTCAAAGTCTTATCTTTATTTTAAGCAATAGCTGACAAAATTTTGTTTTTCATGGAATTTAAGTATTTGAAGACTATAAGTAGAACACGTGGTGCATGATATGACTTAAAGGTCACTGTTTTTAGAAAAAAAATTAAAAAGATTTTGCTTTATAATAGATTATCTCAGGACAGAGCATTCTGTAAAAAGGTAAGAATTGGAAAAAACAATTTTGTACAGTGGCTGCATAAATGTGAACACAGTTTCATTGTTCCATTATGCCTAGATTCAATCACCTTGTCCATTTCTTATACTGCAAACTTTTAGAGTTTTCAAATAATTAACTTTTACCTAGTATAAATGATTCACAATGGATTAGAGGATCAACAAAATGTTTATCATACAGCTTGACTACTGCTAAACTTCCAGTCATAGGAAAACCAAGGACATATGCAGAGTATATGGTAACCTTAATTTCTTTAGAGTATCATTTCTCAAATTGTTCCATGAAATAGCAATTACTGTTAGGTGGGAAAATAAACTTATGTGATCAAATGTGTTTGGGAAACACAGTAGTAATGCTGAAAACAGGTTTTCATATGTAGAACTTCTCAGTCTTTAATGAGCTAACATACTTCCTTTTTTAATTTTATTTTTATTTATTTATTTATTTTTTTTTTGAGACAGTCTCACTCTGTTGCCCAGTTGCCCAGGCTGGAGTGCAGTGGCATGATCTCGGCTCACTGCAAGCCCTGCCTCCCGGGTTCACGCCATTCTCCTGCCTCAGCCTCCCGAGTAGCTGGGGCTACAGGCGCCTGCCACCACACCCGGCTAATTTTTTGTATTTTTAGTAGAGACAGGGTTTCACCATGTTAGACAGGATGGTCTTGATCTCCTGACCTCGTGATCCACCCACCTTGGCCTCCCAAAGTGCTGGGATTACAGGTGTGAAGCACTGCGCCAGGCCTTTACTTCCTACGTTTTGAGTTAGGATATTCTTCATCTTTAATTATATTCATATATATTAACATGTATACAATTTGGGAAAAGCAGCTTTATAGTAAAGTTATGTTGTAAATCAGCATTTATAGCATTGAATATAAATCTCTTCATTTTATTTACCCCATTTCATTTTATCAATATTAAGAGGAGACAAACATTCACTCTCCTTTGAATTGTTTTTAAACATATGAAAGACTGCTATTCAATTCTTGGTCCTCTTTTTTTTTCTTTCTTTCTTTTTTTTTGAGGCAAGATCTCATTCTGTCACCCAGGCTGCAATGCACTGGTGTGACCTTGGCTCACTGCAGCCTCGACTTCCTGGGCTTAGGTGATCCTCCCACCTCAGCCTCCAGAGTAGCTGGGACTACAGTCGGGCACCACCATGCCTGGCTAATTTTTAAAATTTTTTTGTAGAGTCGGGGTTTTGCCATGTTGCCAGGTTGGTCTTGAACTCCTGGGTTCAAGCTGTCTGCCCACCTAGGCCTCCCAAAGTGCTGGGATTACACACATGAGGCATGAGGCACCATGCCAGGCATGGTGGGGAGGTGGAGAGGTTGAAAGAAAGGATTATCTGTGAGAATGTGACCTTTAAAAGGGGTCCCTGCTTGAAAGACACTGGTATTCATAAACATTTATTTTTGAAATAAATTTTCTGCCTTTGAATCTTATCACTGGTTTAATAGCAATTTTTATTATTCTGTTCTGAATATATTGTTTAATATTTTGATAACAAGTAATTTTTTTTATTTTTATTTTTTTTTTTATTTTTTTTTTTGAGACGGAGTCTCGCTCTGTCGCCCAGGCTGGAGTGCAGTGGCGGGATCTCGGCTCACTGCAAGCTCCGCCTCCCGGGTTCACGCCATTCTCCTGCCTCAGCCTCCCAAGTAGCTGGGACTACAGGCGCCCGCCACTACGCCCGGCTAATTTTTTGTATTTTTAGTAGAGACGGGGTTTCACCGTTTTAGCCAGGATGGTCTCGATCTCCTGACCTCGTGATCTGCCCGCCTCGGCCTCCCAAAGTGCTGGGATTACAGGCGTGAGCCACCGCGCCCGGCGATAACAAGTAATTTTAAGAGTAAAACAAAAATGGTGATTTTTACTATGCATTATATAGTTTATGACAGCAGAATTGTATATATTACAGTATATATCACATAATTTTTAAATTTTTTTAAGAGAGCCAAACTATTTATTCCTCATTTAGTCAATACAAGCACTCAGACCAAAGGAAATATGCTGCTTAATAGCCCACATACAACTCCTTGAAATAAACAAATATAAATATTAGTACTAGGCCATAAGAATGGTTGATCTTTGTATAATTTTATCATTTACCTGCTTTTTATTGAAAGCATGGATATGTTTGTGTGTATATGCACATTTGTGTTTTAACTAAGTGAAACGAAAAAGGAAGATCTAGATTTTCACATCCATTTTCAAAATACAAGCTATATTCAGAAGCCAAAGCTAATACAAAATTCAGAAAAAGTATTCAAAAACATAGCAACACTTACTGAACTATCAAGGGTTTATCAGCAAAAATGAATGGTTTTGCTAATACAGCAGATATTGCATGATGCTTTGCTCTAGATTTTAATACCAGTCCTCTGTCACCAGGTACCTGGTTTTCTTTCAACTCTTCAATTTCCCATCTTCCTAAAAAATAAAGCAAAGCAAATTAAACTAAAACAGAAAACATTGACCTAAGAATTATTTATCAGCAGTTGTGAACAATAATTTTTATCCAGGAAGCCTGACTTGGGAAAAATAAAAATTTTAAATCAGGAAATATCTTCAACTATATATGTATGCCTGCTCATTTATCTTTTTTTTTCTATCAAAGAATGATTTCATCTTCTTAACTAAAGTTGTGAAAACTAATAGCAAACACTATAGTGTCTAATTAAGTCACTCTTAAAGCTGAATTAGTTTGGTTTTTCTATGAAAGAGTTTTTAATCAATGAAATTATAAAATGTGGTTTGTCTCAATAGGGTATGTCAATATTGTATTTTCAAAATGACATATTTGAAACTGCATATGACACATAACACAAAATGAGTAGTCTATTTATTTTGAAATGCACAATACTCATCAGCTACTTTTCTTACTTGCAGCAGTTATTGTAAAGATTTAAAGTTCATTTTGAAAACTGCATGCTTAATTCACACAAACCCTTCTCAGGGTACACTAATCAGCTCTCAGAACTTTTGGCCAGGAAGGCAGCAAAGCACTGCATAAGTGCTAAGCTACAACAAGGCAAAACTGAGTTAGGCCTTCTCTGTGTTACAATTTTCCATGTTAAGATCAGGACATTCCTGAAATTAGATTATGGGCCACATACAATGCAAAGCTAGGTGGGCTACCTATAGCCCAAAAGTTATATGTTAGACTTTACTCCTTTACTGGTTTTAGAATAGAAAATCAACTTATATTTGTTTGTGTAAAATCTTCTGTTTTGAAAATGATAGGTATTGCCTATTCCAAGAAAATTCAATTCGACAAAACTGGCTATTTTCCAGTATTGTGTCAACTCAAAATATTCATTAATGAGCACTTTTGAATCACAAATGCTCTTATATCATTTTTTTTCTTTCTAAGAAAAATAATGCAAGAACCAGACACAGTCTTATAAATCAAAGAGGGGTAATTTTTGGTCTATAATTGTACATACATTTTTAGACTTTTAAAAATGTGTGTGTTTTTATTAAGTTTCCAAGTTTCTTTTCTTTCTCCCCCTGATTTGGTCATATTATATTTTTTTGAAAAAGATTAATGTACTTGGTTTTCTTTCTCTCACATTGATGGTGAATTGTATTATCACTAACTTGTAGTTTGCCTCTCGCCCCCTATAAAGGTCTTATTTTAAGAAGTAACAACTTTATCTGGAAGTCCTAGCCAGCGCAATCTGGCAAGAGAAAGAAATAAAGGACATACAAATTGGAAACGAGGAAGTCAAGCTATCACTGTTTGCTAATGATATGATTGCATACCTAGAAAACCCAAAAGACTCATCCAATAGACTACTAGACTTGAAAAATCAATTCAATAAAAGTCTCAGCTTACAAAATCAATGTACACAAATCAGTAGTACTGCTACATAGCAACAACGACCAAACTGAAAATCAAATCAAGAACTCAATGACTTTTACAATGGCTGCAAAAAAAAAAAAAAAAATCCCTAGGAATATTCTTAACAGAGGTGAAAGATCTATCTATACAAGGAGGACTACAAAACACTGCTGAAAAAAATCATAGATGACACAAACAAATGGAAACACATCCCATGCTCATGGATTGGAAGAATCAATATCATGAAAATGATCATAGCGCCCAAAGCCATCTACAGATTCAGTGTGATTATTGTGAAAATACCAAAAACATTTTTCACAGAATTAGGAAAAAAAATCCAAAAGTTCATATGGAACCAAAAAAGAGCCTGAATAGCCAAAGTAATCCTAAGCAAAAAGAACAAATCTGGAGACATCACATTACCTGACTTCAAATTATACAGGGCCATACTATCAAAACAGCATGGTAATGGTCTCAGGTAGACACATAGACCACTGGAACAGAATAAAGAACCAGAAATAAAGCAAAATACTTACAACTAACTGATCTTTGACCAAGCATACAAAAATATAAATTAGGGAAAGGACACCCTATTTAATAAATGGTACTGAGAAAACTGGCAAGCCACATATAGAAGAATGAAACTGGATCCTTACTTGTCACCTTATACAAAAATCAACTCAAGATGGATTAAAGACTTAAACCTAAGATCTGAAACCATGAAAATTCTAGAAGATAACACCAGAAAAACTCTTCTAGACATTGGCTTAGGCAAAGAATTCATGACCAAGAACCCAAAAGCAAATGCAACAAAAACAAAAATAAATAAATGGGACCTAATTAAACTAAAAAGCTTCTGCACAGCGAAAGAAATAATCATCAGAGTAAACAGATAACCCACAGTGTGGGAGAAAATATTAATAACCTATGAATCTGACAAAGGACTAGTATCCAGAATCATGAGACTCAAACAAATCAGCAAGAAAAAAATTAATCCCATCAGAAAGTAGGCAAATGACATAAATAGACATTTCTCAAAAGAAGATATAGAAATGGCCAACGAACATGTTTAGAAAATGCTCAACATCACTAATCATCAAGGAAATGCAAATTAAAACCACAATGAGATACTACGTTACCCCTGTAAGAATGGCCATTATTAAAAAGTCAAAAAACAATTGGCATGGATGTGGTAAAAAGGGAACATTTATACACTGCTGGTGCAATGTAAATTAATACAGCCTCTATGGAAAACAGCATGGAGGTTTATTAAAAAACTGAAAGTAGATCTACTATTTGATCCAGAAATCCCACTACTGCTTTTTCTGTGCATATGGTGGTGTCCTTTTTGGAGTTGATAAGCATATATATATATATATATATATATACACACACACACATATATATACACACATATATGTGTATATGTATATATATTTGTGTATATATGTATATATGTGTATATATATACACAGGGGATTTGCTGGGATGGCGAACACCATGCAAAGGAAGACATGCAGGTATGATCTTTATCTTACACTAAACAGAAACTATGAAAAGGAAGCAGACAGCTGACATCCAACATGCTATCTGTTTTGCTGTTGTGATGTAACTGCTTATCAGAGTCTGAGTGCAGGGCCACATGTTTATGAGTATGAGGTCCTCTGAGAAAGAAGAAATTACCACTATCA
Source organism: Homo sapiens (assembly GCF_000001405.40). NCBI lineage: Eukaryota > Metazoa > Chordata > Mammalia > Primates > Hominidae > Homo > Homo sapiens. The sequence continues at coordinate 140,409,189 of NC_000004.12, forward strand.
GTCACTGTGAGAAGAGGCTGATCTTGCTTCAGCATATAACAATCAAGGAGGCTGGTTTTTAGACCACAAAGAAGAAAATATTTGGTCATACTCTAGGGTAGTCCTATTAGGGAAGACAATATGACCCCTGCCTATAGGACATTTCTTTCTAGAGCTAAGGTTGAAGATAATCCTATTAGACACCCTATGATAATGGATATAGACCTGGAGATGAGGATTCCAGAAGCAGCCACATATCTTGTAGCTCTCATTAGCTATCTTCTGCTTTTTACTTGCTAGGAGAATCTTACCATAAATTATAATTTATTTAATTTATAGATCAAGGTGTGTCTATGCTTGAGATGAAACCATAGAGACAGCAGTAGCCTGGGAAATACTGCTTCAGGAAATGCAAAAGACTAACAGCAGTAGAGTGAAAATTCAACTGTTCAGTTAGAAAACTAGATTAACTGGCTTAAGAGTGAGATTTTCAGAAATAGCGAAGGGTTTTTCAGAAATATTGAAGAGGGACAAGATAAAAGACTGAACATTTTATTGTGAGGCAGGGTGGGGGACTCCAGCCAACACAATTTAACAAAAATCTAATCTCAAAGTTTAGTGAACTCCAGGCCATACTGGTTATATCTAATACTTAAATAAATATTTTACCATCGTATATTGAAATTTCCTCATCCATGTCATCTTTCTTTGCTTTTGATAAGACCCATCTGTAAATAAAGTTGAACATACATATATGTCATTGACAATAAAAGCAGCAATTTATAGATATAAGGCATACAGAAACACAATAAAAGATCACCCAATACAGTCACTTTTCATTCAACAATAAATTCATACTTAGATGCTAAATAAGGATGCCTACACATAATCCTGAAGGGCTAGAGTTAAACCGAATTTGGAATCTATAATTTACTAGCTGTATGATCACAGGTAAGGTACAAGAAACCTCGGTTTCTCCACCTGTAAAATGGGGATTAAATATGGTAATTATCTACTTTTTTTAAGGACATCTGACACATAATAATCATTTAATATTAACTTTTGTTTTTTCCATTATTTAGAGTAGAGCAGTACTCATATTTGTCATCTGAACTTAAGAGTGTTAATCTGTCCTAGAGAATAAAGAAATGTTATAAATTTCATCTTTGCATTCGGAATTAGTATATTTTCTTTGAATAAATAACTATTCAAATTAAACATTCTATCAATTACAAAAATATACTAAGTACTGATTTACATTGTCAATTAAACTACTTTAAAATTTTTTATAGATCTGTAGTAGAGATAATTTTCATAGGCCAAAACCTAATAACTTCAAAAAAGCTAATAAATCAAAGAAAACATTCTCTTGAATGAATACTCACCCAGCCAACCTTCCACTATCAAAAGTTTCTGCAAAATATACTTCTCCTATAGGTTGAGGTGTCTTATATTTAATCTAGAAAAGAGATTTTCCAAGTCTAAAGTTATTCATTTTCACAAATATTTCAATTAAATAATCTTCCTAGTGAAGAACATAGTATGTAATGCACATACAGGTAATACAGATATGAGGTGACAAACTCAAATAGGATACAAAACTTTGTACCTAGTAATGATAAGGTACAAGAAAATATAACAAATACCATGATGACAAAAATACTATACGTACAAACAGTGGATACACTGACCCCTTCTAACACAGAAGGAACAAAGGGACTCTGACAAGTGACAATATTTATGGATAAAACTCTTTGGGAGCAAAGGAAACAGCATAATGAAAAGCATGTAAGATGTAGAGCTTAGTAAGCACATAGGCTTTTAAAATTAACTCTTAAGTTTTACTGTTAGGTACCCTAAAAGATAATAATATAATTTTCCAAGATTAGGAACCCAGAGAGTGAAAAGATTCTATGGAGATAGCATTGCAAAGCAATTATCAACAAAGCGTTGTTTCAAGTGCCTTTGAAGTGTTAGCTGTTAGGGTGGCAATAATGATGATGGTGGCAGTGGTATTGCTGATGATATAGTGGCTCCTTTAATTCTTATAATATTTCTATGGGGGAAGTATCATTAGTAACCACTTTATATATGATGAAACTGGGACAGACAAAGTAACTTGCTTACTGCTGTCCAGTTAGATAATTGTAGAACTTACATATAAAGCCAAGACTGTCTGGCTCCAAAGCTCATACATTTTTACTACATGATACAGAATTTACCAACAAAATAATTTAAAAGAGTAAAGACTGATAAACTATCAAGAGATAATTTCAACTGAGGATGAATAAATAAAAATTTGCCTAAAGTAATAGGTTAGTCTGGATCCTCTCAGAATCAGCGTGTTGTGATTGTATCTGTATGATTAGTGAGATTAGATTGTATCTGTATGATTAGTGAGATTTCTTCCAGTAGGCTTTAGGGAAAAGGGTGCAGAAATACTTTTTCTATTTTCACTGTCCCTATCCTACCCTGATAGCAAAACACTTCCTGTCTGTTTAAGGGAGGGAAATCAGTAATTACACAAAATTCCACGTAATTACTGACAGGGTCAAGATTCAGCTACCAAAACTGCCAATCTTCTATGAAGTTTACTGAATTACAACTTTACTCTTCTCTATATTTTTATAGATTGACAAAACGGGCAGTGGTGTCACAAGAGGCTTCCTTCTGATAGGCCACCCCTAAAATCAGTTTATTTTGCCCTTTATTTATACTTCACCCTATGTAGATTACTCATGCTATAAAATTAGAAGCATCAAAAATCATTCTTTCCCACTTCCTATCATATTCTCAAAGTATCACCAAATAAGTCGAGTGGTAGTTACCTGTCAATTTCTTTGAAGTATTAATATTAACCTTCAAAGACCCTGTAGTAACTGTATCCAAGTCAGTAATTATTAGTACTCGGAGTACTTACTTTCTGCAGATTATAGAAATAGGCTTTAAAAAAAATTGTCCTTACAGAGCTTCAATTTAACAGGGGAAACATACTATTCACCTTAAACAATGAAACAACACATTTGCCAATGAAAAATTCTTAATAAGAGGAAATGAAGTAAAGAAATCTGTAACAACTACATATTATTCCCTTCGGCCCTTCAAACAGTAGCTGGCAGAATACAATTAATGCTTTCTCACCACCAAAAATATCTCTGATTATCACAAGGTTAGATATGAATATTCCTCAATGTAAAAGCTCTTATGTATCATCAAGGTATACAAAAATCCCTGCAATTTCTCAGACTCCTGTTAATCACTACTTCAAAATATACATTTTAACAATGCTGAGAGAAACACGAGTCAGGTTTACTAAATGCCCACCCCTCACCCTCACTTCCTTTTCTAATTCATCCTCCTTCTTAGCATTTTCTTTTCTCAGAGAAATAAAGACAAATACTTTACTTCTCAAGGAACTGCAAATTATATAGCCTTTTATTTGAAAAGATCTAGCAATGTCAAAAGTATGAATAAAAACCTTACTATTAGCTTAGTTCTCTTTAATCCGTGACAAACTCCTGTTTTGATAGTAAAAACCTCCCCCATATTTATTTGTTTAAGAAACTGTGCTAGATGCCATGAACAAATTTCTGAATTACATGGGCACTCTAAAAATTAAAGTAATAAGACACTTAGAAAAAAAATCAATGTTTTTCTATCTAGCTCTAAAATGAAGATTATTTGAACTGAAATGAATCACCAGAGGTCAATCACTTCATTGTACTATGTAAAGGAATAATTTATAACCCATTTCTCAATAACCATACCTCTGAGGAAAGTTCACTTTCATTAACATCAATTTCTTCTGAATTTTCTTCAAAGTCTTCCGTCTCAACATCATCATCCATAAATTCTGCATTAATTGAGATGAACAGAAGACCCAAACATAGCCAAAAGGCTTGGAAATGCATATTGATTATCTGTGAAATTAAAAGTAATTAGTGAAAATAAAACAAAATTGTGAAAATAAGTGTTAAGTATATGTAGAAATAAATAATTTCTCCATAATAGCTCCTTTATTCTAGGATGGCTTTTAAAACAAATCACTGACAAAATTATTTAAATTGTGCTTTGAGCAAGTGAAAATACAAACTTCAAATCTTGTAGGAAACAGATTCTATAGCTGCAGGCCTTCATCCAAAAACAAAGAGCCAATGGCACAAAATCTAAAGATGGGGGGAGGAGCCAAGATGGCCGAATAGGAACAGCTCCCGTCTACAGCTCCCAGTGTGAGCGACGCAGAAGACGGGTGATTTCTGCATTTCCATCTGAGGTACTGGGTTCATCTCACTAGGGAGTGCCAGACAGTGGGCGCAGGTCAGTGGGTGCGTGCACCGTGCGTGAGCCGAAGCAGGGCGAGGCATTGCCTCACTCGGGAAGCACAAGGGGTCAGGGAGTTCCCTTTCCGAGTCAAAGAAAGGGGTGACGGACGGCACCTGGAAAATCGGGTCACTCCCACCGGAATACTGCGCTTTTCCAACAGGCTTAAAAAACGGCGCACCACGAGATTATATCCCGCACCTGGCTTGGAGGGTCTTACGCCCACGGAGTCTCGCTGATTAATAGCACAGCAGTCTGAGATCAAACTGCAAGGCGGCAGCGAGGCTGGGGGAGGGGCGCCCGCCATTGCCCAGGCTTGATTAGGTAAACAAGGCAGCCTGGAAGCTCGAACTGGGCGGAGCCCACCACAGCTCAAGGAGGCCTGCCTGCCTCTGTAGGCTCCACCTCTGGGGGCAGGGCACAGACAAACAAAAAGATAGCAGTAACCTCTGCAGACTTAAACGTCCCTGTCTGACAGCTTTGAAGAGAGCAGTGGTTCTCCCAGCACGCAGCTGGAGATCTGAGAACGGGCAGACTGCCTCCTCAAGTGGGTCCCTGACCCCTGAGCAGCCTAACTGGGAGGCACCCCCCAGCAGGGGCACACTGACACCTCACACGGCAGGGTATTCCAACAGACCTGCAGTTGAGGGTCCTGTCTGTTAGAAGGAAAACTAACAAACAGAAAGGACATCCACGCCAGAAACCCATCTGTACATCACCATCATCAAAGACCAAAAGTAGATAAAACCACAAAGATGGGGGGAAAACAGAACAGAAAAACTGGAAACTCTAAAAAGCAGAGCGCCTCTCCTCCTCCAAAGGAATGCAGTTCCTCACCAGCAACGGAACAAAGCTGGATGGAGAATGACTTTGACGAGCTGAGAGAAGAAGGCTTCAGATGATCAAATTACTCTGAGCTATGGGAGGACATTCAAACCAAAGGCAAAAAAGTTGAAAACTTTGAAAAAAATTTAGCAGAATGTATAACTAGAATAACCAATACAGAGAAGTGCTTAAAGGAGCTGATGGAGCTGAAAACCAAGGCTCGAGAACTACGTGAAGAATGCAGAAGCCTCAGGAGCCGATGCGATCAACTGGAAGAAAGGGTATCAGCGATGGAAGATGAAATGAATGAAATGAAGCGAGAAGGGAAGTTTAGAGAAAAAAGAATAAAAAGAAATGAGCAAAGCCTCCAAGAAATATGGGACTATGTGAAAAGACCAAATCTACGTCTGATTGGTGTACCTAAAAGTGATGGGGAGAATGGAACCAAGTTGGAAAACACTCTGCAGGATATTACCCAGGAGAACTTCCCCAATCTAGCAAGGCAGGCCAACGTTCAGATTCAGGAAATACAGAGAACGCCACAAAGATACTCTTCGAGAAGAGCAACTCCAAGACACATAATTGTCAGATTCACCAAAGTTGAAATGAAGGAAAAAATGTTAAGGGCAGCCAGAGAGAAAGGTCGGGTTACCCTCAAAGGGAAGCCCATCAGACTAACAGCGGATCTCTCAGCAGAAACCCTACAAGCCAGAAGAGAGTGGGGGCCAATATTCAACATTCTTAAAGACAAGAATTTTCAACCCAGAATTTCATATCCAGCCAAACTAAGCTTCATAAGTGAAGGAGAAATAAAATCCTTTACAGACAAACAAATGCTGAGAGATTTTGTCACCACCAGGCCTGCCCTACAAGAGCTCCTGAAGGAAGCGCTAAACATGGAAAGGAACAACAGGTACCAGCTGCTGCAAAATCATGCCAAAATGTAAAGACCATCAAGACTAGGAAGAAACTGCATCAACTAACGAGCAAAATAACCAGCTAACATCATAATGACAGGATCAAATTCACACATAACAATATTAACTTTAAATGTAAATGGACTAAATGCTCCAATTAAAAGACACAGACTGGCAAATTGGATAAAGAGTCAAGACCCATCAGTGTGCTGTATTCAGGAAACCCATCTCACGTGCAGAGACACACATAGGCTCCAAATAAAAGGATGGAGGAAGATCTACCAAGCAAATGAAAAACAAAAAAAGGCAGGGGCTGCAATCCTAGTCTCTGATAAAACAGACTTTAAACCAACAAAGATCAAAAGAGACAAAGAAGGCCATTACATAATGGTAAAGGGATCAATTCAACAAGGAGAGCTAACTATCCTAAATATATATGCACCCAATACAGGAGCACCAAGATTCATAAAGCAAGTCCTGAGTGACCTACAAAGAGACTTAGACTCCCACACATTAATAATGGGAGACTTTAACACCCCACTGTCAACATTAGACAGATCAATGAGACAGAAAGTCAACAAGGATACCCAGGAATTGAACTCAGCTCTGCACCAAGCGGACCTAATAGACATCTACAGAACTCTCCACCCCAAATCAACAGAATATACATTTTTTTCAGCACCACACCACACCTATTCCAAAATTGACCACATACTTGGAAGTAAAGCTCTCCTCAGCAAATGTAAAAGAACAGAAATTATAACAAACTATCTCTCAGACCACAGTGCAATCAAACTAGAACTCAGGATTAAGAATCTCACTCAAAACCGCTCAACTACAAGGAAACTGAACAACCTGCTCCTGAATGACTACTGGGTACATAACGAAATGAAGGCAGAAATAAAGATGTTCTTTGAAACCAACGAGAACAAAGACACAACATACCAGAATCTCTGGGACGCATTCAAAGCAGTGTGTAGAGGGAAATTTATAGCACTAAATGCCCACAAGAGAAAGCAGGAAAGATCCAAAATTGACACCCTAACATCACAATTAAAAGAACTAGAAAAGCAAGAGCAAACACATTCAAAAGCTAGCAGAAGGCAAGAAATAACTAAAATCAGAGCAGAACTGAAGGAAATAGAGACACAAAAAACCCTTCAAAAAATTAATGAATCCAGGAGCTGGTTTTTTGAAAGGATCAACAAAATTGATAGACTGCTAGCAAGACTAATAAAGAAAAAAAGAGAGAAGAATCTAATAGACGCAGCAAAAAATGATAAAGGGGATATCACCACTGATCCCACAAATACAAACTACCATCAGAGAATACTACAAACACCTCTACACAAATAAACTAGAAAATCTAGAAGAAATGGATACATTCCTCGACACATACACTCTCCCAAGACTAAACCAGGAAGAAGTTGAATCTCTGAATAGAGCAATAACAGGATCTGAAATTGTGGCAATAATCAATAGCTTACCAACCAAAAAGAGTCCAGGACCAGATGGATTCACAGCTGAATTCTACGAGAGGTACAAGGAGGAACTGCTACCATTCCTTCTGAAACTATTCCAATCAATAGAAAAAGAGGGAATCCTCCCTAACTCATTTTATGAGGCCAGCATCATTCTGATACCAAAGCCAGGCAGAGACACAACAAAAAAAGAGAATTTTAGACCAATATCCTTGATGAACATTGATGCAAAAATCCTCAATAAAATACTGCCAAACTGAATCCAGCAGCACATCAAAAAGCTTATCCACCATGATGAAGTGGGCTTCATCCCTGGGATGCAAGGCTGGTTCAATATACGCAAATCAATAAATGTAATCCAGCATATAAACAGAGCCAAAGACAAAAACCACATGATTATCTCAATAGATGCAGAAAAAGCCTTTGACAAAATTCAACAACCCTTCATGCTAAAAACTCTCAATAAATTAGGTATTGATGGGACATATCTCAAAATAATAAGAGCTATCTATGACAAACCCACAGCCAATATCATACTGAATGGGCAAAAACTGGAAGCATTCCCTTTGAAAACTGGCACAAGACAGGGATGCCCTCTCTCACCACTCCTATTCAACATAGTGTTGGAAGTTCTGGCCAGGGCAATTAGGCAGGAGAAGGAAATAAATGGTATTCAATTAGGAAAAGAGGAAGTCAAATTGTCCCTGTTTGCAGACGACATGATTGTATATCTAGAAAACCCCATTGTCTCAGCCCAAAATCTCCTTAAGCTGATAAGCAACTTCAGCAAAGTCTCAGGATACAAAATCAATGTACAAAAATCACAAGCATTCTTATACACCAGCAACAGACAAACAGAGAGCCAAATCATGAGTGAACTCCCATTCACAATTGCTTCAAAGAGAATAAAATACCTAGGAATCCAACTTACAAGGGATGTGAAGGACCTCTTCAAGGAGAACTACAAACCACTCCTCAATGAAATAAAAGAGGACACAAACAAATGGAAGAACATTCCATGCTCATGGGTAGGAAGAATCAATATCGTGAAAATGGCCATACTGCCCAAGGTAATTTACAGATTCAATGCCATCCCCATCAAGCTACCAATGCCTTTCTTCACAGAATTGGAAAAAACTACTTTAAAGTTCATATGGAACCAAAAAAGAGCCCGCATCGCCAAGTCAATCCTAAGCCAAAAGAATAAAGCTGGAGGCATCACACTACCTGACTTCAAACTATACTACAAGGCTACAGTAACCAAAACAGCATGGTACTGGTACCAAAACAGAGATATGGATCAATGGAACAAAACAGAGCCCTCAGAAATAACGCCGCATATCTACAACTATCTGATCTTTGACAAACCTGAGAAAAACAAGCAATGGGGAAAGGATTCCCTATTTAATAAATGGTGCTGGGAAAACTGGCTAGCCATATGTAGAAAGCTGAAACTGGATCCCTTCCTTACACCTTACACAAAAATTAATTCAAGATGGATTAAAGGCTTAAACGTTAGACCTAAAACCATAAAAACCCTAGAAGAAAACCTAGGCATTACCATTCAGGACATAGGCATGGGCAAGGACTTCATGTCTAAAACACCAAAAGCAATGGCAACAAAAGCCAAAATTGACAAATGGGATCTAATTAAACTAAAGAGCTTCTGCACAGCAAAAGAAACTACCATCAGAGTGAACAAGCAACCTACAAAATGGGAGAAAATTTTCACAACCTACTCATCTGACAAAGGGCTAATATCCAGAATCTACAATGAACTCAAACAAATTTACAAGAAAAAAACAAACAACCCCATCAAAAAGTGGGCGAAGGACATGAACAGACACTTCTCAAAAGAAGATATTTATGCAGCCAAAAAACACATGAAAAAATGCTCATCATCACTGGCCATCAGAGAAATGCAAATCAAAACCACAATGAGATACCATCTTACACCAGTTAGAATGGCAATCATTAAAAAGTCAGGAAACAACAGGTGCTGGAGAGGATGTGGAGAAATAGGAACACTTTTACACTGTTGGTGGGACTGTAAACTAGTTCAACCATTGTGGAAGTCAGTGTGGCGATTCCTCAGGGATCTAGAACTGGAAATACCATTTGACCCAGCCATCCCATTACTGGGTATATACCCAAAGGACTCTAAATCATGCTGCTATAAAGACTCATGCACACGTATGTTTATTGCGGCATTATTCACAATAGCAAAGACTTGGAACCAACCCAAATGTCCAACAATGATAGAATGGATTAAGAAAATATGGCACATATACACCATGGAATACTATGCAGCCATAAAAAATGATGAGTTCATGTCCTTTGTAGGGACATGGATGAAATTGGAAAACATCATTCTCAGTAAACTATTGCAAGAACAAAAAACCAAACACCGCATATTCTCACTCATAGGTGGGAATTGAACAATGAGATCACATGGACACAGGAAGGGGAATATCACACTCTGGGGACTGTTGTGGGGTGGGGGAACGGGGGAGGGATAGCATTGGGAGTTATACCTAATGCTAGATAACGAGTTAGTGGGTGCAGTGCACCAGTATGGCACATGTATACATATGTAACTAACCTGCACAATGTGCACATGTACCCTAAAACTTAAAGTATAATAAAAAAAAAATCTAAAGATAAAGATGATAGTAGTTATCAAACACAAATAATATGTAGACCTCTTTAAAAGTATCATGATTCCTAAATGTTCACTGAAATTGTTTTTATTATAATGTTGCTTAAGTGTATATAAACATAAAAATGGAAATTTTATAATTATAAAACCAAAATACATTTATATATAAATGCTGAGAAAAGATACAAAAATTTTTTTATCACAAATTTAATGTGGTAGAGTTTTACTAAAATCAAAGCACATTCAAAAGATCAAACAAATATAGGGCTTATTGTAATCAGGTAGACTGCTATGGAGAAAGTTCTTTTGCATATATAATTCCTATAATTCCACAATTACATAATTACTTATATATTTATGGACAAAGACAAAAATGATGGGTGCTGTCATTAACTAGGATTTGATCTCTCTAAATCACAAAAGAGGTATAACTGGGATAGGAAGTAAATGTAAAGGGATCAATTTGACACAATGAAATAGGCTTATTTCCTTAATTTCCTAGTTATTGGCACAGAAATTTGTATATCTGCAAATTGCTTATTAATTGTGAACTCTAAAAGCTTCATTGTTCTAAAAGCCTAAGGGCCTTCCATGTTACATAGTAAAAGGCACTTTGCTTGACTGGCTATTAATCATTTTTGAGCAAAATAAAAACACATAAAATAATACTACTAATAATGAACATTAATATAACTTTAGACCCATATCCTCTCTTTCAAATGAATGTACACTTTAGGTTCCAAACAATTAATTTGTTGAAAAAAAAACATTCTAAGTGCTTTGTTTGAACTCTGGTGTACTGGGCTGCCAAGAAAGAGTTAAGAGGAAGCCAAGCAGGTAGTGCTCTATCTGGAACTCTACCCTTAACTCAACCAGAGCACCCCAGTTTTATTTGTATTCTATATTATAGTTTTTCCTGACTTTTCCTTAGAAATAGTTGCCAATGCTTCAGAAAACAGTTCAGAAAACACTTTATCTTGAAAGTTTGTTTCTTCTTTAAAATTCTATGATCTTATATTTACATCAAAGAACTAGCTAATTTAATCTTTACAGCCCAGGACATGAATAGCGTAGGTACTATTCCTAATCAACAAAACAAAAACAGAGAGTTTTAAAGAACTGCAATTGGTTAGAAGGCATTCTGTAGACAATGCAGTTCTATTGTTTTTATTTGTTCTTTTTTTTAAAAAAAAAAATCAGAAATACAGACTTAATACTTTCTGCGTAATGCTGCAGTATCCTATCATTCTTCAGTGCTGCACCAGCTGACAATTGAGAATTAGATACTGAAGTTCACAGTCTTGAAATCTGTCTCACAATGGTGCCAACATGTTATTAAGTTCCAAACAAAACTATGAGGTTTGTGACATCTCATTTCTTAGAGAGAGGTATGCTATTGACAAGTCTGTACTGAAACTCTGAGAGGTCAGATGCTGGGGTAATACTACAAGAAAATGAAGTAGTTAATTTATGCATTTAAAATTGTTTTAAATCACGTGGTAAAACATTCTCATTGTTGTACAACTAATTTCCAAAACTTTCTTCATGCTCTAAAACTAAAACGCTATACACTTTTAACAACTCCCCACTACCCTTCCCTCCAGCCCCTGGAAACCATCTTTCTAATATCTATCTCTATGATTTTGACTACTCTAGGTACTGCATATAAGTGGAATCATACAGTATTGGTCTTTCTGTAACTGGCTTATTTTACTTAGCATAATGCCCTGAAGCTTCATCCATGTTGTAGCATGTATCAAATTTCCTTCCTTTTTAAAGCTGGACAGTATTCCATTGTGTGTATACACCACATTTTGTTTATACATTCATCTGTCAGTGGACACTTGGGTTGCTTCCACCTGTTGGCTGTTGTGAATAATCCTACAATGAATATGGGTATACAAATAACTCTTCGAGACCTTGTTTTCAATTCTTTTGAGTATATACCCATAAGTTGAATTGCTTGGTCATATGATAATTCTATTTTTTTTTGAATCCTCATACTGTTTTCCACAGTGGCTTTACCATTTTACCTTCCCACCAACAAGGCACAAGGGTTCCAATTTCTACACATCCTTGCCAACATTTGTTCAAAATTATGTTTTTTTAAATAGTAGTCATTGTAATAGGTCCTAATATGGCGTAGTATCATATTGTGGTTTGATTTGCATTTCCCTGATGATTAGTGATACTGAGTATCTTTTCATGTGCTTGTTGGCTATTTATACATCTTCAAGGGAAACATGTCTATTCAAGTCCTTTGCCTATTTAAAAAATCAGGTTTTGTTTTTGTTTTGAGTTGTAGGAGTTCCTACAAATTCTGGATACTGACCCCTTATCAAATATATGATTGGCAAATATTTTCTCCCATTGCATAGGTTTTTCATTTTGTTGTGTTCTTTGATGCACAGAACTTTTTAATTTTGAGTTTTCCAATTTATATATTTTTTCTTTTGTTGTCTGTGCTTTTGGTGTCATATAAAAATTACTGGCAAATTCAATGTCATGAAGCTTTCCATGTTTTCTTTTAACAGTTTTATAGTTTTCTTATGTTTAAGTCTTCAATCCATTTCGAGTTAATTTTTGTCTATGATTTAAGGTAAGGTTACAACCTCATTCTTTTGCATGTGGATAGCCAGTTTCCCCAATATCATCTCATGAGAAGACTGTCCTTTCTCACAAAATGGTCTTGGCACTTTTATAAAAAAAATTTGAACATATATGTGGGAATTTATTACTAGGCTCTTTATTGTATCCCATTGATATATATGTCTGTCTTTATGCCAGTCTCACACTGATTTGATTACTATAGCTTTGTAATAAGTTTTGAAACAGAGATGTGAGATTTCCAAACTTATTCTTTCCCAAGATTGTTCTGGCTATTTGGGGTCCCTTGAGATTCTATATGAATTTTACTATTCTTGCAAAAAGTGCTATTAGGATTATGACAGGGATTGCACTGAATCTGTAGATTACTTTGGGTTGTGTTTCCATCTTATTAAGTCTTCCAATCCCAATGAACACAATGTCTTTCCATTGATTAATATTTGTTTCTTAATTTCTTTCAGCAGCATTTCATAATTTTTCATGTACAAGTATTTTACTTCCTTGATTTATTCCTAAGTATTTTATTCTTTTTTATGTTGTTATAAATGGAATTGTTTTCTTAATTTCCTGTTCATTGTTAGTATACAGAAGTGCAACTAATTTTTGTGTGCTAGTTTTTTTACCCTGCAACTTTAGTGAATTCATTTGTTTGTTTTTTGAGATGGGATCTCACTCTGTTACCCAGGCTGGAGTGCAGTGGCACCATCATGGCCCATTGCAGCCTTGAACTCCTGGACTCAGGTGATCCTCCACTTCAGCCTCTCGAGTAGCTGGGACTACAGGCAAGCATCACCATGCCCAGCTAATGTTCTGTATTTTTCTGTAGAGATGGTTTTTGCCATGTTGCGCAGGCTGGTCTTAAACTCCTAGACTCAACTGATCTGGCTACCTTGGCCTCCAAAATTGCTGGGACTACAGGCATGAGCCACCATGCCTGGCCTTCATTTATTATTTCTAACAGACTTTTGTATTGTGTTCGTGAAATCTTTAGGGTTTTGTACATACATATAAGATCATGTTATCTGCTGAGATAATTTTACTTCTTCCTTTTCAATTTGAATGTCTTTTTTCTTTCTTTTTCTTCCCTAATTTCTCTGGCTCGGGAGAAGTGGAAAAAGCAGGCATCCTTGTCTTATTCTAGATCTTAAAGGAAAAGCTTTCAGTCTTTCACCATTTAGTCTGATGTTAACTGTGGGCTTTTCATATATGACCTTTACTATGTTGAGGTGGTTTCCTTCTATTCCTAGTGTACTGAGTGTTTTTTATTATGAAAGAGTGTTGAATCATGTCAAATGCTTTTTCTGCATGAATAAAGATGATCATGTGTTCTCCCCTCCCTACATTGTAAATGTGGCATGGTACACTGATTTTCTTATGTTGAATCATCCTTGAATTTTAGGAATAAATCCAACATGGTCATAGTATATAACTCTTTTAATATGCAGCTGAATTTTGTTGTCAAGTATTTTGTTAAGAATTTCTGCATCAATAATCATCTGGAATATTGCTCTGTAGTTTTCTTGTAGTGTCTTTGGCTTTGATAACAGGGTTATGCTGGCTTCATAGAATGAATCTGGAAGTGTTTACTCCTCTTCAATATTTCGGAAGAATTTGAGGAGGACTGGTGTTAATTCTTTCAATGTTTGGTAGAACTCACCAGTGAAGCCACCTAGTCCTGGGCTTTTATCTGCTGGGAAGTTTTTGTTTACTGATTCAATCTCCTTACCAGTTACAGGTCTGTTCAGATTTTCTACTTCTTCATGATTAATCTTGATAGAGTGTGTGTTTCTAAGAATGTATCCATTTAATCTAGGTTATCCAATTTGTTGCCATACAATCCTTCAGCGTATTCTCTTATAATCCCTCTTATTTCTGTAGAATCAGATGTAATGTCCTTTCATTACCAATTTTAGTTATTTGAGTCTTCTCTCATTTTTCTTAATCTAACTAAAGGTTTGTTAATTTTTTTGTTGACCTTTTCGAAGAATTAACTCTTGATTTCACTTGTTTTCTCTCTTGTTTTTCTATTTTCTATTTTGTTTCTCTCTGCTCTAATCTTTATTATTTCCCTCTTTCTTCTAACTTTTGGGTTTCATTTGCTCTTTTTCTAGTTCCTCAAGGTGTAAGTTAGGTTGTTAACTTGAGATCTTTTGTTTTTCATGTAAGTGCTTAAAGCTATAAATTTCCCTTTTAACACTGCTTTCACTGTATCCCATAAGTTTTGGTATCTTTTGTTCTCCTTTTCATTTGTCTCAAGATGTTTTTCTAACTTTTCTTGAGACTTATTTGGCTCATTGTTCAAGAGTGTGCTGTTTAATTTCCACATATTTGTGAATTTTTCTTGTTTTCCTTCTACTATTGATTTCTAGTTCCTTTCCTTTGTGTTCAGAAAACTTACTTTGTATGATTTCAATCTTTTAAAATTCATTAAGACTTGTTTTGTGGTCTAATATGGTCTATCCTGGAGAATGTTCTATGTGCAGTTAAGAAAAATGTGTGTTCTGCTATTGTTGGGTACAGTGTTGTCCATATGTTTATTATGTTTAGTTGGCTTGTGGTGTTATCTATTTCTTTATTGATCTGTATGGTTGTTTAAGTTATATAATTTTAGTACAGCAAGAATTTGTTTATATGGTATAGGGTAGAACATTTAGTGCTAATGTCACCCTCTTCCCTCCTTATAAATTAAAAGGTAGCATGCCCAGGGTTCCAAGCTTCTTATGTATTCCTCACTCCATGAGGCTTGCTGAGATCACTAAATATCAGTTGTGCCTTCATAAGAAGGGAGGCACTGAAGAACTACATCCTTCTGCACCAACACGTATCTTTGATCTCATGTATGTTCTCTGCACTGCTTCTGTGGTAGTTCAATAACAAATTGAAGCACAAGTAACTTTATCCATGAATGAGATACCATTCTTCCCAATCTTTGAAATCTAGATCAAGTAGTCTGGTCTACTTTAAATAATTACACCAATATCTCCTAAAAACCCTACTGGATCTCCACTACCACCCCCAAATTACAAATTATAAAGTGCAGCTCATGTACTGGTATTGAAGTAATGCTCACTGTCACATCAAAGGTAAGTAAGGCACACAAAGAAAAGACAATCACAGGATATGCAATATGTGTTGTATAGTGTGGGAGAAGTTGCTGGCTGATCACAAGGGTAATTTCCTTGGCACTAGATGTGACCATTACCTGGTTCCAGCCAACAGAATGTAAATAGAAGACCTGTATGCCATTGTCAGCCCTTGCCCATAAAAACTTCCTATAATTATGAATTATAATTCTTTATGATCTTTCCCCTTCTGGTTTGATGCAAGCAATTTTGAAGGTCATGGTTGAAAACGGCAAAATTCCAAGGTAGGAAGTTGCAGAATCCCTGAATCATTACTTGGAGGAGAGTCATTTTATTAGTCAGAGTTCATCAGAGAAGCAGAATCAATAGGGTGTGTGTGTGTGTGTGTGTGTGTGTGTGTGTGTGTGTGTACATACAGGCATACCTCATTTTACTGCACGTTGATTTATTGCATTTTTCACAAATTGAAGGTTTCTGGCAACACTGCATTGAACAAGTCTACAGCTGCCATTTTTCCAACACTATAGTCACTTTATGTTTCTGTGACACATTTTTGTAATTCCTTTTTTTTTTTTTTTTTTTTTTTTGAGATGGAGTCTTGCTCTGTCACCCAGGCTGGAGTGCAGTGGCACAATCTCGGCTCACTGCAACCTCTGCCTCCTTGGTTCAAGCGATTCTCCTGTCTCAGCCTCCCGAGTAGCTGGGATTATAGGCGCGCGCCACTATGCCCGGCTAATTTTTGTATTTTTAGTAGAGACGGGGTTTCACCATATTGGTCAGGCTGGTCTCCAACTCCTAACCTCAGGTGATCCGCCCGCCTCGGCCTCCCAAAGTGCTGGGATTACAAGCGTGAGCCACCGCGCCGGGCCTTCTTTCACTCTCAACACACCTATTTAACACACTTTTTGTACATGCTATTTCTTATAACTGCGATGCCTTTCTGCTGTTATTCAGTTTTAATGGCTGACTGAGGATCCGACCAACACTGGTATATTCCAGAAGTGGTGTTTGACAATCACCTATTACTTAAAGTTTTAGTTGTCATGTGGCTTCAGGAATGCAATGTAGAATGATATAATAAAAAGTACACCCAACATGGCACAATCGCACCAAGTTTCTAGTTTTATTATTAAAAAGACAAGTGATAAAAACTGCTGTGGGCCTGTTTTCTCATTTGTGACGTGAACTAGACAATCCAAAGATTCTTTAAAGTTCATAATTCTAGTTTTCTATTTAAAAACACCAGTATTTATTAGGTACTTAAAAAGTACTACAGCTAACTTACAACACTTCAATTTCTAGACAAATGCATCAACATACTTACATCATTTACACACAATAATTAACCTTATCAACTAGCTAAGACAGAGAGTACAGAATATCTTGTTCTGAGGATTTGGAGATGAGATCTAAATGTTACTGGAAGATCAAACCAATAAGACGTGAAGGCAAAACTCCAAACTGAAAACAGGTCAAACTTACAATGACCCAAAGGAGGGCTACCTCGAGTGATGTCGACATTTGTAAAACAAGCAAAATCATCAGATGAGATCGGGATTTTGCCTGCTTTTAAGCAACAAAAAGTTTATACGTTAATGAACTCTTTTCTAATTTGAGACTTCTTCCTGTGGCCACGTTATTTACCTTTTCTCTCCCAGTCCTGAGCTTTGGTTGCCATTTGCTTTTAACTCCCAAGCAAACACCTCCTCTTTGTTGCTTGGGCAGATGCTATAAATAAAATCAGCGAAAGTGTCTGATTGATGGTAAACAGGCCTGGGGCGATAATGAGTCTAGTAATTAGGGCCTCTCTGGATTCAACCCAGCCCTTTCGCCCGCCCCCCGGCGGCGCACAATGGGCTCTGCGCGGGTATCGAGGGAGCGGCCAACAGTCCCTGGCCCCACCGCCGTGAAGTGGGGTCCCTTCGCTTCCACATAGGTGGAGACTGAGACAGCCGAGCCTATTTTGATCTCGTTTGGGTTTCTGTAAGGAGCAGTCAGCAGAGTGAGCAGCGCCCAGACGCGCCCCGGGCCCCCTCTACAACCATTGGGAGAGCGCCCCGGGCTCAAGCGTGGAACGGGGCTGCAATGGCAACCGCTGGAATAACGGCCTCGGCTCCCGGTGGCTCCTCAAGCCCGCAGGGGAGGCCGGCCGGGCTAGGCACCTAGCTGTCCCCGTGCTCGTCCGCCCCAGCCCGGGCGCAGCAGGTGGATGCGGCGGTGCTGAAGACACAAAGGGTCCCAGGTGGCACCACCTCCTGCGTCCACCCACGGGGCCGCCAGAGCCCAGTCAAGACCCTAGCTCGCTGCAGCCCCATCGCCAGACTCAACATCCACCCTCACTTGGCCCCGACCGGTTCAGCCCTCTGGCGGCAAAGTAACGGGGTGCCTGGGGGAAGCAGCAACGACTCCGCTTCCTCACCCCAATCTGCGCGCAAAGGGCAGCGGGACAGCGGGAACGCGGCCTGCTGCTCACGCACCTCTCTTGCGGCCTGTTTTCGGCAGTGACAGCTCAGATGTCCAAGTCGTTGCCACTTGGTCCCCGCGTCTCTTCAGACCAGTCCCGCCGGCGGCCGCGCAGCAGCGACTACTAACCGCGCGTGCGCGTGCGGTGGCGGGCGGGAGGCGGTGGCGGCCCGAGGTGTGTGCTACGCGCTCCTGCTCCGAGGGGCTCAACCGCCTCCAGGGGGAGCCGCACATGGAGCCTGTGCCGCCGCCGGCCGGTTGTGGCCTGGACCCCGCTCCCGGGTTAGCCCAGGAGGAATTCCCCCTGCAAGTCCGAAGACTTTTCCTCCTCTGAGCTCCCGCCCTCTCTGCAGACCGTGCTACCTCCTGTTGCGCAATGATTGGGTCCTGAATTTTATGTAAATCATATTTATGAACAACGTCCAGTAATAAGTGCAGCAAGATTAGGGCTCTAGGTTTTCTCCAGAGTTCTAGATGTTAACAGATCTGCAGTCATGGTGATTAATAAGGAGCTTTCCTGTCTGGTGTGTGTATATGACAAATACAGATGCGTTAAGTGTTAATAAATACATTGTATATAAAACAATATGTTCTTTTTCTCTCGAACAACACTATTAATAAGAGCTGCTAACATTTATTGTGTTCATTGTGCTCTAAGGGGCTTACATTCATTGTTTAACCTTCGTGGCAACCCAGGTGATGAAACTGATGGCAACTTGCTCGAAGTTACACAACATGTAAACAGTGGAAACGGGATGTAAATCAGGCCTGTCTCTCTCAGAGCCTGTAGTTTCAAACACATTGAAATAAATCTTAGCATAAACGTAGTTTATGCTATGATTATGCAATCACAAGCTGCTTTGCCTTTTATATATTGGATCAATATTAATTTTACTACTTAATATTTTATAGTAAATCTTGACTTTGAATTTGGTATAACAATTTAATTTTATTGGAAGATTAATTAACAACATTTAATTGACTTGTGAGTCTAAGACCCTTGTTGAAGAGTTTCAATCTTAAGGGTTTGGTGGCATTCCGTGCACAACGTATCATTATTGGCTAGGGGTCAAGATCACTGAGTTTTTTCACATTGCTTCACTAATTAAGACCAGCATTTCTAAACTTTTGACTTTGTCATCTCTGGGAGAGTGTTTGGATAGTGTTAAAATTTACTGGTTAAAAAGACATTTTGTTTGAGATACTTTGTAACAATATTATACCCTTTATTTCTTTCTTCCGTCCTTCTGACTTCTATTATTCAACATACTTCTGTGGCCCATAACAAATACACTTGAACTGCTAGAGAGGGATTTTTTAAAGGATCCATTCAAAGTTTGCAGTGAGGAAGCTGAAAACTAAAAATGTAAGAATAGTGAATTTTTGCAAGATTTAGTAGTATCTTCTTGGTCACATAGTACTCAAAACCTTGAGAACATTTTTTTACTCTTTGGCTGCTACATTCACTGCCTCCATAAATTAAACTCTAACTCCATAAAATCATCTAAAAGAGGTCCTCACCCCCTCCAGTCCCTGTGCCATTTCTCTAGTTTAGATTCTCACTACTTTAGAAACTGTTGTTCAGAGTTACCTAACTAGTTGCCCCCCTTCAGAGCCTCCCACCTACACTTCGTAGTTTAATCCTCAGCTCATTCAATAGTTTCCAATGACCCTTCATTACCCACAGCATGAAATCTAATCTCTAACCTTGAAATTTAAGGCCTTAACATATCTCCAAAATTATTTGCCACTTATTGAAAGGATGATTGAATATAATATTTATAATTTGTTTAATAGGCAACTTTTCATCAGAATAATACAATGTGATAATGTCAGAGGAGAAAGAATAATCTGCAAATAAGACAAGGGGTATGGCTTTTGAGAGTGATGTAGTGTTTAATAATACAAGCGGAGGAGTCCCAGAATGTAATGCTGAATGGTAGAGTCGTGAAGTGTTCTGACACATCAAAGTTGAAGAGAGATTTGGGAAGAGACCAAGGCAATGTAATCAAGATTGGAGGGACTAGAGTAATCAGAAATCTAGAAAAACATAAAAAGCAGGAAAGGTGACCTGGCATGGTGGCTCATGCATGTAATCCCAGCTCTTTGAGAGGCTGAGGCAGGTAGATCACTTGAGCCGAGCTGCCTGAGACCAGCCTGGGAAACATGATGAAACCCCATCTCTACAAAAAAATACAAAAAATTTAACTGGGCATGGTGGTGCATGCCTGTAGTCCTAGCTACCTGGGAAGCTGAGGTGGGAGGAAGCTGAGGTGGGATGAGCCCAGGAGGCAGAGGTTGCAGTGAGCCCAGATAGTGCCACTGCACTCCAGCTTGGATGGCAGAGTGAGACATTGTGTCAAAAAAAAAAAAAAAAAAAAAAAAAAAAAAAAGCAGAAAGGTTCATGCTCCTTGATGGAACAGAGTGATGTCCTGTTGGAAGCCTGTTTTGTAATCAAAATCAGAGCTGTGTTTTATTAATGTTCTACTATGTGCAAGTTGCTATATGCAATTGACCCACAGGTATCATCCTTATTTTACTTATGAGGAAATAGACCCAGATCAGTTACATAACTTATTCACACAGATCTTAAGATGCAGAGTGAGGATTCAAAGCCTGTGCCCTTTCCACAACACCTTGCCACTTGAAAAATGCAGAATATAGGAAATGCCTCGATTATCAGGATTAAAGAGCTATGCAGAATGAAGTTTTAACTCAAATACAATGAGTGGACTCAGAACCTAGATAATTCAAATAATACTTTAAAAATGTTTGTATATTTTCATATGTTTAGGAATGTGCTTTTTAATGGTGCAGAAAATAGAGAAAAGGAAACAAAGTATTCCACAAGTATTTCCAGTGGGTTGACTTTTATTTTCAAGATGTATAATTATGTCTATGGCAGAAAATGATCTTTTCTTTCTTATATTTATACTTATTTTCTGAGGTTTTTTTCCTTATTACTTTAACAAAAATATCAAACAATAGTAAATAATAGTAATGACAATAGTCATCATTGTTTTTCCCAGAATTCGTCTGGTTAAACTATATAGTTGGCAGAATGAGCCCATGCTGAGTTTTTTTCTTGTGTCTCAAGATAACCCCCCTCAGAAACACTACCCGACTTTAGGATTTATAGAATGATATACAGCTATAGTTATCAAAGAGTTATCAAAGAGTATTAGTATCAAGGCAAACAAATCAATGGAACAGAATAGATTCTATATAGACTTACATGTGTATGTATTATGGCCTGGATATGGTTGGTTTGTCCCAACCAAAACTCATGTTGAAATTTGGTCCCCAGTGTGGCAGTGCTGGAAAGTGGGGCCTAATGGGAGGTATTTGGGTCATGAAGGTCCTGTCCTCGTAGGTGGCTTGATGCCATTGCAGTAGTGAGTGAGTTCTTGCTCTGACGAGACTGGATTCATTCCCATGAGAATGGGTTGTTATAAAGCTGGGTGCCCCTCAGGTTTTCCCTCTTTGCATGCGTCTGCTTCCCCTTTGACCTTCTCTGCCATCTTTTGGCCTAGCACAAAAGCCTCACCACAAGCCAGAGCCATGTCCTTGAACTTCCCAGCTAGCCAGACTGTGAGTTAAATAAATCTCTTTTCTTTATAAATTACCCATTCCCAGGTGTTCTGTTATAGCAACACAAAACAGAATAAGACAGTGTGGGGAACTGGTTTTCAACATAGGTACACATGCAGTTGGTAGAGAAAGCCTAGTCTTTTCAACAAATTGTGGTGGTACAATTGAATATTCACATGTAATAAGTACATTTTTCAATCCATACCACACAGCATATATAAAAAAAGAGACTGGCTGCATTTTGCCCCGTCTTAGATATTTGTGGAACTTTGAACTTGAGGGAGATGATTTAGGATATATGGTGTAAAAAATTTCTAAGCAGCAAAGCACTCAAGAGGTGACTTGGGTGCTATTAGAGGCACTCCGTTTTAAAAGGGAAACAGAAAATAAAAGGTTTGAAAATTTGCAGCCTGACAATGTGATAGAAATGAAAATCTCCACTGCAGAAATTTTCATAAGTAACAAGAAGCCAAATGTTAATCCACACGACAATGGGAAAATGTCTCCACGGCATGTCAGAGGTCTTCATGTCAGCCACTCTCATCACAGGTCCAGAGACCTAGGAGGAAAAGACAGTTTTGTGGGCTGGGCCCAGGGCTCCTCTGCTCTGTGCAGCCTAGGGACTTGGTACTCTGTGTTCCAGCTGCTCCAGCCATGGCTAAAAGGGGTCAACGTACAGCTCAGGCTGCTGCTTCAGAGGGTGGAAGCCCCAAGCCTTGGCAGCTTCCAGGTGGTGAGCCTGTGGGTACCCAGAAGTTGAGAATTAAGGTTTAGGAACCTCTACCTAGATTTCATAGGATGTATGGAAACGCCTGGATGCCCAGGTGGAAGTTTGCTGCAGGGGCGGGGGTCTCATGGAGAAGCTCTGCTAGGGCAGTGCTGAAGGGAAATGTGGGGTCAGAGCCCCCCACACAGAGTCCTTGTGGGGCACCACCTAGTGGAACTGTCAGAAGAGGGCCACCATCCTCCAGACCCCAGAATGGTAGATCCACTGACAGCTTGCGCTGTGCACCAGGAAAAGCTGCAGACACTCAACACCAGCCTGTGAAAGCAACTGGGAGAGAGGCTATACTTTGCAAAGCCACAGGGGTGCAGCTGCCCAAGACCGTGGGAACCTACCTCTTGCATCAGCGTGACCTGGATGTGAGACATGGAGTCAAAGGAGAGCTTTAAGATTTGACTGCCCTGCTGGATTTCAGACTTGCATGGGGCTTGTAGCCCCTTTGTTTTGGCCAATTTCTCCCATTTGTAGTGGCTGTATTTACCCAATGCCTGTACTCCCATTGTATCTAGGAAGTAACTAACTTGCTTTTGATTTTACAGGCTCATAGGTGGAAGGGACTTGCCTTGTCTCAGATGAGACTTTGGACTGCAGACTTTTGAGTTAATGTTGAAATGAGTTAAGACTTTGAGGGACTATTGGAAAGGGATGATTGGTTTTGAAATGTGAGGACATCAGATTTTGGAGGGGACAGGGCAGAATGATATGGTTTGGCTGTGTCCCCACCTAAATCTCATCTTGAATTGTAACTCCCACAGTTCCCAAGTCTCATGGGAGGAACCTGGTGGGAGATAATTGAATCATGGGGGTGGGTCTTTCCCATGCTGTTCTTGTGATAGTGAATAACTCTCATGAGATCTGATGGTTTAAAAAAAACAGGAATTTTCCTGCACAAGCTCTCTTCTCTTGTCTGCCACCATGTGAGGTGTGACTTTAACCTTCTGCCATGATTTTGAGATCTCTCCAGCGATGTGGAACTGTAAGTCCATTAAACCTCTTTCTATTGTAAATTGCCCAGTCTTAGGTATGTCTTTATCAGCAGCATGAAAATGGACTAATAAATATATAAATCAGTGGGGCCATCTGGCTCTACATTTGGGGTGGAAAGATTTAGAGTTGGATTTTCTACCATTACACACACACACACACACACACACACACACTATTTTAATGGAAATAGAGACCTAAACTTTAAAAATTATAGAAGTTTTATAATATAATATATGGGACTATATGCTTGATGTGGGTAGGTAGGTTGTTTTAAACAATACGAAAAGTGAAAAAGTCATAAAAGAAATTATTAATATATTTGGCTATCTCAAAGTTGAAAATTTTGTATGTCAAAAGACAATACAAAATAAGTTTAAGACAAAAGACTTTCTGAGAAAAGTAATTTTAGCCTATGACAAACTATTAATATTTAGTTTAGGAGTTTAATTAGGTTCCTGTATGTGTTTTAAGAACCTCATATTTAAATGAAGAAGAAGAAGACAAATAGCTCATTAAAAAAATCAGGATTGGGAGGCCGAGGCGGGCAGATCACGAGATCAGGAGATCGAGACCATCTTGGCTAACATGGTGAAACTCCATCTCTACTAAAAATAGAAAAAAAAATTAGCTGGGCATGGTGGCGGGCGCCTGTAGTCCCAGCTACTCGGGAGGCTGAGGCAGGAGAATGGCGTGAACCTGGGATGCGGAGCTTGCGGTGAGCCGAGATTGTGCCACTGCACTCTAGCCTGGGCGACACAGCGAGACTCCATCTCAAATAAAAAATCAGGAAAGATATAAATATGTGAGAAAATTTAAACCCTACTTGTAATTTGAGAAAGGCAAACTAAGACTATAACAAAATACTGCTTTCACTAGACTGGCAACAATTTCAAAGCTCACTAATAGCAAAGGGCAAGACTTGGGAAAACTGCTGCTTTCAAACACTACTCTTGGGGATATATGTTGATATGGCTATTTCTGGTGGCAATTTGGCAGTATCTGTTAAAATAAAAAATATTCATACCTTTTGAGTCAGCAGTACCACTACTGATTATTTAAACTAGGAAAAAGACTCTATGCTCAAGTAGGCACCCAGAAGAATGTACATTGAAACACTGTTGTAACACTGAAAAAAATATTTAAATAGTAATGGATCAATTTCTGCATCAGAGGAGGAAATGCTAAATAAATTATGCTCTATTCATATTTTAGAATATTGTGTTGATGTTAAAAAGAAAGAATTAGATCCATGTTGGTGACACAGAAAAAATTAAGTAACAAATATTGAGTGAAAAATCAACTGGCATTTTAACCAAAGGCTTTTAAAAATCCAAAGCAATACCATATATTCTAATAAGTACATATGTATGTAAATGCATAGGAAAATATACAGTAGTATTCACGCCAAATTGAAATCAGAAATAATTTCTGGGAAAAGGACTGGGATTTTGGTTGGTTGTCAGGTAGAACTTTTGCCTGGTTGGTAATAGTTTTTTTTAATAACAAAGATGTATTTATGCATTAATTGTACAATTAAATAAATAACATTAAAAATTATCATAGTATAATACTGTTCTTTGTGTGAAATGAATTTCCTGTTTTTATTTTTCAGTAGTTTTTAATAGTTAGAAATGAATGTTGAATTCCAGTACATGCCTTTTCAACCCATGTTGAGATTATTAATACATAAATTTCCTGAATATGAAACAATCTTGCATTTGGGGAATAAAGACAACTTCAATGGTCTGAATGTTTATGTTGCTTCAAAATTCATATGTTGAAATCCTAACCCCCACAGTCTGGTATTAGGAGGCCGGGACTATAGGGGGTGATAAAGTCATAAGGGTAAGGCCCCAGGAACTCTCTGCCCCTGTCATCATGTGAAGACACAGTGAGAAGGTGCCATCTTTGAGGAGGCAATCCCTCACCAGACACCAAATCTACCAGCACCTTGATCTTGAACATCCCAGCCTCCAGAACTGTGAGAAATAAATTTCTGTAGTTTAGAAGCCACCTAGTCTACGCCATTTTGTTATAGCAGCCAAAAAGAATAAGACACTAACCTTTTCATAACTGATTATTCCATTATTTTGTTTCTCAGTTCTATTTATGAAGTTTCTTTAGCCTTTTTACATATGTATGCATAATTGAGATAGTCTATAATTTTTCTTGCCTGAATCTGATAACAGAATTAAGTTTATTTTATACAATGAATTAGGAAGTTTTAAGAATTCTCTCATGCCCTGGAATCATTTATATAGTATGAAATTTTATATTGTTTTTTGAGATTTTGAAAAGTTTATTATAACTTTATGGGCATTAATGTTTTGGTGGATTGGTTCATTGAATTTTCCTGAGTTATTATTCATTTACTCAGATTTTCCACTTTCTGCTATATAATTTTAAATATTTTTTCCAGAAAACCATTCATTCAATGAGATATTCAAAGTTACTGGACGCACGTTTGTACTAAGGGAAGGCTGTTTTCTTGAGGAAGGAGCTTACAGCATCAATAGTCATGTATATTATGATTCTTTCCCCAAATTTTCCCCAGAGCAACCAGGGTGACTATGCACTAGCTGAAGGGAAATATCCAGACCTTCTAGAGTTTTTAAAGTACTGTTTCTGAACTGACACTAATTCCTAAAGACTCCAAGCACCGTCATGTACTTATGTTCAGATTGTGAATTTATGGAGGTCACATGCTAGATGGAGTCTTGGCCTAAGTCCCTATGCCAAAGGAGTCCAGTGAAGTCACAGCCCCCTACCTGTAGTATTTCTCTAGTTCCAGAATATGTAATAGGGCTAAATATATGCAGTAACTAACAGAATCCCCCGTGTTTGTTCCCTGCTCCATGGAGTGAGGGCTATGACAAGATATCACCTCGTGAGAAACAAGTTGCTGTACCCTGGGCCACCCCCCAAAAAGAAAGAGACACAACACCTGGCAGGCCTACTCAGATTTGGGATATAACATACACCACATTTGGACAGATTGCTAGGACACATTTCCTGGGTATCTGTAAAACTTCCATATTTGAGTGGGGCCTGTAACTTGCCACAGGTTCAGACTACAGAAAGAGTGTCCCTGTACTTGGGCCTTATGACTCAGGAGATTCAGTGGCATTAGAAGTGTCAATGGCTGATAAAGACATGGTGAGGAATTTCTGTTAAGTTCTAATAAGAGGATCACAGAACATACCACTAGGATTTTGCAGTAAGAGATGCTCTCTTCTGCTGACAACAATTCTCCACTTGAAAAGCAACTCCTGGTGTACTACTGGATCTTCATAAACACTGAATGCCTGCCCATAAGACATGAAGTGACCTGAATTGAGGTAATCTGATTCACCAAGTCACAAAATTGGACAGATGTGATCATGTGTAGGAAGCATAACAAAACTGCATATGCTGATGGCTCAGATTCACACGGTTCCTTATTGTTTCTCTCTCACTCTGCATCTATGGCCTGATGAAGAGGCCTCTATGACCAGTTAACAATGAAGGAAAAAGTACCACCTGGTTTCTGGATGGATCTGCCCTGCTATATTTGTAGCAGTGAGAAGTGGACAGTTGCTACATTACAGCCCCACTCAGGGAAGTCCTAGAAAAGCAGGGGTGAGCTGAAATCATTCCAGTGGGCAGAATTTCTGGTTGTCCACTCATGTGGAAAGAAAGATAGCCTTAATATAGATCTTCATAATATGTGGACTAGCAGATAGGCTAGCTGACCCGGGATGTAGAAAGAACAAGAATGACATGCTGATCGCGAGGCAGGTTGTAAGAGAGGTTTGTGGATGGGTTTCTTGGAGTGGGCACAGAGTGTGAAGATATGTATGTTCCACATAAAGCCCCCCTACAGGTATCCACTGCAGAGGAGGTTCTCAAAATCCAGATGGATAAGAATATCCACGTCAGCCCCCTTTTCTGGCCAAAAATGCAAGCTCAAAGGCCCCATATACAAAGTGGTCATGGAGGCAGGTGTTGAGGCCATGCATGGATTTAATAAAATGGGCTTTAATTCATGAGGGTGATCTAGCTACCAGTGTAACTGAATTCTCAATCTGTCAACAGCAGAGGCCAGTGTGGAAGTCTTGCTGGAATTATCTTTTATGGGGATCAGGCAGATGTCTAGCAGTATTTTGAGGATCTGGAATGCTTTCATGATGGAAAAAGCAGCTATTTGTCCTCAGAGGAGAAATACACATTCTGGTTGTGGATTTGTCTATTCCCTTTCTGCCAGAGCTACCATTTATGAACTTACAGAATATCTCATCCATTGCCATGGTAGCCCACACAATACGGCTTCCAACAAGAAATACATATTATGAGAAGGAAGTGCAATAATGGTCTTACCCCCATGGATTCACTAGTCTGACTATGTACCACATCACCCAAAAGAAGTTGCCTTGTTAGAGTGATGGAATGGCTTTTGGAAGACTCAGTTGTAGCTCCTCGTGAAAATAACATCTGGGAGATTGGGGTGCTGATCTACTGGATTTACTATGTCTTAATCTGGTGACCAATGTAGGAAACAAGGGTGAGGGGGAAGTGGCCACTCTCATTACAACAAATCCTCTCCTGAACACAATTTTTGTTCTTATCCTCAAGACTTTCAGTTCAATGGGTTTGAATGTCCCAGTGCCCCAGGGAGGAATGCTTTGAGGAGGGAACAATCATAGTTCCATTAAATTAGAATGTGTGGCTGTTTCTTAACAGTCTGTACTGCTTAACCAGTAGGCAGGAAAGGTTAGTATACAGTGTGATTGATCTTGATTACCAAGGAGAAAATAGGTTTCTGTTACAAAATGGGGGCAATAGAGAACTGTATCTAAAACCTAGCACTTCTTAGTAAGTCCTTACTCAACTGTATTGATCAATGGAAGATACATCCACCAAGGACCCAAATTCTACAGGAAGAAAAGTTGAGTCACACCAATTTTCATACAACCCCTTCCATTCAACTATCAGGAGAGGGTAAGAGGACCATAAAAGAATTATCAAAGAAGGAAGTTTGAAAATCAACCCAGGACTCATCACAAACCTCAGAATGGGTCTCGTGATCTGTTTCCTTTGGCTTCCTTTTTTTCCTTTGCTACTTATGTGGAAGCACAGGTGGTAGCTAAGATTTTAGGTTTCAGGTAAGAGTATAACTGACTTGGCATCACCTCATAATGATATGTTACTGGGGATTTTGTGTGAATACATTTTTCACCAAGGCAAGATATATGAACAAGAATATATGCTAACAAAGGGGGTGAAATATGCTAAATATTTTCTGTTTGCCCCACTAGATGTAGTCTCTATCCTCTTCCACTTTGCTCTGTGACCCATGCAGGTGGCCTTTATGGATGGCATTAATGGTTTCTGTGGGGTCAGCCAATGAAAGGCATTGACAAGAAACTGGAGGAAGGAAAGATGAAGCTTTCCACTAGGCTTCCTCTCTAGTGGTAAGTACAACAATGCCATCACATACGGTTCTTCTCATTGAAGACCAGTTACAAGGCTTTTTAAAATACCACTAGATCTAATGTAATTGGCACACAGAGGTAAAAGCAAGCATCAAGAAAAAGCTTTTCCCTAAGAAACTTTCATGAGGACATTTTTGCCTTTTACACTGAGACCCTGCTTTACTTTCTGCTTCCCTCCGCTCCTCACCTTCCTTGTTTGCGGCTATCATTAAATCAGCCAAGTCCTACTCTTGCTTCTAGTCTTAGTGTTTTAGCTCAGAAAGTGAGCTAAACAGGTTGTTAACCTGACCCATTGATGTGAAAATATGTAAAACTCCAAGTTTCTGATATGTGTTTAATTCTTATTCTCAATTTGGAATGTTGTTTCAGGGGGTACCTAGTTATCTATTTTAATGAATATATTAATAAGAATTCAGAGTGGAAGGCTCATGTGCTTTTATTCACTTCTTACTAGAAGTCTTAACAAACATTTATTGAGCATCTTCTGTGTCCTAGGCAGTGTGCAAAAATTTTGACTGACAAACACGTGGTTCCTGCTTTCAAATAGCTAATAATGTAGTTAGGGAAATAGACATATAACCAAATATCTATAATATATGAGAAATTATATAATAGTAGCATAGACAAAATGCTATGGGAGCATAAAGTATGTTGTTACTCATTCTTCCTAAATGAAAGCTTCATCAAAGAAGTGACATTAGAACTGTGTGACAAAGGCAGAGGAAATGGATATTCTGGCTATCATGGTCACAGCATGAGATATCCGGAGAATGGAAACTAGTCCATTTTAGTTAGATGTAGAGTGCATGAAAGTAAATGTCAGAAAATGATTCAGGAATAGTACATTGGGGCCAGTTTATTAAGGAGCTTGAATGTCATGGCAGATAATTAAACTTTATTCTTCAGATAGAACCATCAGATTATTTTAAACAGCAGAGTGACAGGATTAACCCTAAATTTCGGGAAAATATTTAGTTGCAATGTGACATATTGAGTGACATGCAATTTGATGACTTTTGACATATATACACCCAAGAAACACCACAAAAATAATGAACATATTAATCACCCCCAAATTTTCCTTGCCCTCTATCCCTAAGCAATCACAGATTTGTTTGCTGTCATTATTGATTAGATTGCCATGTGTAGAATTATACATAGATGAAACTATATAGCATGTACTCTTTTTTTCTCTGGCTTCTTTCAGTCAGCATAATGATTCTGAGATCCATACATGTGTTTGTGTGCATCGATAGTTTGCTCCTTTTTATTGTTCAGTAGTATTCCACCATACAGATATGAAACTATTTATACATTCACCTCTTAATAGACATTTGGATTGTTTTTAGTTTTTGGCTGTTATAAATAAAGATGCTGATATGGTTGAAATGTTTGTCCCCTCCATATCTCATGTTGAAATGTGTTTCCAGTGTTGGAGGTGGGGCCTAGTGGGAGGTGACTGGATCATGGTGGCAGATCCCTGATGAATGGTTTAGCACTATCTCCTTTGTGATAAGTGAGTTCTCAGTTCATGTGAGTTATGGTTGTTTAAGAGTCTGGAACCTCCCCATTCTCACTCTGTTGCTCTTGCTCTCACCATGTGACATGCTGGCTCCCCTTCACCTTCTGCCATGATTGTGAACTTTCTGAGGCCCTCATCAGGAGCTGAGCAGATGTTGGTGCCATGTTTATACAGCCTGCAGAACCATGAGCCAATTAAACCTCTTTTCTTTATAAATTACCCAGTCTTAGATATTCCCTTATAGTAATGCAAAAAAGGCCTAATACAGAGTTATTCAAGTCTCTTGAATAACTAGGAGTGGAATGGCTGGGATGTCTTGTAGGTACATGGAATTGTGTCATTTTTTATTCCCACAAGCAGTGTATGAGAGTGTTTATTTCCACACGTTAAGAACTAATTCATTGCAATTTTCTTTTTTTTAATAGGACATAAGTTGAATTTTTTTCAAAGGCTTTTTAAGCATCTGTGGAGGTAACCGTGTGATTTTTCTTCTTAGTCCTATTAGTATTGTGCACTCTAATAGTAGGTTTCCTAACAGAATGCTAACAGGTTCTTGCATTCTTTGTATAAATATCAAGTCATGGTTGTGGTGTTTTTTTTTTTGAATGTTGCTTGGGAATCTATTTCTAAATTGTATTTCAGATCTTCGCATCAATTGTCATAAATGATATTGCTCTATACTTTTCTTTTTTTTGCTGCCATTTCCAGGATTAGGTGCTGATGTTATATTTATATCATTAAAATAATTTAAAAATTTTCTTTATTTGCCATGCTTTGAAACAATTTAAAAATATTGGGACTATTTGGTCTCTAAAAGTTGGGTTGAATTTCCCTGTGCAGATGACTATCTGGGTCTGTTGTCTCTTTGTGATCATTTGTTTTTTCTTGATAACTTTCTCTATTTCTTCTATGAAAATTGGTTAGTTTAAGCTTTCTGTCTCTACTGGCATTAATTTTGGTAAACTGTTTTCTAAGAAAGTATACATTTTATCTGGGTTTATAGAAAGAAGACTAATATCAGCACAACAAAAATCTGTCAGCTTATATAAATTTTCTCATATTTCATTACCAGAGTTACCATTAAAATGAACACGGTGTCTAAAAATGTAAGCCAAGGCTGTTTTTAAAAAAAGGAAACACAAGGAGATGTGTTCCCACGGGAATGCCTGCCCAGATTTATCTTGGTAAATTTGTTCACAATTGTCACAAACCTACTACAGGGTGAAAGGTCTATGCAAGAGTACACAATTAACCCTGAGACATTTTTACACACCTATGTTAGTAGAGGGTGTCTCTTTCTCCTCTACCCAAGAGTGGAGCCACATTGACTATTGCTATTAATTACTAATTATTAGTAGTAATATTTCTACATTGCTATTTACTTCATATAGTCAATAATAAATAATGCAGGTGTTCGTGGCTTTCTTATCTCAATACTTGAGAGATAAATTTTGGCAATAGAGATAATTTTACTTATGTCTCTAATGTTTGCAGAGCTTCTATTTGCTTCAAAAGTAGATTTATGAAAAAAGATTTCAGGAGAATCTGGTTTCTACAAACTTATCTATTATACATCATCATTTGTCTTCATGTAGGTTTGAAGAAGAGTGATTTTAATAAAGCAAAATCAGCATAAATGCTATAAAACAAATGCCCAAACCAACCAATGAAGCACTATTTGCTTTGCTCTACTCCAGATTAAGTGTCTGGGGTTCTCCAAATCTCCCCTTCCTCATGTATCTCAGACCAAAGGCCATGGATGGTAAATGGATCCTCTAAGCATCCACATTTGCAAGCAGCAGGGGTGAGGACGGAAGTTAGGGGCATCTCTTTTGGCTGCATTAGAAATATTTTCTAGAAATACTTTGTGCTGGCCACCCACTCTTAATCAAGAATCATTTCTTTAATGACAATGGTAATTGGGTTGGACTTTTAAGGCTGTCTTTAACTCTCTTCCCCCTTTTTTCTTCTAGCATCTTTCACTCTCGCTGTATCTCAGTCAGGGTTCAAATGCCTCTTTCTGAGCACCGCAGCAGCATTCCCTTGGAATCATCTCAGCTTTCTCTTGACATTCAGCAGAATGTTGGATAGGCTCTTTTAGTATTTATCCTAGCTTATGGTCTTAATCATTTAGGTATTTTGTTCTAGTCTTCAATGGTAGGATAAGAAGTCCAAGTAAGCACCTTTTCAAGGAATGTTACTATCTTTTCAAGAAATACTGTTCCTAGACTTAGTTGTAATTCTTCATATTATCCGGGACTATGCTTTGGCAGATTTAATTTCCAAAGTTCAAAATTTAAGTCAAATTTAAAATCTTTTTAACATACATACAATACCTTATTTTCTTCTCAAAGGTGAGAATGAAATGGACACACAGAAATAGTTCGTCTTTCATATTATCTTTATAAATTGGTATTTGATACAGTTCATACTGAGGCGAATGTGTGAGATCTTGGCACTCAAGAATAAGGCAACAATGGGAAATGAAGAATTTCACAATATTTGATTAAAGGATAACAAATAAATATCACTTATTATTGCTCAAAATAAGTAATACCTTACAGAATAACATCAAGAAGAAAAATAGATTTTAATGGGCCCCTGTAGAAACTGATGGATCAAGCATATAGAAATTAGTAAGGAGTGAAAAGTTTTCAACAACCAAATTAGAAAGCCTGATATAAGAGAATTTTGCACCCAATAGATAGGAATACTTTTAAGAGATATTTTTAAAGCACAAAACCAACACTTTTAAAAACAAATGAATATAACATATTTAAAAGGGAGTATACAGAAACTATACATTCTTTCCAAAGTCATATGGAACACAAGGATTCACAACAATTCTCAAAATTTTATCACACAGGTAAAGTTCTATAACCACTATGCAAGTAATTTAGAAATTAACAATAAAAGATGGAGAAAACCAATATATTTGGGAAAAAAACTCCCAAATAATCTGTGTGTTAAGAAGGCAATGATGAGAGAAACTATGAAATCTTTAGAACTAAATGACTATAAGAATACATATATATCAAGATGTTTGATAATCGGTTCAAATGGCACATAGGGATAAGTTTATAGTTTTAAATGCATCTATTAATAGACAAGAAGACATTGTGGCACTGTCAGATCCAGGCTTGTTTAAATTTGTGCTTTCTATTTCTTTAGGTGTCTTAACAAAATGGATAACGGCATATACCAATTCACCCCAAACTTCTCCCTGACAATAGCAAGCTTTCGAACTTTTAACTGTTTATTGAGATTATGTGATGGTCTCACTATCGAAGTCAATAAAGTGCAGTTCTTAATTTAAAAAAAACTTCCTTGCCTTTAGTATTTTTAAATTAAATTGTAATAGGGTAAAAGCAATATAAATGTTCTACCTTGTCTTGACATAAGAAGTCATTTAGTACTTTCAAGTCTACTAGTTTATGCATTGTTTACTTATCTGCTAGATAATTATGTATTTTCATTACTACAATTTCTGAAACATGCCATTAGATATCAAGGTTATCTGAGGTTCCAGGTATTACAGAGTTTCTTCTTATTTATCTTCATATTTTCTGAAATGAAAACAAAAAATGTAACATCTAGAAATAATATATTAATTCATAAAGATGAAATTATTTTCATAGCAATTTCTTAATCATATTATTTCCTTATTGTATCCTCTTTGATACCACCCACACTTTTTATATAGAGAAGGTAACTTTATATTGAGAGAAGATAAGATTCTCAAGATGTATTAGACAATGCCAATTTTAATACTCTTACGTTGTTAAAATGATTGAAAGCAGATTTCCATCTGTGGGATTCCGGGGAAATCTTTATAGTCAGATTATCATTACAGCCAACAAAACATTGTAGGTAATATATAAATAGTTTAAAACATTTATTTTATTTGATTTTTATAACAAAACTATAGTAAAGGTTTAGGGTAATTTAAAGTGAAAACACAATAATCCTTTAATAATAATATATGAGAGAAAGCCAGAGATTAAATTTAAAATGAGGACTGAAGAAATTCTGCTTTTAATATAAGATTATATGGATACTACATATCATATGAAATGAGTTTTGAATTTCTTGTTAGTCAAAGGGGAAAAAACCCCACACAAAACCAAATAAATCATGACAGTTTTTTGAGAAATATCTTTTCCCAGCATCAAATTCTAAAAGAGAATTGTTGCATGTATTTTCACATAAAAGAGAATCATAAAACTTTAAATAACAGTTTTGAAGAAAATGCAAAAATGTTATACTGTACTAATATATCATCCTTTAATAAAAGTCAAGGGCATGACCTTAAGTAATAATTCAGTTAAAGTATTTTTTTTAAAAAAGCTTTCATTTTAGGCTCAGGGGTACATGTGTAGGTTTGTTATATAGGTAAATTTGTGTCACGGGGGTTTGGTGTACAGCTTATTTTGCTACCCAGGTACTAAGCATAGTACCCGATAGTTATTTTTCCTGATCCTTTCCTTCCTCCTACCATCCTCCCTCAAGTAAGCCCCAGTATCTGTCATTCACCTCTATGTGTCCATGCGTTCTCATCATTTAGCTGCTACTTATAGGTGAGAACATGCAGTGTTTGGATTTCTGTTCCTGTGTTAGTTTACTAACAATCATGGCCTCCAGCTGCATCCATGTGCCTGCAAAGGACATGATCTCGTTCTTTTTTATGGCTGTGTAGTATTCCATGGTGTATGTGTACCACATTTTCCTTATCCAGTCTATCGCTGATAGGCATTTAGGTTGATTCTGTGTCTTTGCTATTGTGAATAGAGGAACATATGTGTGCATGTGTCTTTATGGTAGAACGATTTGTATTCCTTTGGGTATATACCCAGTAATGGGATTGTTGGGTCAAATGATAGTTCTGTTTTTAGTTATTTGAGGAATTGCCACACTGCTTTCCATGATGATTGAACTAATTTACACTCTGCCAGCACTGTATAAGTGTTCTTTTTTCTCTGCAACCTCACCAGCATCTTTTATTTTTTGCCTTTTTTTTTTTGATATGGAGTTCTGCTCTTGTTGCCGAGGCTGGAGTGCAATGGTGCGATCTTGGCCCACTGCAACCTCTGCCTCCTAGGTTCAAGCAATTCTCTGGCCTTGGCCTCCCAAGTAGCTGGAATTACAGGCACGTGCCACCACGCCCAGCTAATGTTTGTATTTTTTTTAGTAGAGATGGGGTTTCACTATGTTGGCCAGGCTGGTCTCGAACTCCTGACCTCAGGTGATCCACCCACCTCAGCCTCCCAAAGTGCTGGGATTACAGGCATGAGCCACCATGCCCAGCCCTATTTTTTGACTTTTTAATGATAGCCATTCTGACTGGTGTGAGATGGTATCTCACTGTGGTTTGGGT
The DNA here is from genome assembly GCF_000001405.40 of Homo sapiens. NCBI lineage: Eukaryota > Metazoa > Chordata > Mammalia > Primates > Hominidae > Homo > Homo sapiens. The sequence continues at coordinate 140,445,253 of NC_000004.12, forward strand.
TTAGTTTGCATTTCTCTAATGCTTAGTGATACTGAGCATTTTTTTTCATATGCTTCTTGGCTGCATGTATGTCTTCTTTTAAAAAGCATCTGTTTGTGTCCTTTACCCACTTTTTAATGGGGTTGTTTGTTTTTTGCTTGTAACTTTGAATTCTTTACAGATCCTGGATATTAGACTTTTATCAAATACATAGTTTTTAAAAAATATTTTCTCCCATTCTGTAGGTTGTCTGTTTACTCTGTTAATAGTTTCTTTTGCTATATAGAAGCTCTTTAGTTTAATTAGATCTATTTGTCAACTTTTGTTTTTATTGCAATTCCTTTTGGAATCTTCATCATATGATCTTTATCAGTTCCTGTGTCCAGAATGGTATTTCCTAGGTTATCTTCCAGGGTTTTTATAGTTTCAGGTTTTACATTTAAGGCTTTAATCCAACTTGAGTTGATTTTTGTATATGGTGTAAGGAAGGTGTCCAGTTTCAATCTTCTGCACGCGGCCAGCCAGTTATCCCAGCGCCATTTATTGAATAGGAAGTCTTTTCCCCCATTGCTTGTTTTTGTCAGCTTTGTTGAAGATCAGATGGCTGTAGATGTGTGGCATTATTTCTGGGCTCTCTATTTTGTTCCATTGGTTTATGTGTCTGTTTTTGTACCAGTACCATTGAAAGCCTATCATGTGGTTTTTGTCTTTAGTTTTGTTTATGAGATGAATCACATTTATTGATTTGTGTATATTGAACCAATCTTGCATGCCAGGGATAAAGCTTACTTGATTGTGGTCAATTAGCTTTTTGATGTGCTGCTGGATTTGGTTTGCTGGTTTTTTATTATGGATTTTTGCATTGATGTTCATTGAGGATATTGGCCTGAAGTTTTTTTGTTGTTGTTGTGTCTCTGCCAGGTTTTGGTATCAGGATGATGCTAGCCTCACAGAATGACTTAGGGAGGAGTCCCTCCTTTTCAATTTTTTGGAATAGTTTCTGTGGGAATGGTACCAGGTCTTCTTTGCACATCTAATAGAATTTGGCTGTGAATCTGTCTGGTCCTGGGCTTTTTTGGTTCAGTAGGCTATTTATTACTGATTCAATTTTGGAGTTTGTTGTTGGTCTATTCAGGGATTCACTTTCTTCCTGGTTAAGTCTTCAGAGAGTGTATGTATCCAGGAATTTATCCACTTCCTCTAAATTTTCTAGTTTGTGTGCATAGAGGTGTTCATAACAGTCTCTTATGGTTATTTGTATTTCTGTAGAGTCAGTGGCAATGTCTCCTTTGTCATTTCTAATTGTGTTTATTTGAATCTTTTCTCTTTTCTTCATTATTACAATTAAACTAGTGGTTCATATGTCTTATTAATTTCTTTGAAGAACCAACTCCTGGATTCATTGATCTTTTGAATGGTTTTTCATGTCTCAGTCTCCTTCAGTTCAGCTCTGATTTTGGTTACTTCCTGTATTCTGGTAGCTTTGGAGCTGGTTTGCTTTTGCTTCTCTAGTTTTTTTTTTTTTTTTTTTTTTTTTTTTTTTTTTTTTTTTAGCTGTGATGTTAGATTGTTAACTTGAGATCTTTCTAGCTTTTCGATTTGGGTATATAGTGTTATAAATTTCCCTCTTAACACTGCCTTAGCTGTGTCCCAGAAATTCTGGTATGTTTTACCTTTGTCCTCATTAGTTTCAAAGAACTTCTTAATTTCTGCCTTAATTTCATTATTTACTCAAAAGTCATTCAGGAGCAGGTTGTTTAATTTCCATGTAATTGTATGGTTTTGAGCAATTTTCTTAGTCTTCATTTCTATTTTTATTGTACTGTGGTCTGACAGCATGGTTGGTATGATTTTGAGGTTTTGTTTTGCATTTGCTGAGGATTGTTTTATGTCCAATTTTGTGGCCGATTTTAGAGTATGTGCCATGTGGTTATGAGAAGAATGTATATCTTGTTTTGGGGCAGAGAGTTCTGTAGGTATATATTATGTTCATTTGGTCGAGTGTTGAGTTTAGGTCCTAAATATCTTTTGTTAATTTTCTGCCTTGATGATCTGTATAATACTGTCAGTGGGGTATTAAAGTCTCCACTATTATGTATGGCAGTCTACGTCTCTTTGTAGGTCTCTGAGAGCTTGCTTTATGAATCTGGGTGCTCCTGAGTTTAGTGCATATATATTTAGGATAGTTAGCTCTTCTTGTGGAATTGAACCCCTTACTATTATGTAATCCCTTCTTTGTCTTTTTTGATGTTGGTTTACAGTCTGTTTGGTCTGAAATTAGGATTGCAATCCCTGCCTTTTTTCTGATTTCCATTTGTTGGTAGATTTTTCTCCATCCATTTATTTTGAGCTTATAAGAGTCACTGTATGTGAGATGGATCTCTTGAAGACAGCATACCAATCTCTTGAAGACTTGCTTTTTTATCCAGCTTGCCACTCTGCCTTTTAAGTGAGGGATTTAGCCTATTTACATTCAAGATTAGTATTAATATGTGTGCATTTGATCCTGTCATTGTGTTGTTAGCTGGTTATTATGCAAACCTGTTTGTGTGGTTGCTTTATAATGTCACTGGTCTGTGTACTTAAATGTGTTTTTGCATTGGCTGGTAACAGTCCTTCCTTTCCATAGTTAGTGCTCCTTTCAGGAGGTTTTGTAAGGCAGGTCTGGTGGTAATGAATTCTCTCAGCATTTGCTTGTCTGAAAAGGATCTTATTCCTCCTTTGCTTAGGAAGCTTAGTTTGGCTGGATATGAAATTCTTGGTTGAAGATATTTTTTCTTTTAGAATGTTGAATATAGGCCTCCAATCTCTTCTGGCTTGCAGGGTTTCAACTGAGAGGTCTACTGTTAGCCTGATGGGGTTCCCTTTACAGGTTACCTGCCCTTTCTGTCTGGCTGCCTTTAGCATTCTTTCTTTCATTTTGACTTCCGTAAATCGGATAATTATGTGTCCTGTGGATGATCTTCTAATATCTTGCAGGGGTTCTCTGCATTTCCTGAATTTGAATGTTGTCCTCTCTAGCGAGGGTGGAGAAGCTTTCATGGACAATATACTGAAATAAATTTTCCAAGTTGTTGGCTTTCTCCCTGTCTTATTCGGTGATGCTAGTGATTCATAGATCTGGCCTGTGTACATAATCTCATATTTCTTGGAGGCTTTGTTTATTCTTTTTTCACTCTTTTTGTTTATTTTTGACTATCTTATTTCAGGAGGCCAGTCTTCAAGCTCTGAGATTCTTTCCTCAGCTTTGTCTGTTCTACTGTTAATACTTACAAGTTCATTAGGATATTCTTGTAGTGTGTTTTTCAGCTCTATCAGGTCAGTTAGATTATTTTTTATACTGGTTATTTTATCTGTCAGCTCCTGTATTGTTATATTTTGATTCTTAGATTCATTGGATTAAGTATTAACATTCTCCTGAATCTTGAAGATCTTCATTTCTATCCATATCCTGAATTTTATTTCTGTCATTTCAGCCATTTCAGCCTGATTAAGAGCCTTTGCTAGAGAACTAGTGTGGTCATTTGCAGGACAGAAGACACTCTGGTCATTTGAGTTGCTGGAGTTCTTGTGCTGATCCTTTCTTCTCTGAGTGTGGGTATTCTTTTCAGTTAAAGCATTTTTATGGGAAGTATCTTCTACTCCCTGCCCCTTCATCACCTCCAACTAGGCTTGGTAGATTTAGCAACAACTACTACAACAACAAAACAAATGAGACATACATGAAAAAAAGTCGTTGTTTAACTGAAATTCAAAGTTAATTGGGTGTCCTGTATTTTATCTGGCAACCCTACTGGCAGTACATTTAAATAATTGGCCCTATGCCCAGTGCACTGTAATAAATGGAAAATGACTTTTTGTATACAATGGAGAGGTAGAAAATCATAGAAATACACACGATTAGCTTATCAATTAAGCAAAAAACTTTCTTTTAAGTTTTTATTTGAATTTTCAGAAAGTATGGTTTTGTTAACAAATGTGGAAATATTTTGTTTCCAAAAGAAATTTGTATGTTTATCATAGACATAGAATATGAAATGATAAAAAGCATTTAAACTGACAATCTAGGCAAATTTCAAAAAATTTAAAAACTATTTAAGAAAGTTCATCACTAAAAAGGCATATTTTTGTTTTATTAAGTTATTATTTTTTGAACTACAAGCTAGATGAATAGAGATAAATAAAATTATTTTTCTGCTTAATAAAACTGTAGAAAATTTATCTTACATTTAAAAAATTTTATCATGGCCAGGCATGATGGCTCACACCTGTAATCCCAGTGCTTTGGGAGGCTGAGACAGGCAGATCACAAGGTCAGGAGATCAAGACCATCCTGGCTAACACGGTGAAACCCCGTCTCTACTAAAAATATAAAAAAGTTAGCCCGGCATGGTGGTGGCCACCTGTAGTCCCAGCTACTTGGGAGGCTGAGGCAGGAGAATGGCGTGAACCTGGGAGGCAGAGCTTGCAGTGAGCCAAGATCGTGCCACTGCACCCCAGGCTGGGCAACAGAGTGAGACTCCTTCTCAAAAAAAAAAAGTTTTATCATAAGGGTAAAACAAAATTTAACTAGTTAAAGAACAAATTTTACCCAAAAGTTTTTTAAAAAGACTTAAAGAAATGAATATTAAGGGAAACACAGCAACAAAAGTTGAACATTCATAGAATGTAATAACTTAAAATTAAATTAATAAATATCTGATGATTGTCTATATATTTATACCAATTTTCTTATACTTGCCACTTTATTGAAGGATTAATATTTTAAAATATGATGTAGTCGCTTAAGAAAGTTGAGAAATAGTCTAATTCTTATTATGTCATTATTTCCAAAGAATGATTTTGATACTTTTTAAAGCTTTAGAAACATGAAACTCCTAATAGACATCCTGTTAAAAATTTAACAAATAATTTAAATATAATCACATTTGACATATTATTAAATTGTTATTGACTTCTATTTTGTGTGGTGTGAGGTATCAAAAGGAAAAAAGCCAGCATTATAACATCAAAATATGAATGTTTATGTCTACATTTACTTAATATGCCATGAATTTACAAAGGTGAGGTTAAAATATCATATCTGGCCAAAAAATATAATGAAAGAATCCCGTTATAATAGCATCAAAAAAGAGAATGGTATAGACCAATCTATTTCTGCATCACATCTACAGCTATGCATTCTGATGGTGTGACTTTTTGCACAAAGATTCACAACAGTTACATTTTCATTATTCCAGGCACATATTTGTCTTGTTGGACACATTTTCTTTATTGGATTCCACCTTGCTTGATAGCCAACAGCTAACATTTACTGAGTTCACATTATGTTCTAGGCATGGTTCCAAACCGTGCATTACAATACACAAAGTAGAAAAAGCAGAAAGAGGGAGAGTCATGAATGATGGGAAGATGTATACGTCTATTTCTCATTCAGTTGACAAAGGATTAAAGCAAGCATTTCTTTCACAGTGTAAAGACACTAAGGGTAGAGGTGTCGAGGGTGGAAGAAACCTGAAGGATCATTTAAACTCTTTGAAGCTTTTATAGATGAAGAAAGCTCAGAGGAGTGTTATAGCCTGCCCAATATCATATATGTACTCCCTAGTTCACCAGGACTGAAAACTAGGTGCTTTGACCTTGAATTCCTTGTTTCTTCTACTACACTAAGGGGCTAAGTTAATTATCAAAAATATTATATCTGAAAATGATGCAAAATTTTAAGAATGACTAAAATTCAAGCAACGCTAAATTTTTCTTCATCTGGCAAAACGAACAGTGGTCTGAAATAAAAATTCTGATACATTTAAATTAAATAGTAGAGGGATTTTATTTTTGAAATATTCTAGTATAATTTTGAATTTTAGACTAAAAGAGTGAACTTTATTATAATTTTCAAAACTCTTTTTTAGTCTTCTTAAAATTGCACAACTGGGAACAGTAAGGCAAAATAGTTTATGTAGGCTGAATTCTTCTTACCATGATAGATAACTTGGGGCTTTAAAAGATGATTGCTTAATTTATAAATGCTCTTCACAACATACAGTACTGTCATAAGATGAATTCTGCTTAAACAACCATATTTTATAGTGTCTTATGTCACCACTTCTTTTCTAAATAGTATTTTATAAGTTTATAAAACATTGTATGTTACTAAAGTTACATTTCAAAATCTTACTTTTTCATATTGTTCTTTTCTAGGGAATGATGAATGTATACCCACATGCTGGAAAAGAGAAGGTTTATACTGAATACGTATTTGCTTCTTTCGTTTCATACAGTTTCTCTGGGGAAAAAGAAACAACAATCTTCTGTAAAAACCCAGGTATTGCTTTGTATTGCGTTTACTGATGGTAGAATTTTTATATATTAGTTTTTGCTAGAGTTCTATTTTCATATTTAAAAATATAAACAAAATATTTAATTCTTAGCTTTTTCTTCATAAGAATAGAGCAAAGGAGTTGGGGTAAAAAAGGGTTTTCATTACAACATGTATTTGCATGAACTCTGTCTTAGAAAAGCAGGTTAGTGTTGTACCAATTATATTTCCTCTCTTTCTTTTAATTACAATAACTCAAATAAAATGCTTGTTATTTTTCTATCCATATCTGTCAGACTACAGCATTCTTTCACTTCCTATATTCATTGACTAATTTCTTTATTGAATTATATCACCTCAATTTCTTCTTAGAGAGTAAAAAATATAATATTAAAACAAAGAACCAATTTATAGTCAATGAAAAAGAATCTGGATAATTTTCTCAAAAAAAAAAAAAAAAAAGAAGGATGACCTATGGCACCACTCCTATTAAAAACAAACATTTGAAGGCCAGGCACAGTGGCTTATGCCTGTAATCTCAGCACTTTGAGAGGTGAGGTGGGAGGATTGCTCAGGAGTTTGAGACCACCTTGGGCAATATAGTGAGACTCCATTTTTAAAAAACAAAAACAAAAACAAAACAAACAATAAAAACCCCACAAACATTTGAAATAATGATGATCACTGAGAATTATTTTATATATTTTTATACATAGAAGATTCAGAAAAATAAATCTAAAATGTATATATATAGTAATTTTTTACATAACACATTTATTTAGATGCATTTCTACCCAGTACTAATACATAGGAAATATTAACAGTTTCTCTTTTAACTGTAAAGTAATTTAATGGTCTAGAGTTAATTTAATTTGAAACTAAATTAGCATCAGATAAAATTGGTTGAGGAGTTACAGTTTAGCATATAAAATAATGGCTTTGCAAATACACCCTCAAAACAACCTGTTGATAAAGCTGAGCTTATTTCATATTGCTGTAAGGACAATCACTACTTTTATGGAGTCTGGATAGTGTCTGTTCAAATCTTTTGCCCTTTTAAAAATTGAGTTGCTTACCTGTTTTGAGAGTTCTATACATATACTGAATACATGTCCTTTGTTGGATATGGAATTTACAAATATTTTCTCCTAGTCTGTGGTGTCTTATCCTCTTAACAGTACCTTTTGCAGCACAAAAATTTTTAATTTTGATGAGGTCCAATTTATCAATTTTTAAAAATGCTTTTAGTGTCATTTAAAAAAATTTCACCCAGCCCTAGGTCCTGAACATTTTTTCTATATTTTCTTCCAAGAGTTTTAGTGTTTAGATAGATGATTTTTTGTGTTTAGATAGATGATTTATTTTGAAATAATGTTTGTATAAAGTGTGAGGTTTAGGTCGCATTATGGTTGAGAGATATGGCACCAATTGATCCAGTAAACATTTGTGATAAGATTATTCTTTCTCCATTGAATTGCATACACTTTGTAAAATATCAGTTCGTTATATTTTGTGGGCCTATTTCTGGACTGCCTATTCTGCTCCATGGAACTTTATGCTTATCCTTTTGCCAATAAAGGTGGCTTGTCTTGATTACTGTAGCTTTGTAGTAAGCTTTCAGATTGAATAATGTGATTTTCCCAACTTTATTCTTCTTTTTCAAAACTATTTTAGTAGATCTATTTCGTTTGTCTTCTCTTAAAAATTCTAGAATCAGCTTTGGTAGAATATCTACCAAAAAATTCCTGCTGAGATTTTGATTAGAATTGTGTTACATCCATAGACCAATTAGGGTAACATTCATACCTTTACTAGGTTGAGCTTCCCAATCTATGATCATGGTATGTCTCTCTGTTCTTTTTATTAGCATTTTAAGGTGTCCAGCATATAGACAATATACATATTTTGTTAAATGTATACACATATAGATATATAAATATTTTATATATAATGTTTTTTAAATATTGTAAGTAATTTTAAAATGTTGGTGAGATGGTTTGTCTCTGTGTCCCCACCCAAATTTCATGTCAAATTGTAATTCTTACATTTCAGGGGAGGGAGTTGGTGAGAGGTGATTGGATCATGGGGTAAATTTCCCCCATGCTGTTCTCATGAAAGTGAGTGAGTTCTCATGAGATCTAATGGTTTTATGTGTGGCAATTACCCCCTGGCTTTCTCTCTCCTGCTGCCATGTAAGATGTCCCTTGCCTCCTCTTCACCTTCTGTCATGATTGTAAGTTTTCTGAGGCCTCCCTAGCCATGCAGAACTGTGAATCAATTAAGCCTCTTTTCTTTATAAATTACCCAGTCTCAGGTAGTTACTTATAGCAGTGTGAAAATGGACTAATACATTTGGTTTTCAACTTTTCATTGCTATTTTGCAGAAAAATGATGGAGTTTTGTGTGTATAGACCTTGTATCTTGCAACTTTGCTCAAACCCATTTATCAGTTCTAGGATGTATGTGTGTGTGTGTGTGTGTGTGTGTGTTTATTCTTTGTGATTTTCTACATAGACAATCATGGCATTTGCTTTTCAATTCACGTGCCTTTGTTTTTCCCTTTATTGCACTGGTTTGAACTTCCAGTAAAATGTTGAATAGGAGTGGTGAGGATGGACATGGTTATTTTTTTCTTAATCTTAGAGAGAAAGCATCCAGTTTTCAACAATTAAACATGAAGTTGGCTATGGGATTTCTCTAGATGCTCTTTAACATGTCAGAGACATTTCTTTCTATTCCTAATTGGCTGGGAGGTTTTATTACGTATGAATTTTGAATTTTGTCAAATGATTTTTCTGCATCAGTTGATATTAACATGTGGCTTTTCTTCTTCAGAATCTTAAATTGGTGGGTTACACTGTATGATTTTCAAACAAACCAGTTTTGTATTCATAGGATAAATACCAATTAGTATGGTGTATTTTTCTTTTTACATATTGCTGGATTCAATTTACTATTACTGGGAAGATTTTTCTGTCTATATACTTGGGGGATATGTGGCCTTGGTTTCCCTTTTTGCTCTGTTTTTGTCTGGTTTTCATGTCATGATAATGCCAGCTTCATGAAAAGAATTGGGATGTACCCTTTCCTCTTCTATTTTGGAGAAGGTATTATATACAATTGTTATTATTTCATCTCTGTTTAGTAGAATGCACCTTTAAACCCTTTGGACATGGAAATTTCCTTTTCAGGATTTAAAAATAATAATTTAATTTCTTTAGTAGATATAGGACTACTCAGATTACCAATTTCATTTTGGATGAGTTTTGATAGCTTACAATTTTTGGTGGATTTCATTTTTAAGTTGCTCTTTTATATGCATGGAAGTGCCTGCAGTATTCCCTTATGGAAAATCCTTTTAGTATCTGTGGAGTATGCTGTGGAACTCCCACTTTCTTACTAATGTTGATAACCTGTATTTTTTGTCACTCTTATTAGAAACTTAGCAGTTTTATTGCTCTTTTTAAAAAATTACCTTTTGGTTTTATTGGTTTTCTCTATTATTTTTATGCTTTTAATTTTGCTGTTTTCTTTTACTATTATTATTTTCTTCCCTCTCTTCCTTTGCTTTTTATTTTGCCCTTCTTTTTTCTAGTTTGTTAATGTAGAAGTGGAGATTATGAATATGAGATCTTTCTTCTCTTCTAAGATATAGATTTAAGTCTATAAGCTTTCTCTCTAAGCAGTGCTTTAGCTGCATTCCAGAAGCGTTGTAACACTGTATTTTCATTCATTTCAAAGAGTTGTCTAATTTCCTTTGAAACTTCTTCCTTCACCTAGGGTTTATTGAGAAGTGTTTAATTGCCAAGTGCTTGAGATTTTTCAGTTATCTTTATGTTGTTGATTTCTAATTTGATTCTATTGTGGTACAAGAACATACATTAAAAATCATTTCAGTTTAAATTTGTTAAGCTTTGTTTTATGATCCAAGATGTGGCTATTTTGGTGAATGTTGTATCTGTTTTTTGAGAATGTATTTTCTACTGTTATTGGATGTAGTGGTTTTTAAATGTCAATTAAATCCAGTTGGCAGATGGTGTTGTTCAGTTCTTTTGTCTCCTTGCTGGGTTTCTGCCTATCAGTTCTGTTGATCACTGAGAGAGAGGACAGTTGAAATCTCCAACTGTAATTGTAGATCGGTCTATTTTTTCTTTTAGTTCTGTCAGTTTTTGCTTCATGTATTTCAAGACTCTGTTGTCTTCTTGGTAAATTAACCCTTTTATTATATATAACATCTTTCTTGATCCCTAGACTGTTTTTTTCTTTGCTTTTAAGTGTATTCTGATATTAATATAGCTACTACAAGCTGGGCATTGTGGCTTATGCCTGTAATCTCAACACTTTTGGAGGGCAACGTGGGCTGATGGCTTGAGCCTAGGAGCTTTAGACCAGCCTGGGCAACATGGCAAAAACCTGTCTCTGCATAAAATACAAAAATTAGCTGGGCATGGTGGCGTGCACCTATAGTCCCAGTTACTGAGGAGGCTGAGGTGGGAGGATCACCTGAGCCCAGGGAGGTTGAGGCTGCAGTGAGCTGTGATTGTGCCACTGCAATCCAGCCTGGGCTACAGAATGAGTCTCAATAAATAAATAAATAGCTACTACTGCAAATCTCCTTTGATTTGTGTTTGTATGGTATATATTTTTTTCATCCACAAGTTTTAACCTATCTATAATATTTGAACTGAGTATTGACTTCAGTAGTTGCATCATTTGAAAAATCTACCCTGATGAACTCTTAATAGTGTATTTTAATCATTTATATTTAATGTAAGTATTGGCATGTTTGAATTTACGTCTATCATTTTTTTTTCTATTTGTTCACTCTGTTTTTGTCCCTCTGTTTCTACTTTTCACTGCATTTTAGGGGTCTCTCATTACTTCATTTAATAGGTAGAAAGATCAAAATTTGGGATATTAGAAATTTTAAAAATTGGTGCATTTATCAGATTTGGTTTGGTAAACAAATTTTAGGTAATTACGTTGGATAGATAATATTTTTCCTAAAATATTTGGTATTCATAAAGTAAATACTCACAAGATCTTCTCCTGCGTCACACACCTTTACCTGAAAAATGTCATTCAAGAGCCAGTCTATGGGTTTCTCTTTGTAGAACATTAAAAAAAACCGTACAAAGTGAGTTAAGTCCTCAGATCTAAACAGCTTTCCTATGGAAAAAAATACAATTAGATGCAAATAATTCATATGTAGTTGTTCATTCCTTTAACATGGGAAAAAGCAAAAGTTATTAAAATTTAAATATGTCCCATTCCTTAGAAATAAAGATTAAAGCACTGCTGAAGTTAGACAATGATAAAATTAAACACTATATCTGCTTAAGTATTAAGGATTACCACATCTGAAGGAGAATATAAGCAGGTTTAGAATAGTCAATACTCTCAGGAAATCAATTGTGATAACTCATGAGGATTGATTGTCTAAATCAAGTGAAAGACAAGTGAATAGAATGAAATATATAGGCGTTGTAATCTTTTACTTAATTTTGTACAAACTGTATTTTTTACCTGATTTTTGTAGCACTTTATCAATCTACTACATTTTTCGTTGTTAGTACTTAATTTTATTAAAGTACTCTCATTTCAGTATTTGAGCATTATTTTAACAGGATGTTATTTTTCTTTTATATTTGTTATTCTTAAAGATTTACTATATTTTTAAATATTATTCCATTAGGTCTAATAGTTTTTTTCTTATATACTGCATCTTTAATTTTAAAATGAAGTTGAAGGGATAAGATTCAGGTACATATTCACTTCAAAGTAAATAATGTAAAATACATCTAATGATTTGATAAATATGAAAGTCGGATGTAAGCATGCTTCATTCTTCACTAGAACTTAAGTTTATATGAGTCACTTAATAAAATGTATAATTGTATTTTAATTTTTTAATTTTTTGCACCTATTTATGTAGTAACCAAAGCAAGTGATTTAATGATGTATAAAATAGCTGATTCAATTCCTAACCTGCTGTCACCATGCTGTAAAATTCTAGTTGGCAAGCTCATATTTTTAGCAAATAATGAATAACCGAATTGCTATTATGATAACTAAAAGAAAAACTTTTGTAAGTTAAAACTTGAATAAGATTTGGCATCCCATAAATAGTGCTCCTTGTTCAATGTGCTCTTGTGATCAGAATGTAAGCATTCTCTATGTGTCTCTTACTTGACTTTGCTGAGAAAGATAAATTTTTTTGAGAATTTTAAATTCTCAGACTAATCCATCAGCAAGATTACTTTGTCTGCATGCCTTACTTTGGGTATTACTGTTAACAATAATTTTCCTTCTTATTTTAACCAAGGCTGAGGAAAAACCTTTGGGCCCTTAAAATTTTACAGAAAACATGAAAAACAAAAGTCATCGAGTGAGTATATGAAAAACAGATGGATCTCACTAGCAATCCCAGAAATGCTTTATACTGAGAATGGCAAATATATACATATAATAATAGATAAAACCAAGTGTTGTCAAGCATATGGGGAAGCACGAACTTTTACGCACTGCTTATGAGAGCGTAAACCGTATAACCAATCTGTAAAGCAATTGGCAGTACTTAGAGCTATGTGAATCCTCAGTGGTCCACTCTAGGGGACATATATGTCACTTCATTTTTTCATGGCAGCAGAAAATTGGAAGCAATTAAGGTCTGCCACTCAGGAAATAGATAAGCCAAATGTGAGTGATAAGTGATAAGTCATCACTTCTTTCAAAGTCTTTTGGTGATGGGTCACTGTGCATCCAGATTTAGTTCACTTGTAGACAGCAAAACGTGTGGTTGCCTTGCCTTGCCTTCTGATGATAAATCCACATGACATTTAACAAAAGTAGGTAATCAAAAGAAAGAACTGGATGACAGATGAAAGCACAGACAGTGAATGCTGGAAGTGAATTTGGATGTGACTATAAGACAGCTGATCATGGGATTGTTGACGTAAAAAAATTAAAAGCAGGTTACAGTTTTATATGCATGATCTCTATGTGCAAAACAGGTAGTCCTCACTTTGCACAATTCTGAATGCATAAATTTCAGTGACCATCATTATGCAGCACTTATGTAGCAGTAAAAAACCAATAAACTAAATGAACATAAAACAACATGCTGATAATTTAGAAATCAAGTTTTGAGGACAAAAATGTAAGGAATAGGAATATACAAACATGAAAAGCACCAAATATTTCACATGGATATTGTATATTTATAAGTGTATTTTGAACATATTAGAGTGAACAATATATTGAAGAGTGGCAGGAAGAGGGTGTAGGGATTGGGAATAAAAGGAAAGAATACATAAGGAAGAGCTCCTGTATGAATCAATAATGTCATGCACCATAATATAAGCAGTATGGTAATACTTGAGGTTCAAAGGAAAGAAAAAAGCATGGAAGTGAAGAAAGAAAAATTGAAGGATTTAAAAGGAAAATCTAAGGAAGGGTAGTAAAAAAGATCTCATAATGGGTATAGTATTTGGAAATTTTCTGTGGTGGGTATAATTTTTATTATGTTTTTATATTTTTTAAGACTGTCAGCTTTAGCATACTGGAAATTGCAGCGACTGAGTTAAAGTCCCTTTCTCTACAATTTTAATTATCTGAGTTTCAGTATTCTTGTAAAGCAGAGAAAAGTACATCTTAGCTACTCAGCTAACATGTGTGCCAGACTCACAGCAAGCATTTAATAAATGGTAACTCTTTTATGTTTCTATGACTTATGTGTCTAAATGTCAATTTGATCTCTCTAGAAAAAAGTTTGGTTAAGAAAATACATTATCTGGAATTTAGGTACTTGCATCTGATTATACTGTTAAGATAATAGTGTCTTTATAAAAATCATGCCATTCTTTTTCATTTAGTAATAAACAAACTGATAAACTGTTTAAAATGTTTTAAATTATTGTGTGCTAAAAAACTTGATCCAACAAAGTAAATCCATTGCTTACCTATGAATCCAAGCATTGAAAACTCAATAAAAAACCAATTATTTGAACTGATATTACCTACAAAATCTGTTATTTTTGTAAAGTACATCTCTTTAGCTATGATATCATCTTCTAGCTGAAAAAAAAAACCCAAAAAGACATTAATATCTTTGACGCTTCCATTGAGTAAAGCTATATTAGCTTGAAAATAAAAAATACAACTGAATATACTGAAGAAAATGGTTTTATAAAATAATAATTTTATTTCAGTTTCAATTAATTGAAGGTATTTACAGTTAGTTGATTTCCTTTTTTTTTTTTTTTTTTTTTTTGAGACAGGGTCTCACTCTGTTACCCAGGCTGGAGTGCAGTTGCGTGACTGCAGGCACGTGCCACCATGTCTGGCTAATTTTTACATTATTTGTAGAGATAGGGTTTTACCATGCTGCCCAGGCTGGTTTCGAATTCCTGGGCTCAAGCGATCCTCCTGCCTTGGCCTCCCAACTCCTGGGCTCAAGTGAGCCTCCCGCCTTGGCCTCCCAAAGTGCCGAGATTACAGGTATGAGACACCACACCCTGCTCCATGTTTGATTCTGAGATTAACCAGACAAGAGAGTATCTGTTTCTTTCCTAAATACTAAACATTCCATCTAAATCCCTCTTTGAAAGAGTCTCTTTATCTAAATCCACTTTCATCCTCACAAATACTTCAGTTTCTAGTTTAAGACTGTCTTAGTCCATTTGAGCTGTTATAACAAAATACCATAGAATGGGTAGTTTATAAACAACAAACATTTATATTTCATAGTCCTGGAGCCTGGGAAGGCCAAGAACAAGGTGCTAGCAGGCTTATGTCTGCTGAAGGCCTATTCCTCATAGATGATGTCTTCCACTGTGTCCTCACAGTAAAAGGGGCTAGCTAGCTCTCTGAGGTATCTTTTATAAGGGCACGAATCCCATTTATGAGGCTCTGCCTGCATAATCTAATTGTCTCCCACAGGCTCCACCTCCAAATACTATCACCTTGGGGGTGAGAATTTTAACATATTAATTTTGGGAGGGAGGCCAGGAGCCGTGGCTCACGCCTATAGTCCAAGCACTTTGGGAGGATGAGGCAGGCAGATTGCTTGAGCCCAGGAGTTTGAGACCAGCCTGGGCAACATGGCCAAACCCTGCCTATATAAAAACTACAAAAAATTAGTCGGGTGTTGTGGTGTGCACCTGTAGTCCCAGCTACTTGAGGCTTCAGTGAGCCGCGATTGTGCCACTGCACTCCAACCTGGGCGATAGAGCAAGACATTGTCTCAAAAACAAAACAAAACAAACAAAAAAACAAAAACAAAACTTTGGGAGGCTTTGGGAGAGATGCAAACATTCAGACCATAGCTAAGACTAAGTAGCTTTATGCTTGTGATGAAAGGTGCCACGTTCTATCTCCAGATAGTTCCCAGCAAAGAGAAGCCAAAAAGCAACCAGCACTCTCATCCACAACTCCACAACTAGCTGGTTAGAATAATGGTGTAAGCCTAAAAATATCCTCCATAAGAGAGACAGGGCAATGGAAATGAGTTTTCTTTTTTATTTAATATATATTATGCATAATCTGTAGACTAAGAGGGCCTCATAAGTAATCAAGAAAAATGTGGCAGTCCTCAGGCACACTATGAGGACACAGAATAGAACTGTGGTGTTTCAAATTGGGAAGAGTACATTGGCTGGATCTTGTGTTTTCATGACATTGCCACTAACTAGGAATCAAAAGAGACCTTTTTTTTCTTCCAATGAAAGAGAAGACCTTGCTTTAGGCCTTTCTCTAACTTTCTCTCTAGTCTACAACTCTCTTCTGCAAATTCTTTGAATGAGAGCACATTGTCTATGTAGTGTGGTCCATACTTACTATTTAGAAACACAACATTATTATTTAACAATGTGGAGAGATTTATAGGGTACAAACTATATATAAGTTATTTACTTTTACAAATACAGTAAGGCACTGAGAACTGTGTTACTCATAAAGTATTATGAGTAAATTTAGGGTAGCAATGATAAGTGTATACAATGTCTGACAAATGCTTAAAATGCATTTGCTTAATCTAATAAAATTGTAAGCCAAGAAATAAATATAGGCATACAATTTCGTTTTTTTGAGATTTTCTTTTCAGTTTGCTTCAGGTAACTATAATTTTCTCTGTAACAGTGAACCTAGTAAGAATATTCATATATAATCAATTTTAAACTTCCTTTGGCATTTTAATACAGTGAGTATTTTCTATTTTCTGAATATAAAGTAAGGTGGAGGAATACAATGAGGAAGAAGAAATTATAGGAAGGAGGGAGAAAGTAACACTTTCAATTTAAATTATATCTATCTACAGATATAATTGGTGTATACACACACACACACACACACACACACACACACACACACAATTTCTGACCTGTAAATAATACTTGGCCTTGGGTTGGGCATACAGCAACAAAATGCAAAAATCCAATACCTGTTTGATTCGCCAACTAAAGGTAATCAATAAGATCTGTTAATATTTGTCATTATTAATTTTTATTTATAAGCATACTTTAGTAATTAAAAAACTCTTTGGCAGTTTACTAACAGTACTAGCTACAATTAAGTAACTAATTTTACTTAATTAATTTCAATTAAGTAAAATTGAATATCTTATACTAAAAAGTTTTCCATCTTTATTCAATGAACAGTGTCTACCATTGCTAAACCAGGATAAGCACAACCCATTTGTTTTACATTTCTATCTAGATAAGTTTTGATCTAGATAATAGTGTTAATATTCTTTCTGATTTTAGGTCTTGTTCAAATGAAAGTATAAAGAAACTTTATTCTTTTTTCAATGTCTCTACTAACAGCTTTCTTTATTGATTCTATCATCCAAGAGTTTTCTCCCCAATTCTTAGGGTTAACTATCTGCTACAGAGTATTAATATTTCTTTTTACGGGTCTTTAAACCATTTCCCCTAAGTCTTACCCCTTGGTTTACTTGGAAAGGAAAGGTGGCTTTTTTTGTTTTTATTTTGAAAGTAGTCTCCACAAGCTCTGGAACTCTTCATGGTCCTCTTGAAGAAACCCAATGTTAACTCCCTTCACAAAGTGACTTTATGTTTGGCCTCTGATGAAATGCGTGAGCACACATTGCCCCAACTCTCCCAATCCTAGGGAATGGAGTAATTGTATGAATTACTACTCTCCAGCGGATTGATTGTGGCCAAATTTGGGGCAATTTGAACTCTAGGGAGTCAAAAATTTTGAATGATAACTGAAAAGAATTAAGGAGAGAATTATAGCAAAAAAATGGCGGATAGGAGACAGGACTAATGCGCAGCTCCTGCTTGGCCAGGCAGAACAGTGCCTGGAGACTCACATTGTGAACGTTTGCTTCAAGAAACACTGCAGCAACATACCAGGAAAACCTAAAGAATTCACAAACCCTTTGAAAGAACTGGCTTGCCACTGCAACCTCTGTGAGATGGCTGAAAAACTGCGAGTTCCCAAAGTGTAAGGGGGGAAAAGTTGGCCTCCATACACACATCCCCACTGAGGAACCTGAAAATCCAGAACACGAGAGAAGGATTTAGCCTTACCTAGAGCTGAAATGGATTTAGGAAGCCAAGAGAAATATAAAAGTAGACGAAGCAGTGGGAAGAGCCCTGTAGGCACTCCTGGTCCCCAACCCCAGCCCAGGGACGTCATTCCTGGCCTTATCTCACAGAGTTCTTTGGGGAAGGGAAGGCAGCCAGTGGAACTGGGGAGGGGTCACAGGGTGAAGGAAACTCCTAGCTGAACTTTGTAATAATTTTGACTGAGCACAAATTTTCTTGAGCATAATCTGGGGGCAGGGTGAATGGGAAATGCAGATATGAGCACAGAAGCCACTGCCAAAGGTGCGAAGGTGTGGGCAGGCAGGGAGGGGTGAGGCATGAGAGCCCTGCTTGCTTTCTCAGTGGGGAGGCTTGTAGTCTGGGGCAAGAGCTCATCCCTGCTCGTAGGGTTGCCTGGATATAAACTCACCCAAAGAAACTTTTTTCTCATACTAAGCTAGAAACCAGACCAGGTCCTGAATATAAAAAAAGCAGTACCCAAGGTCATTCTTGCCCTTCTGTGTCTCATAACCTCATATGAAAAAAAATAATAAAATTATAACAATTAGATAAGTGCTACGTGAAGATATCAACAATGTTGGCTATCTTACAGTAAGTTTTCAAAGTTGTGGAAAGGGTGGAAGAGCATGCCACTTAGTTTTAGGGCACAGAGAGCTGACAGAAGGAAGTTAATGATTGCAAGGTTGGCAGACCAGATCATGAAGGATATTTTATGATATGTGGGAAACTTTGGACTTGATCTCATATGAGAAAATATTCTTCTGGGTACAGCATGAAGAATGAATTGTAAGAGAGGCTAGGTTAGGCTAGGAGTAGGGACTCTGTAATGGTGAAGGCCTGAACTAAATCCAAGCCAATGGAAGGAGGATGAGAGGGACAATGTGTAGAGAGATTTTAAAAAAGAAACAATGACAGAGATATAAAAGGCTGAAGGAAAAACAAAGATCCAGGATGACTCCCACCTTTGTGACTCTAAAAACTGGGCATAATGTGGACCACTAATTAAAAGCAAAACAAAACGCTTAAAAGATTCCTAGATTCTGACACACCATTTATAATTTTAACACAAAAGAAGGCTAATCAGTTTCCTGGGATAAGACCTTTTTCTGATTTCTGGCATGTCTTTTTCTTTATTAAGTTTTGAGGGACCAAATTATTACATTTCCCATAATACTTACCACACTAATACCCCAAATTATAATCCTTTGTATGTGTATAGAGCTTTTAATTTTTTAAGATTCTTTCACAAATGTATTTTATTCTCATAATGACTCTTCCAATTATGCAATATAGGTGTCATTATACACACTAGAAAGTTAGGAAAGCTAAGAAAAAAAGGTGAAATTACCTGCCTACAATGACCAGCAAACAGTACAGCTGGGACTAGAATCCAGCTCTAATGATTTATAATCCCAGGCTCTCCCCCTCCTCATTATTATACCTTTGCTAATTATTGTCTGTAAATGTGAACATAGACCATCAGTGGTGTGCTGGTAAATGTTTAACAACTGACTTGGGGGTGGAGGGATGGACATCCTGCTTTGTAGCTTTTGCCCATTTCCACGGTATAAATACTCCTACTGTGGCTAATGCTATCAACTCGATGTTATTGAATACAGAGTTGGGAAGTGATGCACATAGTTGGGTCTTGCAACCCAGTAGAAGCCAGCTCCAGAACACCACTGTGTCTGAAATAGTTTCTAATATGAGCTGATTCCAAGATTTTATCAGATGAAGTTAGTTATTTAAGGCTACTATTTTCTAATATGACATACCTGGCTAATTTTTGTGAGGCCTCAGCTAAGTGCTTGGCATTTAACATGCTTGAGTATAAAAAGGCAGGTATTGAAATGACCTCTAAGGATCCAGACCTCACTTGCCTTTTGAATCTATAAATAGAAGTAAATGCAGACTTATAATTGAATATTTAATTTTCCAGAATAACATAAATACTTAAAAATAATTTTCTTATGCATGGCCACATAATATTTGATTTGAATTATTTCACATGTTGATACATGATACCAGCATCATAAAACTAGCCAAAGCATTTTTTTATAAATTAATAACAGACATATTAAAATACACAATATAAAATTAGTTTCTTCTTATAAAAATTACAGGTACTTTGACATTTTTAAAGTTTATAGCCAGATGTGTACTCTGACATTTGAAACAATGAAACTCATGGATTATGAGAACACAGTGACTGCAAGAAAGCAAGAATATTTGATGATTTTTAAATGCATAATTTTGAATTTAATAAGAGTCCTACTGAATAGCAATGTGGCTCCTGAAACTAGATTACCCCAGCAAGCAAGGATTTAGTCAGACTCTTGTCCACCACTCATTGGAGGACTATGTGTACTCTTTAGCATCTTTATTTTTAAACGTTAATGTGATAGATCAACAAGGTCATCACTAAACTACATAAAATATGATCACAAAAATTCCAATATAAATCTTGTACCATCAAGGTAAAGGATGGGAAACCAAGTAGAAAATTTTAAATGGTCTTCCTTTAGAGATAATGTGATTTTAAATGAGATTGGAATTTAGGCATTACATTATTTATTAACATGTTAAAGGTTCAAGGAAATGTTTATTTTGTACTACATAAAAAATTTAAAAGCTTACAGTTTTATATGCATAATCTCCATTATGGGCAAAATAGTCCTTGCTTTGTACAATTCTGAATGTATAAACTTCAGTTACTGTGTTTTAGTTAAATAACACCAGTCTCCCACAACAACACTGTAGTCATGATATATTGTGAACAATTGTGTAAAGTACAAACTTCACTGCTAGCTCTTCAATGCACAAATCACTATATAAATAGCAGATGCACATCATCATTAGTGACTAATTGCATCACTTCTTTCAAAGTCTTTTGGTGACTGGTCACTGTACATCTACTATTTAGTTCACCTGTTGACAGCAAAACATGTGGTTGTCTTGCCTCGCCTCCCAGTGATAAGCCTACATGATATTTAACAAAAGTAGGTAATCCAAAGAGGAAATTGGCTGACAGATGAAAGTGCAGAAGGTGAATGCTGGTAGTGAATTTGGATGTGCCGTAAAAGAGCTGATCATGGGAATGTTGACACCTCCTCTATTTGAGAGACTCTAGAGATGCAACAAAGGGAACTTAGTGAAGGTGAACCTAACTGACAAATAAGAAAAATGGTTGTGGTGAAATTATGTCACATAGGAAATGATGCTGCTGAAAAACTTCACATTAAAGGAACTCTCAGAGATATTTCATGACATTGAAAACACAAATGATAAAATGCTGGAACTGATCCAAACTTAGAAAGGAGTATAACAATTTGCTGAAGCATAGAAAAGACATTTGCTCAGTATTTTAAGTTCTGTGATAAGAAAAAGGCAAGGACCATTTAAATTACTCTTGATAAAATTTTTAAAAGAAATCAAATCATTAATACTCAATAATTTTAATGTTTTAAATTACAGTGTAATAAATTAGCTTAACAATATTTTTCATTTTTCTATGTATTTATAGTTGACAGAGAGTAATGTTTTAACATACGTTTAAAGGTCATGGAACAATTGTGATTTTTTTCCCATTGTTTGTTAATATTGGCTTGCACGGTTTCAACTTGCACAATCATTTCTATGGCCCCATGCTATCTTGCAAATCAAGGATTGCCTGAGTATATATAAACACACACAAACACACATGGAAGAAAGCTCATGTTTTATAATGGGTATGTATCACGAAAATGGGGTTGGAATAGCATATTGTGCTAGAGCGAATATGGGTTTTAGACCTAGAAAAGTCTCTGTGCCAATTTTGCTTGTTTTACTTCCTAACTTCAAGGAAGTAATTTATTTTTTCTGATCTTTAATTTCCTCATCTGTAAAACTGGAATAGTAACTTAAAAACTTGGGGGGAAAGAACTGTTCAAAATACATGCTGGAATTCTTCCCAGGCTCTGTACATTAGTGGAAAAGTTTTTGGTCATTTATTTTGGTGGGAGCATAAGTGGAGGAGTGAAGGGGATGAAAGTCTTACTGGCTGCCCTCTGATTTTATGATATATCAAATGAAAAGATTTTTAAAAAACGAATTCTAATATGTTCCTTGGGGAATAGAAAATACTGGCGTAGAAAAAAAAAGAATGGAGAGTTTGGTTGTTTGCTTTGTGGTAAAAGTTAGTAACATAATATCTAAATTTTTAAATGAATTTGTGTAACTTTAAACTACAAGATCTTGTGCGGCAATTTAGTAGAGGTAAAGGGAAATAACATCAAGTTGCAGCATACACAATCATCAAAAAGTTTAGATTACAGAGATACACAAATTTTGTCCTCTAGAAAATTCCATCCAAAGTCCAAAAAGCACCAAAAGTTACGTTACAATTTCTACTTTGATGATATAATTCCCCAGTCATGTTGGAGAGAAAGATTCCAGTCTTGGTTTTATTCAATCTGTTTTAAGCAAGATACTTGAAATTTTGTGTGTTGACACCTTTCTAGGACTCTCTAAAACTTTTATAGCTTGTTAGGTTATTTATATACAGCATCAAAAGCCCTTGACTTAATTATATGGGAATTGCTAGTTTCCAATGACTGGAGAAAATAATATAACTCTAGGTTGTTGCCATTAAAAATGAATGATTTTACCTTATAGTCATACAAGAGTGGAAATCTTACAACTCTATAGGTTTATGTAAAGTGTATAGTTATATACAGTTTCATATGAGGTTATATACAAACATAGATGAGTCCTTTAAAAATTATATAGTTTCAATCTAGGACTAATCCAAATATAAAACAATCTCTCATTACCCTAATGAGAAAACCTAGGAAAAGGGTTTTTAGCTAAATTGAATAGGCAAAAGTTTAGACATGTAAATTTAAAAGTTATATGTCTATATTACCTTTGATAATGTTTTAAATTTAATATTCACTATTAAATTATTCTATTATAATTTAATAGTGAATATTAAAAATAGTGAATATTAAATAGTGAATATTCACTATTATATTATTCACATTTTAAATTATTGCTTTACTCTACTTTCACAAAAAATAATTTTATTCTAACTCTTTATCCTGCATTGGTATTATCAATATAATTATCACCACTAGAATCACTTTTTGAATCACCTGACATAGTTTTCCAGTATCCTTGATTTTCAATTCTAACTACAATACGGCAATTTCTAAAACCAGTGACATTGTCTCTGAAAATTTTGTAGCAAATCAGAAGTATTCTCATACATTAGGTAATGTTTTTATTGGAGATCTTTACAAGTAACCACATACTCTAATTTTTTTAAGTGATCTTCAAAAGGCTTACAATGATGCGGTCATATCTTCAGGAATTGTTTTACACCTTTGCCTTCTTTTTAATTGATTCTGTCAGGAGTCTCCTATAAGAATACCAAACTAGCATAGATTGAAGCCACTTCAGGATAATGTGTCTTCTCTTCTCTAAATAGTAGTTTATTGTTCAGAATAAAGCAACTGAGAAGGCATCCTTGAGTATGAGAAGATTTTTTAAGGGTTCAAGTATAAGGTAACTTTTTTCCTGGGGAGTCTTTTAGGGGAAAAACTACATGTATATGGTGTTTTGTTTAATCTTTATTTAATCCCTCTCCCTTCACATAAATCACCTATTTCAAGCCTTCACTACCCTAAGTTCCTTCACTGCCAATGAATCCCTCCTTCTCAACACAGGGGCTTACCTCCTTCACAGAGAAAAGAGAAATCTTTAAAAAAGGATTTTTAAGATGATTACACTGTCTTTCCCCCAACAAATTAATTTTTCTACTCTTTCACCTGCTCTCATCTCCTCTTTGGTCTCAGTACTGTCTAAAGCTCCCTCCACCTGAGTCTCCAGTTCCCTCCTGCCTTGCTTCATCAGCCCCTCCTCTCTCTACTGCAGCACAAGTAAAAACTCCAGGTGCTTCCACCTCAAAACCTCCCAAACAGTATTTGTGTCCCTTAAGACAGGTGTTTTGACTTTTCTTCCTATCAGTTGAACTTACTGATAATAGTCTACATTCATTCTTTAAATATGTATTATAAAAATTACCAAACATCCACAAAAATAGAAATATAATGAACCCCAAATCAGTTTCCTTCAATAAGCATTTATTTTCTGCCACGTTTGTTTCATCTACGCAGCTGCCCCTTTTTTGCTTAAGTATTTTAAAACAAATGCTGGATATCATTTCGCCCTTACATTCTTCAGTGTGAATATTAAAAAGGACATTTATTTAATAAGCACAATGGTATTATTCACACTTTGCAAAACTATAAATGATTACTTAACATCACATAATACTTAGTCAATTTTCAAATGTCCCCAGTCGTCTAAAAAGTGCCTATTTTGGGGGAGTAGGCGCTCAAACAAGTACCCAAATAAGGTCGCTCATTGTAATTGATTATCCCTATTTCTTTTTAAAATTTATTATCTAGACCGGTAACCGTCATTTTTCTTTCTTCCCCCATCCCCATTCCACTTTTTAAAGACTCTGGGTCAGTTTTCTACAGAAGGTCCCACTTCTTGATTGTTTTGCCCCAGATGGCTTCCTTTTTTTGCTGTGTATCCTGTAAACTGAAATTCAGCTCCTAAGGCTTGATTGCATTCAGGGTTTTTTGTTTTGTTGTTTTGTTTAAGTCGGGGGAATAACTCTCAATAGTTCTTCCTGGCATCATTTCCATCGCCAGACTTTCAGCGACCCCGAGCTGCTGGAGGTGAGGGTGGGGTCCCTGGACCCTGGCTGCTCACAGCTCACACTGCACATCGCACCCCTCTGCTCTGCAGTGCATCCTGTCCTGCGGGACGCCCTTGCTAGCGGGGTACCGGTTGGCCTCTGCCTGCGGGAAGCAGTAAGTGACAAGAGCCTGGAAGGCGGTCGAAGCCAAGGATGCGCCTCCTCTTTCAGCTCCCGCGGTGGCGGAGGTTCCAGCTGCTGAGGAGGCCTATCTCCAGGGCCTCTGATCCCCGGGTTTAATGTCCTCTCCTTCCCGCTGCTGTGTGCTCTTTCTTCTCCCTTCTGTGCTCTCAGTCCTCTGAAACTTGTTTTGACCAATTGTTTGTGTGAAATTGCCTGTTTCCTCTATTTGAACGACCAGGAGTTTTCCTGTGCGGACACTGACCGGCATACCTTCCTCGTAAAGTTCCCCCAACCCTCTCACTTAATGACGCGCTTCAAAACGGTGATTCTCCAATTTCATTCATTCTACACTTACTAGCTGGAATTGTTTTGACTAGAACAACTAACTGCCTCAGCCACTAGAGCTATTTGGTGAGGAAAAATAAAACAAAGCAAAACACTTTACTGGCTAAACAAAACACGGCCTGTCAGCCAGATTCAGCCTGAAGGCCACATTTGCAGCCCTGGTCTACAGCACAGAGTGCATATTTCTTAGCATGGTGCATAGGCCCTGCGTGATGTCAACAGCACCTGCCTTATCTCCCACCAGTCCTTCCGCCTTAACTCCAAATACCCATTTCCAAAATAGACTTACATGTTCAAAAGTCTAGCATGCTCCTTTGGTCTCTCTGCCTTCCTCAGCAATTCTATTTATCAGGCATGACATTTTCCCCCTGTCTGCCTGAAGAATGTCTACTTATTCCTTCAGATTCTGCTCAATTATTACCTTCTCAGGAAAGTCCTTCTTGATATTTGCAGGTAGAGTTAAATTAAATACCTCTTCGTCTACATGTTGTCATATTTATTCCCCATCACCACTAGGACAATGCTAGCCTCTTCCTTCCTTTATTTTATAATTTTTTTTTTTTTTTGAGACACAGTCTCCCTCTATCACTCAGGTAGGAGTGCAGTGGCATGATCTTGGCTCACTAAAGCCTCCACCTCCCAGGCACTGGCAATCCTTCCACTTCAGCCTCCCTAGTAGCTAGGACTACAGGTGCACACCACCAGGCTCGGCTTAATTTTGGGGGCCATTTTTTCAGTAGAGACGGGGTTTGGCCATGTTGCCCAGGCTGATCTCGAACTCCTGGGCTCAAGCAATCCACCCACCTTGGCCTCTCAAAGTACTGGCCTTACAGGTGTGAGTCACCATGCCTGGCCCTCCTTTTCCTTTCGTTTCTCCTTTCTCCTTTTTGTTTCCTTCCTTCCTTCCTTCCTTCCTTCCTTCCTTCCTTCCTTCCTTCCTTCCTTCCTTCTCTCTCTTTTCTTTTCGTTTCTTTTTCAAGTTGTATCACCTATTTGAACTTAGGATTTGGAAGGCAGGGTCCATTCCACAGCATCTTGCTTGATAAAGAGCTTCATATTGGTTAATCCGTACGTGCTTCGGCTGCTTACAGCTGAAGGAGATTATAAGCAGAAGTGGTGAAGTAACTTCATACAGTAAAGGATACAGGAATGTTTTAAAAATAACTCAATGGGCTTCTCTCGGTACCAATGGTTATCATGCAGGATAAACAGTATAACATGAAAAATATAAATTCTAATTGGTAGATATCCAGCAAAATTGGGAAAACCATTAAGCCATACTTCATCACAGCTTAGAAAGGACTACAGGTTCTTTCTGCCAGCTATACTCATTAAAAAGAATATGATCACTAAGAAAATAATTATACAATTGGACAGAAAAAATAAGATAGAAAAATGAAAGAATGGCTAATGTAAAAATATATCAGACAGTACTTACTTTTTTGTAATCATTTTAACAACAGAATGTAAATAATCTTCATTACTCTAAAAATGAGAAAAATATTTTACTGAAACTAAGCATGTCTCATAGTTCTATTAATACAACTTCTTTTGCTACATATAAATCTAATTTGTGTGTGAAATGCTATTGCATACTAATAATTTTTAGTGTTTTTACTTTCTATTAAAAGATTTAAAAATATCCATGTTCTTAAAAAATTTGACTTGAATACAGGAAATATTTCATTCTTTTCCCTTTGCCACAATGTGAAATATTACAATCCAAAATTTACCCTTAAATTTATATACTTTTTAGATATATAAGATTACATAAAATATTATATATCTAAAGATGTTTTTAGTCTAAAAATGGTCATCTGTGAATGGCTTATTTCAAACAACTACTCCTTTTGAAAACTACTCTTCATTTCCTGAGTATTATATGACAATAAGCCTACTTCAAAATTACATCATATTTCTCCAGACAGTATTACTCAGCTTGATTCCAATTTGCCTTCCTGACAATAAACTTTGTGGACCTGCTCTTCATTGAACAGTGCGCTAGATTAGATGACAGACTCCTGCAAAAAGCTTTTGATGGTTTACCCTCTTGGGATAATTTTTAAAAAAATAACGTGGCATTTACAAGATGTAGCCTCAGGGCCCATAAGCATTTCCAACACAAAATTTTGAAAATATTTTGAACAATCACAGTTCTGTTGTTGAATCTGAGTACTCTGAAAGGCAACTCTAGATGTATGTACTCAGGTTTCTTGTTTAAAAATAGCAGACATGATGTAGATAAATCTCTTATAGTACTGGAGGCTCTTAACCATAAATTGAATCATTAGCTATTTGTCTCACACTGAAACATATTGTATTTTAAACACGGCGTCAAAGTCATATTTCGTAAGCATTTTATATTCCATTTAAAAATCTTCCTCCAATGTTTTATTACAAATCTAAACATTTTAGACAGACATGGGTTGTGCTAACAGCAAATAAGTAAGGATTCTAATATATAAAATAAGGCAATAGGATGAAACATTTTGGAGATTATGTGCATACTTTCTTTTAATATTAATAAATTAAACTGGGATGCAATGATTTTAATCTTTCATTTCTATTTTTCTAATAGTTCTTCTATTGCTTGTTCTGTTTCGAGTTTTTTCTGCATTCAAAGACATCTTTATTATAGAAAATTCAAGCAATAACAAAAAGAATAAAGAAAAGATAATAAAGGTTCTTCTTAATCCCAGCATTTAGAGATAACCATTATTTATATTGATGATATCTTTATATCATTCCAAAGTTTGCTCATTTTCTTTTTTCTTCATATATTTCATTTGTTTCTATATATTTTCCCCTCCCTCCATCTTTTCCTTCTTTCCTTCATTCCTATTTAACATAATGATAACATTATGTTAAACATGATGCTTTACAGCTTTTTTTCACTTAACAATAGGACATGAACATCACTTTGTATCAGTGAGTACAGATATTCATTCTTCTTTCAATGACTATCGAGTATTGCATTGTGGAGATATATAGCAAGGTATTTTATCAGCCTCTTATGGGTAGATATTTTGGTTGTTTCCAATATTATGCTTTCATAACCCAACAATGCACTGAAAATCCTGAAATAATTATTTATTGAGCACTTACTATGTGCCACACATCACTCTAAGTACTTTAAATATATTAGCTAATTTCATCCCCCAACAACCTTATGGCATAGGCAATATGATTATCACAATTTTAGAGATAAAAGAAAATGAGGCATAGATGAATTAAGTAAGTTGCTCAAGTTCACTGGTTGGGAAGTAGAGAAGCTGACATTTTAACCTTGGACTTCTAAATCCAGAGTCTGTTCTCAACTTCCATACTATACTGCCATATTTTTACTGGTTTTTGTTTGCTTGTTCATTTGTTTGTTTTTTGAGACAGGGCCTCGCTCTGTAGCCCAGGCTGGAGTGCAGTGGTGCAATCATGGCTCATTACAGGCTCTACCTCCTGGGCTCAAATGATCCTCCTGCTGCAGCCTTCCAAGTAGCTGGGACTACAGGTGCACACCATCATTTCTAGCTAAGCATTTTTTTTTTTTAGTAGAGATGGGGGTCTCGCTATGTTGCCCAGGCTGATTTCAGACTCCTGAGCTCAAGTGATCTTCCTGCCCCAGCACCATAAAGTGCTGGAATTACAGGCATGAACCACCATGCCCCACCATTTTTACTGTTTTTATACACTTGCCTGATTATTTCCTTAGGATAAGTTCCCAGAATTTGAATTTCTGAGACAAAGTACATATACATTTAAATTTAACACACATTGCCAAATTTCTCTCCAAAAAGTCTTATGGTGCTAATATTCACACAGTACTATATAGTTTTAAATGGTATTAGGAACAGTGGAAATCTTTGGGGTCATTAGAGAGATCTAGGCTTGAATCTGCTCTGTTAATTACTGGGCAAGTTACTTACCTTCTGTAAGATCTAGGTCCATTATCCCTAAAATCAGGACAGTAATAGCTACCTCACAGGGATGTAATGCAGGTTATAAATGTGTATAAAAATCATCTACAATCTCTCAAGCATAAGAAAGTCTCTCAATCATAGGTGTTGTTGCTTAATACAAATTATCTCTTGATTCATATACCAAACTCTTATTGGACTGGGCACATTTTATTACTAGCATCGATTTTAATAATTTTAATTTTGTTTGTAAATATAACTTCTGAGCCATATAGTAGGCAGGGATTCAGGGATTCTATATTAAATGCAATTCAAATTTAGCAATCTTATATTTCCCACATGAAGCCATTATGTTGTCCTTTTAGATTTACATATTTAATTCCTTCTCAGCAGTATCGAAGAAGTATTAAGTATGTTGTCTGGTATCCAAAAAAGGCATCTATGGGTAGCTTTTTAAAATTAAGAAAACAGTTTTCAACATGGTACAATGATTATTACCATTGAGGAAGGGAATTTGGAGACCATAGGGTGAGGATAAGGAGAGCTCCTTATTTTGTATACGTACATCTGCAACCAAGACAATCACTACAGAATCCTTCTCTTGGGAGAGCGTCATCCTGGAGACAACAGAGGTCAGTGTCTGTTTCAGGTAACTATAATTTCCTCTGTTAACAGTGGAAATACCCAGCGCAAAAGAAACTGTGGACATAGGAGTATGAAATCATCATTCCATACCACAGAGAAAAACATAGTTTACCATTCATTCTATGCTTATTCCTATGTTTGGGTTAGTCTTACGGTAACAAAATGAGTGTTTGAAACTGTATTACAAAAATAATCCAAACTATGTTAATTTTTATCACATATTTCATTTTCTTTTTGAGGAAATTTGCAGTGGATTGTTAGTAAAAGCACTAAACAGACTCCAAGATGTTCTTATGTTAAAAGATTTTGGTGTAGCAAAAATAAAACTAACCACTTTCCACTTACTATAGGTTCATCTAACTGAGTATAAAATGTCACATATTGGTCGATTCTCTCTTCTTTTCCTAACAAGACACTGGAATCCAAAACAGGAAAAAATTACTATGAAATATTTTCATCTGTGAAAGAATGTATGAAGTAATTTCTAAATGATTTGATGGAATGAATCCACATCTCTAAGTAACTTTTGTTGCCCAAGAATAGCTGGAGCACTAGGGCTCCAAGATGTACACATCTTGGCTGTACAGGTGCAGCTAAGATTGAGGCTACCAATCGTAACTATACTGGTACCTGGCCATATGGGCTTAGGCAAGATACACAACATCTCCAGCCTTATGTCCCCCTCTTTAAGATAGGGATAAGGACTTCCAGAATGGCTAAGTGAGAAACTCAGAAAATCCTCTTTCTAGAAAGCGGTAATAAAACTGCAAAAAAAAAAAAAAAAAAAGGTCAAAACAGTCATTTCAGGGCCCTGATAAACTGAGAAGTACTTACTTAAGAAAAACTATGGAACTTTGGAAGGAACAGCTGATTGCTATTGAGTTTGAACATATCTTCACATGTTTATTGGCTTTCTTTTTTTTTTTTTTTTTTTTTTGAGATGGAGTCTCACTCTGTTGCCAAGGCTGGAGTGCAATGGCTCAATCTCAGCTCACTGCAACCTCCACCTCCCGGGTTCAAGCTATTCTCCTGTCTCAGTCTCCCGAGTAGCTGGGATTACAGGCATGCACCACCATGCCCGGCTAACTTTTGTAGTTTTAGTACAGACAGGTTTTCACCATGTTGGCCAGGCTGGTCTCGAACTCCTGACCTCAAGTGATCTGCCCACCTCAGCCTCCCAAAGTGCTGGGATTACAGGCATGTGCCACTGTGCCTGGCCACTTATTGGCTTTTGGCTATTCTTTTTTGTAAAATCCTTGTTTAAGCTATTGCCCATTTCTCTAATGAGTTGTCAGCATTTTTCTTATTGATTGTATTGATACTCTTTATATATTCTGAATACGAACCCCTTGTCAGTTATATGTGTTATTAAATATTATCTCCCACTCTTGGTTCCCTTTTCAATGTTTTGCCCCTTGATGAAGAGAAATTCTTAATTGTAATGTAGTGCAATTTGTCATCCATTTTCTTTGTTGTTTGGGTTTTCTGGGTCTTGTTAAGAAATCTTTGCTTATCTTCAGGTCATAAAGACATTCTTCTGAGTGATTTTCTAATAGTTTATTGTTTGCCTTTCATATTTAGAGCTGCAATCCACCTGGAATTGATTTTTATGGATAGATTGAGGCAGGAATCAAGTTTCAAGCTGTAAGATACAGTATGAAAGCAATTCCTGGAATGGCTTCCTATGCCTTACAATGCATTTACAAGAATTTAAAAGGCCCTTAGTGACCTGGTACTGATCTATCCCTTTTTTTCAACTACCCACACTTTTCGAATTGACCAAATACCACTCTTACCTCGAAGCCTTTGCACACGCCATTCTTTTTGCCTAGAATACTCTTATTCCTCTAATTTCCTTTGATAATTCTACTTATTTCTCAGGATTCAACTAAATATTAGTCATTTTGATCACAAATTGATGCTTAATCCTTTCACCAGCTATGAATTCTTACCTTATCTTTCATAGTACTCATCACTCCTTTTGTTGTAACTCATTCCTATCTAGAATGTCAGCTTGATGACAGCAGACACCTTCATGTGTGCTTATATTATAAATCCAGCACTAACATAAAGACTGATACATGGTAATGATAATAAATTGAAATTGAATAAATAATAAAGGGGCAAGCCCCTTTATTATTTGGCCTGTGTCCATGGTCTTGCTACTAATACCCTCCAGCCCCAATAGTGCATGCAAGACACACATCCTTTCTAGGCCTTCTTGCCATCTGACTTTTGCATGTTTCTTTTCCTCTATCTGGATGACCACCCTCTACTTTCCGCTATCCACCACCTACCACTTCCCTACTTAGTCTACTCCAATTCTTTTGCCCTTCATGTCACTTATATGACACTTCTTCCAGAAAGCATAGCATAGGATTTTGGCTTCACCCTGGTATTTCCCTTATCACAGCACCAGTCACTTTATATTATAATTACCTTATCATTTGTCTCTATGAAGGTGGGGTCTATGTCTTATTCACCCCATATCCCAGGGCCTAAGAAGTGCCCAGAACAGAGTAGAAGCTTATTAAATGAGGAGACGTGGAAGAATTCACAGAGAAGTTGTCATTTAAGCTGAAAAGTCATATTGGATAAGGGAGTCACATTACAAATCAGTTATGGTTTGCCAGAGGAGGTATGTTCATTATAGGCAGTGGTTAGCACATGCAGAATATATGAAGCTTGTCCTATCTGTTCTCAAAGAGCTTGGCCTATTTGTGAGAACTGCAAGTGGTTTGTGGTTTCTGGAAAGGAGAGGCATGGCAGAGACTGAGATTTGAAAGATACAGCCTTTTCTGCATATACCCTGCCAAGGGGCTAACTTCACCTCATGTGCACTGAGGGTCTACTGAAGGATTTTAAGCAAGAGTCAAGTATGATCAGTGATGAATTTTACTAACATATCTTCGAGGAAAGTATGAAGAATGGATTGACTTTGGTGATACTAAAATCACAAGATAAATTACAAATATGTTTCCATAAACCAGGCACAAAATGATGAGGGGCTCAATAAAAAATAGTTATAGAGGGGCTACAGAGAGCAGAAATTATCCAAGATCTATTAGAATACAGAATAAACAAGACTGATGATGGATTCCCTAGTAGGCCTTGCCACAGGCTTCAATCCTCTTACATATGTTTCATGTGTTAGGATTTTTTTAGTTGCCTGGAACAGAATCTTCCTTAAATCCCTTCTGGTAATTGAGAAAAGCCACCAAAAGGGCCTCAAAAGAAGGATAAATACGTACACCATGATTGGAGATCAATAAATTGTTGGGGAATTAGAAAATTATTCTGGATTTAACACAGCTCTGATAACTGGGTTATCTCAACCCTCCAACCCCCTACACAAGGAGGTCTATTGCTCCACCCAAACACCACCATGTCTCTCTCTCCTTCCTTTCACTCTGTGTCATGGGCTTCCACTTACATTTGCTGATGCTTATGCAAGGTTATGTTTATTCTTGGTGTCTAATATCTTATCATTTCTATGCATTGTTTTTCTTGCGTGTGTCTTTCAACTTTTCCTCATCCTATAAACTACAGCTTTTGTCTAGCATGTACTTTCTCATACATTCACACAACACATATGCATGTATATGTATATACAGGTAAAGAGTTTTACAAGTATGAACTCAAGAAGTTTCTTAATTTCTCTAAGCCTCAGTTTTTTCAGGTGTAAAACAGAGATGACAGTAATAGGCCCTATTGCATTGGATTGTGAAGATTAAATGAGATAATGTAAGAAAACATAGAACTCAGTAAGTGGAACACAGAATGCAATAGATAAACGATGTCATCAGAGGCATATGATACAAAACAACACTACTTATTCCCAAGGAACTGCCTAGAGCAGAGGTCAGCAAACTTTTTTTTTTTTTTTAAATAAAGGGGCAGATAGTAAGCATTTTTGGCTATTGGGTTATACCATCTCTGTTGCAACTACTCAGCTCTGCCATTGGAGCACAAAAGCAGACATAGACAACAAGTAAATGGATAAGCATAACTATGTTCCAACAAAACTGTATGTTAAAACATGGAGCCAATGGGCCTGGCCTAGAGTGACTCACTCACTGGAATGAGTGAGGTTTATAGGAAAGGCAGGTATCCTGAGACTTAGCTTAATATTCCTGCTTCAAACTCCAAAGCTTCTTCTTGTCTTGTATACTTGGTGAACTTGAACTCATTTGTCAAGGCTTACCTCAAACATCACCTGTTGTATAAGGCTATTACTGACCTTGGTCTCCAGAAAGACTGGGAAACAGTAAAATAACCAGGTAAGAATAGATTTACCAAAAACAACGAGAAAAGATTTGCCAAACATTTGGCATATACTTAATGTATATTTGACTTATATTACTTATTTTCAAAGCATTTGTGTTATGCTAAATTTGAATTCAAGTCACCAAGTGTTTATGAAACTATTATTTTCTGCCAGACAATATACTGACTTCCAGTAATCCAAATTAATGCCAGATAGGCTGTAGTCTGCATATCAATCTAAGATAATAATGGATTACATCTTAAAACTTAAAAGTATGTCCCCAAAGATCAAAATACCTTTATTTAATTTTCCAATTCTAAGTTTTCTTACCACCAGTTTTCCCTTTGCCAATGATTACATCAGGATAAATTCTACCTTCTTTCCTTAGATGAGGAAAAAAGAACTTTAAGTCTTCAAATGTATTAGATACTGTTTCATTTTTATTTAATATGTCTGCTTTCTGTGCAACTGAAAGAAAAAAATAATGCTTCTGAGTATATGATCATAGGGATTTTTCTCCCCCTGGAATAATTTTTTCAAAGAGGTGTTAATAAACTCACAGATTAATTTGGCATTTAATATATAAAAGAAATACTCTAAAATGTAAATTATTAAAATAATAATGCTAAATATAGCTCAACTATTATTTATTCATATTTATTTATAAAGTAATATGTAATTTAAGCCTAGAATTATAAGATACACAGAGGACAATGGAACTGTCAGTTCCAAATGAAAAAAGTATAACTGAAACATGCTGTAATTGGCTTACTCTGCTACTTTGATTAATATCACTTTATTAAATTTGT
Source organism: Homo sapiens (assembly GCF_000001405.40). Classification (NCBI taxonomy): domain Eukaryota; kingdom Metazoa; phylum Chordata; class Mammalia; order Primates; family Hominidae; genus Homo; species Homo sapiens. Next base: position 140,479,969 of record NC_000004.12, read on the forward strand.
ATCTTTATAACTTTGCTTTGTAGCCCCTAAAATTTAATGACTATATTTGTAAACTTCATTAGAAGTTGCCTCTACAATTTTGAAAAAGAAAATGTTAGAGGACGCACATTGCCCAATTTTAATTCATAATACATAGCAATGTAGTCAAAACAGTGTGATATTATATAAAAAAAGATATATAAACAATGGAACAGATCATAGAATACAGAAGTAGGTTCACAAAAATATGGTTGACTGACTTATGACAAAGTTGCAAAGGTAATTGAATGCAGAAAAGACAGTTGATAAAGGTGTTTGAACACTTGGACATCTACATGGAAAAAACTGAACATTGACTTGTTTTTCATGCTGTTTATAAAAATTAGCTAAAAATGTTCATAGACATAAATGTAAAACATAAACCTATGAATTTTTTTAAAAACAAAAAAGAAAACCTTCATGACCCTGAGATAGGTAAAGAGATCTTAGATACAATATAACAATACAAAAAACAAAACAATACATAAAAGAAAAATTCACAAATCAGACTTCATCAAAAATTAAAAATGCTTGCCCCCTGAAAGCATCAGAAAGAGAATGAAAGAGTGTCACCAACTGAAAGAAAGTATTTCCAAATCACATATCCATCTGATATGTATCCAGGATAATATGTAGAACTCTTTCAAAACTCAATGAGAAAACAAAATCACCCAGTTAAAGAAACTGGCAAAACAGGAGTTTGAGAACAGCATGAGCAATATAGCAAGACCCTCATCTCTAAACACACACACACACACACACACACACACACACACACACACACACACACACACACACACGCAGTGGGGCATAGTGGCATGCGCCTGGAGTCCCAGCTGCTCAGGAAGCTGAGGTGGGAAGATCCCTTGAGCTCAGGAGGTGGAGGCTGCAGTGAGCCATGATTGTGCCATTGCATTCCCCGTTTGAACAGACATTTCACCAAAGAAGATATCTGGATGGCAAATAGTAAAAATGTTCAACATCATTAGTTTCTGGGAAATACAACATAAAGCTATGAGATATCATGACATTAGAATGGCTATAATAGGACAGGCATGGTCCCGTAATTCCAGCACTTTGGAAGGCTGAGGTGGGAGGCTTGCTTGAGGCCAGGAGTCCAAGATCAGCCTGGGCAACATAGAGAGACCCCATCTCTACAAAAAATAAAATTAGCCAGGTGTGGTAGCACATGACTGTAGTCCCAGCTACTTGGGAGACTGAGATAGGAGGATTGCTTGGGCCCAGGAGGTGGAGGCTGCAGTGAGCCAGATTGCACCATTGCCCTCTAGCTTGGGCAACAGAGCAAGAGCCTGTTTTAAAAAAAAATGGCTATAATAAACTGGAGTGACTAAACTCTCATACATTGCTGGAGGGAGTGAAAAATGGCACAGCCACTCTGGAAAACAGTATGGCAGTTTCTTATAACATTAAACATATACTTACATATGCCCTGTCAATCCTACTTCTACATATGAATTCTAAAAAAATTAAAACTTCTCTTCATACCAAACACATGTACATGAATGCTTATAGTAACATCTATTTGTAATTGCCCAAACCTGAAAACAACCCAAATGCCTTTCAACTGGTGAGAGGATAAACAATATGTCCATTGAACATCGATACAACGAAATGCTACTCAGCACTATAAACAGAACAATTGGTGACATGACAATTTGGGAAAATCTATGCTAAGTGATAGAAGCAAGTTTCAAAGGGTTACACATTGTTTGATTGCATTTGCATGGCTTCTGGAAATGGCAAAGCAATAAGAACAGAGATCTGAGCAGTGGTTGCCAGGGATTAAGAGTAGGGGGAGGATTGGAGTACAAAGGGGATGCATAAGGCAGGACTTTTTGTCCTGCAGAAATGGAAAGCCACTGAAGGTTTATATGAGAAAAATTAGCTGTATGTTACTAGTCACTCAGGTAAAGCAGGAAGGTTGCCTGACTAATGTAGCAGAAATGATGATGGAAAATGTGGACAAATTTTTGAGATATATAGAATGGTGAATCAACCAGGATTGCTTTTACTGACATGGAAGTATGCAAGAGGTAGAGCGAGGGGTCAGAGGTGATCCTCAGGTTTCTGGTTGCATCTCTTGAATGGATCATGGATGGTGGTGCAATTCACGGAGCCACAAAGCACAGGAAGACTACTTTCGAGGTCAAGATGAGAAGAAGTAGGTCAGTGATATCTCTTACCTGATTTTTGCACGTCTCACAATAAAAGAACCAGTACTGATATAGTTAAGTTTATAGAGAGAAGAGGCCCTAAAATCATAAGACATTGAATCTACATTTCCAAAAACAAAACAAAACAAACAAAATCAACACAAACCTAAGTTTCCTGACAAAATTTCTCTCTTTGTAATTTCATACTTCATTCGATTCAAAACTTTCATCATCTCTTGGGTATTTTTTTCAGTTTTGTTTCTTAAGTGTAGCATATTTTCTTTAAACTCCAAAATATGGTTTCTACAGTTAATTAATTGATTATCTGCAATGAAAACATATGTATATATTTGTACATGTAGCAATGGTGTCACACAATTTTCTATAATAGGTAAGAATGTAAAGTATAAGTTTCAATATAGTTATATATAGTACTATATATGTATTATATGTGTATATATACAGTACTATATACATATAGTATATACCACATGTGTAAATACGTGCATAGGTACAAATATAAAAGACTGGAAAGAAAGAACAAAATGTTAAATATAGTGATATGAGGAAGGTGGGATTATAAATGATTTTTTCCTTTATTACTCTGTGCTCTTCTTTGTTTTACAAATTTTCCATGGTGTGCGTGTATCAGATTTGTATTACAGTGTAATCCCATTAACCCCCCAAAAATACATCTAAGAAATTATCTGAAGAAAATTATGAGGAATATGTACACAGATTTGGACTAAGGATATTTAACATAGGCCGTAGTATTTAGCATTATTTTTAAAAATTGGAACTGACCAAAGTGCCCAACAGTAGGACATTTGCTAAATAAATTACAGAATATTCTTTTAAGAGTTCTGATGGCTCTGATGTCAAATCATGTATAATATACTTAATATTTGTGTTATCTGGGGAAAATTGCTTAATTTTTATTTGCCTCTGCTCCTTCTGGTGTAAATGCATACATAAAAATCTCTGCCTCAGAGCTGTTGTGAAGATGTAGTGCTGATGCACATAAACTAAAGTTTCAGGATACAAAATCAACAGTAGAGTTTCTATCCACTAACAGCAAACTATCCAGGAAAGAAATCAGTCAAACCACACCATTTACAATGGCAACAATAAAATACTTGGGAATAAATTTAACCAAGGAGGTGAAAGAATGGTGCACTGAAAACTATATAATCTGGGTGAAAGAAATTGAAGACACAAATAAATGGAAAGATATCACATGTTCGTAGATTAGAAGAATATTGTTAAAATGTCTATACTACACAAAACAATCTACAGATTCAATGCAATCCTTAAAAAAATCCAATTACGTTTTTCACAGAAACAGAAAAACAACCCCTGCAATTCATATGAAACCACAAAAGACCCCAAAAAGCCAAAGCAATCTTGAATGAAAGAACAAAGCTGGAGACATCACACTACCTGACTTCAAAATATATTGCAAAGCTATGGTAATCAAAACAGCATGGTACTGGCATAATAACAGACACATAGACCAATGGAACAAAATAGGGAACCCAGAAATTCACGCATTTACAGTAACTTGATCTTTGACAAAGTTTCCAAGAACACACAATAGGGAAAGAACAGTGTCTTCAATAAAAACGTGTTTGGAAAACTGGATATCCACATGCAGAAGAACGAAATTAGATCTTTATTTCAACTCGCATAAAAAATCAACTAAAAATGGATGAAAGACTTAAGTGTAAGACCTGAAACTGTAAGATTACTAGAAGAAACCATTAGGAAAAAGCTTATTGACCTGGTCTGAGCAATGATTTTTCAGATATGACTCCAAAATAACAGATAACAAAAGACAAAATAAATGAATGGGATTACATCAAGTTAAACAAGCTTATGTACAGCAAAGTAAACAATTAACAGAGTGAAGAGACAACATGGATTGAAAATATTTCAACCCAAGAGACAATCTATGGGTTAAAATTTGTCCAGTGGGAGAAAATATTTGCAAACCATACATCTGAAAAGAGGTTAATATCTAAAATATATAAGAAACTCAAACAATAGCAAAAAAAAGTAAAAAATTGGCAAAAGATTCAAATAGATATTTGTCAAAACAAGACATGAATATGGCCAAGTACATAAAAAAGTGCTTGATACCACTAATCATCAGCAAAATGCAAATTAAAACAAGGTACCATCTCACACCTGTTAGAATGGCTATTATCAGAGACAAAAGGTGAGAATATGGAGAGAAAGAAACTCTTGCACACTGTTGGCAGGAATATAAATTAGTGTAGCCATTATGGAACACAATATGGAGGCTCCTTACCTTCAGGACATAGGCATGGGCAAGGACTTCATGTCTAAAACACCAAAAGCAATAGCAACAAAAGCCAAAATTGACAAATGGGATCTAATTAAACTAAAGAGCTTCTGCACAGCAAAAGAAACTACCATCAGAGCGAACAGGCAACCTACAGAATGGGAGAAAATTTTCACAACCTACTCATCTGACAAAGGGCTAATATCCAGAATCTACAATGAACTCAAACAAATTTACAAGAAAAAAACAAACAACCCCATCAAAAAGTGGGCAAAGGATATGAACAGACACTTCTCAGAAGAAGACATTTATGCAGCCAACAGACACATGAAAAAATGCTCATCATTACTGGCCATCAGAGAAATGCAAATCAAAAACACAATGAGATACCATTTCACACCAGTTAGAATGGCGATCATTAAAAAGTCAGGAAACAACAGTGCTGGAGAGGATGTGGAGAAATAGGAACACTTTTACACTGTTGGTGGGACTGTAAACTAGTTCAACCATTGTGGAAGTCAGTGTGGCGATTCCTCAGGGATCTAGAACTGGAAATACCATTTGACCCAGCCATCCCATTACTGGGTATATACCCAAAGGATTATAAATCATGCTGCTATAAAGACACATGCACACGTATGTTTACTGCGGCACTATTCACAATAGCAAAGACTTGGAACCAACCCAAATGTCCAACAATGATAGACTAGATTAAGAAAATGTGGCACATATACACCATGGAATACTATGCAGCCATAAAAAATGATGAGTTCATGTCCTTTGTAGGGATATGGATGAAATTGGAAATCATCATTCTCAGTAAACTATCACAAGGACAAAAAACCAAACACTGCATGTTCTCAGTCATAGATGGGAATTGAACAATGAGAACACATGGACACAGGAAGGGGAACATCACACTCTGGGGACTGTTGTGGGGTGGGGGTAGGGGGTAGGGATAGCATTAGGAGATATACCTAATGCTAAATGACGAGATAGTGGGTGCAGCATACCAGCATGGCACATGTATACATATGTAACTAACCTGCATATTGTGCTCATGTACCCTAAAACTTAAAAGTATAATAATAATTAAAAAATAAAAATAAATTTTATTAAAAAAATTAAAAATAGAACTGCATAACGCAGCAATCCCACTGTTGGTTATGTATTCAAAGGAAATAAAGTCAGTATGTTGGATGGATGTTATGGCTCACACCTGTAAACCCAGCACTTTGGGAGGTCAAGGTGAGAGGACTGCTTGAGCTCAGGAGATCAAGGCCACAGTGGAGCCATGACTGCACTGCTGCACTCCAGCCTGAGCAACAGAGCAAGACCCTGTCTTAAAAAAAAAAAAAAAAAAAAAAAAAAAAAAAAAAAAAAGCAATGATGATACATTTGGGTTGAAACATTTAATATTTTTTCACTTATCTGTTTTTTCTGAAGAAGAGCACACAAGTGGACAGCCTGTGGCAAAAATTGGATAATTCCTCTCCCCTGCTCAAAACCCTCCAAAATATTTCTCATCACACTTAGAAAAATAACCAAAGTCCTTACCATGACCCACAAAGCCCTGTGTGATCAGTCCTGAGTTCCTCCCTGGTCTCATTTCCTACCCTTCCTGCCTCACTCTGAGGGAGCCCAGCATCACCCACACTGGCCTCCTTGCTGTTCCTCACACGAGCCAAACACTCTCCTACCTTAGGGCTTTGGCTTTTGCAGTGTTCTCAGCACTGAATGCTCTTCCCCCATATCCTTTCATTGTTTTATCACATATCCTGTTGTGGCAGAAGGTCCCTAATTTCATTGTTTTCTGCTAAGACATTACCACCTCAGGGAAGCCTACCCTGCCATCCTTTGTAAGATAGCACAGCCGTCTTTCCCTTATTATTATTTTTTTAATTATACTTTAAGTTCTGGGGTACATGTGCAGAATGTGCAGGTTTGTTACATAGATATACATGTGCTGCACACATCAACCTGTCATCTACATTAGGTATTTCTCCTAATGCTATCCCTCCCCTAGCCACCCACCCCGAAACAGGCCCCGGTGTGTGATGTTCCCCTCCCTGTGTCCATGTGTTCTCATTGTTCAAATAACTTATCACCACCACTTCATATTATGTATTGACTGCTTTCATGTTTCACTCCAGAGATTTCTAGAATGAGAGCAGCGAGAACATTTTACTACTAAATTCCAACTATCTGAAACAGCGATTTGCATATAGTTCTTATACAAATATATGCTCGATGAATAAATAATGAAATGAATGGACTTGTCAGTATAAGAACTAATTTTAGTGATTCTTAAACTGAATCATGCTTTAATCAAAAGAACTGCACCTATCCAGATAAGCCTTAAATATTCATATTGTAGATACTATTTGAAGATGCTTACAAACCTTAGAGGGAGATGTAGTTTAAGCTCATGATATTAGGGTTTCCCAGGTAATGTTCTCTCTGCAAAATGGATTGTGTGTTCCGAGTTAATATATCATGGGTGATGCAACCTATGTGGGTTTCTACATTGTAGGTCAGTCCCTAGGGATCAATTTGGTAAACATGAAAAGAAAGAGTTTTCTCCAGAGGAAGCAGTATTTACAGCAACAATCATAAAGAAATGTTAAAGGACATAATCTCTAATCTTAGATCTGCTTCTTGTACATTTTTCCCTGGTAATTCATTCATCAATATTCTATTTAAAATATTGAAATTACTTGCATATTTACCCAGGTATTTAGTGAGGATGAAATGTTATAACACTATTTTGCAAAGGTTTGAAATAAACAATAATTAGATGCTTTGAGTCAATTGGGCATCTCTGTAGTGAAATTATGAAAACAAACACCAGTTCAAGTGTGCAATGGGTGAATGTGACTTCTGCACATTAAAAATAGGTTCCAGGCTAGATCCTAAGTGCCACTGATTTGTGCCTCTCACAGCAAGGCTCCAAGGCATTGTGTTCCAGTAGAAATAAAATGCAAGCCACATCTGTAATTTAAAATTTGCTAGTAGTCACATTTTAAAAAGTGAAAAGAAACGAATGAAACAAGTGAAAGTAATTTTAAACAATATATTTTATTTAATACAATATATCCAAAATGTTTCAACATAAAAGTAAACAATGGGCTATTTTACATTTTTGTACTAAATATTCTAAATCCTGCGTGTATTTTACACTCACAGTACATCTCAATTCAGATGCTAAATTTTAATAATTACAGTGAAATGTAATCCTACCAAAACAGTACAGTTTTGCTTAATGGAGAAATATTTTGCACAATTTCAGTTATTAAATGTAGACTCAAACTAGTTAACATAAAATAAAAAATGCTGTTTCTCAGGTGCACTCACTAGCTGCATTTCAAGTGCTTCAAAGCCACCTGACTACCACACTGGATGGCATAAGTCTCCGGCATCAGCTGTGAGCTTGTTAGAAATGCAGTATCTCAGGCCTCACCCCAGACTTCAGATGCAGACAATCAGATTGTGCATTTTAATAAGATTCCCAGTTGACTACTATGCACATTAAAATTTGAGAAGGGCTGTGACAGACCACTTTCATGGTTTTCTCTTTATCATCATTGATACTACCATAGCTCAAGCTTTATTGCCTTTAGCTGCACTATTATAATTGCCTCTTAATTGGTCTCTCATCTCCAATCAATGATTAATCTTCTGGAAACACTGCTCAAAGATTATAAATAGTTCCCTGAGTGCTTACTTGCCCTGGTCTACCAGGTCCTATACAACATGGCCATGAACGTGACTTGACCTCACTTCATTCACTAAACACCTCCAGTAGCAAGAAGCATGCTGAGATTTCTATTCTTCCATTAAATACTTGCCATGTGCTATGTATGTGGTAGGTAAATAAACATGAATAAAATCTGGTTTCTGCTCTAAATTAAATTGATATGAATAAAATCTGGCTCCTGACAATCAGACTGCAAGGAATGTGGGAATGGTGCATATATTTAAACTTTACTAATTATAATATATTGTTAAAATGGAATTATCCTCAAAGTGCCACAGGCACAGGAAGGCAGGAATGATTAATTCTTAAGGAGAACTGAGGAGTAGGAGAGGTGGAGAAGGTTTCAGAGAAGAAGGAAGACTTGTGAACTTGTATGTACAGAAGCTTGCCTACAGCAGAAAGAAGGGAAGGGCATTCCAGCCTCAGAAAACAACACCATAAGTGCATAGAGTGTGAAATGGTATGGTATGTGATATAGTTTGAATATCTATCCCCACCAAATCTCATGTTGAATTGTAATCCCCAATGTGGGAGGCATTTGAGTCATGGGGGAAGATGATCCCTCATGGCTTGGTGCTATCCTCATGATAGTGAGTTCTCTTGGGATCTGGTTAAGTGTGTGGCACCTCCCTGCCACTCTCTCTCACTCCTGCTTTTTCCATGTGACATGCCTGCCTGCTCTGGCCTAGCCTTCTGTTATGAGTAAAAGCTCCCTGAGACCTTCCTAGAAGCCAAGCATATGTCAGCACCATGTTTGTAGGGCCTGCAGAACTGGGAGCCAATTAAACCTCTTTTCTTTATACATTACCCAGTCTCAGATATTTCTTTATAGCAATGCAAGAATGGCCTACTACAGTTTATCATGGGGAACGTACGTAAGTCACTCAGGGGGTAAATAGAAGGGCAAAAGGTATAATGATAAAGCATTGGCAGGTCACTTTAAATTTATTATTAGTATACTTGTACCCAATGTGGTTCCAAATAAAGAATATCTAAGGTAATTACTAGAAGATGAAACTAAAAACATAAAGTACATTTCAGATTACTCCCCCCATGTATGCTTTGCAATAATCAAATCAAACTATGTACTAAGCCCTTTAAATTCCCTGTGAGTGGCCCCTCTGTGCATTAGGTTTTATTGCAGAATATATTAGACATTACAAAGCGTATATAAGACAGTTTAAAGGATAATAATAAAAATGAACATCCATGAACCCATCACAAACTACCTTAGCCTTAGATATTCTACTTGTTTCCTTCCCAGATCCAATTCCCCTTCCTCCCTACCCCCAGATAAGCAGAATCCTGAATTTTGTATTAATCATTTATTGCTTTCCTTTACAGTTTTACTATTTTTGCAAGCTGACTTACACTTGGTTTTATACCTTAATAAATAAAACTCTGTACTTGCTTCTTTAGCTCAATTTATGCTTTTGAGATTTATTTATATTGACGAATCAAGCTGTAGTTTATTCATTTTTACTGATGTAAAATGTTCCAATGTACTGAATATACCACAACATGTTTGTCTCTTCTATTGTTGGTAACAATTATAAGAAATGCTACCAAGAATATTCTGGTACATGTCTCCTAGTAAACATGTTCAAGAGCTTCCCTAGGATATATCTGGTGGTAGAGATGTTATTTAAAATATTTAACAACATATATGGTATAGGTACTGATCAGTGAGAACATATGTTGGCCATAAACCATTGATAAGGCTGTACACTCATTTCAACCCTACTAGTAGTGGAATTCCTAAGACATAGGAAAGGCATATGTTTCATAACGGAAGAGACTGAATGTGTACTCCTCCAAGGGAAGTTTGAATTCCCAAAGCTCCACATTCTCACTAAATGTCCAATTTCCTGATTTAAGGAACAGAATAGCATGAACTGGTAACTCATGTTTTAAACTTGCATTTTCTTGATTGCTAGTGGTTTTTCTATGTTTATTCAACATTTATGTTGCACTTTGTTTTAGAGTCTTCTTTGCTGATATTGATAAACCACAAGACCAGCCCAAACCAGACCTACTTTGTTGAAAGGTGTCCAGTTACCTTGTAGGTGTAGCAGAGCCCAAAATTGCAATTCATATAGCCTGGGCAAGTGCAATAGCAAAATCTTTGACCTCTAACCACACCCAGAACCAAAGAATCCTCCCTCTGAATCAAGAAGCCTGGGACGTGACCAGAACCTGAACGCTGGAACTCTTTCATATGCGATGGGTCTGTTGGCCCAGAAGATCTGGAGCTAAAATTTGCCTCAACATACCTTACCATCAATGGCCAGACTGGAAGCCCTCCAATTAGACCCTGCCAAGCCAAAGTTCCTAAATCTTTTCCCTTGTCCTATGATTCCTTAAAACTTGGCCCAGACCCAATAAGAGACAAACATTTGAGCCTGAGTCTGATCTCCTTGCTGGCTGGTTTTGCAAAAAAAAATTTCTTTTCTCAAAAGCCAGTGTTAAAGTTATTGGCTTCTGTATACATTGGGCCATGAGCCCATTTGCTTGATAACATAATGCAGCTACATCAACTTTATTTTGGTTTGGGTTTGTGGGTATTTTTCCATCCCTTTTCTTCCAAAATTTCTGTCTTTAAAATTCAAATATGTCTCTTTTAGTAACCATCAAGTTGAATTTTGTCATATATCCAATCAGGAAATATTTTAATTTCTTTTTTGGGACACTTAATGCAATTAGTGATATAGTTATGCTATTGTACTATTATTTTAGTGGTTCAACTAGATATTCCAACATGAATCCTCGACTTAATAGTCAAATACCAATTCTTACATTCTCACTTCTCAATAGTTCTACAAGTCTAGTACAATTTAACTCCATTTCCCTCTCTTACCTTTTCTTGTAATTGCTGGCATACACTGTTATTGTACATGTATTTTAAATTCCACAGGACATTTCAATTATTCTCTTGAATAACCCACATTTGGACCTTGGATTCTGCTTACTTACAGCTGCGTCTGAGAACTCCTCTTCTGCCCCATGGACAGTAATAACAATCTATTTTGTCGGCATATTCCCACAAGGTCATACACATTGGTGAAACACTCCCCCAACTGGATGGAGATGAGGGTGTTTCCCTTCCATCAAGGGAAGAGAGATCCCCAAGAAATAAAGTTGGGTGCTCTAGAATGAGCCCTCTCCTCACCAATTCAGGGGCTGAGGAACATTTTTACCCTGAAAATTGTGGAACTGCTAGACCTACCAAAATTCTCATGCTGCCAGATGAAAAGGGGCAGGAGAAAGGGAGAGATCCTACTAAGCCAAGAGGGGGAACATATGAAGTAGCCTGCAGGCATGCAGCTTGAAGCACCAAAGACATAGGAGTCGGCTGTGGCTCAAGTGAATATTGCAGGTCATCTACAAGAAGGTCATCTGCCAGGCAGAAGATTCCCAGCAACAAGGGGCTCTGGCAAAGGCAGAGGTAGGGAGGAAGAATTCAAGCAGGAGATGGATATCCCTTAAGGGAACAGAGAGCGGAGACACCACAGCAGGCCCTCAGAAGCAGCCACAAACTACCCCTACAAGAGCATCAGATATCTGCCACATCCAAGTGTCTTCCAGAGAAATTGAAACCACCAGGCTCCTGTCATGGAAGAAAACCTCTGTCCCCCCAGCTCTTTCCCACCCTAGTACCACAAGGGAAGCACAAGAAAGGAGGAGGGGGGTGCAGCAGACTGTTTCTCCAAAGATAGCCTCCAGGTCAAATGGTGTTGTGCACTTTGACCTTCCCAGTCAGTCATCAAGAAGTCAATTTCTCTACCTCCTTGAATCTGAGTTCACCCTATGACTGCTTTCACTATAGTAATATATAGCAAAAGTAATGCAGTACTAGCTTGGGGTACAGCCTTTAACTGGCTTGGCAGTTTCCACTTCCTGCCTTTTAAAAGGTAGTTGCCTTGTGGGGGGGAAAATGTATAATATTGCTAAGACCACAATGTTGTGAGAAACAAACACAAGCCACGAGGAGAGGCTTTGGAGGATGCACCACTGTGTCGGGAGAGGAGAGAGAGATGCTGGAGCTGTGAGGGAAAAAGACTTCTTAGTAGTAGAGCCTTCAGCTCCAAATGTCCCAGTTGACACCACCTCAGATTATAGATAAACTGCCCAGTGGAGCCCTTCGTGAATTTCTGATTACTAAATCAAGAGTTTAAAATAAGTGATTGTTCGAGATCAGGAGATTGAGACCAGCCTGGCCAACATGGTGAAACCTGTCTCTATGAAAAATACAAACATTAGCTGGGAGTGGTGGCACGCGCCTGTAGTCCCAGCTACTCAGGAGGCTGAGGCAGGAGAATTGCTTGGACCTGGGAGGTGGAGATTACAGTGAGCCAAGATTGCACCACCGCCCTCTAGCCTGGATGACAGAGCAAGACTCTGTCTCAAAAAAAAAAAAAAAATTGATTGTTTAAAGCCACTAGTGTTTGTGGAAGTTTTGCCATTTTCTCATTTGCCATTCCATTTTCCTTGAACCACAAGTCTTGCCTGTCCAGCAGGGAAAGGAAAAGAAAGTTTCAAGTTGACTAGGAGATTAAAGTTTTAAAAATAATGAAACAGGCTCTTTAAAAACAGGAATGAGACTGAATAACCGAAAGTGACCAAAAAAGACACATAATAAGTCTTCATTGTCTCTCTAAACATCTAAGCAGAGAAGGGGGCTCAATAGAACACATATGAGGAGTTACTGGAAAAATAAAAAGTCATTTGTATTTATATCCCAAGTTGAACTTTTTCAAAAATACATTCTTATTGTTTTTACATCTTTAAGTGAATTGGGTACTGTATGTCTATCATTTCCATTTTCTTGCTTCCTTATTCCCACTATACAAATTCTTTTAACTGATTAAAAAGTTATATATGCAAAAGAAGACATGTAATACATAGGTAAGTTCCGCAACATAATGTAAAATTAATAGCTCATCACTCAAGCTAATAACTGAAAGTTACCCGATGCCTCGGCTACCACCTCTGATTCCTCTCCCACCCCATCTCATGATGATACTACGGTACTCTCCCAAACTGTATCTGTTTATTGTTCCTTTACTTTTTTTTTTTTTTTTTTTTTTTCCTGAGATGGAGTCTCGTTCTGTCACCCAGGTTGGAGTGCAGTGGTGCGATCTCGGCTTACTGCAAGCTCTGCCTCCCGGGTTCACACCATTCTCCTGCCTCAGCCTCCCCAGTAGCTGGGACTACAGTCGCCCACGACCATGCCCGGCTAATTTTTTGTATTTTTAGTAGAGATGGGGTTTCACTGTGTTAGCCAGGATGGTCTCGATCTCCTGACCTCGTGATCTGCCCACCTCGGCCTCCCAAAGTGCTGAGATTACAGGCATGAGCCACCGTGCCTGGCCTGTTCCTTTATTTTTTAAAATGTAATTTTATCATACTTATGGATGTCCCTATATAAGATGCTGTTTAGTTTTCTTTGTTCCAAGAGTTTCTAAAAATTGTGTCTGTTGACACTCTGTCTTTATAGGCCCCTCTAAATTTCCTTTGTATGGTCAAACTGGAAACCTGTTGCTTGTCCCAGATTTCCTTGCAAGTGGTATTCTCATTATATTTTGCCAATGGGAGGCAGTTGTGCTAAAATAGAGGGTGTATGAAAGGAGGTAGTATTTCTCCTTTTGGTGATTCTTCCACCAAACTGCCAGCCTTTGCTGGGGTGTCAGACATTGAGGCAGTGGCCAGAGGCAAGAGTAGTAGCAGGCCAGCCACAGGGCCAGGATTGTCAATGGAAGTGGCAGGCAAGTGTTGGCTTTTCCAAGGGAGGTAGCTAGCAGATGACTAGGGGCTCCTGGAGTGGTTGCATTACCCAGGAAACACTCTCAAAGAAGAAAATCTGGAATTGGTTACCTGATGTACTTGAGCTTAAATGCAATGACAACCCACCACACTGCCCATGGAAAACAGGACACTAGAATTCCATGACAGGCACTGGCAAAACAGTTACCTTAATTATCATCTCCAGGTGACCCGGATGAAGTACTACTCAAACTGAGACTCTGGCGATCAAGGGCCTGCTGCATTCACTAAGAATGTGGGAATGATAACTTCAAAGATTGTGAGTGAGATGGCTTTTCATTACTAGAGAATGTTCTCGCAGCATTATTTGACACTATTGCACGCTCCTCTTTGAAATATCTTCTTGGTTTAGCTCTTTCAGTTTTCTAGCTTTTCCTTTACTTTGAAATACTGAAATTCCCCAAGACTTACTCCTTTTGTTCACTCCCTAGGGGATCTCATCCCATTTCATGGCTTTATATGCTAACAGTTCTCAACTTTATACTGCTAATCCTGATGCAGACTGATATATCCAACTGCCTATTCAACACTTTCACTGGGATCTCTAATAAGCACTTCATACATAAGAGAAATAGTGACCTTACCCCCAAACCTGCTCCTACCCCAGCCTTTGCTATTTCGGTAAATGGCAGCTCCATTTATCTAATTATTTAAGCCACTCATTCTCAACCAGGGATGATTTCTCCCTCAGGAGACATTTGCCAATGCCTGGAGACACTGTCACAACGGGAGAGGGGGTGTTGCTCCTGGCATATCCTGGATAGAACCCATGGATGCTGCTAAACATTCTACAATATATAGGACTGCCCTCTCCCCGCAAAGAATTACCCAACCCAAAATGTCAACAGCGCTAAGGTTGAGAAACCCTAGTTTAAATTAAAAATTCTTGGAGCATCCCGCAATTCTCTTCTTTCTTTCATAGCACACATCCAATAATATTTAAATGTATGTGTGAGATCATGTTACTCTTCTGCACAAAACTCTGATGGCTTCCGATCTTACTCACAATAAAATGCAGAGTCCTTACTATGGTCCCCATGATATAATACTTCTAACACTCTCCCCCCTGTTCACATTGGCCTCCTGGCTGTTTCTCGAACAAATCAAGGAGATTCCACCGCAGGGCCTTTGTACTTGCTTTTCCCTTTGTCTGAAATACTCTTCCCCCAGATATCCACACATGATGCTTCCTCGTTTCATTTGAGAATCTATTCAAATATAACTTGCTCAGGTAATCCTTCTCTGACAGCCCTTTCCTTTAAAACAGCACTTTCCTTTCCCTAACCCTGCCAACACCTGATATCATATAGTAATTATATCATTTGTTTGTTGTTTACTTCCCGTAAGCAGAATGTAAGCTTCATGAAAGGGAGGGGGTGTCCTTTGATGCCGTTCACTTGGTGCCTACAACATGAATAGGTAGTTATTAAACTCATTGAGTCTTTCATTATTTCAACCATTCATTTATTCATCCAATATTTAGCATGCTCATTACATGCCATGTAGTTTTCCACATGCTGGGACACAGTAGTGAACACAACAGAACAGGTAAAAACAGGAAGTATGTTCTGTCCTCACAGAGCTTGCATATTTGTTCATCAAATTATGAACTGTTAATACTATGAGCTCATAAAAATGAACAAAAAGGTTATCTATCCATAAAATTTTGTTAATTTAATTTAATTTATTTTTTAGTTTTTATTTTTTCCAAGATGGAGTCTTGCTCTGTCACCCAGGCTGAAGGGCAGTGGCGTGATCTCGGCTCACTGCAACCTCTGTCTCCTGGGTTCAAGCAATCCTCCTGCCTCAGCCTCCTGAGTAGCTGGGATTACAGGCACACCACCATGCCCAGCTAATTTTTGTATTTTTAGTAGAGACTAGGTTTCACCATGTTGGCCTGGCTGGTCTCAAACTCCTGACCTTGTGATCCACCTGCCTCAGTCTCCCAAAGTGTTGGGATTACAGGTGTGAGCCACCCCACTGCGCCTGGCAAAATTTAGTTAATTTTAAAGAGGGAGAAAAAATAAAGCACTAGGTGGTGGCCATCTTTCTAATAAACGTTCCCAAATTTTCACTGATAGGAATGACAACTATAGATTAAATTTTTAAGACATTGGGACTATCTCTGGTGCTTTATAAAAATCATTACTTCAGAAACTAAGTGAAGTATGTGTTTTCTTTTGTTGATGTGAGAACAGCTCATTATAGGATTGATATCCTAATTATTTTAGAGCTAAGTTCCACAGAAAGGCATACCTAAAAAATGAAAAAATCTGATTTGTCTGTTATTTTAAGAGTGTTTCATTCTCAAGAACAGTATCTTGCTTCTGAACTTGAACATATGAATGATGATGACATAAATGCTTTGAGGAATCGAACTTCTTTTTCCCTGTCATAACCAGAAAACACACCAAAATGATTGTAAGGATCTCAAAGTCTACAGTTTCATTATAAAATCATTAATGGTATTAAAACTTCTGAGGTTAACATTCTAAATTACCTTCCAAAATTACTAGGCTGGGTGTGGTGGCTCATGCCTGTAATCCCAGCACTTTGGGAGGCCTAGGTGGGTGGATCACCTGAGGGCAGGAGTTTGTGACCAGCCTGCCCAACATGGTGAAACCCTATCTCTACTAAAAATACAAAAATTATCCGGGCATGGTGGCACATGCCTGTAATCCCAGCTACTCAGGAGACTGAGGCATGAGAATTGCTTGAACCTGGGAGGCACAGGTTGCAGTGCAGTGGCCACTACACTCCAGCCTGGGCAACAAGAGTGAAAACTCTGTCTTAAAAAAAAAATTACTATAAAACTTTACATTTTGCTTTCTAATTAAAAGAAATCATTTATTTTTTGTTATAAGTGTGCTTATTGTTCATTGTGCTAAAATAGACATTTGGATGATGTTCTTTATAGAAAATGAAGAGGAGGGAAACTATGTCAAATGACTATAAAGATTAGTAGAAATATTATAATGCAGATAAATTAATATGCATTCCTAATCTTTGAAACAAGCAGGATATAGAATATTTTGTGTATATGATGATAAAATCTAGTATTAACTGGAGGGCTAAAACATGAAGCCACTCCCAAACTTCAACCTCAGCACTCCTACCAAGATTACCTTGTGTGCACTTAAGTCATACATGTGTAAATAAACGAAAATTTAACTGAAAACAACGTAAGAGCAATCGTGGAAGGCTGGGTTCATAATTTACAGGGTTCCTAAGTCTTAAACTGAAAAATTTAACTACTTGAATGCTAAAATTTTACACCGCGGACAACTAGGGTTAAAAGATCAAATATAGGATACCTGGTTAAATTTGAAATTAAAATAAAAAAGACGTAAATATTTTAGAATAATTATGTCCCATGCAATTTTTTATACTAATATATAATTGTTTATCTGAAATTGAAATTAAACTGGGCAACCTGTACCTTTGTTTCCTAAATTGGCACTTCTATGGGCCAGGAGAAATTGCATCTTGAGTGTGTGTGGGAGCGGAACACAGGCCTGCGGTCCATCGGAGAAGTCCAGGCGCTGGGCCGGCGCTGTAGGTGGTCAGGGACGTCCCTCTCCTTTCTACCACCTCTTTTCAGGTACGCAAAAAACACTCCAGGGAGGAGGGAGGCATGAAGCGGGGCCTGGTGATGTAACCCAGACCACGAAGGAGGAAAGATGCGGACAGATGCTGGCTGTGTAAGAGCAGTTCTTGGGGTCAGACAGCCATAGTTTCGAGAAGGAAGAACAGGAGAGGGGAAAAGCAGTGCACAGACGGGGTCCTTGAACCTTTGAGGAAAAGGGAGCGGCGGGTACCCTGGGCCAGATGCGTTAGCGCGCGTGCAGGCCGGACGCGGCCCTGGAGGAGGAGGTCGGGGCGCGGGTTACAGCCCAGCCGCCGCTGACCGGGGTAGGCGCGGCCTCGGGAAGGCACCGACGCGGGCCTCCCAGTGCCAGCGCGGGCGGCCGCCGCCAGCTTCCCGCATCGCCTCCGCACCCGCCGACCCTGCCCCGCCTGCATTCCTGCAGCCCCGAAGCCCCCGCGGCGGGAAAGGAGGCGGGAGGAGGGCCCGCCGCTTACTGGTTTGAGTTATCCTGTAGATGGAGAAGCAAGAGAAGCTGAACAACGCGACGGCGACCAGGGTGATCAGCAAGTTCACCTGCTTGGTCCTCATGGCCCTGGCCAGGCTGCGGGAGGCCGGCGGGTGGAGGCGGCGGATAATGCCAGGGACGGGGTTGAGCGCGCAGAGCCCCCTCCCCGCGGTGCCGCGTGGGTCCCCAGCACACCCGCCCTGGGAAGCCGCCTTGCCACAGAACTTCTGCACCTTTTGCTTCCTGCTCTAGGGTTCAGCGCGTGCTATAAACCGCTGGCCAGGGCTACTGGTCGTTAAAAACGATAAACTAGGGAAAGCGCCCCATTGCCTGGCACGTGGTGGGTGCGCAATAACTGTTAGGTGACTTTCCTCGAGTGGCTTATCAAAGCTTTACCCAAGCTGAGAAACACTAGAGCATCAGTAGGATGAGACTCTCTATGGACTCCTTGATCTCTCCCCTCTAAGCTCTCCTCTCATTGAGGACTCACTGGCAGTCTGTTATAATATCTGAACATTCTACTTCAAATCAGCCCTGCACGTTGGAAGGGCTGGCTTCTGTCCCCTTGAAGGGGAAGAAAGATTTGAACATACCCCAGCCTGAGGATGCCACTATAGCCTGCGTGTTCTCATGTGCTAATGGCTAGGAGCTGTGACTTTCCATTGAGCCGGGACCCAGCCAGATCTCAAAACAAGGAGCCAGGAGAGACACCTCAACTATGTTCTCCTTCACCCCTTCAGTCTGTTGCCGGTGCTTGCCTTTGGCTGAGCTCTACTGAAAACCAGAAGACAAGAAAGTTCAGCTTGATGTACTGGATGGTCCAAACCTGGCTTCTAGGCTGTGGAGCAGGTTGGAGAAAACGTAGGGAAGATTAGGGTGGGAGAAGGAAGCTATTCAGCATAAAGAGAGATCTCCATACTCAGCATTTCACTGCCTTCTTACTTGAGGTCCAGTTTTTGCATTTTCAGTTGCCTACCCAGCCCTTCAGCTTGAATGTCCCACATCAGATTCAAGATGTCCAAACTTCCTCACCAAGCTATTAATAGCTGTTTTCCCAGAGTCCCTTGATTTTATCAGTGGCATCATAGTTCTTCTTACAATCATTTGGACTCTGGTTCATTATATCTCATTATTTATAAAATCTTTAGTTACCTAAAGGATTGTGTTTCTGTTGCTAGCTACTATCCCCAATACTCAGATGATCACAGTGACATTCAAACTGGTCTCACTGTCTGCAGGATCTACCCTCTGCAATCCACACTTCAATACCAGATACTCTTCCTAGTTCACCACAGTCAGCTGTCACTGTTGTTTACGTAGCTCCACTCCTGAATGAAAATGGACCCACTCAATCGAAGGCCACTCACTGCTTTCTCATCTCCCAGGGCGCCCTTACATGCCTCTGGCACCTGCCAGACTCTTTTTTCAATCCTACTCTGAACATGTCATGTTCACTTCTCTCCTTCTGTGCCTTTTCTCTTTATGTCTGCCCCCTGCCCACAATGTCCAGTGTCCTCTCTGACCATTGAAATTTTTTCCACATCGTCAGGTCTCATGTTTCATCTGTTTCATGAATCAAAACCTGGCTACAGCAGACCACTCTGATTTCCCCTTCTCTGAATTTATTTAGTATGTAGGGCAGGGATGTCCAATCTTTTGGCTTCCCTGGGCCACATTGGAAGGAAAATTGTCTTGGGCCACAAATAAAATACACTAACACTAATGATAGCTGATGAGCTAAAACACACACACACATACACAGACACACACACACATTTCATAATGTTTTGAGAAAGTTTACGAATTTGGTTTGGGCCGCATTCGAAGCTGTCTTGAGCTACATGCTGCCCACCAGCCATGGGTTGGACAAGGTGATGTAAAGCCTCTGCCTTTCATTTTGATATATATCCCTAGGTACTTGCAGATAGGAGCTTCCAAAATGATCCTAAGTTACACCCATGGTTGAGGGAGAAATATATTCAAAGCAGATTGAATTACTGGTAGTTGTCCAAAGAAATGTACTTACACGTGTTAGCATAAATGGTTATGGAGGTCTAGGGAAGGATAGTTGCGGTAGATGCCTGAGAAAAGAGGGTTCCCTCATTCCTTTGCTGTGTAGTCATGCATGATACACAAGTTCTAAAAAGACCTGGCTGTGGGCAGAAGCTGACATCCCATTTCTACAAGGGAGCATGGGAAACAGAGAAGGAAAAGCTGCTTAAGAATTAACCCTCCCAACAAAGTTTCAGATGGACAGGAGGAATAATTTCCACTGATCTCTTGCACAGCATGGTGACTATAGTCAATTATAATGTATTGTACATTTCTAAAGTCCTAAAAGAGTGGACTTGAAATGTTCTCACCACAAAGAAATAAGTATGTGACATGATGGATATGTTAATTAGCCCGATTTGATCATTAAACAATGTATACATGCCTCAAAACTTCACACTATACCCCATACATGTATACAATTATTGTCTATTAAAAATAAAGAAATTTCTAAAAGAGAACTAATGCCATCAAGTAAACAATAAATAATTGAAACAAGACGGCATACATAATGTGGGTAGGGTCAGTCCAAACAGTGGGAACCAAACAAAATTTTGATAAGCTTAATCATCTCGATAGCTTACAAGGCCAATGTTGTATGAAGAAAAACTGCAGTGTTAAAAGGTTTACTAGGACAAGTACATATGCCTAAAAAAATAAAGTTCTGGGATCATTTCCACTGCTAAGTTGAGGAAAATTAGTTTAATAATCAAGAGGTTCTGGTTATTAAATCTTTCTAAGTTGCTTCGGGAATATCAATAGATTTTCTAATTGCTTCTGAGTGTCAGTAGATTTTCATTGGTATCAGAGGGAGAAAACCAGTAGAATTATCTAAAGCTAGTGCTTTAGTTTATCCACATAGTCCATCTCTACTGGAAAACCTGAAGAGACCATGGTGCTAAGCACAGAAGAATAATTAATCAAACCACTGAGACCTTATGTGACAAAACTCTTTAAATGCAGAGACACTAGAACTGGATCAATATTTTTAGATCCAAAGAGTGAAAAGGAAAGCTTACTGCTTTTTAAAATTTTCTATACATTTGGCATTTTAATATAAACTATATACCATTATAAGTCAAATCTTTATAACTAATACAAGTCACAAATCCAAATAAACACGTTTTCTTCATATTTGCTATTTATTTGCTTCCTAACTTTGATTCAAACATATCAGCAACAAATTAGTTAATACCTGCTCCAGGAACAACTAAACTCCTAAACCTCCATGGCGTAATAGAGTTGTTTTTTTTTCTTGCTCAAGTAATGTCTAATCCCAGAGTTTCCAGTTGGTTTGTAGCTTTCCACGTGATCAGTCAGAGGCACAGCCCCTTCCATTTTGTTGCTTCCTCTCTCCTCTAAGGTTTAGAAATCCTCTTCATTCCACCAGAGGATTAGGAAAAAGAATGTGGAGAAGAAAGTTTGACCAGAATTGACACAACTTAATTCTGCTCAAATTCTATTGGTGAGAAAACTAGAGGCAAAAGAAGTGGAAACTCTAGTTTCTGGTTGGCTAGCTGCTTCCCCTGCACACCTCTACCACACAAGCCAATTACAAAACTTTGGTGGTCAGCCATCCATCTCTGACACATCACCTTAACTGAAATCAAAATGATAATGTTTCTCAAAATATCTCCCTCTTTCCCAAATAAGTCAATTACTAGTTTCTGGATTCAAGAAATTAGTATAACTAAGGAGTACAGTGCTATTAGAAAGGAAAACAGAATGTCCATATTAAATATGTAACTATTTTTTACACTTTGTTTGAAGGTAAACAGTGTCATCATTCACTAGCAACATAGTGTTGGGAAGAGTTTTTAATCCTCCCTAAATTTGGGTTCCTGATCAGTAAGAGGGGATAGACAATATCTGTTCAAATTGGCTGAGATTAAATAACATTCATAATAATTCAGCAATGAAATGCTATTTGGCGATTAAAAAGAATGAAATCATATCATTTGCAACAACACTCTGGATGGAACCAGAGGTCATTGTGTTAAGTGAAATAAGCCAGGCACACAGAAAGACAAATATCCATGTTTTCACTCATATTTGGAAGCTAAAAAAGTTGATTTCATGGAAGCAGAGAGTAGAATGATAGATACCAGAGGCTTGGAATGGTAAGGAGGATGAAGTGAGGTTGGTTAATGGGTACAAACATACAGTTACATATAAGGAATAAGTTCTAATGTTTGACAGCAGAGTAGGGTGACTATAGTTAACAATAGTGTATTGCATGTTTCAAAACAGAAGACATGAAATATTCCCAATATATAGAAATGATACATACTTGAGGTGATGAATATCCTAAATACCCTGACTTGACCATTACACATTCTAGACATGTAACAAGATACCACAAGTACTCCATAAATATGTACAAATATTCTGTATCAAATATATATACATATGATGCAGCACACACACACAAATACACACATGTACATACACAAGTACATTGGGAGGAAAAGGCAAAATGTTAACATTGTTTAATTTTTTAAAAAATGAACTTAGCATATGCATACTTCCTGTCTTAATGTAAGTGCTCAATACGTTCTTGTTCTTTTTTTCTCTGTTGCTATTCATACAAAGCAGTTATAATTTTCTTATTGACTCTATTACTTCTCCTACAGCAGACTACCTGTTCAAAAATCCTCCCGTGATTCCTTCTGAAAAATCAAAAGTGTTATCCTAGAGTCCTGGGTCTTCCATAATCTGATTCCATCTGCCTTTCCAGCTGCATATGCCTCTGTTGGAGTACTCAAAAGTTCTACTCTGCTCAAACTCACTAAATACCATGTTTTCAAAATTCAGAAAAGCACTTTCCTTTCACATTTTAAGGTTTTTGAAATCAGAATGTATCTTCCAATCAATGTTTACATTTAACATATTATTTCTTCTTTTTTTTCCCAAAAACAAAAAACAAAAAAATCTGCTACTCAGCCAATGGGTCAATGGTTTGTCTATGAACCAGGACACATGATATTTATTGAGCATCTACTCTGTGCCAATTATGGAATGAGGTGCTGGGGATATAAATATTCACCTGCTAGTTCTTGACTTCAGCTTCCTCTTTATGCTCAAATGTAGACTGCACCCCAAACACATTCATATTCCTGCCTATCAAAACTAGTCAGGACTGAGCTGAAATGGGACTTCCTCCATGAAGCATTTTTTGAACTCCTGTAGCCCTTGGACCCTTTCTCAGAGCCCTCAATCTGCATTATATATAATTGTTATGCACGTTTTATTTCCTCTACCATGTTATGAGTCCCTAGAAGACAGAGATCATGACATTTTCTTTCTTTCTTTTTCTTTTTTTTTTTTTGAGATGGAGTCTTGCTCTGTCACCCAGGCTGGAGTACAGTGGCGCAATCTTGGCTCACTGCAATATCAGCCTCTCAGGTTCAAGCAATTCTCCTGCCTCAGCCTCCTGAGTAGCTGGCACTACAGGCATGTGCCATCATACCTGGCTAATTTTTGTATTTTTATTAGAGATGGGGTTTTACCATTTTGGCCAGGCTGGTCTCGAACTTGTGACCTCAAGGGATCTGCCCGCCCCGGCCTCCCAAAGTGCTGGGATTACCAGCGTGAGCCACCGTGCCTGGCTGACATTTTCATACCATATTCCACACTACATATTTCAAGGTGCCTTACAGATCAAAGGTATTGATTGAAACATAAGCCTCCACCTACAGTCAACCTACCTAAAACCAGTTAAGCCAACAGTAAATTTTACTCCAGGAAATCCAGATAGAGGATGCAGTAACATCCTCAAGGACCTTCAGAGTTCTCCTTTGTGATTTTTGTCTAAGTTAACATTACATCTAGACCATGGGAAGTCAAGAACTGTCAGGCTAAAGATAAATATTTGCTAAAATAATAGGAATGGAAAGAGTATCCTCTGAGGATATTACCAGTGTCACAAACACCCATCAAGGCTTCTTTAGTTAACCTTAATCTAAATGGTGGTCTCATAACTATTATTAGCACAGAAAAGTAAACTTAGTGGAGACAGATCTTTCTAGTGTCATCTGTATGTAGGATCCTGAAGGTGAAAACAATCTGAAAGATAATGACTTTGGACAGCCATTCTTCTTAAACTTCAGCATGCATAAGAATCACCTTGTTAAACACAAGGTGATGGTTGGTCCCACCCTCAGAATTTCTGATTCAGTAAGTTAATGTTGGGGCCCCAAAATTTGCATTTCTAACAGGTCTCACATGCTATTAATGCAGCTGGTCCAGAAACCATACTTTGAGAATCATTGCACAATAGCATTCCATAGAATCATAGATCAGACTTAGAAAAACCCAGTCCATCCCCTTTGGCAAAATGATCCCCAAACACCTATTTAATAACAACACCACATTTCTTGCTGCCAGTGAGGGACATTTCATCATGTCCCTTGGCCATTATATTCTGGAATTTAACAATATTTACAAAAATTTATCTCTACTATCCTTGGACATACCAAGACTGGCCTGATTAGCTGAAAAAAGACACAGTAATTTTAGAGGCATCAGGTTCTAGGATTGTCCCAAATTGAAAGTCCGAGCTGCAGACAAAAGGAGGATGCCCCTTCCAGTCAGCAGAACGTGTGGTCCAACAACTGGATGAACAGAAACAGGAATAGGGTACAGACCAGTAATAAGCATCAGAGCGTCCAACAGAGAGTGACAGGGACTGATTTTTTTTTCTTTTCTTTTTCTTTTTTTTTTGACAGTCTTGCTCTGTCGCGCAGGCTGGAGTGCAGTGGTGCGATATCGGCTCACTGCAACTTCCACCTCCCAGGTTCAAGTGATTCTCCTGCCTCAGGCTGCTGAGTAGCTGGGATTACAGGTGTGCACCACCACGCCCAGCTAATTTTTGTATTTTTAGTAGAGACAGGGTTTCACCATGTTGGTCAGGCTGGTCTTGAACTCCTGACCTCGTGATCCACCTGCATCCGCCTCCCGAAGTGCTGAGATTACAGGCGTAAGCCACCGTGCCCAGCCCTGATGTGGTCTTTTAACTGTCCTTCCCACTGTAACATGACTTTGGTTTTTCTTAGGGGAACTGTGGTAGTTCACTAACAATTCTCATCTCTGTGTGCTGCGCCTCGCAAGAAGAGGCGAAGTCTCCGTGTTGACCTTATAATTTGCCTTAATGAATACATATTATCAGAAGAGATATTCTGGGTCTCCTGAACCAGGCTTTAAGAGGACTGGAAACTTTTGCATCCTCCTTCTTGGAGCCCAATTGCCATGCTATGAAGAAGTCTAAGTCAAACGACTGACTGATTAGAAGCTCCTTGGAGAGGAGCACTGTGATGAGAGGTCAACCTGAATACTCCAGCACAAGCCAAGCTCCAACTGAATGCAGCTGTATAGGAGACCTCCAGAAAAACCAGCAGAAAAACTGCCTGCCTGAGCTCAGCAAACCCACCTACTTATAAGAAATTGTTATTTTAGGCCACAACATATGGAATGGTTTGTTTTGCAGCAACAGGTGAGTGATAGAGGAACTAATGCCCTCTCTGCCAACTTTATGCAGGAAGGGTTCACAAACATCCTAGCTCCGACCAATCATCATAGTCTCTGACCCTTTACACAGAGATTAGTTCAGCACTTGACTTAAATCAGCCAAAAGAGGCTAAATTATGAGACCTTTCAATCTAGACCGGGAGTTTTTAGGGCCATCTTGTCTGTAGGAAGTGAGAGCTTGCCAGAGGGTAATGCTGACTAGGGTGGAAGCAGCTCTGAAGGATTTCATTTGATTACCTACCAAATCCAGTCATGCCTAAATCTATATTAATATATGGTTATTTTAGTTGCATGAGCTAATGCATTTCTTTCATCAATTAAATCAGCTTGAGGTAAGGTTTCTATAGGTTGTACCTGAAAGACTTCTGACTAATACAGGGAACCTAGCAGGTAAGTATAGGACAGTAATAGAAAATCTATAAATAAGAGACAACTTGGAGATTCAGCTAGGTGCAGTCAGCACCAGGAAGAAACAAACACACACAATTTCCAGCAAGGTTGGCATTCTGAAATAAGACATCAGGCCCCAGGATCACTGAGTATAGTTATATGAGTTGTGTCCTACCAAAGGGGCCCTGAAGGAAGGCTAAGGTGAAGGCTAAAGATTGGCACTTGCTCCAAATAAACTGTGGTGCAGGACTGTGTCTGTTTAGAGTAAGGAGTGCATCTTTTTCTAATTAACAAAAAAGCATCGTGTAGGCTGCCTGAAGCCTCAACTGCCCCTGGAAGCAGTGAGAGAAGCCTAAGGCACATCCCTGGTCCCAATGAAGGCTAGGAAACCACATAGAGTACCTAGAAAAGAACTAGAAAAATAAGCATAACCCATAAATCACAACCGAAAAAACAGTGCCAATCTGCAACCATTCAGGCAGGGGTTCAGGGATCCTGAGTCATGGAAATCAGCTTTAATTTGATTTGGGAGGAGAACAGTTCTGAAGATTTATTCCATCATCAACCATGATGTGTCCTTACACCTGAGCCACAGGTGTATTATTTTCTCACCCTGAGACACTCTAGGGGGCTAAGAGTGACAGTACTTTCCCCAGAGTCATCATTTACTTGTTCTCCTGTTTTCCTTCTCTTAATATTTCACCTTTTTTCCATTTGTCACCTGTCAGAACATAGATGTGGTCTCCCAGGCAGGGGCCTCTGGTTCAGTCATACCATCAACCCATAAAGAAGACAGCAGTAGGAAACTTGCCAGGGCCTTGCCTTTTGTCCATTCTTGGGAAGAAGTGGCAGGGCTGCCTCAGTCAAGTGCAACATAGCTATATTCCCACTACATGGGGTGAGTGGAAAAATGGGTGAACTTACAGCCAATCCTTGTTTGGCCACATGATATGAAGTCACTACCCAGCATAGGGGTTTCCTGAAAAATATGTACATATATGTTCAAAGCAATAGAAGTTGTGTCTTGGGCAGCAATTTTTTCTTCCACTGGATCATCCAAATGCAAGAGAGAAAGAGAGAGAGTTCTAGCAGAGCAGCATCCTCCACCTCTTCCTTCCCTCCTCTAGCACTAAAAAGCCTTTTTAAATCTGTTTCTCCCTTACTTCCCCTCGTATGTGGACAGAGCACACAGTCACCTGAATGAGCCAGCCAGCCCTTCATATCCCATGTTTTATACTGTATTTTCAATAATAAATATTTCAATTATCTGTTCTCATGTCAAAAGTAATTTGACAGTTACTCCATAGGTGGAATATGATATTGACATGACCATATCATGTTAGGATTCTTTCTGGGGAGAGGGCTAGTTCTGCACAGTGGCTGCATAAAATACCTTCTTTTGTACAGTGAGATGTATGATAGGGAACCAAATGGTTGTATAATACACTGTTCCAAGTCCTTGATAGTGTTTGTGGCTGCAGCCTTAGCTCAAGATGACATATGTGTTAAGCTTACTTGAATCCTCTGGGGGGGCTACAAATAGTAATCCTATATAGTTCACTGGCCCATATGCTCAGACTTCTGTGCCCAGGAGATTTTCCCAAATGGTGTTTTTAAATGGCTATTTTTGGGTTAGCATTCATTGGTCTCTTGTCGTATTAGTGGCTTAGGTAAGGAACAGGTGGAATATATAATTATTTCACACATTCTTGCATGGCTTTGGAAATTGCCAAGGTGACTACTTCTAGGGAATGGCAGGTGATCATCTTCACATTTTCTTCATCTTCAGAATCAATTTGATTTTTATCTTGGGCATCTGTTTGACCCACTATCATCCTTCCTTGGAAATCCCGTAGGGCCTTCCACAGTCAAATCCCCTGCACTGGGGTATTCTTAATGTTAACTTACCAAGATTCTCAGACTCCTGGGTATGGTGGCTCATACCTGTAATCCTGGCTACTTGAGAGGCTGAGGTGGGAGGAGTGCTCAAGCCCAGGAGTTCAGGGTTGTAGTGAGTTATGATTGTGCCACTGTACTCCACTCTGGGTGACAGAGAAAGACAACATTTCTTAAAAAAAAAAACAAACAGGAAGGTTCCAAGATGGCCGAATAGGAACAGCTCCAGTCTGCAGCTCCCAGCGTGAGTGACACAGAAGATGGGTGATTTCTGCATTTCCAACTGAGGTACCAGGTTCATCTCACTGGGGAGTGTCAGACAGTGGGTGCAGGACAGTGGGTGCAGCCCAAGGAGGGTGAGCCAAAGCAGAACGGGTCATCGCCTCACCCGGGAAGCACAAGGGGTTGGGGAATTCCCTTTCCTAGCCAAGAGAAGCCGTGACAGATGGTACCTGGAAAATCGGGTCACTCCCACCCTAACACTGCACTTTTCCAATGTTCTTAGCAAATGGCACACCAGGAGATTATATCCCGCACATGGCTCAGAGGGTCCCATGCCCACTGAGCCTCACTCACTGCTAGCACAGCGGTCTAAGATCGAACTGCAAGGCCCCAGCGAGGCTGGGGGAGGGGCATCCACAATTGCTGAGGCTTGAGTAGGTAAACAAAGCAGCCAGGAAACTCAAACTGGGTGGAGCCCACCCAGCTCAAGGAGGCCTGCGTGCCCCTGTGGACTCCACCTCTAGGGGCAGGGCATACCTGAGGAAAAGGCAGCAGAAACTTCTGCAGACTTAAATGTCCCTGTCTGACAGCTTTGAAGAGAGTAGTGGTTCTCCCAGCATGGAGTTTGAGATTTGAGAACAGACAGACTGCCTCCTCAAGTGGGTCCCTGACCCCCAAGTAGCGTAACTGGGAGGAACCTCCCAGTAGGGGCTGACTCATACCTCATATGGCCGGGTGCCCCTCTGAGATGAAGCTTCCAGAAGAAGAATCAGGCAGCAACATTTGCTGTTCTGCAATATTTGCTGTTCTGCAGCCTCTGCTGGTGATACTGAGGCGAACAGGGTCTGCAGTGGACCTCTAGCAAACTCCAACAGACCTGCAGCTGAGGGTCCTGACTGTTAGAAGGAAAACTAACAAACGGAAATGACATCCATACCAAAACTCCATCTGTACATCACCATCATCAAAGACTAAAAGTAGATAAAACCACAAACATGGGGAGAAACCAGAGCAGAAAAGCTGAAAATTCTAAAAAATCAGAGTGCTTCTTCTCCTCCAAAGGAACGCACCTCCTCACCAGCAACAGAACAAAGCTGCATGGAGAATGACTTTGATGAGTTGAGAGAAGAAGGCTTCAGACGATCGGTAATAACAAACTTCTCCGAGCTAAAGGAGGATGTTCAAACCCATCACAAAGAAGCTAAAAACCTTGAAAAAAGATTAGACAAATGGCTAACTAGAATAAACAGTGTAGAGAAGTCCTTAAATGACTGGATGGAGCTGAAAACCATGGCATGAGAACTACATAATGCATGCACAAGCTTTAGTAGCCGATACGATCAAGTGGAAGAAAGGGTATCAGTGATTGAAGATCAAATGAATGAAATGCAGCGAGAAGAGAAGTGTAGAGAAAAAAGAATAAAAAGAAATGAACAAAGCCTCCAAGAAATACGGGACTATGTGAAAAGACCAAATCTATGTCTGATTGGTGTACCTGAAAGTGACAGGGAGAATGGAACCAAGTTGGAAAATACTCTTCAGGATATTATCCAGGAGAATTTCCCCAATCTAGCAAGGCAGGCCAACATTCAAATTCAGGAAATAGAGAGAATGCCACAAAGATACTCCGTGAGAAGAGCAACTCCAAGACACATAATTGTCAGATTCACCAAAGTGGAAATGAAGGAAAAAATGTTAAGGGAAGCCAGAGAGAAAGGTCGGGTTGCCCACAAAGGGAAGCCCATCAGACTAACAGTGGATCTCTCCGCAGAAACTCTACAAGCCAGAAGAGAGTGGGGGCCAATACTCAACATTCGTAAAGAAAAGAATTTTCAACCCAGAATTTCACACCCGACCAAACTAAGCTTCATAAGTGAAGGAGAAATAAAATCCTTTACAGACATGCAAATGCTGAGAGATTTTGTCACCACCAGGCCAGCCTTACATGGCTCCTGAAGGGAGCACTAAACGTGGAAAGGAATAACCAGTACCAGCCACTGCAAAAACATGCCAAATTGTAAAGACTATCAATGCTAGGAAGAAACCGCATCAACTAACAAGCAAAATAACCAGCTAACATCATAATGACAGGATCAAATTCACACATAACAATATTAACCTTAAATGTAAATGGGCTAAATGCTCCAATTAAAAGACACAGACTGGAAAATTGGATAAAGAGTCAAGACCCATCAGTGTGCTGTATTCAGGAGACCCATCTCACGTGCAGAGACACACATAGGCTCCAAATAAAGGGATGGAGGAAGATCTACCAAGCAAATGGAAAACAAAAAAAAGCAGTGGTTGCCATCCTAGTCTGTGATAAAACAGACTTTGAACCAACAAAGATCAAAAGAGACAAAGAAGGCCATTACATAATGGTAAAGGGATCAATTCAACAAGAAGAACTAACTATCCTAAATATATATGCACCCAATACAGGAGCACCCAGATTCATAAAGTAAGTCCTTAGAGACCTATAAAGAGACTTAGACTCCCACACAATAATAATGGGAGACTTTAAAACCCCACTGTCAACATTAGACAGAGCAACGAGACAGAAAGTTAACAAGGATATCCAGGAATTGAACTCAGCTCTGCACCAAGCAGACCTAACAGACATCTATAGAACTCTCCACCCCAAATCAACAGAATATACATTCTTCTCAGCACCACATCGCACTTATTCCAAAATTGACCACATAGTTGGGAGTAAAGCACTCCTCAGCAAATGTAAAAGAACAGAAATTATAACAAACTGTCTCTCAGACCACAGTGCAATCAAAAACTAGAACTCAGGATTAAGAAACTCACTCAAAACTGCTCAACTACATGGAATCTGAACAACCTGCTCCTGAATGACTACTGGGTACATAACAAAATGAAGGCAGAAATAAAGATGTTCTTTGAAAGCAATAAGAACAAAGACACAACATACAGAATCTCTGGGACACATTTAAAGCAGTG
Source organism: Homo sapiens (assembly GCF_000001405.40). Lineage (NCBI taxonomy): Eukaryota > Metazoa > Chordata > Mammalia > Primates > Hominidae > Homo > Homo sapiens. The sequence continues at coordinate 140,511,193 of NC_000004.12, forward strand.
TGTAGAGGGAAATTTATAGCACTAAATGTGCACAAGAGAAAGCAGGAAAGATCTAAAATTGACACCCTACCATCACAATTAAAAGACCTGGAGAAGCAAGAGCAAACACATTCAAAAGCTAGCAGAAGGCAAGAAATAACTAAGATCAGAGCAGAACTAAAGAAGATAGAGACACAAAAAACCCTTCAAAAAAGATCAGTGAATCCAGGAGCTGGTTTTTTGAAAAGATCAACCAAACTGATAGCCTGCTAGCAACACTAATAAAGAAGAAAAGAGAGAAGAATCAAATAGACGTCATAAAAAATGATAAAGGGAATATCACCACTGATCCCACAGAAATACAAACTACCATCAGAGAATACTATAAACACCTCTATGCAAATAAAATAGAAAACCTAGAAGAAATGGATAAATTCCTCAACACATACACCCTCCTAAGACTAAACCAGGAAGAAGTTGAATCCCTGAATACACCAAAAACAGGCTCTAAAATTGAGGCAATAATTAATAGCCTACCAACCAAAAAAAAGCCCAGGACCACATGGATTCATAGCTGAATTCTACCAGAGGTACAAAGAGGAGCTGGTACCATTCCTTCTGAAACTATTCCAATCAATAGAAAAAGAGGGAATCCTCCCTAACTCATTTTATGAGGCCAGCATCATCCTGATACCAAAGCCTGGCAGAGACACAACAAAGAGACAGAATTTTAGACTAATATCCCTGATGAACATGGATGCAAAAATCCTCAATAAAATACTGGCAAACTGAATCCAGCAGCACATCAAAGAGCTTATCCACCACGATCAAGTTGGCTTCATCCCTGGGATGCAAGGCTGGTTCAACATATGCAAATCAATAAACGTAATCCATCATATAAACTGAACCAAAGACAAAAACCACATGATTATCTCAATAGATGCAGAAAAGGCCTTTGACAAAATTCAACAGTCCTTCATACTAAAAACTCTCAATAAACTAGGTATTGATGGGACATATCTCAAAATAATAAGAGTTATTTATGACAGACCCACAGCCAGTATCATACTGAATGGGCAAAAACTGGAAGCATTCCCTTTGAAAACTGGCACAAGACAGGGATGCCCTCTCTCACCACTCCTATTCAACATAGTGTTGGAAGTTCTGGCCAGGGCAATCAGGCAGGAGAAGGAAATAAAGGGTATTCAATTAGGAAAAGAGACAGCCAAATTGTCCCTGTTTGCAGATGACATGATTGTATATCTAGAAAACCCCATCGTCTCAGCCCAAAATCTCCTTAAGCTGATAAGCAAATTCAGCAAAGTCTCAGGATACAAAATCAATGTGCAAAAATCACAAGCATTCCTATACACCAATAACAGACAAACAGAGAGCCAAATCATGAATGAACTCCCATTCACAATTGCTTCAAAGTGAATAAAATACCTAGGAATCCAACTTACAAGGGATGTGAAGGACCTCTTCAAGGAGAACTACAAACCACTGCTCAAGGAAATAAAAGAGGATACAAACAAATGGAAGAACATTCCATGCTCATGGATAGGAAGAATCAATATCTTGAAAATGGCCATACTGCCCAAGGTAATTTATAGATTCAATGCCATCCCCATCAAGCTACCAATGACTTTCTTCACAGAATTGGAAAAAACGACTTTAAAGTTCATATGGAACCGAAAAAGAGCCTGCATTGTCAAGTCAATCCTAAGGCAAAAGAACAAAGCTGGAGGCATCACGCTACCTGACTTCAAACTATACTACAAGGCTACAGTAACCAAAACAGCATGGTACTGGTACCAACACACAGATATAGATCAATGGACCAGAACAGAGCCCTCAGAAATAATACCACGCATCCACAACCATCTGATCTTTGACAAACCTGACAAAAACAAGAAATGGGGAAAGGATTCCCTATTTAATAAATGGTGCTGGGAAAACTGGCTAGCCATATGTAGAAAGCTGAAACCGGATCCCTTCCTTACACCTTATACAAAAATTAATTCAAGATGGATTAAAGGCTTAAATATTAGTCATAAAACCATAAAAACCCTAGAAGAAAACCTAGGCAATACCATTCAGGACATAGGCATGGGCAAGGACTTCATGTCTAAAACACCAAAAGCAATGGCAACAAAAGCCAAAATTGACAAATGGGATCTAATTAAACTAAAGAGCTTCTGCACAGTAAAAGAAACTACCATCAGAGTGAACAGGCCACCTACAGAATGGGAGAAAATTTTTACAATCTACCCATCTGACAAAGGGCTAATGTCCAGAATCTATAAAGAACTTCAACAAATTTACAAGAAAAAAATCAAACAACTCCATCAAAAAGTGGGCGAAGGATATGAACAGACATTTCTCAAAAGGAGACATTTATGCAGCCAAAAGACACATGAAAAAATGCTCATCATCACTGGCCATCAGAGAAATGCAAATCAAAACCACAATGAGATACCATCTCACACCAGTTAGAATGGCGATCATTAAAAAGTCAGGAAACAACAGGTGCTGGAGAGGATGTAGAGAAATAGGAATGCTTTTACACTGTTGGTGGGACTTTTGACCCAGCCATCCCATTACTGGGTATATACCCAAAGGATTATAAATCATGCTGCTGTAAAGACACATGCACACGTATGTTTATTGCAGCACTATTCACAATAGCAAAGACTTGGAAGCAACCCAAATGTCCATCAATGATAGACTGGATTAAGAAAATGTGGCACATATACACCATGGAATACTATGCAGCCATAAAAAAGGATGACATGGACGAAGCTGGAAACCATCATTCTGAGCAAACTATCGCAAGGTCAGAAAACCAAACACCGCATGTTCTCACTCACAGGTGGGAATTGAACAATGAGAACACTTGGACACAGGATGGGGAACATCACACACCGGGGCCTGTCATGGAGTTGGGGGAGTGGGGAGGGATAGCATTAGGAGATATACCTAATGTAAATGACGAGTTAAAGGCTGCAGCACAGCGACATGGCACATGTATACATATGTAACAAACCGGCACGTCGTGCACATGTACCTTAGAACTTAAAGTATAATGAAAAAAATCAAATTCCTGACCACATAGCTAGACTATTGGTTACTATCTGACTCTGTAAATATCCAAACATTGCCCTGAGGTAAACAACTAAGTGGTTCTTCCTCCACTGTCATGAACATTGCTCTCAGCCCATTGCCTGAACTTACCTTGTGTTATTTGACTGAGTTTTTACTGGGCATAGGCAAATAATAGCAGACTTTTATATTGGCATTCCTGCTATACAGGAACTCTCATGGACAAACCGAGAAACTCGTTCTATTTGGTGGAGAGTCATGAGGTTTAGATCATTCAGCAACAGAAGGGGTCTCCTAATTAGTTAGTTCTAAAGCAAGGATGCCACCTGCTCACATATGAATTATAACTCCCCAGAGACACCTCTCCTGACATGAATCCTTTTGAAAATTGTGTTGTGCAGCTTCCTCTTTATTACAACCTAATTTTTATATCACTTGTGATATAACAGTTAGTTCAAGTCTTAATATAATTTGATGCTCTTAAGTTATGGGGACTGATTTCAGTGGAGTCCAGTAGCATGCCAGCAAGTGGGCTCTCTAGCCCCATTATCAGGAACTTCTTGAGTTAAAAAAAATCTCAGTGGCTGCCACAAGGTGGTTTGCATGTACTGTATTCCAGTGTCAGAAACTTCTAAAATCATGTGTGAATGTGCTAGAATCCTAAGGTCCCAGTAGCATACTTGGGCCACTGCCCATTACAAATTTTCACAGCTCGTCAAACAGTCCCTCAAGATATTGTGTCTTCTTTCTATTGGCAGGGTCCTAAAGGGAACATAATACTGTTTGTGGAATATCTCTGGTGGCCCAAAGTTATTTTTAGAAATTTTATGGACTGGGCTAAAGTCTGAATCTCAGCTAGATTGATTAACCATCCCACTAGTCTTATTTGCCACTGTAGCCCTCAACTCTCCTTGAGTTTTTTCCTCAAAGCAGGAAATCCTCACAGTGTCAATATAATGAATTAACTTCATTTTGATGATGATAATGATGATAATCTCACCAAATTGTAGCAGTGAGTTGGAGCAGTTGGTTATCCTTGGGGAAGGACCCTAAAGATATATTACATTCCTTCTCATGTAACAGCAAACTGTGCTTGACTTCTCTGAGTGAGATCAAAAGGATAGCATTAGCCTAATCTAGCACAAAAAAAAGTCAAATTTATCTTGCTGGACCTCTTGTACAGCTTGTGCAATGCCTAGCACAACAGACACTTGTTTAAATCATGGAAACTACCTTATTTAAAACATGATAGTTAACTGTTCTTTCCAAAGCCTGTTCTTTTTCTCCTGGGCCACATAGGATTAATAGAAAGCATTAGTGGGGATTAGCACTCTCCCTCCCATTGTTTCTTAATGAAAGATAAGATTTCTTGTGTCCTTCCAGAATCTGACACTGCCTGATTATTTACTACAAAGGAGGGTCTGTGCGAGTCTCAAGGCTTCTATATTGCCTGACTAATTAAAACCAAGTGGAGGGCAGACTTCTCTACCTTTTAAAGACATTTTGCTTGGCTTTAAGCTGGTAAGGACAAGACCTTTCATCACATCCATTCTCATTACATATTCAGGTGTAGACCAAAAACAAAATTCTAAGCACCTGCAACCAACTGAATGGACCCCCTCCTCTTGGTCAAGGGGATGTCAAAGAAACCTGAAAAACTAGTTAAGCTCATGATGGGAAGTGGGGAGTCAAACATCCCTCATTATACTCTCCTCCTTTGGAATTCAGGCACAACTGATCAGCATTAATATTAAAACAGAGATCTTAAGACTGAAAAAGCAGACTCTTTGTAGCAGTACGATACCAAATTCCAACCTTACTCTAGTATAGCATCACACAACAGATATAGCAGGCCCTGGAAGTATCAAAGTATTTTACCCCAAAATATTTTGAGATGTCCCTGCAAAGCTGTTTCTTATGGACAAATTTGCATTCTGTAGAGAATCTCCTTCCCTTTCCAGGTGTTTTTGTGATCCTAAAGAGATTAGCTGAGAGTCTAGCACCTTTTAAATGTCTAAATAGAAAAAACATTTGCCATCTATTGCCTCTAAGGGCGGCCACCTATGAGATTTCATCTACATAATAAGAACCTTGGTCTCCACAATCCCTTATCTTAACCCAGACACTCCTTTCTGTTGATTCCAGGTCTTTAGATAATAACTCAACTCTTTCAAGCAATTATCAATCAGAAAATCTTTGAATCTACCCATGACCTATAAACCCCTCCCCACCAGAACTTCAAATTCTCCCACATTTCTGGACCAAGCCAATATATACCTGACATGTATTGACTGATGCCTTATGTCTCCCTAGAATGTATAAAATCAAGTTGTAACCCAGTGGCCTTGGGTACATGTTCTCAGACCTCTGGGGGTATGTCACAGGTGATGGTCCTCACATGTGGCTCAGAGTAAATGTCTTAAAATATTTTACTGAGTTTGGCTTTCCATCAACACAGGTAAAGGCAGGAATTTGATTTTTGTTTTTTATTTCTTCATCTGTAGCTTCACAGTGATTCTGGTGTTATCTACTGTAATATTTCGATATGCTCCAAACTTCCATTTTCATACCTTAATATTGTCTTTTTATTCCCCTGCTATTATGGTACATTTTGCACCATCATTATGGTACATCCAATAATTCCAAAAAAGGTTTCCACTATCATCTGCCACTCAACATTAACTTATATTATACAACCTTGGACCCCCCGCCAGGGGTCATATGAGGATTTCTTCTCTCTCAAGTTTTTCTTTTTCTTTTTCTTTTTTTTTTTTTTCAGACAGGGTTTCATTCTGTTGCCCAGGCTAGAGTGCAGTGGTGCCGTCATGGATCACTGTAGCCTTGACTTCCCAGGCTCAAGTGATCCCACCTTAGCCTCCTGAGTAGCTGGGGCTACAGGTGCGCACCACCACACCTGAATAATTTTTTCTATTTTTTGTAGAGAAGAGGTCTCACTAGGCTGGTCATGAACTCCTGAGCTCTAGTGATCTTCCTACCTCAGCCTCCCAAAGTGCTGGGATTATAGATATGTGCCACTGTGCCCATCCTTCCCTCATTATTTATCCTTTTACCCACAACCTTAATAGACAAGTTAAAATCATTACCCTGTGCTAAACACACTGTATTTTCCTATTTTTTTCATCATTGCTGCCTTTAAACTCCTCCAGGCTGGGATAACTGGAACAGATCTGATAGGGTAGCTTAGGTGAGCTGGATGCAGGAGCTAGAGTAGGTTTCCCTTCTGTAAGCTATTGTTAATGTGCTGTCAAACCCTTTGTAGGGATCCCGTCAATTTCTTCCTTCTCTATTTTCTCCCTTCACTTGCCCTTCAAAAAATTTTTAAAGATCATTCTACCTCATTAAATGTTTATTTCTCTTATTCTGGTCAGTATCTTCACCCCAGCCCATTAGCTTTCTTCTGAACAGCTTAAACTTTCTTTTTATTGATAAAACCCATTATCGGTAGCTGTGAGAACAAATCTGCCTTGGCATTCTGTATATTCGAATCCTTGTTTTCTCACTAAAAGTATCATACTGGGAACCTATGCATGAGGGATTCCCCCTAATCACAATTTCTGCAATAGTTTGGGGCAGAGGCATATTATTCAGGGAAGCTCAACACTAATCATCATAAAACCAAGCAGGGTTGCCACTGCCCTTTATATTTTTAATGCTTCCACAGAAGCAACAGTTTCACTGTTAACAAAATGGATATAAAGTTTTCCTTTTCAGTATAAATTAAATATCAATGCCCCTTTTCACACACTCCCAAAGGGGCATTGATATTTAATTTGGGTCTTCTGTGGATCAAATACTGTACACTGTGACAAGTTGATGATTAGTAGTCATACTAGACCAATATCCTTGATGAACATTGATGCAAAAATCCTCAATAAAATACTGGCAAACCGAATCCAGCAACACATCAAAAAGCTTATCCACCATGATCAAGTGGGCTTCATCCCTGGGATGCAAGGCTGGTTCAATATACGCAAATCAATAAATGTAATCCAGCATATAAACAGAACCAAAGACAAAAACCACATGATTATCTCAATAGATGCAGAAAAGGCCTTTGACAAAATTCAACAACCCTTCATGCTAAAAACTCTCAATAAATTAGGTATTGATAGGATGTAACTCGAAATAATAAGCTATCTATGACAAACTCACAGCCAATATTATACTGAATGGGCAAAAACTGGAAGCATTCCCTTTGAAAACTGGCACAAGACAGGGATGCCCTCTCTCACCACTCCTATTCAACATAGTGTTGGAAGTTCTGGCCAGGGCAATCAGGCAGGAGAAGGAAATAAAGGGTATTCAATTAGGAAAAGAGACAGCCAAATTGTCCCTGTTTGCAGATGACATGATTGTATATCTAGAAAACCCCATTGTCTCAGCCCAAAATCTCCTTAAGCTGATAAGCAACTTCAGCAAAGTCTCAGGATACAAGATCAATGTGCAAAAATCACAAGCATTCCTATACACCAATAACAGACAAACAGAGAGCCAAATCATGAATGAACTCCCATTCACAATTGCTTCAAAGTGAATAAAATACCTAGGAATCCAACTTACAAGGGATGTGAAGGACCTCTTCAAGGAGAACTACAAACCACTGCTCAAGGAAATAAAAGAGGATACAAACAAATGGAAGAACATTCCATGCTCATGGGTAGGAAGAATCAATATCTTGAAAATGGCCATACTGCCCAAGGTAATTTATAGATTCAATGCCATCCCCATCAAGCTACCAATGACTTTCTTCACAGAATTGGAAAAAACGACTTTAAAGTTCATATGGAACCGAAAAAGAGCCCGCATTGTCAAGTCAATCCTAAGCCAAAAGAACAAAGCTGGAGGCATCATGCTACCTAACTTCAAACTATACTACAAGGCTACAGTAACCAAAACAGCATGGTACTGGTACCAAAACAGAGATATAGACCAATGGAACAGAACAGAGCCCTCAGAAATAATACCACACATCTACAACCATCTGATCTTTGACAAACCTGACAAAAACAAAAAATGGGGAAAGGATTCCCTATTTAATAAATGGTGCTGGGAAAACTAGCTAGCCATATGTAGAAAGCTGAAACCGGATCCCTTCCTTACACCTCATACAAAAATTAATTGACGATGGATTAAAGACTTAAATGTTAGACCTAAAACCATAAAAACCCTAGAAGAAAACCTAGGCAATACCATTCAGGACATAGGCATGGGCAAGGACTTCATGTCTAAAACACCAAAAGCAATGGCAACCAAAACCAAAATTGACAAATGGGATCTAATTAAACTAAAGAGCTTCTGCACAGCAAAAGAAACTACCATCAGAGTGAACAGGCAACCTACAGAATGGGAGAAAATTTTCACAACCTACTCATCTGACAAAGGGCTAATATCCAGAATCTACAATGAACTCAAACAAATTTACAAGAAAAAAAACAAACAACCCCATCAAAAAGTGGGCGAAGGGTATGAACAGACATTTCTCAAAAGAAGACATTTATGCAGCCAAAAAACACATGAAAAAATGCTCATCATCACTGGCCATCAGAGAAATGCAAATCAAAACCACAATGAGATACCGTCTCACACCAGTTAGAATGGCGATCATTAAAAAGTCAGGAAACCACAGGTGCTGGAGAGGATGTAGAGAAATAGGAATACTTTTACACTGTTGGTGGGACTGCAAACTAGTTCAACCATTGTGGAAGTCGGTGTCGCGATTCCTCAGGGATCTAGAACTAGAAATACCATTTGACTCAGCCATCCCATTACTGGGTATATACCCAAAGGATTATAAATCATGCTGCTATAAAGACACATGCACACATATGTTTATTGTGGCATTATTCACAATGGCAAAGACTTGGAACCAACCCAAATGTCCAATAATGATAGACTAGATTAAGAAAATGTGGCACTGTAGCCTTGTAGTATAGTTTGAAGTCAGGTAGTGTGATGCCTCCAGCTTTGTTCTTTTGGCTTAGGATTGACTTGGCGATGCGGGCTCTTTTTTGGTTCCATATGAACTTTAAAGTAGTTTTTTCCAATTCTGTGAAGAAAGTCATTGGTAGCTTGATGGGGATGGCATTGAATCTGTAAATTACCTTGGGCAGTATGGCCATTTTCACGATATTGATTCTTCCTACCCATGAGCATGGAATGTTCTTCCATTTGTTTGTATCCTCTTTTATTTCCTTGAGCAGTGGTTTGTAGTTCTCCTTGAAGAGGTCCTTCACATCCCTTGTAAGTTGGATTCCTAGGTATTTTATTCTCTTTGAAGCAATTGTGAGTGGGAGTTCACTCATGATTTGGCTCTCTGTTTGTCTGTTGTTGGTGTATAAGAATGCTTGTAACCAAAACAGCATGGTACTGGTACCAAAACAGAGATATAGATCAATGGAACAGAACAGAGCCCTCAGAAATAACACCGCATATCTACAACTATCTGATCTTTGACAAACCCGAGAAAAACAAGCAATGGGGAAAGGATTCCCTATTTAATAAATGGTGCTGGGAAAACTGGCTAGACATATGTAGAAAGCCGAAACTGGATCCCTTCCTTACACCTTATAAAAAATCAAGTCAAGATGGATTAAAGACTTAAACGTTAGACCTAAAACCATAAAAATCCTAGAAGAAAACCTAGGCATTACCATTCAGGACATAGGCATGGGCAAGGGCTTCATGTCTAAAACACCAAAAGCAATGGCAACCAAAGCCAAAATTGACAAATGGGATCTAATTAAACTAAAGAGCTTCTGCACAGCAAAAGAAACTACCATCAGAGTGAACAGGCAACCTACAAAATGGGAGAAAATTTTCACAACCTACTCATCTGACAAAGGGCTAATATCCAGAATCTACAATGAACTCAAACAAATTTACAAGAAAAAAACAACCCCATCAAAAAGTGGGCGAAGGACATGAACAGACACTTCTCAAAAGAAGACATTTATGCAGCCAAAAAACACATGAAAAAATGCTCACCATCACTGGCCATCAGAGAAATGCAAATCAAAACCACAATGAGATACCATCTCACACCAATTAGAATGGCAATCATTAAAAAGTCAGGAAACAACAGGTGCTGGAGAGGATGTGGAGAAATTGGGAACACTTTTACACTGTTGATGGGACTGTAAACTAGTTCAAACATTGTGGAGGTCAGTGTAGCGATTCCTCAGGGATCTAGAACTAGAAATACCATTTGACCCAGCCATCCCATTACTGGGTATATACCCAAAGGACAATAAATCATGCTGCTATAAAGACACATGCACATGTATGTTTATTGCGGCATTATTCACAATAGCAAAGACTTGGAACCAACCCAAATGTCCAACAATGATAGACTGGATTAAGAAAATGTGGCACATATACACCATGGAATACTATGCAGCCATAAAAAATCATGAGTTCATGTCCTTTGTAGGGACATGGATGAAGCTGGAAGCCATCATTCTCAGCAAACTATCGCAAGGACAAAAAACCAAACACCGCATGTTCTCACTCATAGGTGGGAATTGAACAATGAGAACACATGGACACAGGAAGGGGAACATCACACACCGGGGACAGGAAGGGGGAAGGGGGAGGGATAGCATTAGGAGATATACCTAATGCTAAATGACATGTTAATGGGTGCAGCACACCAACATGGCACATGTATGCATATGTAACAAACCTGCACGTTGTGCACATGTACCCTAAAACTTAAAGTATAATAACAAAAAACAGTCATACCAAAGAACTCTTTCCAATAAGCAGTTTCTAAAATCAACAGTTCCATGGCTGTTTAGTCTGAGAATCCAAGAAAGCAGAGATTCCTCAGTACTACTAAAAAATATAACCAAATTTCCTTCCTCTATTGCCTTTGGTTTGTATGTAGGTGTATCTGATAAGGCCACGTAGATGCACACAGGTTGAGAGACCTAGGGACCTAGATGGAGAAGGTCCCACTTTCTCCATGAAACCAGAATCTTAATCTTAGGATATAATTAACCTTTAGCTAGCCACAAGAAAGAAGAAAACCAAAGAGAATAAGAAATAGAGATGGACAATCTTTCCTGAGAAACAGGATTTGTTTAATGTATCTGCCAGTTACATGCAAGTGAATTAGTGGAAAAGGGAAGAGGCAAAAGGTATGCATAAGAAGTTTTAATGTACAGTGACCCTGCTTATAATAAATGCAGCTTAATCAATTTCTCTGGTTCTGACAAAACATATCAGCATTCTCTTCTCTTGGGGAAAGACATAAATGGAAGTGGGCAAACAGGCAGCAGGGAAACAAGGAGGAGAGAGTTCCTCTACTGCACTGCCTACACTTAGTATAGCACTTTGAAAAGGCAAAAGGATTACATATAGAATTATCTCACCTTCTACTATGTAAAAGTTTGTGTAATAATGGAGATCCTCCTGAAATAGAAGTTAGTTTACAGGTCAATTTGCCAAATCGGCTGTGCACTTTGCCTTTCTAAATCTTTTAATCTATAATTTTAAAAATTACATTAGATGATAGTTATAAGTTCTCTTTAAGATTTAAGATTCTGTGATTTTACTATTGTAGTGTCTATCCAGACTTCATTACCAAGTTCATTGTTGGTATGGGACAGGGATGACGGCTTATGCACCCTGCACATGGCTAGTGTTCTACAATTAGTCCATTTTTTAAACGCTGGTTGAGATGTGGGAAAGTATGTATCACTTGCTTCAATTCAAGGAGTTGGAAGGAATATACATATATACACTTGCATATAATATTTTTGGAATTAGAAACAAGAAAGTAATACTGGTTGCTTCTGAGCAAGGTGACGGAGGTATCAGGAGTTTTGGGTGGATGGGGAAATTTGTTTTCAGTATCAGTTGTCCTTTGTATTTATATTCTACTCTCCCCCTTGCTCTTTCTCCTCCAGCCACCCCGGCCTTCTTGCTCTTCCTCCAACATTTCAAAAACCCTCCCAATTCAAGGTCTTTGCACTTGTCATTCTGGTGCCTGGATCACTCTCCCTCCAGATACTCCCACAGTAAACTCCCTTACTTCGTTCAATGAGGCCAAAATGCCACGTTAATAATGAGACTTCCTTGACCACACTGTATGCAATGACTTCCCCCACAGACTCCCCATTACCCCTTAGCTAACAACCCCTATACCCTTAACATTTAGTAGCATCTGACATATTAAATATTTGGCTGTTTGTTTCGTGTTTGACTGCCTTTTGGAACACTGCCTGTGCTAACAATCAACAAATACTTGTTGAATTAAGAAACTTACTGCTTGAGGTTTTTAAAAAGTAATCACGAAATTACTTTTTCAACAAAAACAACCAGTTAGGGAATAAACATTTGATAAATTAACTTTTAGACCTATAGTATTATAGGATAAAGTCCAAACTTCGTTTCTCAACACATGGACTTTCCTCATCTGCCACGTATTGGCCACAGTCAAGTAGCCGGTTCCCTTTTCTCGTGCATAAAGTGGAGTTATTCATAATTACTTCACAGAATTAAGATTCAATGCAGATGAAAGCGCTTTTGTAACTAAGGCACTATAAGTTACCGTAAGCACAGGGTTTCTTCCGCGCTTGGAGCCTAGGAATAGTACAAGGTGTCAACCCGCGCTAAGGACCTGAGGTTCAAGGAGGGAAAAGTCTCCAGCGCAGCGCTAGGAGGCGCTACTCCGGCGCGGGGCGGGGCTCCTGGCCGCCGTTGCCAGGGAAACCGTCTGGGCGTCCCTAGTATCTGAGCCCTCGCGCCTGGGCCACTCAGCTCGACCTCTCTCCAGCGTTAGCAATAGGTGGAGCGCGGGCCAATCGGAAGAGGCCGGAGGGGCGGGGCGGGCAGTGGCCCTGGGAAGGCGGGTCCGCGGCCTCGCTCCCTGACTTCCGGGTCGCGGTGCTTGAAGGGAGTGTTCCGTCGTTTCCGTTGCCGGCTGTTTGCAGTGGGGAAACCGAGGCAGCTCCTGCTCCCCCTAGTTCTTCCGCTCCTGTGAGGTGGCTGCTGTTTCTTTTCCTCTTGCCCCGGATGCCTCGGTGCGGCTGCACTGAGAGCGCGCGGGCTCGCGAGCCCCGCGGGGTTCTGCGGGAACCCGGGGGCGCCTGGGCCGGCGGGTCTTTGTGCGAGCCCTGCCCTCCCATTCGCGGGCGGCGCGCGAGGGGGGTCGGCGCAGAGACGCCCAGAGCCCTGGGGTGCTCAGGCGCCGCTACGCGTGCATCCCCTCTGCTCGGCAGTTCTGCGCTTTTGTCCTAATGAGCGCGGACTAGATGGCTTGATTTTCAAGATAATGATCAACCCAGCTGTGCTATGCGCTCTTTCTGCACTGACCTGCGGGTACTTCGAACTTCGACAGTCCCTCCTCAGGCCCTAGTCCAGAGGTGACGTGTCTGTGGGAATGTTTAAGGCAGGAAGGAGACGAGCAATTTTGTTTTTAAGTATCTCCCTCTCACTAGTATCTCCCTGACTTTTTCATTTAGAAGCTGAAGAATTTTCTTATGGCATAAGATATAGTTGTATCGAGTGTGTACTTAGCAAAACAAAAACTTGTTAGTATTTCTGCCCTTGACCTATTGAATGGAAAATCAAGAATGAGCTAAGGTGTTATATACTCAGTGTTCAACTTGTATACTTAAGTTTGTAGTGTTTTTATTTGCTGGCATCACCTGACTGGGACAGTTGTAACGAATTATCCACATGGGATAAGAAGAGTGTATTCTATAAAAACAACTCTGATGTTTTGGTATATATTTTAATTGTTGATTAGTTGGAGTCCTCTTGATCTTGAACTGTTGAGCCCCAGTTCTCAAAGAATGGGAAGTTAGGAAACTAAGATATGAAATACAATTATTTAGCAAAAAGTGCAAACCATTCTGTTACTCTTTCAAGCCATTGAATAGTTTGAGTACATTGTTTGAATTTTAGTTTTGAAAAAGTGATTAATTGGCCATTTGATCATCAATTAATAGCGGTATATATTACACCTGCCATTGTTTTTAAATGCCTAATTAAACTGTCAAAACAGACACAATGAAATGATAGATACATAATTTGAGATTTGATCAGTTGTATAAACTTTTTAAATTTTAAAATTCAGTTTAAGGTCATTAAGCTTGTCTTGTATGTTTCCCTCCTCCAGGAAAAAAAAATGTTTATTTCTTTGTGGGAGTTCTTCTATGGGCACTTTTTTCGATTTTGGATGAAATGGCTATTACGACAGATGACTGGGAAGTGTGAATTGCAGCGAATATTTGATACCTATGTAGGTGCACAAAGGACACACAGGATAGGTAATGTTATTCAAAAAGAAAAAGTACTAATAAAAGTTTAACGGAGTGTTTTTCTCAGGACTCACAGTGACAGATGTATTTCTTTTGTATCCTGACAAGTCACTTAAACTGAATTTCATAAGCTCTGAAGTCCCGCTTTGACTCCTTCAGCTCTAAAATTGTATGAATTTATAGAAAAAGTGGTTATTTAATTGCTTATGTGTGGAAAGAATTCTCTGGCTCCTGAAGTTTATCGGTTATTCCTTAGATTATAGTTGCAACCTATTTTCTGGTGAAAAATTTCTATACTTACATAATCCCTTTGAAATTTTCACTCACATGGTGGGAAGAATGAGTGCCTCAGTCTACATCCATTTTTATACTTAGGATCCTTCATCAGTCTTTTACTTTCTTACTGTTACTTATGAAAGGCCTGTAATTATGTATCCAGTGGTCTCTAGGAAAGATTATTAGACTCATTCTCACTGTCCAATACCATAGCCAATAGCCACATTATATTGAGCATTTGAAATGTGGCTAGTCTAAATTGAGATGTGCTGTAAGTGTAAAATATAAACTGTATTTCAAAGACTTATAAGAAAATGTAAAAAGTCCCAGTAATTGTTTATATTCTTTGTATGTTGAAATGGTAATATTTTGGATATGTTGGGTTAAAAATATATTAAAATGTTATCTGTTTCTTTTTACTTTAATGTGGCTATACAGAATTTTAAAGTACACAAATGGGTCACATTTTGGCTTGTGTTATATTTCTGTTGAACAGTGTTGCTCTGTTACCTTCTAAAATACATCAGTTTTCAGTGCTTCATTGAAAATTTTACTCTAAAATTTGAACACAGATGAGTAAGAACTGTGTTTTGAAGTCGCTTCTTTTCAGCCAGGGTAAGGAAGAGCAGAGAAGTGCTCTAGCTCATGCTCTCTGTGTTAAACGGAAAATTGTGAATTAGCCAGATTTTTTTTTTGTGTTGATCAAGTGTGCTTCGACTGAGAAATCAACCCCTGTCAGGTTAAGAGAGTGGAGTATTGGCAAATGGAACCTGTATCCAAGACAACATCGGAAGAATGACAGACAGACGCTGCCTCATAGCAGCTGGTTGATTAAGTTTAATTACTTTCCTAGTTTTCTTACAACTTCATGGTTGACTTAAATTATTGCTGCTCTTTTAATTTGCCCTTTTGACTACTCAAAAGAACAAAGTACCTCTTGATAAGAAATCTCTTCAGGCAGTATGGGTTGGTGTTTTATAGTGTGGGGGAAGAATATATATAAAGGCATTTGTTTGTGGCAAAAGCATTTTTCCTAAATTTTTCAAATTGCTGAGAAAAGATTATTCGTAAATGTGCCAGAAAATTTTTTAAATAGACCAATAAAAATGTTCCTGTGATTCTTGATATAGAAACCAGGAATGGAGAAGCTATTTGTCTGGTGACAGAAGGGTTGACCAGATAATCTGAAGTCCTTGCCTATTTGTTGTACGATTTGGTTGCTATCACCTCAAATCTAAAGGCTCAGGCTAACAAATGAAAATGCAGTAGAGAGCACTCTCATTGTAGTCTTAAGATGAGTTTCTGGGACCTGAGCTACTGTGACACAATTATGGGTGAATTTGCAGTGGTTAGTAGACACTTTGGGGTCTAAACAGAAACATATGACCCCAGGTAATGAGGTTGGTGTCACCTCTTTGAATAGGTATTTTGTGTTTGGTTGAGTTTTTTGAAATCATATGTTTATACTGTAAGATTAAATTTTAAAATGCTTCCTGTTATATAGAAATTATATCTCCTGGAACTATTAGTTTGTTACTGGTTTGATATTTTTACTAGTTGTTTATTATAGGGTAATTGACAAACAGCATTTAAGTGATAACATCTTTTTTTTTTTTTTGTCATTTCAGAAAATTCCTTGACATACTCCAAGAATAAGGTAGGATAACATAAAGGTGGTAACTCTAGAAAACTTAACGTGGACATATTTTTTCTTAAAAAAAAAAAAGTGCCCTGCTAGAAGAGTGTTTTCTATAGTGAGCATTGAGTGAAATTTTCCCCGTTTAGAGGTAATATTCTGTTTTCAAACATTTCTCTATATATGTGTTTTTCGTGTGTATTTCAAAGAAAATACTTGAATAATTTGTCCTGTCCTGAGGTTTTATTTGTTTATTTTGCTTTAAGAGTTGATAGCTTTTAGGAAAGCAGGGCCTTAGGAGGAAAGTCGTCTTTTAGACTGTGTCCTCAGGATAGATTATATGAGAGAAAAGCAACTTAGGATAGAGAAAACCCTGGGTTGTGTACCTTTTGAGCTAAAATAAGTCATAATTCATGCTATGTATTAGTCAGCTTTTGCTGTGTAACAAACTATAATAAAATCTCAGGGGCATAAAACGATACGTTGTTTCTTGCTCATATGTCTATGGGTCAGCTGGAGAAGCCTTACTTCAAGCTGGGGCCAAGTTCCTGTCTATTCCATTTGTCTCATCTGGGACTCAGGTAGGGGGTTAACAGGTATCTGGTGAATGTTTTCACCATGGATAACTAAAGGCCCAACTACACAAATATATTTTAAGTCTCTTTGTGTCATGTCTGTTAGCAACCTGTTAGTTAAAACAAGTTACATGGCCAAGCCCAAGTCAAGGGGTGGAGAAATATGATATGCCCACCGTAAGGCTATGGTAGGGAGTAGGTTGTATAATTCAATTACAAGGTAATGAAGAATTGGGACCAATAATTCAGTCTACCACATGCTGTTACTTCCCTATTGTAGTTCACAATTTTGTCTACATGTAGATTATTTGGTGTGGCAAGGATAGAATACGGGTCATCTAGACCATTGTTTGAAATCCCATAATAGAACACAACCAGTATTAAACAATAATAGGAATAGAACAGAAAATATTTAGAAACCATTGGTCATAA
Source organism: Homo sapiens (assembly GCF_000001405.40). NCBI lineage: Eukaryota > Metazoa > Chordata > Mammalia > Primates > Hominidae > Homo > Homo sapiens. The sequence continues at coordinate 140,528,481 of NC_000004.12, forward strand.
TATGGTTAAATATATTTTAGGAATTTTTTATACTATTATAATTATTTTAAATATTTCTGTGTACATCTGTGTGTATTTTGGACATCCACATGAATGTTTGTTATTGATCATGATGTAAAATGTGGCTCAAGGTCAAAAATGTTGATTTGCTACTGTCTAGTATTATGAATCGTGCCAGAAATAAAATAGACCTTCTTGAGAGTTGCAAGCATATCTGTTATGTTCTGAAGAGTAACCTTTAAAATAGGTACTTTAATGATTTAGTTGTACTCTTTAAGAATGGTCTATTTAAGAATAACTCATATATATAAGTGAATATTTGGGGGAAGAGTCCAGAGTTACACTCCTTTGTTCAGAATTGTTAGAGAGTGATTAATATATTTTTTAAAATGAGGATGTGGAGGTCCTGAAAGCTAACAGGTTGCTGGTTCTCAAAATTTATTTATACCTTATTTATTTGTATAGTTCCTTTATTTGAAACATAGGATGCAGTTTCCCAAAGTAACAATATTACAAATTTTAGCAGATGCACTTGGGGAGGTGTTATATTTCAGGTCCATTACAAGAGTAGTCCTTAAACTTAAGGAAGAATCAAAATCTTCTGGAGGCCTATTAAAACACAGATTATTGGGCCCCATCCCCGGAATTTCTGGTCTGGTTCTGATTGCATTTCTAACATGTTCCCAGGTGATACTGCTGCAGCCGTTCCTGCTGGTGAGGGCAGTGTCTTGAGGCACTAATAGCATATTAGTATGCTGTCTGGGGACTGTTGTGGATCATAACTGCTTTAACTTTGTTTCGATAGGAAACTGTGTATGTTTTTCAAACTGACCTTAAACAAGTTGGTTTGGAACTATTTGGGTGCTGAACCCTCTAGAATGAATTGTTCTGTGAAATCTGTTTTCTTTAAGCCTCGACATTGTAAAGAGAGTAAAACCATAGCTGAGCTCTTTATGTTATACCCACAATCCCAGCTTCCAACCAATTTTTTCAGTAGTGTGTTCCTCCAAATAACCTTGACATCTCTCAGCCTGGAAGTTGTCCAACACTGCCATTGCTGTCCACTAAAACTCTTATCTGGTCCCCTTCATTACTCTCTGACTTTATCTACTACTGTTCTTGCCTTGCTCACTGGTCATCACCACTATGCTGCCTGTTATTTTCCAAACACATCAGCATGCTTCTGGTTTATGACCTTTGCACCAGGTCTTCTGTTTAAGTAGAATTATCTTCTCCCGCTTAAAAGCTTAGCTCACTTCCTCATTTTCAGGTTTTTCCTCAGTTATGACATTCTCTATGAGATTTTCCATGACCATTCTCTACCTAAGGGTATACCTTTGTCTCTCTTTATGATCCCCTTTCCTTAATTGTTTCACCATAGCACAGACCATCACTAGCGTACTAAATATTTTACTTACTTATTTTTCCATTCCTGAAAAGAAAAAGGCATTGTTTATTTTTTGTTGTTGTTTTGTTCACTGATGTTTTTCTAGTACCTGAAACAGTGCCTGGAATGTGATAAGGCTCTGAATATTTATTGAGTGAATGAATGAATAAGTGAGAAAAATAAGAGGATAAAGAATAATAAGTAAATGAAAATTAACTTTTTTCAGAATAGAGTGTAGTGTTTCTTTTATTTACTAATTTACTGTAGAGGTTCTGGAACTGGGGACTCAGTATCACATCTATCAGTGTAATTGTTATAACTGCATTTGTAACAACAGTTTTGGTCACAGAATTTATTAATGGGATTGTATGTGTGGTAAAATCATGCCAAGCTTAAGTGGAACAATACATAAGATGCTACATTTAAGAACTCCAGTGCCTTGGTCAAATCCGTCCAAGGATTTGAATGACTACCACATGTTCAGTATTCAACCAGGGTCTTTGGGATATTCAAAAGATATACAAAAGAAGACTGGAATTGAATGTAATTGTAAGTAGAAGTTTAGAGAAGGAAGAGGTAAATGTAGACTAGAGTGTTTGGGGATTTTAAAGTAGTGGTTACAAGTTAAAGAAAAATAAAATGTTCATCATTTTTTACCTCTGTTTCTTGCTATTAAAAAGTTCACTTGAAAAGTAAACATTAAAATTGTATTCTTATGAACTTCATTATTCAAAAATAGAAATTGCTATAGTACTTTGGAGGGCATCCTGCAAAGAGAGTGGTCAACAAATGGGTAAATACTGAAATTAAATCACTTAACGATTTATTCTTTTAAGGTTTTAAATCTAAGACAAACTTTCCAATAAACAGAGGTAGCCTTATCAATTTAAAAATATAATTTATGTGTGTATTGCACCTAATTTGTATATTCCATTTACTTTGTAGGGTAAATCTATTTCTCATTTTGTGATATTTTGGTTTACCTAATTACATTTTTATTCGATAAAAAAGTCTGGGTTCAAATCCTGATATTATCAATTACCAGTTGTTTGACTGTGTACAAGTTACTTATTTTCTCATTCTAAAAGCTATTCATACCCACATAGTTGTTTTGAAATTAGAGATATTACTATGAAAACAGTCTAAGAGAATGCCCAATACTTAGTAAGTATTCAACAAATAGTGGTTACTAATAATATTAATGATAATATAATTAAGCCAATATATACCATAATCATTTTAGAAATTTGATATTCATGAAAACCTCTTTGGTACTTGAGAGTACTTAGCATTACCAATGATTGCTGTGAATAAAAGTGATTTTAATCTATTCAGAGTGATTCCCTAAAGCAGTGATCTTGAAGTATGATCATGTTGGACTGTGCACTGTTCCACAGTGTGCATTCTTTCTTTGTTAAAAATTGAATCTTATTTGCTTATATTTTAGATTAAGGACTATTTATCAATTAGATATTAAGGGTTAACAAACTGGGATTTATAAATAAAAATTAATGACTTATTCGAATTTGAGGAGTCTAATTCAATATTCTGCTAAGAAGTCTGGCTTCCATGCAATATATGACAATGGAGCAAAGCTCCACTGTACTTACGCATATACAGGCATTTGAATTTCTGAAAGTTAGGGAGGAATACTTTGGCAATCTATTGGTGTTTTTGGTGGCTGTCTTTTTATTGCAGCTGCCGTCTTAGGGTTTAAATAATAATGTAGCTGTTAAATAGTTGAATAATAAATACATTTTACGGCATTAGTTTAGTTTTCTTTTAATGCTATAGTGATGCACATTTGCATTTTTGGGCCTCTACTTTTCCACTACAGCCTATAGTCATTCAAAGTATAATAAGGGGATTCTATGAACAACTTTATGCCAGTAAATTGTTTGATTTTACACAAAATGGACGAAGTCCTTGAAAAACAACTTACCAAACTAACACAAAAAGAGATTAAAAATCTAAATAGTAGTATACTTACAAAAGAAATAGAAACTGTAATTTAAAATTTTTTCACAAATCTCTAATCTTGGCTTCACTAGTGAAGTGTTAAACATTTAAGGGAGAAGAAATAATACCACTATTACATTAACTCCTAGGAAATAGAATAGAAAGAAACACACTTTATGGGGCCAGTATCATCTTGATACTAAAGCCAGATATAGACAATATAATATATGAAAATTACAGTTCAATGTCCTTCATGAATATAGGTGCAAAAGTCCTTAACAGAATGCTAGCAAATTGATCCTAGTAATACATAAAAAGGATAATATGTCATGTTGAGTTGTTTTTTTTTTTTTTTTGATACAGAGCCTTGCTCTGTTGACCAGGCTGGTGTGCAGTGGCGTGATCTCGGCTCACTGCACCCTCCACCTCCCGGGTTCAAGCAGTTCTCTCACCTCAGTCTTTCTCGAGTAGCTGGGGTTGCAGGTGCACACCACCATGCCTGGCTAATTTTTGTATTTTTAATAGAGACAGGGTTTTACCATGTTTCCCAGGCTGGTCTCAAACTCCTGACATCAGGTGATCCACCCATCTCTGCCTCTTGAAGTGCTGGGATTACAGGCATGAGCCATTGCACCTGGCCTGTCATGTTGAGTTTTCAGAATCAATGTATGTAATTTACCACATTAACAGAGTAAATCAGAAAAATATGGACATTTCAGCAGATACTGAAAAACTGTTTTGACAGAATTCAGTACCAATTCATGATTAAAAAATCTCAACTAGGCATAGAAGGAACTTTCTCAACCTATGAAAGGCTGTGAAAAACCTGCAGCTAACATGATACATAACACTGAATTATTGAATGCTCACCACATTTAACTGGGAACAAGACAAATATATGTACTTTCTCTGCTTTTATTCAGCATCATACTAGAGATCCTAAGTAGTGCAATAAGGCAAGAAGAAGCAATATAAGACATAATGATTGGAAAGAAATAAATTATATTAACAGATGACGTACTTTGTGAATGTAGAAAATCCTAAGAAATCTACAAAAACTACTGGCATTATTAGTAAATGAATTTAATAGTGTTACAGGACATGGTATACTACTGTATGTTAGCAACAAACTTTTGGAAAATAAAGAACAATACCACTTACAAAAGCATCCAGAAAACATAAAATATTCAGGGCTAAATTTAATGAAAGATGCATAAGACTTCTGCACTAAAACTCCCAGAGAAAATTGCTGAGAAAGATGAAAATGGAACCATACACTGTATTCATCCATTGGAGGACTCAGTATTAAGATGTTATTTCCCAAATCGATCTATGGATTCAATGCAGTTCCAGTGAAAACCCCTGCAGACTACTTTTGAAGATTCTGACAAGCTCATTCTAAAGTTTGTAAAGAAATGGAAGGAACCTAGAATAGCCCACGTAACCTTCTAAAAGGACCCCTACTACCTGACTTTAAGACTTTATAGTCAAAAGATGAATATAACAGATGAGAGACCAGAAATTGACCACACCTAATATGTCACAATTTTTAACAAGAGTATCAGAGCAATTCAATGAGGAGAAGAAAGTCTTTTCAATAAATAGTGCTGGAACAACTGGGTATGTATGGGGGAAAAAAGAAACCTCAACTTCAATCTCTTACCATACATGAAAACTAATTTAATACGGATGTTAGACCTATGTTTAAGCTAAAACTTTAAAGTTTCTGAAAGCAAGCATAGGAGAATATCTTCCACCTTGAGTTATGCTGCCACTTAAAAAAATTGAAAAGTTAAACTTCATCAAAATAAAACTGCTTATCAATGATACCTTTAAGGAAAGGAATAGGCAGGCCACAGACTGAGAATGTATTTGCAGCATATGTATCTGATAAGGGACTTGTATCTAGTAAATAACTTTTATAACTCAGTAATAAAAAGGCAACAGAATTTTTAATGGGCAAGAGCTTTGAACAGTCACATGACAAAAGTGTATATATACGTGTGTGTGTGTGTGTATGTATACACACTTGGAAAAGTGCTCAGCATTATTAGTCATCAGGGAAATGCAAATTAAAATCACAGTGAGAAGACACTACATACCTAAAAGTTACCTAAATGAAATAGACGAACAACACTAATGTTGGAAACACCAGTTGGAGCAGAAGATGATATTATCACTTTGGAAGTGGTTTTGGCAATTTCATTCAAAGTTAAACACATACTGCCCTAGTAATTTCACTCTTAGGTGTCTAAGAAATGAAAATATATATTTACCAAAAGTATAATAAAGTATGGTCCCAAACTGGGAACAATGCAAATTTCCAGTACCAGGAGAATGAATAAGCAAATTGAGGTATATTCATGCAATACAACTCAACAATTAAAAGGGACAAATTACAGATATGAGAAAGAATGTGGATATGAGTAAGAATGTGGATGAATCCTAGAAACGTTATGTTGAACAAAAGAAGCCAGACACAAAATAGTACGTACTTTGATTCCATTTATGGGCATACAGCTAAGCTATGGTGGTAGAAATCAGAACAGTGGTTGCTTCTTGAAGGAAGAATTGATTGAAAAGGGGCATAAACGAACTTTCTGGGATGATAGAAATGTTCTGTATCATAGTAGGGATGTGGATTATCTGGATGTATGTATTTGTCAAAACAGATCAGACAACATCTGTGCCTTTCACTGTATTTAAATTATAAATCAATTTTTAAAAAAGTAATGGAATAGTATATACAGGAAAGAGTATTTGCTTAGAAACTAGATGTGGTTTCTCGTCTTGACTCTGCCCTAAATTTATATATGCCTTGGGCAAGTTCATTCAATCAGTCATTTGTTCATAATGTATTTAACAAAGTTTTGAGCATGTAATCAGTAATGTGCTATCCTAGACGCTCAAGATATAAGAGTAAATAAGAGAGACAAATGCTGGTGGAGAACATAGAGAAAATATGGTGTGGTCAGTGCTCTCTAACTGAAGTATGACTGTGAAAGGAAGTAGGTAACTCTAGGGCTGGGGAAGACTTCACAGAGGAAGTGACATTGAACTGGATTTTTAATGTTTTAGGAGTTTGTAATACATGCAAAAGGTATGGCTTTTGCCATGACTACCCATGGCGAAGGTAGTCCTTTTACCAGTGCTGGTATTTAAGCTTCAACACTCTTCCTGTACTCATATTATCTCAGGATTGGACAAGCTAGACTTTGTTGACCATATCTGTATCTTTACTGATTGTTATTAATAGATCTTTGACCATTTTCTTCTCACCTTTTACTTTTCTCTGGGGAAATCTGTTTCTTTCTCTCTCTCTCTCTCTCTCTCTCTCTCTCTCTCTCTCTCGCCTTGGGGTATATCTAAACTAAGGACTCTATTTTTATTTTTCTTACCATTTTTGATTTGAAGTCTTAGTTTGTGAACTGTTCTTCAGTATGCACAGTAAATTCCTACAGTTTTCAAATTTGATCTGATTTTGTTTTTGTCAATGCCAGTTTGTTACCAGTGGTGATCTCTGGAGACAAGATTTTGAGATTCAACTCTTTTCTGCATTTAATTTTTTAAACTTATGCATTCAAGATTTTTATTATGTAATTAAAATATCTACTTCGTAAACACTATGGTGGCAGCTCATTTGCTGAGAACTCATCAGCTGAGAACCTGTTGACTCAGTTGAGGAAGCCTTCCTCTGGTACATCATGTTGCTGTTCTTTTATTATAAAACTATATATATATATGTGAATTTAGCCCTAGAGAAAATGTGAAATAAACTGGTTGAAACAAACTGGGTTTATTTTGCATTTTTAATATCTACTTTGTAAGGTTGATTAAATGTCTCACAACTATGTCTTTTTCAGCTACAAAGAATTTTTCTCATTTGGCTTTCTTTTACATAAATAGGTTTTACAGAAGGCGACACATGTTGTTCAGAGTGAAGTGGACAAATATGTAGATGATATTATGAAGGAAAAGAATATTAACCCTGAGAAGGATGCCAGGTGTGCGTTTTTTACATTATTCTTTTTTATTATGCATTTATAGCCTGTGAGGTATCAATATCACACACTGTTGTAACACTTTAGAGCTGAAGGGTTTGTGGAGATCATCTGATTCAGCGCTCTCACTTCACAAGAGGAGCAGTTGAGATCCAGAGAGGGCAGTGATAGAATCGGGACTAGAACCTGTATCTCTTGGTTTCCAGTCCAGTACTAATGCCAGTATATCATCTGCCTTCTTCAAGATGTCTTACCATGACTTTCCCAAGGTTAATAACTTTGGCTACTATGTCTTTTGAAATACAGTTCCTGTGTCCTCCTCTAGTAAGGTCCTACCAGGCTCCTCCATTCTGAGTTAGGTGCATTGCTGTGGCATCTCATAGTGCTATCATACCATTTAACCCATTGTACTATAGTCATTGATTAACTCTTGTCCTTCCCTCTGTAAATTCTAAGTTCCATAAGAAGAGGACTTATCCCATTTCTGTGTTCCCAGCGCTGGTATGTTGACATAGTATTTCACACTTTTTCCTTCATTCAGCATTTTCTATGTGAATATAGAGGAAGGAACAATTTATTTCAGCTGAGATGAGGAACGGTCTAGGAGGGAACTGAGGATAGTTCCACCCAAGAGGTGGTATTTACACTGGACCTTGATGAATGGGTAGGGGAACAGTGCCAACAAGGCACAGAGACATAGAAATATTAATACTTTTGTATCTGGAATGATAGGGAATTATTTGTAGCTGGATCATTGAATATGAGCAGAGTAGTGGCTGGAGAAATGAGTGAAATGCTAGATTGATACATTGCAGAGTCTTGTATGCCATACTGAAGGATGTAGATGTTGTCCTCTGGTTTTTAAGCAAACAAGCTACATTTTTAGATATGTATTTTAGGAAGATGGAGAGTAGATTTGATAATGTGGGAGGCTGGCAGAAGGAATAAAGAATAGGAAATTTGAGTTATTCAGGTAAGAAATGACAAAGGCATAAATACAGTAGGAGAAAGAGTGCTATGAGGATTGCTTTGAAGGACATTTCAGAGATAGAAAGGTTTAGCGTATGGGGATCTTTTGATACATTGTGATGGAGAGAGGCAGGTCAGAACTTGGAGTGTTGTAGCTTGGGGAACTAATGGGTAGCGATGTCATTAATAGATCTAGACACTAAAGAAAGAGCATGTTTCTTTAGGGAAGAGAAGCAGTTTTATTTAGAGCTGAGATAACCTGTTGTGGAGCTATTTGTTTTATATATACTCGGAAAATTAAGTCTACTGGTGATATCTGGCAATAAAGATTTAGGAATGTATAGGATTGCCCAGAGAAAACATGAAGAGAAAATCCTTCACAAATCCTTACAGTTGTGAAGTTTGCCATTCCTACCATGTCTTGCCCTCTTTCTAGGCCTTGTATCCTATATAGTACTTTACATAATGTTTTGTATTTAAGGTGGCCTTTGGTGGGTCTTATATTAAACTGAAAGCCAGGAAATGCTTTCTAAATAGACATATGAACCACAAGCTATGAAAGACTTTATTGTGATAAGAGGGTATGCTTTTTAAAAATAATTTTATCATTTTTAGTTTTAAAATATGCATGAAGATGTGCTTACTGCAGATAACTGGTTATAAACAGCTGTATTTGGATGTAGAAAGTGTGAGGAAAAGGCCATATGATTCTGATAACCTACAGCATGAAGAGCTACTCATGAAGGTAAATTTCTGTTTTCTTTATGTGGAGTTGTTGAACGCTAGAAAAATAAATCAGGCTTCAGCTAAGTAAAGTCTGCAAATTCTAGAGGCTTATATGGCTAGGCTTATATGGTTTCTTTGCCCTTAGAGAATTTTATTATGCTGGATTTCACTGATATGGAAAGATTTTTAGTTAGGTATTTTTATCATTTTCTGATAAGCATTATTATAAATATATAATGAATATATATTTATATGAATAAATATATTCAAATAAATTTTATTTTAATGTTTTTATTTCTGAAATAAAAACCTATAGAGATCTTTTCAACCAAAAAGTATATGTCTACAAGTTTCAGATTTTTCTCCTACTTTTTATACAAATTGCTCATATAAGTTAAGCATTTTTTCAGCTACTTACAAGTTGAAAACATGTGTGTCCCTTTTCAGATTATTTTGTCCAATCTTTTGGGACTTATGGAATGTTAATTGCCAAGCAATGCCACAAAAGATTTAAACTTTAAGAAAGTAAAAATTATTTACTTAGAATTTTCCTTTTTCTTATTTCTAAAGTATAAATGCATAAAGCCAATGAGGTGCCAAAATTAAAGAGTAATAGACCTAGAGTAAGCTTTACAGATCATCTAGACTAGTCCCTTTGTTTGAGGGATGAAGACTCTAAGGACTAGGGAGATGAAGCAATTTGCTTTAGTACTAGAATGGTAGGGCCTGGAACAGAGCTGAATCTCCTGCCCATCCTCTACACCTATTCCAATTTTATTTTAAAATCGTTAAAGAAAATAGCGCATTGCAGTTGGAATTAGGAGTTCTTTATAACAAAAAGTACTGTGGAAACAACATTGATACTATCTAAATAACACTAAGCGATACAAGTTTAAAAACAATAAAGGCTTTTTTTTCATTAAAAGTGTATTTTGTTAAATGAGGATGATACAAATATGTATCTCAAAGGGTTATTGTATGGAGGAGTTTTTATATTTAAAGTGTTTAAAATAGTACCTGGCACTTACTGAGGATTAACTGCTATTTCTGTCCCCATTGTCATCATTTTTCCCTTCATGTTAGGCCCTTGCTACACGATACCTTTCCTTTTGAGGGAAAAAAGTACAAGTCCTAGCCCTCTAGTCCAGGGAATTTTACCTTGGTGCTTCATGGTGAAATTCAGTTCTACACTACACATACTCAGCAGTCTTACTGGGTGAAGAGCTATGTAATCTGTCTTGCTTTAAGTGTAGTCCAAGGACCACCTTTACTAGCGTTAAATAGCATTTACTATGTACACTCCAAAGTTCCACCTTAGACTTAGAAAATTAGAATTTCCAGGAATGGAACCCAGAAATTCAATATTCATGCATATTAAATTTTTAATACTAGTGGTTCTACACTGTGGCTCTCACCACATCACTGAGGCCTTATCATTGGCATAATCAAACTCCTTGCAGAATTCATGGAGAGAGGCTAATGTAAGCAAGTCACAGGTGTTGATAATAAAAGTAGTGACCAGGTAAACCTAATGTAATGATTGGATTTAGCTTCAGAGCCAGTCTTGACCCTGTTTTAAAGCAAGGTCACTTCACATTTTATTTTAGGTAACAGAATACTCCTTTCATTAGGGGTCCTTATTCAACAGTGCTTTAAATGGTAATGAAATGGGAAAAAAATGAAAGTATTTCTGTTTTGCAAATTTTCGCAAACCTTCTTTAGTCAACTTCCGTAAGTTTCTTTCATTTGATGGCTTGTGGTATTGAATTTAAACAATAAATTTTCTTTATTTTGCATTGAGTAGTTTATTGGTATGTAATATTTGATAGTTGGTTTGTTTTTTTTTTTTTCCTTTTTGAGATGGAGTCTTGCTCTGTCGCCCAGGCTGGAGTGCAGTGGCGCCATCTCAGCTCACTGCAAGCTCCGCCTCCCGGGTTCACGCCATTCTCCTGTCTCAGCCTCCTGAGTAGCCTGCCACCACGCCTGGCTAATTTTTTGTATTTTTAGTGGAGATGGGGTTTCACCGTGTTAGCCAGGATGGTCTTGATCTCCTGACCTGGTGATCCACCTGCCTCGGCCTCCCAAAGGGCTGGGATTACAGGCATGAGCCACCATGCCCAGCTTGATAGTTTTTCTTAAATCCTCATCATTAAAGATATTTATTTAAAACCAAATCATATTTTTTTAAACTGAAAATTTGTAAAACAAGTTGGAATGCTATCAGTATCATTTCTTCATGCTCTTCTGTCTTATACCTATTTTCATTCTGATTAGGGACTATTAACCCACCATTATAATAGAGCCTATTTAACTATACAGTATCTGAAGCAAGGGCTAAGTTCCTAAAATACTGTGTTTTTCTCAAGCAGTTTACCAGTTCTGGGCATATCTGTATTAATTAGTAAATAAAGACATCTCATTGTTTAATATTTTTCTGTATTATTTGTTATCTTTTCAAAATCTGTTCTTTATACCAGTCTTTTTAATGGGAATAAATGTGCTGCGTGTTTTAGGATAATTGAAAAATGTTCTAAAGTCTTTGCTTAACCTATGGTTTTTCTACAAAAGTTATTTGATAGCATTAAATTACTAGTTACAAGCTATGAGAAAGAAAATGTCTTAATAATGGAAATATATTTGTACAGCTTTGGAATCTTCTAATGCCCACGAAGAAGTTAAACGCTAGAATCTCCAAGCAGTGGGCTGAAATTGGTTTTCAGGGTGATGATCCCAAGACAGACTTCAGAGGCATGGGCATACTTGGGTTAATCAATCTTGTGTAAGTGAAAGTAAACTTTCTTTTCTTCCCTAAATGAAATTACATTTAATCTCTGATCTAGTTACTTCTAATAAGAAGTGATCTAGTTGATTCATACTATCTCTGAATTTTAATAACTGCAGTGCTGGAAGTATTTGCTAATGTGTTGGCAACAATATGAAGATATTGGAGGCCAGGCACAGTGGCTCACGCCTGTAATCCCAGCACTTTGGGAGGCTGAGGCCAGAGGATCACTTGAAGCCAGAAGTTTGAGACCAATCTGAGCAATATAGTGAGACCCTGTCTCTACAAAAATAATTAGCCAGGCATGGTGGCATTTGCCTGTAGTCCAGCCACTTGGGAGGCTGAGGCAGAAGGATTGCCTGAGCCCAGGAATTCAAGTTTACAGTGAGTCATGATTGTGCCACCTCCAGCCTGGGTGACAGAGCAAGACCCTGTCTTTAAAAAAAAAAAAAAAAAGACATTGGTGGAAATATAATTGTGTATGTGATTTCTTTACTTACCAATGCTTTCCTCTCCTTTTTCTTTCTGATTTCCATTCTGATACCTCTTAAAGAATTATGTATGCTCCTACTGCCTTTATTCACTTGCTTTTTCTCTCTCGGCTCTCTGATTCTATTTTGGCAAATATAACCAGATAAGGTGATAATAAAGTCTCTTTATATATGTTCTTCACCACCTGTGACAACTTACCTACCTGCATTCCTGACTTGGTATAGACTACCGTATGAACTTTCTCTCCTTTATCTTCTTTAATACTTACGATTAGCTACATGTATCGAAATCCCCAAATATGTAAGTGAAGTCACAATTGATAGACAAAACTATTCTAGAAGATAGCCTGGAAGATTAATTTCCTCCTATAAGGATATGCAAATGTACAAATTGTAGTGTTTGGGTCTGTCCATGAAATTGTGATTTATAGACTATAAAATGTCTAGAATGGGAAGGCTAGACTATTAAAGTTTGGATAATTCTTACTGTGAAAAAATCCTGATATTGGCTAAATTAGGTTAATATTGATGGTTTTTTTAATTGTTTACAGATGTTTATTTTTCACCATTTGATACTGTTAAGATTGAGGTTAACTAAATTCAGGAAGGAAATTAAAAGTTGTTCTATATTACAGATTGAATATTTTAAGAGTAGTTTGACTATTAAAATGCAATGCTGAATTATTACAAAAATGAAATATAAATAGTCAACTGAGGGCATTTTAGAGTCAATCTAGGGATAAAGTAGAAAAATTAGAGACTTAGGAAAGCATTGCATTAAGCAAGACTTTTAAAACTATTTTGGTGTTTACAGATCCCTTAGGGAATCTGATGAAAGCTTTGTATACTCTCTCCCCGGGAAATATATATATAGAAAAAGTCCATAATGTAAGATGGTTCCTGGATTCCCCTTCATTCATAAATTATCATTAATTCATGGACTTCTAAGTTAACAGCCCCTGGTGTAATGGGTTGAAAATTAGAGCCAGTGAAGAAATAAGGAAGTGTATATTAATACTCTCTAGAAGAATAAAGAGGGAAGAGTTAATTAGAAATTTCTATGCTTTATGAAAATGTCAATGATTTTGTCCTCTAAAATGTAAATAAACCATGGACATTTATTTTTTATTTTTATCCTCACGTGAGCATCTAGTTGTGTGTGTGTCTATCATTTTGAGGTGATCCTAAGGTTAAATAGATTTGGTGTAGGCCAAAAGGATGTATGTGCCTACAAATAGATAGTTTCATATACATCTCTCTTATACTGCTAATACTTCTGTTTTATAGCTAGTATTTTAGTTATATGATTGATGAAGGAGGTTTCTCATTGCAAAAAGATTGTTGACTCCCTTCTGATTGCACTGAAAATGGCACTAAACAACACAGACTTAAATTGTAGTAGAAGGAATGAACCTAAGTGTAAGGAAGAGTGTCCTAACAGGTACATATTGACTCTTTCATAGAAATAGAACCAGCAAAGAAACAAAAAGAACTTTGGTTGTTTTTTTTTTTTAAGGTAGTCTCTTTTTATATTATCTATTTATTAAAATACTTTACAGTCTTGTCAATGACCTATATTCTGTACTACATAGGCCTGATAGCTTGGGAAATTTTGATTCAGAAGCATTTGTGAATCACTGAAGTGATTTGAGACAGATATCAGGATACTCATGGCAATACTAGGACTATGATTTTGACAGTAGCTTTTTAAATTGGTTCTGGATATCTTACATTTGAATGGCGTACATTTGTTTGATTATTTTTCTTAAACTTTTTAGGTATTTCAGTGAAAATTACACTAGTGAAGCTCATCAGATTCTTTCCCGTTCAAATCATCCAAAATTAGGGTAAGCTGGGTATATTAAAGAAGCCGTAATCTCTTGCATTTATAATGATTAGATGATTTAATGAATTTGAAGGTATATCAAGGTATTTCTTAAAATAAAGTATTTTAATAAGAACTTTTTAAAGGATATTACATGATACATTATTTTTAAGGAAAAATGTGATTGTAAACCAATTTTGTATGTATTTCAGTATATTTTTATCACAAGATATAGTTTATCTATACAATGGAGATAAGGGCCCTTATAAAATGCTTTTGAGAAATAGATTTGAAGATAGGAAGAGGAAATAGTTTGGAAAAGTAATAGGAAAATAGGAAATAGCTTTGAAAATTGTAAAGTGAAATTCAAACTGAGGTGGTTTTATTAGCTTTACCGTTATTTTTAAAAATATTCTGATGGTATCTAATCTTTGAAAAAGCATAGTAACAATGTTAGATCATAAAAATAAGTACCCTGATAATGGAGAAGAAAATATCAGATTATCCAGATTATCCAGTGTATTTTAGAAATCAATGAGATTTGGTGTCTATAGTCCCCCTGACCCCTTTTTTATTTAAGAATTTTAGTTTTAGATATCATGTGAACAGAGCTTTATTTTTATTTCTTAGATTATATCCAGAAAAATATACAGGCTTTAAAAAGCAAAAATGTTAAATTCTTTCTAGTATATTTTTCTTACCATGTAGAGATTATCATAAAATCAATACTGTGTTAAACCTGAAGTCACTTTCTACTAATTCCTAACATAATTTTAATTTATTTTATGAGTTATTTGGCTAGCTGGTATAACTGGTAATGTTTCTGACATAGGTATTCTTATGCAATAGTTGGAATCAATCTTACAGAGATGGCTTATAGCTTACTGAAGAGTGAAGCTTTGAAGTTTCATCTCTATAACCTTGTTCCTGGTATACCAACAATGGAACACTTTCATCAGTTTTACTGTGAGTATTAAAATGAGTTAAAACTAGATCTTTCTAAGATAATTCTTAAACCACTAGGAATGTATAATATATATTTTAATCTGTTGTCTCTGTGAAGTATATAACTTATGTTTATCATTTTATTACTTAGGGTCTTTGAAAAACAAGAAAACAGTGGAAGATGGGTCCCCAAGAGTATTCCATACTTCAGTTTTTATATTTGCTGATTATAAAAGGCAATATTTCACATGTAGACACATCTAAGATTCATGTAATTTTTCTCTAGGCATTCATTTTCCAGCTAACTACAAAATGTATTTTCCCTCTTGGATGCTGGTTAATGAATGCTGTTAAGGACAGACCATTTGCAGATTATTTTTTTACTTTTGGAAGGAAATTTAATTTAGAGGAACTTTTCGCCTCCCCCTGCCTTGAATTTCAAGGCCAAATTTTCTTGTGGTAGGTTAGAGGTACTGAGTAACTGTTCCTAAAGCTGTCTTTACTTTCTCTGTTCCATTCACTTTTAGTGATAATATTTGAATACTGAAGGTTTAATTGAATGAGTCCATCTTCTGAAGCTATTGTTCAGAAGCAAAGAACTCAAATCTAGTTTTTCTTCACACAGTACTTTTCTTGATCTTTTTATGTCTTTAGAATGTCATTTGAATGTTGGTAGCATATAAGAAACTACTTAGATAATAGGTGGCCAAATCATAATTTCTTCATCTCCATTGTTGAAAATATCCATGTCTCCTTTTCGCAGAAACTTTCCTGCCTTTTCTTACACCCTAATTCCAGTTTTGTCTGCATCTTAACTTTCTCTTGCATGTGTCTGTTTCTTTCTATACCCATTGTAACTGTACAATATCAGGCCTTTGTTACTAGGTTACTATAATGGCCTTTAGCAGTTTTTTTGTGGTAACACTCTTCTATTTCTTCTCCACATTGAAAGTATAGTTATTTAAAATGAAAATCTGATCGTTTTACTCCACTCCCAAAAATTATTCAAAGGATTCCCATTATAAGGCCCTGCATAATCTGAACCTTGGTAACCTCTCCAGGCTCATCTTTTGCCATATACCAGCCCCCCTCTCACCCCCACAGACTCTATAGTGGAGGCATCCCAGTCTTCTTTTTAGTTGCTCAAATATATTATGCTCTCTCTTGACTCTGTGCCTTTGCAAGTGACATTCACTTGGCCTGAACACTGTTCCAGCTCCCTCTGTTCTTTCCAGGTGATGCCTTCTCGCCTTCCAAATCTCAGTTTAGACGTGCTCTTCTCTGGGAAGTTTATTCATTTACTGTGTGTTAGATGTTGTTCTAGGCCCTGGGGATGTAGCAGAGAAGAAGACAAAGTCACTGCATTTGGTGAGGAGCTGTCATCTTCAGAATCAAAACTTCCCCCTAGTGCAGTGTCCACCTCCAGATACTGCTTCATTTCTCTGCTCTCTTTGTTCATGAAACTTTTTCAATAATTGCTTTTTCATTTCTTCATCTCCAGTTTTTATCTAATTCCAATTTAGTTTCTCTCTCCATGACTCTGCTCACACTGATTTTTCTCAGACACCAACTTTTTTTTGCCGCCTAATACAATCGCCATGTTTTTTCTTCATGTTATTTGATCCTTTTAGTGGCACTGGGCATAAATGACCACACGTTTCTTTTCGAAACATTATCATGACTTTTCTGATGCCACATTCTCCTGGCTTTTCTTTTGCCCCACAGGAATTCCTGTAGACATCCACTGCCTTACTAGATATAGGGAGCACCTCAGGGCCCAGCCCTGTGCCCACTCCTCTCTTTAGCCCTCATACTTTTCCTAAGTGGTACCATCTGGTCCCTTGCTTGAAATGCCAAATGTGCATTAAATGCCAAAATGTATATCTTCAGCCCAACCTCTGCTTTAATCCCAGCAACTGTATGTCCAGATCCTTTTTCTCCCTTAATGGATAAGGATAAAGAATCATATGAGGATGCTTAAACAAAGTAGGAGCCAATGCAACATGTCTTTAAATGGAGGGAACAGATTTCAGGTTCCTAAGGACAGCATTGATGATTCTACCCAAGTGTACTGAAGATTTCTAGCAGGCGTGAGATGCTTTCCTTTACCATTCCAAAGTGTTGTTGCTGGGACTTTGCTAACTTGCCTCTAATTTTTTTTTTAAATGAATATATCCCTTGTTCATTAGCTACCTATTGAACATAAATAACATAAATGAGATATCATGTCACACCAGTTAGAATGGCGATCATTAAAAAGTCAGGAAACAACAAGTGCTGGAGAGGATGTGGAGAAATAGGAACACTTTTACACTGTTGATGGGACTGTAAACTAGTTCAACCATTGTGGAAGACAGTGTGGTGATTCCTCAGGGATCTAGAACTAGAAATACCACTTGACCCAGCCATCCCATTACTGGGTATATACCCAAAGGAATATAAATCATGCTTCTATAAAGACACATGCACACATATGTTTATTGCGGCACTACTCACAATAGCAAAGACTTGGAACCAACCCAAATGTCCAACAATGATAGACTGGATTAAGAAAATGTGGCACATATACACCATGGAATACTATGCAGCCATAAAAAATGATGAGTTCATGTCCTTTGTAGGGACATGGATGAAGCTGGAAACCATCATTCTCAGCAAACTATCGCAAGGACAGAAAACCAAACATTGCATGTTATCACTCATAGGTGGGACTTGAACAATGAGAACACTTGGACACAGAAAGGGGAATATCACACACCGGGGCCTGTTGTGGGGTTGGGGGAGTGGGGAGGGTTAGCATTAGGAGATATACCTAATGTAAATGACGAGTTAATGGGTGCAGCACACCAACATGGCACATGTATACATATATAACAAACCTACACGTTGTGCACATGTACCCTAGAACTTAAAGTATAATAAAAATATATATAAATAAATGTAAAGAGACTAATGTAAAAAATAAATAAATTTTAAGAAGAGAATTAGCTACAAATAAGAAAACTAAAGTTCCTTAGAACTTAAAAAATAAATCTTCATAAAATTAAAAAAAAAAAAAGAATTTGAAAACTCCCCAAACAATTAAGCAGTTTCCCATATCTCAATATATACAGGAGGGTGGTAGGTTAGAAAGCAGTGCAGAATGACCTTTGTGCAGTATTTTTCCCCTAAAGACCAGGGAACTTGAGGATCTGTGGGAACTGTTGCTCTCCAGCACCCTGACACCATCTCGGCTGGCTCCTCTATAGGAAGGACATTAAAGTGTAATATCTGAGGTAGAAAAGTCATTGTAGAACCCTTTCAGTTGCCTCCTGTCAGCTCAATCTATAAGAGCTGTAGATCATCCTGGAAACAGTGAAGCTTATGATTTTCAATTATTTTGAGACATTAAAATGCACATATGCATATACCTATGTACCTTTTAAGCAGAAGTTTCCCAAAAACTTCATTCTTATACCCATTACCATTGGAAGTTTCACATCTTAAATAAGGTTCTGCTTTTCTTCTTAAGAGGAACCTGTTCTAACTAGAATAATAACTTGAAACCTTGTCTTTGAATGTGCATACTTTTTTGGTAGAGGAGTAGGATAAATTAGTTTGCACAAATTAGTTCCAAGGTCATAGTTTCTCTCCAGAAGGAAGAACAGTTCAGAGATGAGTTTCCACATTTTTTGTTTCCCTATGATCTGCCTTCATCTCCCTCTTTTCCTTTGATCGCCTTTGTTTTAATGCGTCCTGTGTAGGAAGGGCTGGAAACGTTTGTAGTTTAGCTTTTTAGCTCCATTGTCATCTTGTACGTCCAAACTGTGAGCAGCTATCCGCCATGATTCTGGGAAGTTACCACTAGTCCAGCAGGAGGGCTCAGGATTTTGGGACCTCTGTCTTTTGTATATTCCGGTCTAGGATGTCTCCATTCTAGTTTTGTAGGGCCAAAATTTTAGCTGGACTTCTGGTTTGGTGGTTCCAAAAAAAAATAGTAACACCTCAAGTTTGTATAATAAAGTTATGTCTCAATAACAACTTTATTGAGGTATAATTTATATAACATAGAATTTACCCATCTTAAATATACACTTAAATGGATTTTAATGAGCTAAATTGGGTAGCCATCATCATAATCCACTTTTAGAACATTTTCATCACCCCAGTGAGATACAGGTTTACAGTTAATCCCCCTTCCTATGATTTTCTAATCCTTAACCTCTGCAGTAAATTCATGCAGGGAATTTCAGGTTTAGACATTTCATATGGTAATTTCTACAGAGTCTTAAGTATTCCAAACATCTGGACTCAAAAGGACAAAATATGTGCATCATGGAAAACAGCTCTTTTCCATCACTTTTTGCAAAACTTTGGGATTCTTATGCCAAGGATGGCCCTGCCAGTTTCCTAGAATTTCAGTATTTTTTCCTGTGGTTTCCTGATGTCACATTAAATCACTTTAGCTATTATAGTCTCCGTTCTTCAAGTTAGTCTTTCTCTGACACTGATTTATATTATAGATCAATAGCCTCACTCTGAAGCAAGAAGTTCCTAGTGCTTTAACTTGAGCAGTTTGTTCCAGGCCCATGTAGTCATTTGAATGGGCCACATTACTGACAGTAATGAAAAAGCAATTTAAAGGACATAAGAATGGTAAATATCTAAAACATAATAACCAGATATACTGAAACAAATGGTATGGCCATAAAATTTGGATAGCTATCTGCCTTATCATACTAGGCAGAACATTAATCTCTAAATGTATTAATTAGACATCCCTAACAGTGTATGGGGGATAGAGATAGCAGATGGTATTTCTCCAGAGGCTTCATTTCTTGATTTTACCCATATATCATGGTTGACAAAAATCTGTTTTATCATATATTGAGAATAATCCAAAAATCTTTCTTAAACTGGCCTTCTTATGAAATGATATTTCAGTGTGGGAATATGATGATTTTAACCATTAATGTTTGCTGTATGACCAATATTATTAAAATGGGATTTCCATTTTACATAGTAAGCAATCATGATAGTCTAGCCACCCTTTTGTGTAAAGTCATTGACTTTTGCAACAGAGACCACTTACAAACTGTGTGATTTGGGGCACATCATTTAACTTCTCTGCACCTCTCTTTCATCTTTGGTAGAGTGGGAATAACAACATAGTACTTGCATCCTAGGGCTGCTCTGACAGTATATGAGCATTTAGTGAGCACTGTAGAAATATTTTAAAAAATAATTCAATAAATACATTTGATTACATACAAAGTAGGACTGGGGTGGTTTTATTTTTTGCTTTACTTTTTAACAGCTTTGTTAAGGTATATGATAAACTGCACATATTATATGACATATGATAAACTGCACATATTTAAATATGTATGATTTGATAAGTTTTAACATATGTATACACCTGTGAAACCATCTCCATGATCCAAATGGTGAATATAGTCACCACCTCTGAAAGTTTTTATGTACTCCTTGGTAATCCATGCCTCTTGCTCCTCCCCCCACCATCCTAGGAACCACAATTTTTTTGTCACTATAGATGAGTTTGCATTTATTTTCTAGAATTGTATTTAAGTGGAATCATGCAGTTTTTACTCATTTTGGTCTGGTTTCTTTCTGCATAATTTGTTGTGTGTATTAATAGCTTTTTTATTTGTTATTTTTTAAAAATTGACATATTAGCTCATTTATTTTTATTGCTGAACAATATTCCATTATATGCTACACATTGTTTATGTACTTGTTGATAGATATTTTGATGTTGGGTGGTTTTAAATTCACATTTAAGTTTACATATATGTGTGTGTGTGTGTGTGTGTATAAACAAGTTCGGTTTCATGAAATACATTTAACATTTTGGGGGTTAATTTGGCTACCATAATGAGGATATTGAAAGCCAAAAATATTAAGCCGATTTAGAGTGGATGTATTTTTTTAAAAAAGAGAAGATGCTGATAGTTCATTGAAAAAAAAGTAGAAATAACTCTTAGATTTAGAAATCGAGTAGGAAATAACTTTCCTACACTTTAACCTTATCCAACATTTTTTCGTTACTTGCATTTTTGTGCTTTGGAAGTTTCTCGGGAAACTTTTCTCAAGGTATCTTTTGAAAGTACTACATCTTTTTTTTTTTTTTTTTTTTTTTTTTTTTTGAGATAGGTTCTCAACCAAGCTGGAATGCAGTGGTACAATCACGGCTCACTGAAGCCCTGACCTCCTGGGCTCAAGTGATACCTTTACCTCAGCCTCCCAAGTAGCTGGGACAATAGGCGCATGCCACCATGCCTGGCTAATTTTTGTGTTTGTTGCAGAGATGGGGTTTCACCATGTTGCCCAGGCTGGTCTCTTAAGTCCTGGCCTCAAGCGATCTGCCCACCTAAGTCTCTGAAAGTGCTGAGAGTTCAGGTATGAGTCACTGCTCCCAGGTGAAAGTACTATATCTTTTAAACTTGAGGGACGTTGTTGATTTTTGAGACAAATAGTAAATATACACTAAATCGTTTATTAAGTCTTATTAAGTCCCTCAGGCTTCTAATAGTTTTGAGATTACTTTTGATTATTGTATTCTAATATGGAATTTAAAGGATGGTTATATACTTTGTAAAGATGAGACGGTTTGAATGTGATTTCAACATTGAGGATTAAATGTTTTGTTTTTCTTTAACTGCAGGTTATCTTGTCTATGAATTTGACAAGTTTTGGTTTGAAGAAGAACCAGAAAGCATTATGTATTTCAATTTGTATAGAGAGAAGTTTCATGAAAAGATTAAAGGACTTTTACTGGATTGTAATGTAGCACTTACTTTAAAAGTATAAATCATCCACTGTATCTTCTATTTCTACCACATTTTGCACATTCAACAGAATTTATATGTTGTAATAGGAATTATCTGATCAATTACACTCTTATATATAATTTCCTACAAAAATATTTCAGAAATTCTATTTAAGAAAGCTAGTGGACAATCAGTGTATGTTTACAATTGTTTATACACTGTTCTCCAAAGGTACCTTATCCTTCCAAAGATCCCCTCTGTAGAGTCATGCGAACTACAGTTTGGAACTTGGGACTTAGCCCGTTGGTGTAAAAGTATAAATCAGGTATTTGTATTAAATTGATTAAAATGTGTAAAATCAATTTTCGTTTTTATGTGTTATAGGGTCAAGTTGGTATCTTTTTCAAAGCTCTTTAAGATTTTTTTGGTTTTTAGTTTGGAAATGGCTGTTTTTAATTTTGTCTGATTTTTATTTCTAGGTTAATTAACAGCAAGTGTTTCTTTATGGTTTTCTTTGTTTGCATCTTAATTACATGTCATAACGTTGCTTCATTAGTAGCAAATAGAGCAGAGATACAGCAGAGAGAATAAAGAATTAGGGCCTCCTTTTGGGTTTCTGTGATTATTGAGCATAACTGATGAGAGAATGACAGTATTGGTGACTAGCTTTTTTGTTTTTAAATAACACACTTTAAAATGCCACAGTGTTATTTGAAAGCTTAAAGGCATTTTCTCATCTTCAGTATTTGCTTTTTATCAGTTGTAGAAAAGAACCTTAGTGTTTTCTTCTCTACCTATGTATGCTTATGAAACCGCTCTACCTACATATGAAACTTCTCTACCTATGTATGTTTACGAAAAGAGATGTATTTGCCAAGAAAATCTTGATTATATAAAAGACAAAAAGATTATAAAAGACAGTTTCTGTTTAAGTAAAACTGTCTTTGAAACTTAAGAAAGCTTAAGTTTTAAAAAAATCTCAGTTAAACATCATTGGTTTATTTGACTTACTGTTAACTCTTGCTTCTCTTTGACTCCATGGTGTTTTTAGATAACCATGTATGAACTTTATGTTAATGGTTTGTGGGATACTAAAATAGCTTGAAGATGACTTGATGACTGTGCATTTTATATAGTTTTATTCTCCTAAAATCTCAGGAGGGCAGCAAGTGCTGTCAACGATTATATAGTGATGAGATTTTTATGGGAATGATTTCTTCTTGGTGCGTTTTACACATTTGTACTGATAGCAAAACTAAAGTTTAAAGCAGCAAAGTTTAAGTTCTCCTTAAATCCTACAGAAACCAACCTTTTAAGGACATAATTTCATCTAAAACATGACGATATTTAGCACACCTTTTAATGTGGGTATATATCAAGTGTTTAAGGACTGGCTAGTATGTGATAGAGCAAGACCTGAGACTTTATAAGTATTTGCTCGTGTCTGTTGACAGACCTCTTTCTTTCAAACTTGTTAGAAGAGTGGTAAGACATATCCAATTGGAAAATAAGATGCAGTGTTGTATAGCACATACATTTAAAGTGCTTGCGTTAAAATTAGTTTCTCAATAAGATAAAATTATTTTAAAAATTTGGTTCACTTTATTACAATAGTGGCAATTTAGCTTTTCAGTATTACAGGAATTTAAAAATTGGTTTCTTGTAGGGGACATCTCAACTTTGGGAATATCTTCACTTAATTTTTAAAAAATATTTTCATGCTTTATTGTCCAGCTATACAATATGTCGCAAAATCCTGACAAGTTCATTGTATTAAGGTATTAACTATTACATGGAAAGCAATTCTGTTCATCTTTTGATGTTTGTGTTGAAAATGCTTATCTTTGTGTTTTGATCTTCCAACAGCTGAGAGCTTGAACTGATTTAAACATTTGTCAATATACTTAAGAATGCTTTAAGTAAAGAAGGGGAAAATTTTAAGTAAGTTTTTTCCCTTCTAGGAAGAAAAACTATGATGATGTTAAGAAAATGTCATTATAGAGCTTGCTCAATAATATGTTCTTTAAATCCACCTCCATTTGTACATTATAGGTATCATTCTGTTTTTGCTTAAAATAATCTGCAACCATTTCAGATAGTTTTACAGCAAATTGATCTAAAAGCCACTAATAAATTCTAGGGTTTGAGTCTAGAAGCCAAGCAAACTGTCACCAATGTCAGTTGTAAATTAGAATGCAACATGAGGCTTCAGACTCATGACAATGATATACATGAAAACAAAAATATAATTGTGTCTACCTTCCTACTTTCCCTTTTGACATATGTAGTTGGAATTTTACATAGTCTTAAAATCCATATTTAGAATCTTACCTGTTTCTATAATAATTAGTAAAATGCCAAAGTAGTGATAGAATATTGTGGCATTGAAGTAGCCGAAAAATTGTTAGTTTTAGCATCAAAAAAGTAAATAGATGTTGAAATGAATTTTTGTATGTGCCAGGTTGAAGAGAGTGTGCCAGTGACAGGAAGTAGTCTAAAAAATTAACAGTTATGGTTTTAATAGGATCTGAAAGACAATCTTTAAAGAAATGGGAGAAATTGGGGGTATCAGTGAACCTATACCAACCTCTCTTTGTACATAAATATGGTGATGTAGCTAGATATAAAAATCAGTGTCTTACTGGCACCATTTACAGTTTAGAAAACAATCTTTTTCTTAAAAATGCCCATCTGATTTCTATTTTTAGGAGCTACTTGGATTTGTATGTATTTTTTCTACGTGAAAATATATGTACTCTTCACTTTTGTTCCAGTACTATAATTGCTCATGCACTCTTTCTCCCCTTTGAGAACATTCAGTGAAATACAACTTCATCAAAGATTTGCTCAAAGGAGAAGAATCGCATGAGTGTGAAAAGTAGATGCTCGTAGCCAGAACAGAAAAGGTTACACATGATCATGGCACAGAAGATAGGAGGTTTGACTTGGTGGGCCATAATGTTTATTATCCTTTTTGAAATAACAGGGACCAGCAGCAGTTTTCTCAGGATAAATGCTCTACCCCACTTCTCTATGAACAGGTGTGGGGAGGCTTACTTTCCATTTTCATATTTATACACCTCTCTACAAAAGCAATTTTTAATGAAGGTTAGTGGAATTGTTAAAAATCTGAGAGGAATGATGACTGGAGGTGTTTGGGGTTTTTTTCTGTATTCATTTTTTAATGAGAAAAGTTTTAAATGTAGTACAGGTTAGACCCAACTACTACCTTACTATTATAGGACGATTCTATGTTTCTGTTAAAGTATTCAAGTAGCTTTCTCTGGGGGAAAAAGTACCACTTGGACACTTAAAGGAATTGGGATTTTTGTCTACTTTGGATAAGGCAGTTGACTTCTTAAGTAAAAGCAATAGTGTAAAATGTCATTTTGTTTGGAATGTTAAGTGAGCAAATAAAAAACATGTTGAAATTGTTGTAAGCCTTCCTGTTGATACTTCTTTTTTTCCATATTCCCTCATTTAGTCATTCATGCTCATTAAACATTTTTCTTATTTTTCTTATCGTGTTGCTGTAGGTAAATCAGAATATACAGAAAAAAGTTTTGATTTTCTTGACTTGTTAACTGCTGATTACCTATTTACAGTGTTGAATGAGAAACAAGTGGTTATGAGACTGAAAATTTCCTTTATTTAAAAAGATGCCACCACCTCCACCTGCCCCTTCTTACAAAGAGTAGGAATAATTCATGCTAAACTGCGCTGTTTTATTCTTAACTTTACGTAAAAGTTCTATTATCCATCATAAAGTGGATCTATTTACATGTTAATACATCATTTTTTTACAGCTGCATAGCATTTCTGTGTGCGTGTGTGTGTGTGTATGTGTGTATATCTTACTTTGAAATAAAAATAGGTGGATCTGGTTGGATAAGGCTACGTTAATATGTTAGTACTAACTTTATTAAAGTTAGTGCTAATTATAGGTTTAAATATACGTATATATTCGAAAATAGGCTGGAAATTAAAGACAAAACATCCATCTTAAGGAGTTTGATGAAGAACACAATAAACGTAAAGAAAATAGACAAAGAAATATTAAAGAATTAAAGATAAGTGCTTAAAATGCATAGAATAGAAAACAAGCATATGAGATCAACAGAAATAAGCTTTTGCTTGGAAAGACTAGTATTGATAAACTTGATACTAGTTAAGAATAAAAGAGAAAGCAATAATGTCAATGAAATATGGGACATCACTACAAATTCTACAGATGGTGAAAATTAATTTTTTCAAAAATTTGAAAATTTTAATGAAATACAAAAATTTCTAGAAAAATACAGCTTACCAAAACTGTACAAGGAAGGGGGAAAGTCCTAGCCCTATTAAACTGAATTAGCAATTCAAACCCTTTCCACTAAAAACTGCAGTTCTATATGGCTTGCATCAGTGAGCTGAATGACACACTAAGGAGTAAAATCGCTTTTCACAAACTCTTGCAAATGATAGAGTGTAGACTGCAATTCATGAGACTATCATAACCTTGATGACTAAAACTCAACAAGAACAGTGTGAAAAAAAATTGTATGCCAATGTCACTTTAGATGCAATAATTATAAACAAAATGTTAGCATACTGAATCTGGAAGCTTACTAAATATATTAATGACCTGCATATATAGATATATTGCTTTAATATGTGATCAATTATGGCTCAGTTCAGTTGATCACCAGAATAAAACTAAGTAATTTTTCATATTAACATTTGAAAATCATGATGGTCTTAGATGCAGAAAAAACATTTGATAAAAATTCACCACTTATGTTTAAAAAATAGTAAATGAGAAATAGTGATTAATTTTATAAAGTATATCCTTATAAACTACAACAAATACACTTAACAGTAAAACATTGGAATCAAATTTAGAAAGACTGGAGACCTATGGAGCAGTTTGATGCAGATCATTTCCCTCTAGGGACAGACCATTAATGAGAAAAATAAATGCTTTGACTCTATAGATTGCATTAAATCTGTAAGATAAATGTGAAAACAGTTTTTTCCAATCTGAGAGTATGTTATATACCTATATAGTTTTAAAAAATATTTCAATAGAATTATAGCCTTCATAGTGATACCACACATCTTTTGTTATACTTATTCCCAGGTACTATTTTAAAATGCTTTTTTTTTTTGAGACAGAGTCTTGCTCTGTCACCCAGGCTGGAGTGCAATGGCGCCATCTCGGCTCACTGTAACCTCTGCCTCCTGGGTTCAAGTGATTCTCCTGCCTCAGCCTCCCGAATAACTCGGATTACAGGTGCCCGCCACCATGAGCAGCTAAAATTTTTGTATTTTTAGTAGAGACAGGTTTTCACCATGTTGGCCAGGCTGGTCTCGAACTCCTGACGTCAGGTGATCCACCTGCCTCCGTCTCCCAAAGTGCTGGGATTACAGGCATGAGCCACCACACCCGGCCTAAAATGCTTTTATATAATACATTTTTACAGCTTTATTTTCTAACTTCCTTTTGCTGGTATATAGAAATATAGGTATATAGACTTTTTAATATTGGTTTTATTAGCCACGTTGCCAAACTCATATATGCCAATTCTTTTGGATTTTCCGTGTCTACATTCATATCACTCGTGAGCAGTAACTTTTATTTCTTTCCATCCATTTATTTGTCTTACTGCACTAGCTAGGACTTCTAGTACCATGTTGAATAGATGTGCTGTGCCAGTTTGGATTTATTCAGCAAATATTCAGTCCTCTCCGTTTCCCAATAACGAGTGCATTTCCTTGCTCCTTGATGTTAGGCTTGACCATGTGACTTGCCAAGATCAATGGAATGTTAGTGGACATAAGCAAAGGCTTGAAATAGGTTTGAGCAATTGGGCTTATTCTTGCGCCTCTGCCATCACCATGAAAAAGAGCATGCCTCAGTTTGTCCATGGGTACCAGATGAATCAGAGCCACATGGAGTTGATCAGAACTGGTCAAAAACCCATGGCCTGAATTTAAAGGCCAACTGAATTCAGCTAAGATTAGCACAGCTGCCTAACTAGCCTACTGTTGTGTGAATTCTAAATTTGTAATATTGGTCAAAAGATGCACACATAAAACATACTGGATGATTCCATTTATATGAAGTTTAAAAATAGACAAGCCATATAATTTAGGGATGTATACTTAAATAGTGAATCCATATAAAAACACGCGGAAAACCATTTACCATGAAAGCGAAGTTAAGATGGTCTCAAGTTGTGATCCCGTGGGTGGAGGTGGTTCTGCAGTGCTTGCAATTTTCTGTTTCTTGAGCTCCACTTTGGTTACCTGTTAGTTCACTTTGTAATAATACATTAAAATATTCATTTGCTTTATGCACTTTCATGTATGTGGGTTATATTCCACAATGAAAATTTTCCAATTTTAACAAATGAAGACAAAAAGAAGCAAGAATGATTTGTAGACTTTATATCTTACCTTGTTTCAAGTAACGGCTTGCCTTGTTAAACAAGGAACAGATTGTGGTTATTGCCACTTACTTTGCATGAAAAAGAAAAACTTTGTGGTGATTCTTAGGCCTGTAGGGGCTTTCCCCCGACAGTTGTGTCCCTATCAGATGAGCTCACTTAGGCTGTTATCAAAGCACTTGGTAAATCCCCAGGTACCATCTGATACCAGATTGATTCCCTTATATTTCCTTCTGTATGGGGGCAGAGCCTATGCTTGCTTTATGTACCACTGTGTAGTATGCACAGTGTCTAGAGCATAGCAGATCCTCAAATATCTTCTGATGACTGACATTTCTCTGTACCAGGAATTGGCCAACTTGCTTCCCTCCATTTGCAACTGCCCGTTGCCTGACCAGGGTCCCATGCAAAGAAATAAAGTTATATGTTTTCTTCCTTATTCTTGAAAGAAACATGCTATTTGAAGGTTGTGATTTGTCCTAGTTTGAATTCTCTGTGAATCAGACCGTGAGGAAAGGATTTGCAATTCATTTGGGAGGTGATCCCAGGAAACACTGGTAAAGGAGTAGGGAACTGAGACAGGGAATAGAAGTCAGCCCACAAACGTTGTAAACTAAAAATAAAATCCTAAAGCTTCCCACTGACTAAAGGACCTCCTCTTGGTCAAGGGGACCCCAGAGAAACCCTCAAAACTGAATTCCTGGCCATGATAGAATGGAAGGTCAGACATGCTTTGTTATACTCCCTCCGTTGGATGGCTTAGACGCAACTGACCAGCATGAATGTTAAAATAGAGATCACAGACTGATGGAACAGACACTTTGTGGCAATATTCTTTGTAGCAATGTAGTCTTCTCCATAGTGATATGACACATCTTTTGTTATATTTATTCCCAGGTACTATTTTAAAATGCTGTTACACATTTTTACAGCTTTATTTTCTAACTTCCTTTTGCTGGTATGTAGAAATCTAGGTATCTAGTCTTTTAAATATTGATTTTATTAGCCACTTTGCCAAACTCTTATTATGTATGCCAATTCTTTTGGATTTTCTGTGTACACATTCATATCACTTGTGAGCTATAAGATGCCAAATTATAAACAGGATCTAAGGACATGCCAGGCAGGATTAAGTCACACACTCCTACACTTAAAGAATAAACTATGTTCTAACTGCCACAAGATTTTTCTTTTTCTCGAGCAGCTAAACAAACACTGGCCTTGAGTGTCTGAAGCAACTGCAGCTTCACCAAGTGTTGACTGACTCCAGCCCATTTTCCACCAGCCATAACTACAGTTTTAACTGGACAAGAGGATTTTAGTAGCTTTCTCATGATAAGAGACCAACCACTGTGAACTGGCTCTGGCCTGTTTACAGAAATGGTGCATTGTGTGCCTTCGTGTTACTGCTTCACCTTTTCATGTATAGGGCCTAACTGTAATACATTTAAATGTTAAGCCTCCACCCCAAGGTGTAACATGCATGCATCAGGACTGCCTTCATGAATATTCATGAATCCACCTGTAGCCTGTTGAATATGTATACTTGGCCAACCCATTCAATTTAAATTTCTGTCTTACTCTTCCTTCCCTAGAAGTGCCTGCCTCCGGTCTTTGCTGGAGGTTACGCTTTCTAGCCTGCAGAATGACCACCTTGTAGGCTGTAACCCTTTGTAAGAAATAAAGTATCCTTTCCAAATGCATGAAGACCCTGTGATTTTTTAGTTAACCATAGTAAGCAAAACACTACTGTGTGTTACTAGAGTTTGATCCCTCAGCGGTATTCCACCTGACAGTTGAGGGAACTGAGATATTTGTACACCAACTACTACCAGTTATTGGTGGTTAAGGGCTGCACTGGGGCTGTGTTATTTTCCCTGCTGCTCTTCTAGAATGCCATGCACAGGTGAGTAAAGCTGGCTCTGGTGGCCAGAGACCCTAAAAAGGGCAGATGCTGACATGACAATAGGAAGTCAGGCCAGCAAGCACTAAAGAGCAAAATGGTATGTATGGGACACAGAAGACATCTGCTACAAGACACTTTTGCGGGTAATGAATGGGGAAGACATGCATGAGGGTGAGGTGAGAATCCCTGATAGTAAATGTAACATGGAGTTGATTAAAACAGAACTAGAATGATGTCTGGCAGCCTGTAACCTTCCTGCTCATCCAAGCTGCCAATCCTTGGATTTAGCTTAAAATCAGGCTGGGCTTTGTCTTAAAAACTTCTTTTAATATCTGTTTTACTGTTTCCCTATCTCTTCTGCATGCAGTTTGTAGGCATTGAAAAGGTTACTACAGGTGCTAATGATGAATTTGAATTTGGCTTTGCTGAAAGATTCCATGAAGATTCGTTTTCATCTCAGTAGGAATCTCAAACTGTTCCTCTGTCTTCCCAGAAGTACCCTCCAGCTCTAAAATTATGTGATGCTAGCACAGATACCAAGACTCTAGTAGCAATCCTGCCAAAATGAATATAGTGTCTTAGATTAGAAGTTGTTAGAGATGTCATCAAATCTGGACTCTAAACATTAAAAATCTATACTAATAACATTCAGAGTAGGTTCATGCCTATGATTCTAAAGACCTGCATTTGCTATTGGGCAGTCTTGTATTCTAGTGAACTTGACTCTTACACCCAGGTATAGATCTCAAAAGACAAACTTTAAAAGGTATTAGCAATACTTTATTGAATATATTAACTGACAACTGTGGTTAATAAAAACTAATATTTTTAATAACTTCATTTTTAAGTATTTATAAATATAAACTGCATTTCACTCAGTTTCTTTTCCACCAGTTGGAATTGTAATTAAAACATGTTAAAGTTCTTCACATTCATTCACACAATTGCACTCCAGAAATGGTCAAATGCAGTAGCTTATCTGCATTACATTTGCCAGGGTATATGCTGAATGTTTTGCTTTCCCCTTCTTAAGACACTGAGAAAAAAAAAAAGTTATATGAAATAGGCATTAATTTTCCTCTTTTTTATATAAAAAAGTCCAAAATTCTCTGCCAAAATTCCTTTATCTTTTTAGGTTAAAATAAGTGAATAAGTTTTGTTTGTTTTTATGATCCAGTCAGCAAGATTCCCACTGGTATGTTACATCATTTTCTTGAAGCTGATTATGTGGCACAGTCCATAGTCTGCCTTGACTTTGACAGTTCTCGTTTCAGTTGTTCAAAGCACACAAACATAATGACGTTCCAGGATCCAAGTCGCAAGAAGGAAGGTACCAACCTAGAAAAGTGCATGTCATCGTTCGATTAATTTGTTTGATTTTTTTTTTTTTTAATTTTTGAGATGAGGCTTCACCCTGCCGCCCAGGCTGGAATGCAGTAGTGTAATCATAGCTCACTGCAACCTCGAGCTCCTGGGCTTAAGTGATCCTCCCACCTGAGCCTCCTGGAGTAACTGGGACTAGAGACTGCACCACCACACTCAGCCTGAAATTCTTAAAGTGATTATAGCAGGTTATGCTTCTCATTTTGCCACTCCTCAAGTGAAGATGCTTAAAAGTACCTACTCTTCATCTTTCCCTCCTCTGCTGAAAATAAATTTTCCTCTAGATGTCCTATATTACTTCAAAACAACACAGCCCTGATGATCACATCTATACAAAT
Organism: Homo sapiens; assembly: GCF_000001405.40. Classification (NCBI taxonomy): domain Eukaryota; kingdom Metazoa; phylum Chordata; class Mammalia; order Primates; family Hominidae; genus Homo; species Homo sapiens. Next base: position 140,560,394 of record NC_000004.12, read on the forward strand.
CCACAAATATCCTTCACTCCCAAAACATGTCTTTTCTTCACTGACATGAACTTTTTCAAAAACTCTTTCCTTTTTTGAGGGAAGGGGGAATTTTTGCTTGTTTTGCTTTGCTTTCTGAATGGGAGGTAGGAAACTATTAGAAGGGGGAAGGAAGAAGAGAAACCAAAGAAGTATTGAGTAGAGTCAAGAAATCAGTGCTGTCTCAATCTTGACGATTCTTGTCCTTAGAGAAATTGTTACTGTTTAAATGGCTTTTATTGTTTAACCTATAAAAAACACCCCTCTGCCCCAATTTTTTTCCTTCAAGTCTCTTAACATGTTTCTCTTCACTTCCCAATGTGGGGTATTTTGCTGCAAAAAAAAAAAATCATAAAATTACATTTCAGTAGCATTAAGTACACACACATTGTGTGTAACCATCACCACTATCCATCTCTAGAACCTTTTTGTCACCCCAAAAAGAAACTCTCTACCCATTAAACAGCTCTCCATTTTTTCCTACCTCCAGCCCCTGGTAACTTCTATTCTTTCTGTCTCTATGAATTTGACTACTCTAGGTACCTCATTTAAGTGTAATCATACAGTATTTGTCCTTTTGTGTCTGGCTTATTTCACTTAGCATAACGTTTTCAAGGTTCATCCATGTTGTAGTATTTCTTCCCCAAAAGGTTTTTAAATTTGAAAAAAATAAAATTATTAAATGGTTAATGGTTTAATAACTGGTATATCCATTTTAAGTTAATTTTATAATGAACTTCATTTGTATTAATGTATCATAAGTACAGATTATGATGAGTTGGAACTTTTTATAAAATGTGTATGATGCATTCATGCTTAATTTATAAAGCTTGAGGAATGGCCTTACAATTTAAAAAGGTAATATAATTTTATTATTAAACCACTAGTGTAATCCTTGTGGAATATATTGACAGATTACTTAATACTGTATTTTCTCCTCCTTCTCCTTCTTCTTTTTTGAGACAGGGACTTGCTCTGTCTCCCAGGCTGGAGTGCAGTGGCACAATCATAGCTCGCTGAAACCTTGAACTCCTGGGCTCAGGAGATCCTCTTGCCTCAGCTTCCCAAGTAGAGGGGACCATCAGTGCGTGCCACCACACTCAGCTAATTTTTAAATTTTTTGTTGAGACAGGGTCTCGCTTTGTTGCCCAGTCTGGGCTCAAGTGATCCTCCTGCCTCCATCTCCCAAAGTGCTGGGATTACAGGTGCGAGCCACCACGCCGAGCCCATACTATATTTTCTTAGGAAGGTAGTTTCTGATACAACATTGCATTATGGAAATATGTAATCTATTACACAACACTTGTTTCTAGGTGAGTGTAATAATTACCCAAATCAAATACTTTTCTGCATCACTTTTCTAGATTGGTGGTGATGTCTTATCTCTAGTTTTACAATGTTAAAACTTGAGTCCATCAAATTAAATCAAATCAAATCTTGTTCTCTCATAGCTCTCTATTATGATTTCCCTCTACTTTATAACTTTCTTGCCCAGAGAAGGCAAAATACTGTCTGCATTTCCAGTAGATTGGGACCAGTGGAAAAGGCACTGGTCTTGAATGAGCCTTTGATCAAAGTTGAGAAAATTTGAATATCATGGCTTTTTACTTTCTGGCACAGTGGAATTGGTGGATTGGAGAAATCTGTGGCAAGGAAAAGTCAATACTAAGTATATGAATATACTAAGGCTTGTAAGCTAAATGTCGGTTGCTTGACATGAGAGTGTCCCAAAGCACACAGACAGCCAGAACACATTACAGATACACAAGATCATATCTTACCCCTTGAAGAAAGCCGTTGGTCCTTCGTTAGTGAACACTTTCATTGCACAGTTGGGCACACTTTTGTACTGTCCTGGTGGAGAATTAATAAATCTGGTTTTTACTACATCCACCGGGGAGGACATAGCTGTTGCGCAAAATCCAGCGATAAGAGCCGACACCAAGTGGCAGGGGACGTCATCTAAAATGGATCGATGAAACAGGTCAACATCAGACTTTTGGGGGCTTGCAATTTAGTTATCTGTCATATCTTTATAAACCTATTGATAACAGTAGGTCAATGAAGATGTCTTATAAATAAATAAAATAAAATAAGAAAGGTATTGCACTAGAAAAAGAAGGTAAAGAGTAAATGGCTTAATAGATTGTTAACACTTTAGGAAAGTAAACTGTTAGTTTCCTCTGTGCCTTTAAGGCCTGTAATAATGCCTAATATATGAGCATCTAATACTTTTTTATTGAAATAAGGGAAATTTCAATGTCTCTAGAAGTTGTTAGAATATTATTTTTAAGAACCTATCTTATGGTATTACTTTTTGGATGAGACCACTGATAAGCTCCTTTTATAACTAGATCTTTTGGATATAGTATGCAGGATGGACTTACCTCCTGAATTCTGCTGTATAAAGAATAAGATTCTAACAAAAGTCCCATATATTAGTATTAAATGAGAATAATGCTGACATGAAATTGCCTGTTATTTTTGTTGCAAAATATTTTTGTTGTGGCAAAACTTCTTAAACTTAATATTTTGGTCTTTTCCTGCTTCTCACAAAGTTATATATGGTTCAAAATTACTTAATTTTTAAAAAGAGAAAACTATTGGAGTTAAGAGATTGAGTATAAGGTGGCTGCAGAAGCTCCAAGATGAACTTCTAAAGGTGCAGACCTGTTTGTTATATGAAATGGGAAGTTACCTGCTAATATGTTGTTTTTCACAAAGGCCTCCTTCATTAGATCATATGTTACTAGCTCTGTACAATTGATGATGACACTTCTCATCAGATTGGGAGTAGTCCCTGGGGAAAAAAAAAAAGAAAATGTTTATTAACTCTACTTTACAATAAGTTGCTAGTTGTATGTATGTGCTTTGGTGGTTATAAAACCCATTTTGAAGTTAGTTACCTTTCCAAAGACCCGTCAAGCCTTCGGTTGTTGCTATTATTCTGTACGCATTATAAGTCCCCGTGTAGCGAGGTTTGATTCCGTGGAGATGGCTCTGTGCTTGAAGTCTGACTTTCACGACCTCTGTGGGTTGCCCAATGAATACTGCCACTCCTCCAGTCGTTAGACCAGCTAAAATCTTGCTTCCTAAACTAGGTGCTGCTATCCAGAGAGAAAAAAAATTATTAAGAAAAAAAATTAAAGACCTAGAATGCATGCATGTCTTTTTAATTTTCAGTGGTTCATATTTTTGTATTTTTTTTTTTTTTGAGATGGAGTCTTGCTCTGTTATCTAGGCTAGAGTGCAGTGGTGTGATCTTGGCTCACTGCAATCTCCGCCTCCCGGGTTCAAGAGATTCTCCTGCCTCAGCCTCCCAAGTAGCTGGGATTATAGGCACGTGCCACCACAGCCTGCTAAGTTTTGTATTTTTAGTAGAGACAGGGTTTCACTATATTGGCCAGGCTAGTCTTGAACTCCTGACCTCAGGTGATCCGTCTGCCTCGGCCTCCCAAAGTGCTAGGATTACAGGTATGAGCCACCCACCTGGCCCATATTTTTGTATTCTTACAGCTTTTCTATTTCTCTAATGCTTGTTTATGTGTTGATCATGTACTAAATGTGCGTCAACTCAGAGTAAGGCTAGAAAACTTCAGGTGTCTGAAATTTTTTAAAAATGAAGACTTTCAAGGAACAAGAAAACACAATGCTTATTTTCACAGTGGCCTGATTCTTTCCTGTGTTCAACTTGGTTCTTTCCCACATTTAGCTCTCTTTTCAGTATTATCCGACTGTGAGGAGGCACCCATCACCAATGAGGCTTGATCTTTCTCCCACGAATGATCATGTTAATTATGGGACTTGGTGGCCTTAGATGAAGCCCAGTGGACAAACTGCACCAAAATGGGCCATCAAGTAGTGTTAGGCTACAACATGTGAAGGGAACAAAAATAAGAAGACAGGAGAGAAGAAAGTGATTTTTGTCTTAAAATTTTGAAAAAAATAGCTTATGTTGCTCAAGACAGATTTCATTAAGTACAAATAGTCTTGAAGCCCAATATTCATTTCTATCATTAAGTAAACATAAAATTAAGGTTCAGTAACATTTACTCAGCAGAGACTTTCTCAGTCATTATAATTCTGTTTCCTAATTTGTCAAAAAGGGATAATAATATCTACCTCTTAGAGTTGTGTGAGTTAAATAATATTGATAAAGAGCTTACACTGTCTAGCATAAAGAAAATCCACAAAACTGGCAGCAATTTTTAAATCACTACCATGATTGTACTCTTCTCATCATGCTTTACCAGGAGCTGGGCATATGACTGACAGCTGTCTTTTAATTAGCAATATCATATGATTACAAATGCCTTCACTTTTAGCTCACATTTGTAATGCACTGCACTACAACGTAGTGTATCTTGATGTACTCATCCTATCCTCCAATCTCCAACTTTCAAATCCCTCTCTTCACTTCCCAATCAAGCTGGAAAAGAGGCTTTTTTTTTAAGAACTAAAAGAAATTTATTTACAAAACATATTGTTTGTCTTTACTTCTCAGAGCCCATTTCTTCCTCAGTCCCCTACAATATAGCTTATACCACGCTACTCTGCTGAAGATGTTTTTGCTAGAAAATCAGTGAGCTTCTATTTGTTATGTACAATGATCACTTTTCAGTCCTTTCCACACTCTCTGCTGTTTGACCCTATTGGTAGTCCCTGCTGTGACTTCCTGGAATCTGGCTCAGATTTTCTCCTAAAAGGAGCCCACTAAATAAACTGAATCATGTGCCTACTGGCCATTACCTGTTGACATGGCCTAAACCAAATTTCTTGTCTTCCCCCTAAGACAGCTTCTATACATCCTCTCTCAATAAAGGGTATCTTTAAACAGAAACTTGGAAGTCATCTCATATTTCTACCTGTCCCTTATGCCTTACTTCTATTTGTTCACCAAGTCAATTCAATTATACTTTCTCAATCTTTCTGATTGACATCTCTTTTTCCCTATTGCCAGTGTTTTAGGGCATACCCTGATCATTTCTTGCTTTCTAACTTACCTCTTTCTTACTCCTTTTACATATATACTCTATCTGCTGCCAAAGTGATCTTTTGAAAATGTAAATTGTTTATGCCACTCCCTTGCTTAATATTTTTACAATGACTTCCCACCACTGTAAGGATAAAATCCAAACTCCTTAGCACCGCCTGCAAGGCCTTCTGTCATCTGGCTCCCTCCTGTCTCTGTGGCTTCACCCCTCCTTCCTCACCAACATGTCCTCCCTGTGCTATGTTCACTCGACTCCTCACTGAGTCTTTGCACATGACCTTCACTCTACTTGGAAGCTCCTTTCTCACCCCTTTGCCTGGAGTACTCCTGCTGGCCCTTCCAGAATTGATCCAGACGTTAATTCTTCAGGAAAATCTCACGGACCATACCTCCATGGCTAGCTTAAGTAGTTCTGTTTAATATAGCCACCATCTTGTAATTACAGTTAGTCATGTGCTGCATACATGATGGTGGTCCCGTAAGATTAGAACAGAGCTGAAAAATTCCTATCACCTAGTGACATCCCAGCCCCATAAGACTGTAGTGTAATGCATTACCTTTTCTATTTTTAGGTACACAAACACTTAACTTTATGTAACAATTGCCTGTAGTATTCAATACCAACATGCTGCACAGGTTTGTAGCCTAGGAGCAATAGATTATACCATATAGCCTAGGTGTGGCTATGCCATCTAGGTTTGTGTAAGTGCTCTCTGTGATGTTCATTCAACAACCAATTTGCCTCCTAACTCATTTCTGAGAATGTATCCCCATCGTTAAGTGAAGTAGGACTGTATTGTAATACAGCATGTATCATGGAATATAGTCATCTATTCACTTCTCCCCACACAACCCATACTCTCAACTGTAAGCTCTGTCTAGAGACACATCTGCCATCTAAACATCTAACATAGTTACTGGCACATGGCAGTTCAATAAAGCCTACTAAATAAACTGAATCTATATAACATAGAACACTGCCAACATATATCCTATTAATTTGGTGCCCAAAGTCCACAACAATTGGTAGAACAGTCAATCTGTGAAGAAAACCACCTGAACGGGCAGCTTTACCTCCTTTGTGTTTCCTCTCTTGCTACATCTATAAATAAAAAAATGCAGTTTTGATCTAGTAACATCCAGACTTTATCTTCACTTTGAAAGTACTTGTGTGGATAAGTATAACTTATATATTTGTATAGACAACATTTATAAATTATCCCATAAAATTATAGTATTGAAGGTTACTCACAGCAGAAATGATGAAATCTACAAGGTGGATTTCACTTAATGTATTCATTGTGCCATCAGCACATCTTCTCTCTGGCTTGTCTACTCCACATGAAAGTGCCTCTGATGTTGATTAGCTGTGTGATTTTGTGCATGTTACTTAACTACCCTGATATTCGGCTAACACTTTTTACTCACAGCAGTGTTGTGCGGTTTGAATGATGGGCAGAATCATATGAGAAGTGCAGAAGGCAGTAGAGAACAGGGTTAGGAGCCTGGAGTCCGAGGCCAGACTGCCTGGGTTTGAACCCTGGCTCTGCCCCCTCCCAGCTGTGTGACCTTGGGCAAGTGATGAATCTGCTCTGTGTTCAGTTTTCCCATCTGCCAAGGGATAATGGTACTAATACCCTTCCAGTTATAATGTATCTGAAGCACTTAGAACAATGTCTGGTTCATAGTTAAGCCCTCAAATAAATGCTACCTAAAGTGACAGGAATTCTTAGAGTGCACTGGCACTCAGGAAATATGTTTCCTTTTCTTTTTCCCCTAAACAAACTCCCTGCAGCATTCGTCCACTTTTTCTGCTCTGGTCTTTCCTGGACCTGATGAGGAACCTCTTAAGAGGAAATATGTCTTTTCCTGTCCTTTCAACTCTCTTCACAAAGTCTGGCTTTCTTTGCTTCAAACAGAAGGCTTTGAACTTTGTTGCATACACAAATGATGAGGGAAGCTTGTGGAAAGACACTCTGGTCTCTAGCCTGAGGATTCAGACTCAGAGGACCATGGTAGTCCTCGTTTGGATTTCTGACAAGCTCCATAGATGTTTCTGATATACTTCCCTCTTTGGAGAACTTTAAGTTAAACATTTTTCTGTAGCCCACCCATATTCTCCAGATGGAGATCCAAACTGGGCACAAAACTTCCATGACTGGGTGACCTTTACAAGTATATATCTGCATCTAAAAAATCGATTTTGCATACTTTTTTCTATGAACAATGAGCTAATGTTTGGGGAAGGGAGAGTTCAAATATGAATGTTTTCTCGCCAATTTGTTATGAAAACCACTCCTCTGTGTGTTACACTTTTTGGAACAGAGCGGAGCCCAAGGCTTTTCTGCCCCTCCCAGGAACGCTCACGGCTTACTTTCTTTCCCTGCGGTGAGGAACTCCTGGACCGTGTCGTAGAGGCCGATCCTGAGAGAGGCGGAGCTGATTTGCCGCTGAAGCCCCGCAGGCAGCCCGCTGTAGAGTTTCATCCGCCCTTCTGTTTTTACCACAGCGGTGATTGTTCCCAGGACACCTTTATACCTAATAACACTGGACGTCGGGCATTCACCTTGGACCTGGAAATAAGAAAGGTGCAGAACAGAAGGGAGCGAAATTGAGTTCACTCTTAAGCCAAGATTTCCCCCTGTGTTCCTATTTTCCGTTTCTTTTCTCAGCAACATTCCTCTTCCATCCACCTCCCTCTACCGTGTGTGTGTGTGTGTGTGTGTGTGTGTGTGTGTGTGTGTGTGTGTGTTCGCTCACGCGCAGATGGAGGGAGGCTGGCTACAATGCACATTTTGAATATCCCCCTCCCCAGGAACTCTCCAGAACCCCTAGGGCAGTAGGATAGGACAGAACCCCCGAAGAATCAAAGAAAGGAAAAAGCACCTGACTAGTAAACTCAGGAGAGGCCAATATTCTCAGCTCTTAAAATACTAAGTGCACCCTAAATTTTGGGAGAATTTGGTAGTAGTCATGGTCAACCCATTCTCTGTGGCCCTGGTGGTTCTTCAGCTAATCCCAGAAAAAGTTCCAGTTTCCCATCCTAAAGCACCAGCCCTGGGACAAGGCCAGACTGCTTTGGAAGGTCACCTACCCTACCTAGAAACAGTGGTTACACCAAAGCAGAGAATAAATGGAATGCACGCAACAGCGTCCCCTCTGTCCTGAGACCCCTTGTCTTACCCCTCTGCCTAGCTACCTGGAGCCGGACTTTGGCCGTGTCCAGCGGGAAGGTGATCACGTCCGCCAAGCACGCCGCTATTCCAGCTGAGAAGAGCTGGACCCCCAGGGTCGGGTGTACGTCCGAGGCTGTCAGGCCCCCCATCTTCACTCAGAGACTGGAGATGCAGAGGAAAAGGGCTCCAGCCCCGAAGGTGGAGGAAGTTCCTTTCCCTTGCTCTTCACGCCTGTCCGCCGGGCAGCAAACCCGATTTCTGTTTTTTGAACCGACCGCCGGGCAGCGGCGGTGCAGAGGCGGCGGCTGCAGACGGAGCGCGGTGTTGGGGGCCGAGTCCCCGCGTCCCCTCCTACCCACCCTCGCGCCAGCAGGACCCTCTGCGTTCCGGTCTTCCGCTGGGACTTATATAGCTGGGCCGCTCCCGGGCTGGGCCGCGCGAGGTCTCAGAAGACCCGGGCGTGGGACCTGCCGGGGGCGTGTCCGGGAGCACCGGGTCCCTCCCATTCCCATTCTCGCTCGGTGCCTCGGGAGCCCTGCTTCGCTCCCCGAAAGCCCTGGGCCGGCCGCTGGTTGTCTGCGCCCCGCACACCGCACGTCGGAGGGAGGGCGCACCGCGGCGGTCAGCACCCGCGCCCCCGCACGTGCCTCACCTTCTGTCACCCTTTGGCTGCACACCTTCGGCTGGGGCTTTCGGAAACCAGCACGATATCAGAGCCTTGGTGAAAGGTTCTGCCTAGCTGGAGCTCTCCCAGAAGGAAGAGCGGGGCACTCTTCCATTCCTCCAACTCCCCAGACATCTTGCAGGCACCTTGCGGCCTTCTCTGCTTCCCTTTCCTCTCCTTTAAACTTCTCATCCTCCTTCCTCCGGATTCCTTCTCTTCCCACTACCAAATTCAGACTTGGAAGAATCCCACACAGGAACCAAGAGCACTCTGAACTTGTCAAAAAGAGCGTTTCGTTTCATCACTTTTTGAGAGAAGATGTCAAACGAGACAATAGACACACTAGAAAGCAAATAGTACATTGCTAAAGCACCGTACAAAATGAGATACCACCTGTTCCTTCTAATTAGATTTCTTAGAGGGTGCAGTGGAAAGGACAGGGCAGGTTGCTTGGCTCCAGGTGCAGCTCTCCAGCTTACCAACTCTGTGAACCTGGGAAAGTCATCTGTACTCCAGCTTTTATTTTCAACAGTGTAAAATGTGGTTCCAGAGCTAGCCCAGGTCTGAAATCTCCCTGCTAACTTACCTATAATGATGTAATATGTGTTGGTTGTGTGGCCTTTCCTAGTTCGATCTTTGTGCAAATTTTATTTTCAATGTTTATTCTTGTGAAAACTTAAGAAAACAAAAAACTTTTAAAAAAAACAGTGGGAAATAATAGGAAACTGGAGAAAGAGGGAAATGGACAAGGTCAGGTCCCAGCTTTCAGAACCTCTCAGTTAAGCCAAAGATGGATTTGATATTACCAGAATCCACGTCCAGCTATTTAGGGCCTCTGGTACTCAACCCTGACTTAAGCCCCCCAAAAGAGTCAGTGGAAGTCAGAGTCATCTCCTCCAGGAGCAGGAGAAATAAGACATGAATAAAGAATAATCTCCAAACCCTCTATAAGTAAAGGTTGTGTACTGTGCAAGAAGCCAGTCCTAAGGCACTTCCAAGGGAGGTCAGGCTTGCAGAGCTTCCCTGAAAAAGGCAATGTTGACCTGACGGGTAGCCTCTGAAAAAAAATAGAAAGGAGAAGGAGCCAGCGAGGTTTCTCCTCTGCAAACACTTGTTGAAATAAAGATCAACTGAGGCAAATAAGTGGCATGCATACAGGCAAAGATGTTGGGGAAAGCAAGTCGCGTATATAGAATGCATTCTGTTGGCCTGACTGACTGGGAAATTGGGTGATGGGGAAGAAAGAGAGAGGTAGGGCAAGAAGTTGGTGAGGGATGAGGCTGTAGAAGCCAAATGAGAAGCAGAGCCTGCAAATCCATTATGAGTGTAGCTTCATGTTATCACCTGTGTAGTGCTTTACAGACTATGAAGTGCTCTCACATAAATGTCAGATTTAATTTGATAGACAATACAGCTTTATGAATGATTAGATGTGGAGTCAAAGATTACTCTATGTTTAAGAACATGGGTTGCAAGCTCAGTGACAGTACCAATGATTGTCATGAGGCAGTTGGTAAGGGGGGTGATTTTAGGGGTAAGAAGATTAAACCAATTTTTAAAGTCTTAGAATTATTTGGAGAGAATACTGTTGATATCCAGATAGAGAGCTTAGGAAGCTGCATTTAACATGCTAAAAGAGGAAGAAATAGAGGAGGTATTTGGTAGTCATGATATGGATGCAATGAAAGGGGCATGCTTTTCACGGGAAAATGGGGCTAGTCAAATAGGACTAGGAAAAGAATTCAAGGGCCAAACCATAGGGGGACCCAGACCCAGAGTTATAGTCTGGAAAGAATGGCTTTGTCAAAGGTAGAGTGAGAACAAGAAACAGTAACATATCCAGTGATAGAACTGGTATTTAAGAATATGATTAAAGAAAGATTGGGTCTGACCAGTGTCAAGTTTAGAAAAAATGTCAGGAGGACAAAAACAAAGAAAAACCTACCGGATTTGACTCTAACATTGTTGGTGATCTTAGGGAGTACAACTATGATGGAGTTGTTATGTTGTGAGGCTGATGGCTAAGCAGTGGTTAAGAATGTTGGTATAGTATGACTAAAGTGTACAAGAGGAGACCTTATTCCTTGTTGACTCTAGTGAACCTCTGCTATCAACAGGTTAATTCCCAGTCCTCACCCCAAAGCTACCCATGAATCTTTCTCAGTGGTTCTGTCTGTAGTAGTTTTAAAACATAATTGCAAATCCATCACATTCCTCCCATCAAAAGATGAGGGTACATATGCCTTCCCCTTGCATCTGGCAGGCTTATGAATGTTTTGACCAATAGAATAATACAGAACTGATGCCATGTGGCTTCTGAGACCAGATTATAAAAGTCCTTGTATCTTCTGCTTTACTCACTGCAACATTTGCTCTTGGAGCCCTGGGCCAGCATGTAAGAAAGCAAACTTCTCTGAGGCTGTTCATGCTGGAGAGGCCCCACATCATCATCCCTCTTTACCAAGGCACCAGGCACCAGAGTACAGCTATCTTGGACCCTCCAGATAAGCCTACCTGACAGTTGAATACCACCAAGTGATCTCCTATGATGTCAGTAAAGCAGAAGAATCGCCTAGCTGAGCCCAGTCTAAATTCCTGATCCATAAAATTGTGAGATATAATAAAATAATTATTGTATTAAGGTAGCAAAAGATAACTGTAACAGCACCTTTACTTGTTTGAGCAGTTGGGAGGGGCATGCATTCTCTCTTTGCCCCATCCTACTTTCACAACGAGGAAGGAGTTCAAGGCAGTGGGTGGGTAAAGAGTTTTAGATTTGGACTATAAGAAGAAGCCACAATACATTTGTAAAGAAGAAGCAAGGTAAATTAAAATTGTCTTTTTTTCCCCATAAGGCACATGTTTGCATGTTTTAAAGCCAGAGTATGACAAACTAGAGGAGAAAGTGAGAGGAAAACTATGATAAGGGAAGGAAATGTGAGAAATAAATAAATCTATTAGAAATAAGAAAGGTTGTTATCCAAAACAGGTAAGGATAGGTAGGGAGAGAGGACCTGTGACAGGATAAAGGGGCTGCCTTATTTAAACCTGGAAGGAAGAACGACAGTATAAGCTTCCAGGATATTAATATCAGGCTAACATGGACAGTTAAGAGCCTTTGCCAGGAGATAGTATGACTGTAGTTCAATGGTGACTGAGCACCTGGGATGTGCTAGACACAAGAGTGACTTCTAAGGGTCACAGGAGAAGCTGACGTCAAAAACTTCACACAAGGGGACCCTGAGAGGTCACAGAAGTTCAAGATTCTGAAAGTAGTTCTGGATTCCAAGGAGCAGGCTGGCTTCACCACTTCTGACAGGCTCTGGGAAGTAGGAGAAAGTTTGCCTCAGGTTGGAGAGAGCAGTAGGGGAGAGGGTGGTATCCCCAAAGGGTCAGATTTCTACTCTTCTGGCACAAAGAAGAAGCAGAGAGGTAAAGAATAGGTCAGTATGAGCAAGGGCAACTGACCCTTTATGACGTAGCAAAGGAGTGGCAGCAAGTTCTGAATGTAACAAATTCTCCTTTCCTTTTTGAAAATGTAGAACACATTAACAAATGCACTTGATCAAACTGTGGTCAATCAGAAATCGCTGCACAAAATGTCTTCCTATTAAATAAAAATCATACAGTGCTTTGCATTTGAATAGTGTTCTATACTTTCCCATAATTCTCTCATTAGCCACCACTGGGAAATACCCTGTTATAATTATACAGATAAATGTGCAAATGACAGAAGAATCAATTTCTAAAAGAAGAAATACAAACTTTTATAATGGGAGAGAGGATATATTTATTATCACTAATAAAAAAGCATATACTTCACCTAATAAATTAATACTTTGTCACTACCAAAGTTATAATTACTATAACATTTATATATAATATACATTTACATTAATATTATAAATAGTAATAAATTATGAATGTTATAATTACAAATTATGAATTTTAAAATGTAATAACCATAATATCAATACTATATTAGTGATGGTGTTATACATTGACACAATTTTTTTGGAAAACAATTTGGCAGTATACACTGAGCCAAGAGAAAGTCTATTTTTTTCTTTTCTTTTTCTTTTTTTTTTTGAAACAGAGTCTAGCTGTGTCACCCAGGCTGGAGTACGGTGGCACAATCTCAGCTCACCGCAACCTCCACCTCCCTCCCGGGTTCAAGCGATTCTTGTGTCTTAGCCTCCCAAGTAGCTGGGAGTACAGGCATGTGCCACTATGCCTGGCTAGTTTTGGAATTTTTAGTAGAGATGGGGTTTCGCTGTGTTGGCCCAGGCTGATCTCAAACTCCTGGCCTCAAGTGATCCGCCTGCCTCTGCCTCCCAAAGTGCTGGGATTACAGGCATGAACCATCACACCCAGCCAGAATGTCTATATCCACTTCTGGTAACTCCACTTTTGGATTTCTACCCTAAAATAATTAACTAACATATGAAAGAGTCATATGTAGGCTAACGCTTATGATAGCTTAATATTTATAACAGCAAATTAGTGAGAATGCCAACCTCAGCTTGGCATCTAGATGTGGGATTGTCGGAGAGCTGTACAGAATAGTGGTGCTCAAGTGTCTACCATTAGGAACTGATATACAACAGAGAAAGGGGAGTGCTCTTAGGAACAGAGAAAAAGTAGAAAGAGGACAGGATTGGGTTTTCTTAGTCCAGCCCAATACAAAGAGACAAAGACTATCAAACTCTGCGTTAAGGAGAAAATATTCCATTTCTATGCTGATATAAGTGGTATAGCATGGTGATTAAGAGACCAGGAGGCCCATGTTCAAATTCTCACTAAGATAATAACTGACTGGGTAAGCATGGCCAAATTACTTAACTTCTCTGAGCTTCAGATTATTTACATATGTGATGAATATTCCTGCATCATGAGCCTATTCTTATTAATAAATCACTCTTTATGCTAAGCACCTGATGTACCTAATCCTCATAACTCAATGAAAGATTTATTCATGTCATGTATTTAACAAATACATAGCATTGAACAAGTGCCAGACACTATAATATTTTAGGCATTTTACAAAACTTAACACAGTTAGTCCTCATTGCGGCCTTTGGAGGCATATATTATTGTTATTCCCACTTCACTGATGAGGAAACTCAGAGGCTCAGAGAAGTTAAATAACTTCTCCTAGGTCACGGAACCAGTAAATGGTACACTGAGGATCTGCCTGACCCCCTAACTCTCAACTACTACGTGATACCCCAACTGCCTTCCCAATACATTCGCGACATGATACTTTCCTATGATTTGAAGACACACAATGGCTATGTATCCTTATATATTTTTTCAATAAGTCATATCAAAAGTTAAAATATCACATGCAACATATATCTTTTACTTGATTTGTATATATTACTAAGGAACTTACAAAGATAAAATAAACATTGCAATACTTTTGGTTTAAAAAAGCACTTTTTTTCATCTTCAGTAGAACCTGGTAGAAGAGACAGGAAAACTGACCTATGAAATTTAGAAAAAAGAGGTGTATGGGGATTGAAGCCCCATGGAAGGACCAGAGAGTGAAAAGGAGAAAATGACTTACCGAACAGGACATTACTGTTCTCAGATACTTGAAGGCATAGACAGTGGACGGGGTAGATTTGTTCTGTACGCAATTAAGCAAAATAATTAGTGCCGAAGAGTGGAAACTACAGGTGGGCAAATTCTAGATAAGTGTAAAAATGGTGATCCAGAGATAGAATGTGATGCTATTTGGGGTAATGAGTTCTCTATCAATGCAGGTATTATATTTCAGGCAGTTTGATGTAGTATTCATTCAGAGCATTAGATTTATTGTCAGAAAGATATAGATTTGAGTGTGCCATTTGCTATGTGACCTCAGGCAACTTCTTTAATCTTTTAAAGCTCCTGTTTTCCTGTCTATAAAATGGGGACAGTAATTATTGTTATAGTGATATTGTGAAAATGCAATTAAAGAATACTTGTAAAGATCTTAGCATGGTAACTAGAGTGGCACCTGGAAAGGGCATAATAAGTGATAGTTATAATTATATTTTCTATTGATACAGTTTGGATGACCACTTTGTAGGTTGTTGCAGGGAACCAAAAGATTGAACTAAGGGTTTCACTAAAAAACATAAAAAGGCCCTGTACATCCTGAGATCCTACAAGTCCATGATTCTGTGACCCACGCTGGGACACAGTTTCTATGCAGGGAGGTGTGGCAGGACTGGCTCCTAGATCCCTTTAGGAACGGTCTGAGGGTGAAATGGGGACATTCCAGCTAACAATAAGCCTCAAGGCTCCTGGTATGCCGTGACTATAGGGCCCCTGTACAGATGAGGACATGGCTGCCAGGTGAGAGGTCACAGCCCAATGACAGGGCCCTCTCCTTCCATTGTCCCTCCTCTTTCTAATCTCCCGGACAAATGGAAATTGCAGAGTGGTGCGTCCTGCCTGGCAGAAAGGACTTGGTTAAAGGTGAAGAATTGCAGCCCTAGAGTGAATGTGAGGCAGACAGTGGGGGAAGGAGCAAAGATGAACTGAGGTTACATTGGAAGCATTCTTTGTGATGTCTGTGGTCGTCTGCCTATTTCCAGCACTATGTGGAAGCCAGGGGACAAGCCAGGAGGCCTTCTCAGCCAGTGCCCTGCCTCTATGAACAAACCCCTGCAGGCCCTCCTGTGTCCGTCTATTGATCCTGAGTGTCTGGGAAAGATGAAGCTCCCACACCAGGACAAAGAAGGATTTTATTTCATCTACAGCATGATGGAACAGGGCAAAATACAGAAAAGAAATCATTACCTTCAACAGTTTTCACTTTGTTGTTTGAGCTATTATACAGTAAGTGAAATGCATTATATGGTGAGCAGGTAATGGGGAACCTCCCGCAGGGAATTCACACATCTGAGCTGCCCAGGGTGCTTCGTCTGAAGGAAAAGCAGAGGGAGAAAACACCTAGGTGTACAAATATATTTGTATGCCTAAAATTCCATAAAAGCTCACTCTTTTTTAATTCTTTCTTTCTTTACTTTTTTTTTTTTTTTTTTTTTGATACAGGGTCTTACTCTGTTGCCCAGGCGAGTGCAGTGACACAATCAGGGCTCATGTGTTCAAGCGATCCTCCTGCCTCAATCGCCCAGTAGCTGGGCTGGGATTATACACGCATCACCACGCCCAGCTAATTTTTGTATTTTTAGTAGAGACAAGGTTTTGCCATGGTGCCAGGCTGGTCTTGAACTCCTGGCCTCAAGTGATCTGCCCACCTCTGCCTCCCAAAGTGCTGGGGTTACAGGCGTGAGACACCTGCCTGGCCAAAAGCTCACTCTTTTACATTTACTCATGTGGTTAAAATTATTACTTGGAAACACATATGTGACTTGTTTTAGAATGTCTGAATCTCGGAGACAAAAGAGTAAAGTTTCCTTTCTATTATTTTCCTATGATCTGTAGAATGACCTTATGATCACTCTCTTGGAGGGTTTCTTTGCCTTGCTGAATTTCATAATGACGTATAGTACTTGGAGTTTAGTTCACCTTAGAAGCCATCCTTTGGCATGATCTCCACCTCATGTTTTTGGATCTTTGTCCTTTTGAGGTGCACCCTTTGTGTTTAGATCCTTTGCCAGAAACATTCTTATTCAAGATTTCTTGGTAAGTGATGAAGGGGATCAGCCTTTGGGGTATCTATTCATTGGGCAGAGCTGTTCCAACATTCTTGGAGCAATTGTTTATTCAATAAATGTCTAATTCCACACACATGTGTTGAGCACCCACTGCATACCCTGGGCTAAAGTCTGGAGATACTGACACATTGGTAGATGATTATGATATAACATGGCAAATAAAATGTTAAAGATGTCTCCAGGTGAATCGGGATTAGACAAGAAGAGTTTCTGGCCCTGGCTGTGGGCATCTGGGGGGCTTCCCAAAGAAGGTGCAAAGGGATCCGAATCTTGAAGAGTGAGAAGGAGTTACCCAGACAAGAGACGAGGGCATGGGAAGTGGGAGTGAGGTCATGCCAGACAGATGAGACTGCACAGCCAAGACAAGGAGTCAAGGAACACCATGGTAAGTTTGGATAAAAAAAACTCATTGGTATTTCTGGACCATAAAAGGCAAGGCAGGGGAAAGCAAAAGACTGGACTTGAGCCTGAGGAGGCAGAGCAAATCCAGGGGCTTTGATCCTCCTATCTCATAAATAATGAGGAGATTTTAAATCAGGAAGTGACAAAGGTAATTTTATGTTTTAGATAGATCTGAGTGGCTTTGGGATTGAAATCTTGAGGGCTTTGAGAAGACTCTGTTGCGTGTCTCTCCCTAGGCTTCTGGTGGTTTGCGGTCAAGGTTTGAGTTCCTTGGCTTACAGAAACATCACCCCAGTCTCTGTGTTCATCATCTTTCCATGGTGTTCTCCCTGGGTGTCTGTCTGTGTCTAAATTTCCCCTTTTTGTGAGGACACCAGCCATATTGGAATAGTGCCCACCCTGACAACCTCATCTTTATACCTGCAACAACCCTATTCCCAAATGAGGTCACATTCTAAGGTACTGGCAGTTATTACTTCAACATATGAATTTGGGGGGGGTGGTGGGGGAGATACAATTCAACCCATAGCAAGTGCCAATGATAAGCTGCATAGGCCTCTTTTGGCAAGACTTTAGTCTGTCACCCTTGGGTTAAGAATGAATAAGCCGGGTGTGGTGGTGCATGCCTATTGTCACAGTTACTCGGGAGGCTGAGGCAGGAGGATCACTTGAGCCCAGGAGTTCTGGACTATGGTGTGCTATGCCGATCGGGTGTCTGCAATAAGTTAGGCACCAAATAGTGAACTCCTGGGAGCATGGGACTACCAGGTTACCTAAGGAGGGGTGAATTGGCTCAGATCAGACATGGAGCAGGTAAAAACTGCCCTGCTAATCAGTAGAGGGATCGCACCTGTGCATAGTCACTGCATGCCAGCCTGGGCAGCACAGCAACACCCCACCTCCAAAACACGACAAGAAAAGAACGAATAAACAAAAAAAAGAAGCATGGTAACAAATATAACTTATTTTTTTCAGGAGCCAGAGGAAAATTTCAGAAAAATTGTGTAGTATATTAAAAGTGATGTAAAGAAGACATGATTTTTGAAAAATGGAGCAGAAAGCCCAAAGAGAAATCATGCTTCAATGAAAATCAAGATAAGATGCAGACAAGTTGAGAAGAAAAGGGATCTGGAGAGACAAGAAGGAAATGCAGGTAAATCAAAATTTAAATAGCCAAATGGAAATCTGACTTGGGCTTTGGTGGAAGACATAAACAATTTGCAGAGGGCTACTTAGCATTTTGAAATATTACTATATTCAAAAGTAATACAGTGAGGTTTTTCCCTCCCTATTTTCCCCCTTTCCCTTTGTCTCATTCACGCAGGTAGTTGGGTTTATGCCTATTGTTTTAGGAGATATGAGATAGGATGGAAAGGTATATTGTCCTGAAAACTCTTTCTTTCTATGTTTTACTTCCCAAAACCTAAGTCCAGAAAGGGACAGAATTCCCAGGTAGGGGTAAAATGGCTTCCAAGAACAGTTTAACCCAGAACAGACATGCCCTGTCCTCTTCCTCCTCCCTGAGCCCTAGGTCCTGAGGAAAGAAAGGCAGCTACAGAGCAGTTTCTCCGGCCCTACATGTGGCATGAAAGCAGCAGAGACAGGCTGCTTGAAGAGCCTCTTCCCACCCTTGGCACTGTGCAAGATGCATGGCACGACCCCAGGATGCAGAAAGCATAGGAATAACTAAGAATAAATTTTATGCCAAACCTGCAGAAAGGCACTCTGGATCAGAAATGAAGTTGCATTCCTGAACTTGCCATTGTCTTAGAGGGGCTAATGCAATTTAAATCAGTGATTGGAGAACAGACCAGAAAACTTCCCAAATGTGGAGGACATTGGACAAGAAAACTGATTAGAGAAATGATAAATATGAAAAAGAGAATAGTGATCCAATTATAAGATATTGCAAAGCTCAGAACTTGGTAAAAATCACCTGAACATGCAGGCTTGTTCATGGAGAGATTATGGATCAGAAGCAAGAGCCCAAGAGGCTGGAGGAGGCGCACTGCTGCAGGCTTGGAGGGGCCGCTCCAGCTGGCTGGGGGCTCCCCGGACCTGCGCTGGCTGCCGCAGCAGAGCTTCGGCTTGAAGGGATCCAGGGCAAGTGCGCGGGCTTCGTGGCATCGCGCCGAGTCCTTCAGCGTCGGCGCCAGCTCCAGCCAAGCATCCTATGCCCGCGCGGTGCAAGACCAGGCGGGCGGCGCTCCCTTCCTGCCTCTATCACCTGCCGGGCAGGTGGGAGAGCAAACTCCCCCTTGCGCCCTAGCTCCCGGAAATGTACAGAGACAAGATAATAAGCGGTAGAAGAATAGAAATAACATCATAATTAACCTAGAAATGTCATCTGCGTTCGAAATACCTGCTGGAAAAGTTAGAACAAATAAAATAAAGCAACGCAAGGGTTATATCTCTATGTATTTCAGCAGGACTTCTGAAATTTAACCTGAGGGGTGTGACTACCGTTTCCTGAGGGAAGTGTTCTTTTCAGGACCAGAGCTGTCAACCTAACCAGCCTCTGGGTGAGAGCTGTCCGGTGTTCTCGAGATTATATTTGGGAAAACATAATGGAAATCTTCGTGATAGGAGTGTAAAAAAAGCCTGTCAGAATATTATGGAATCTTTTGCATTTCAATAGCATTCGTCAATCTTTAACTTTTGGTAAACGTTTCAAGATTTTGTATATTTCTTCAGTGAGTTATTAAATAGCTGTCTGTTCAAATTATGTCCTTTACTTGTGGCTTTTTACATTAGTAAATTGTTTGGCTTATTATCTAAATTTACTTAAAACCCATCAAGTTTCTATATATGCATGATAGATATTTCATTTTCCTACAGTAACTTTAATTTGTTTTATGATCTCCATATTTGTTCTGGGAGATGCAGCTACCTATCAAAGTCTGAATTCACATAAGTTTCATTTTTGCCCATATCTTTTTAAAAATTATGTGATGGCTTTCACATGTATGGCTTTTAAAAGAAAAAGGGTCAAGGGTTAAACCATAGAGGTACTCAGACTTACGGTCTTGTTGAGCAGAAGTTGTCACCCAGGTACAGCTGGTTAGGATAGTGTTGGGTGGCTGGGCGTGGTGGCTCATTTCTGTAATCCCAGCTCTTTGGGAGGCTGAGGCAGGTGGATCACCTGAGGTCAGGAGTTGGAGACAAGCCTGGCCAACATGATGAAACCCCATCTCTACTAAAAATACAAAATTAGTGGGGTGTGGTGGCACACGCCTGTAGTCCCAGCTACTTGGGAGGCTGAGACAGGAGAATTGCTTGAACCTGGGTGGCAGAGGCTGCAGTGAGACAAGATCCCGCCACTGAACTCCAGCCTGGGTGACAGTGAGACTTTGTCTAAAAAAAGAAAAAAGAAAAAAAAAAGAAAAGAAAAGAAAAAGAAAGAAAGGAAGGAAGGAGGAAAGAAAGAAGGCAAGCAAGAAAGCAAGCAAGCAAGCAAGAAAAAAAAAAGGATAGTGTTGGGAAAGCCATTGTGCATGCCGCCTCTCCATTCCTGCTTAGCCACATAAGAAAGGGCCTTGGGCTGGGCACACTTGCTTACTAAGAGCCCACACAACCTGCACTGGGCTTATCACCTTGCATAGGAATATCTTTCCCTGTTTTAGACTCAATATGTACTCCTTTGTTCTGCATAAGCGTATGCGTTAGTGGCCCTTAGGCATGCCACCAGCTTTCAGTATTTCAAACTCCCCTGGGAGGTTGGGGTCCTTTGTCAACCCCAGGAGAGGGGCACGTGTAGCCTACTGCCCTACTTCAGCTGCCAGAAGAGACCCACTGGGCATGGGAGATCATAACACACTACTGAAGCTGGTCTTGCTCTGTCTCTTCTCTTAAAGCTAACCCGTTGCTCCATCCAGCACTTGACTTTGTTATGTTTCCCTTGCCTACTCTGATGTCAATATGCAAAGGGCAGAAGTATTTAGAGTCCTTCCCTGGAACTGGTAATCAGAGTATGATGCTTTGCTCCCCCGGGACTGATAACTGGTTCACAGTGCTCTGCTTAACAGATAGTTTGCAATGTGAATGAGCCTATTCATTTTGGATGTGATTCATTTTGGATGTGATCAGACCCTAGTTTATTATTTGTGTCTTTTTGAAATGGGACACTATATTTACTGTTTTAATAATAACGTTTTTTCTAGTAGTATAGATTGCAGCCTATATTGAGATAAACATCTCTATCAATAGTTTTCTTCTTTTTACAGTTTACTAGTTAAGGTGCCACAAGCTCATTTAATTTTTAAATTTTTTATTTTATTTTATTTTATTTATTTTATTTTATTTTTTGAGACAGAATCTCGCTCTATCACCCAGGCTTCAGTGCAGTGGTGCGATCTCAGCTCTCTGCAAGCTCCACCTCCTGGGTTCAGGCCTTTCTCCTGCCTCAGCCTCCTGAGTAGCTGGGACTACAGGTGCCCGCCACCACGCCCAGCTAATTTTTTTTGTATTTTTAGTAGAGACAGGGTTTCACCGTTTTAGCCAGGATGGTCTCGATCTCCTGACCTTGTGATCCGCCCACCTTGGCCTCCGAAAGTTCTGGGATTACAGGCGTGAGCCACCGTGCCTGACTTTAAATTTTATTTATTATTATTTTTGGGACAGAGTCTCACTCTGTCGCCCAGGTTGGAGTGTAGTGGTGGTATCTCAGCTCACTGCAACCTCTGCCTCCCAGGTTCAAGAGATTCTCCTCCCTCAGCCTTCCGAGTAGCTGGGGTTACAGGCATGCGCCACTGTGTCTGGCTAATTTTTGTATTTTTAGTAGGGGCGGGGTTTCACCATGTTGGCCAGGCTGGTCTTGAACTCCTGACCTCAAGTGATCCGCCCACCTCGGCCTCCCAAAGTACTGTGATTACAGGCGTGAGCCACCGCGCCTGGCCTAAAAGCTCATTTTAACAGGCAAAGTATCACCTGTGAATCCACTTATCAGCTCTAAATGCAGCTTTATTTTATTTAAATTCCATGATCTTGAATAAATGGAAAAACTTAGATTAAAAAACTGTTAATAAATTGCCATGTTAAAATGAAGTAAAAGTGTTTGTCATATCTAAATAGTTGGAGAATAACCTTAAACATTTTGCACTCAAAGATTTTGTAAAAATCTAGACTTTCCTGAGAATGATGGTTCAAAACATATAAAAATGCATAGAAAACCAAACACCACATGTTCTCACTCATAAGTTGGCGTTGAACAATGAGAACACATGGACACGGGAGGGGAACATCACACACCCGGCCTGTCAGGGGGTCGGGGGCTAGGGGAGGGGTAGCATTAGGAGAAATACCTAATGTAGATGATGAGTTGATGGGTGCAGCAAACCACCATGGCACGTGTATACCTATGTAACAAACCTGCATGTTCTGCACATGTATCCCAGAACTTAAAGTATAGTTAAAAAAAATGCTTACTTAGATGAATTAGTCAATATTCATGGTACAGTGGTAATTGGAGTTTTTATACTTGAAATTTAAAAACTAAATTTGAGCTTAAGTTCCCTTTGCAACTTCCATCTATTCAAAAAATACCATTTGAGATTGTGATTTTGTTTGTGAAATAATACAAAGTGAAACAAAATAATTCCAAGGCAAGTTTTACACTTGTCCAGGAAAGTTATTCACCAAAATTTGTTCTTAAGACAAAACATAGAATCAAACTGAATGTATTTGGCCATATTAAGGTTTACATTAATCAAAAATTTATTGAATACCTGTTGTTTATGTTAACCTGAGATTTACTAATGACTTTGAAATTGTAAAAACTTAAACATTTTAGACAATTAAAAAAATGAAGAAGTTGGAATACGAAAGGACTGGCAGTGAGCATTGAAGCCAGTTAAACAAATTTACATGTTGTTATCAACATGTTTATAAAACAGCACAAACATGATTTTTAAAAGAGAAAACATGAAATGCAAAAAATATAATATTTGAACAATAGCCTTAGTCCCTAAACCCCAGTTTTCAGAGACTGGAAATTGGGAGGGCCTCAGAAAGTCAATTAGTGAATGGATAAACAAGCTGTGGTATCTTTATAGAACAATGAAATACTACTCAGCAATGAAAAGGAATGATATACTGACACTTGAAACATGGAGGAACCATGGAGGAACCTCAAATGAATTATGCTAAGTGGAAGAAGCCAGACTCAAAAGGCTACACACTGTATGACTCCGTTCGTATAACATTTTGGAAAAGGCAGTGCTATAGAGGAGAACAGACCAATGGTTCTCAGGAGCAGGGAAGGATTTGACTACAAAGGGGTTGAGTTTTTGGAGAGTGATGAAACTCTACTGTATCATAGTCATGGCAATGGTGGTTACAGGACTTTATGAATTTGTCAAAACTCATAGAACTATACACCAAAAAGACTGTGTTTTACTATATCTGGATACGAAATAAATTTAAAATAATAAAAAAAACCCTTAAATCTATTGTCATCAGACTTTGAACAAAATTTAAGGTCTTTATTATATCCTCTAGGACACTGTACAATTTGGCTACAGTCTACTCTTAATTTTATATATGAAAAACAATGGCACTTCCAACATGGGGGGAAATCTCTTTTAAATCTCATTCACGAAAAGACATGAATTAAAGTCCTAACTATTAAAGAAAAAAGTATAATAAAAGCACTACAAAATATACAAGATTTTTTTTATTAACTTGGAATAGGGAAAGCATACTTGAATCAGACAAAGTTGGTAAAAGAAATAAAGGAAACTATTGAGAAATTTTATTGGATCAAAATTTAAAACTTCTGAATGAAAAGTCATGATAGATATAGATAGACAGGTAGATGATAGATAGATAGATAGATAGATAGATAGATAGATAGATAGATAGATAGAGTTAAAATAAGAGACAGGGAGCAAAAGCAGAAACATTTTTTTACATCCTAGCAACACTAAACTGATTTTCATTCCTCCTAAATGTT
Organism: Homo sapiens; assembly: GCF_000001405.40. NCBI lineage: Eukaryota > Metazoa > Chordata > Mammalia > Primates > Hominidae > Homo > Homo sapiens. Next base: position 140,584,269 of record NC_000004.12, read on the forward strand.
CTCTCTTGCTTCTGCCTCACTTCTTATGCTCTTCTTTCTGTGCGGAATGCCCTTCTCTCCTCCGTGTTTGGCCAACTCCTATTCACCCCTGAGACTCAGAGGAGATGTCGCCTTCCCCATTCTTCCTCCCTAACTATTCCTCCCTACCCTGCCCCCAGGGTGGTTAGACACTTTTTCAGTGATTCCATATTTCCTGCACAAGTCCCTTCTATTGCACTTCCCCACTGTTTTGTAATTGTTAATTTTGCATTTATATCCTCTGATAGATTGGGAGATTCTTTGAGGATCAGAATGCTACATCAACGTATTTCCTGTGTCTTCCACTTGTCTGACACACATAAGCACAATGTGTATTTTAAATGAACTAATTTATGTGCATAACTAACTTGACTGGGGCCAGCTAGCAGGGCAACTAAGTGCCCTTTCTCCTTTAGATCATGTGTTCCAGGCATGTCCTTAACAACTGGCAACCACTGTTTCAGAGATTCTTGGCTCCAATCCTCTTCAGCACATTAGATTCATTTTATTTCATAAGTTGCTTTAGAATCCATATTGTGACATGTATACTTTGTCATATATGGTCTTAATTTTAATCAGCTAAATAACTTAGGTCCTTAAATTTCAAACAGTCCTTTAAGTACTGACCAAAACTTTTACCAGTATATAATTTTTCATGGTTTGGGGGTGCCAGCCTGGAAATGAGTACTTAGAGTTGCTACTATATAGACATTTATTACTTGTAGAAGTTTCTATGAATATAATGAAAAGGAACAGAAAACTCTAGGCTCAGGAAAGTAGGAGAAAACGTTCCTTTTCTAGTACCTTTTTTAAACTCCAGATTATCAAGCTCCAAGTTTCTCCAAAGGAATCCTCTGCCCTGTAAGTTTTATGTTCTGAGTTTCAGAAGAGTTATACATAGCTATTCTCTTTGGGAATTTAAGCTTGCCTCTTCTAGTGAAAATTCAACTAAAAAAATCAAACAGTGAATTTTCAGTATGAGGCATTGTCACTGTCCATGAGAACAGTGTTTCACAGAAGCTGAAAGAAGGGTAGGAGAAGATGATTGAAATGTTTCGTATCTCTGTTGGGCCTGAAAATACTCTCTTCCCTCCACCACGCTCCTAAGATGAAAATTTAGACTAGCCCCTCACCCGGCCTGCTCTCCTGCCCCCAGAGCCAGTTAAGGCACCACTAGAATCTGGTCATCCTCTGAGGCTGGATTCTAAAACTTTACATAAAATAAACATATGTAATGACTTGGAATCACTTACTATTTTCAATCCCCTGTATAGCTTTTAAAAGAGGGATCCCCTCCATCCCTCTGTTTAGTTATGATTAGGGTTAATCTAATTGATGATTGAGTATATAATCCTGTCCTCATTTATAACAGGATTTTTGTTAACTGTGTTTACTTCATGTTTATTTCATCCTTTAGCATAGTGCTTTATACATGTAGGAGCTCAATATAAGTTTCATTTATTTAACAAATATTATTCAATACTCTCTATGCTTCCAGCACTGTTCTAGGCCTTCAGGACGTGAAAGAATATTTGCTTTCATGGAATTACACTAGGGGTAGGGGAAAGGGTAAAAAAGATAATAAATAAATACACTGGTAATATTTCAGGCAATAAATAAGTGCTATGAGGAAAGATAAGGGAGACATACAGTAATTGGGGGCTGTTGTTTTTGATGCATTACTTGGGAAGGCCTCACTAATAAGGTGGCATTTGAACAGAGACCAGAATGAAGTGATGGAACAAGCCATGCTTATAGCTTAGAAAAGTGTAGTCCATGCATACGGAACTACAATCACCAAGGCTCTGTGGCAGGAATGTGCTTGAATGTTCAAGCAACAACAAAGAGACCAGAGGGACAAGGCGGATGTGTCAGAGCAGTAAGTGACCAGTTAGAGCAGCCACCAGAGCTAGAGCATCTGGGCCATGGTGAAGACTTTGGATTTGATTATTAGTGTGATAGGAAGCTACTGGACATTTGGGCAGAGAAGTGTATGATCTGGCTTACATTTTTAAAAAGAATAACTGTAGGCTGGGCTCAGTGGCTTATGCCTGTAATCCTAGCACTATGGGAGGCCGAGGCAGGTAGATCACTTGAGGTCAGGAGTTCGAGACCAGCCTGGCCAACATGGTGAAACCCCGCTCTATTAAAAATACAAAAATTAGCCTGGCGTGGTGGTGGGTGCCTGTAATCCCAGCTACTCGGGAGGCTGAGGCAGGAGAATCTTTTAAACCTGGGAGACAGAAGTTGCAGTGAGCCGAGACTGCACCACTGCACTCCAGCCTGGGTGACAGAGCAAGATTCTGTCTCAAAAAAAAGAAAAATATATATATATGTGTGTGTGTGTGTGTGTGTGTGTGTGTGTATGCATATATATCTATACATATATAATAAAAAATAAAAATAACTGTAGGGGAATATGATCCTAGCAGATAGACCAATTAGGAGGTATTTGCCAAATACAAGTAAGATGTGATGGTGGTTGGGACTAGGGGAATAGCAGTGGAGGTGGTTAGAATAGTTCAGGCCTGACAGAATTCTCTGACATATTTGAAATGGAGGTAGAAGAAAGAACAGCCAAGAATGATTCCAAGATAATTTGGCCTGAACAAAGGGAAGAATGGAGGTAGCATGGGAGGAGCAGGTTTAAGGGAGTGGGTGAAATAAAGAATTCGGCTTTGGACATATCAGATTTACTACGTCTATTAGATGTCCAAGTCATAATTTCAATCAAACAAGTGGGTGTGTGATTCTTCGATCAGGGGAAAGTCATCAACATACAGATGGTATTTAATGCATGGGACTGAATGAGATCATCTAGTGAGCACAAATGGAGAAAAAAAAAAGGACAAAGGACCTAGACCTGGGCACTCCAACACTGGAAATCAAGATGATAATAAGGAATCAGCAAAGGAGACTTGAGCAGGAGTGACCAGCAAGGTACTAGTTGGAGAAACAGAGAACGATGTCTCTGTTGCCAAGGGGTTTGTTTCAAATAGCTGTTCATAAAGTTTTGAGTAGGTGCCTGTAAATTCAGGAGGTGATCAGAAATGTAGACCTGATCCAAAGAAACTAGTTAAGAGAATAAAGTAATAAAACAGGTATACTGCGTGTGTTGCTGCACATCCTGGGACCTTTGCCTTCCCAGTGTGTCAGCTCACCCACCTGCGAGTCCCTCCTCCTGTGGGTGAGGACTGCCCCGCTGAGCTCAGAAGTATGCAGTGAAGGGTTCTGCAGCCAGTAAGTACCACCTTCACCCCAGGCCAGGCAAATCCCTAGGGTCTCAGCCCTGGCATATCGATGACACGGGAGGCGGTATGTTTCAGTGGAAAGTCTTGGGCTTTGGAATCAAAAAGGCTTGAATTTGAACCTTGGCTTTACTGCCTGCTTGCTAGATGAGATTGGGCAAGTTCCTTACTTTTCCCCTTTTGTCAAATGGGAATAATAAATATTAGCCTAGGAGGATTGTTACAAGAATAAGAAATAATATATTGAACATAATTTTCTTGATGTACATTGCATACACACTAAATGGAAGCTATTATTATTACTATAGACAGAAAGTAAGGGCTATTGTCAAATTCAAAGCTTTCTGCTAGAACTATGGAGGGAAATGAACAAAGATGTAGACAAGATCAATATGAATGATCAGTGAAAGCTCTAGTAGTGGAACATCAGGACAAACTAAAGCCCAGGAAAACTCAAATACTAAGAAGATTTAGGGGATTATTGGCCCCTTACTCTTCTTATCTTCCTGGAAACCTACAGAAGACTTTCTTAGAGGCTTCCTAGCAGTGATCCTACTGCCTCTTGGGACACCTGACCTTATTGGATGAGGACACTTGCCAGTGGAACTGCCTGACCTTCATGAGTGCTGGCTCTACAAATCTGTCTCCTTGAGGCCAAGGGCTGTCCAGCTGTTTCTGAATCTCAGAGAGGATGGGACGTGAGAAGCCCTGATACTCAGGCTCCATATGGTGTGGCAACTGTGGCAAAGTTTAAAAAAAATCCTTTTGGGATTTCTACTTGAACTTGCTAAATAAGCACCACCAATATTGACCTTGAGGGAATGAGGAAAAGTCTGTTTTCATATGGATTGACCATCACCATTTGTTGGGAAGACTGAACTTTCTCCAATGCTCTTCATTGCAACTTTTGTACTAAATCAAACGTTTTATGTATGTGTCTGTTTCGAGCTCTTCAATCTATTCTATTGGTCTGTTTCACCTGTGCCAATTCCACATTGTCTTAATTATTACAACTTAAATATAAGGTTTAGTATTCAGTAGTTCTCGAACTCTGCTCTTTAAGACTGCCTTGGCTATTCTAGGCTATTGCCCTATTAATTTTAGAACCAGGTTTATTTCCACTAAAACAAAACGAAACGGAAGTTTGACTGGAGTTTTGTCTATAGATTCATTAGGAGAAAATGGACATCTTTATAATATTGAGCCTTCCAATCCATGAATGTAATATATTGTCAGGTTCATGACTACGCCAAATGTCATATTGAGGTCCGAAGGGAGTGGGTGGATGAGCAGAAAGAACACTCAGGAGGCTGTGGGCAGGTGAAAGATGAATTTACTCAGCAGCAGCTCTCATCAACAGCTTTCTCACACTGTCTGCCCTGTCTCAGCTGCTTAGTCCCGCAGCTCCCACATAGCTGCGTGCATGGCCAGCTCTCCCTTGCCTTCAGGGTCAGCAGCTTAACTCTTTCTCTCTTTGGGCATGAGTGAGCAGAGCTGTGTTCTGACTCCCCTATGTGTATCTGCAAAGACCGACAGCTTTGGCTCTCTCTTTCTCTTGGCATCAGCGCCTGTGCAGTGTCAGCAGGGCAATTATACCTTTTACAGACAATAGTGGCATAGGATCGAGAGATGGCCTTCCCATGTTATGGCTACATGGCTGTGATAACAAGTGGAGTTATACGCCTGCACTCTAAACTCCCTGAGTAACTCTGGCCCGGGTGTCTGCGTCAGCCTATTCCTTGATCAAAGCACAGCCGTTTTCCTTAAATATATTCTCCCATTTGTGTAAGTTTTCTTTACCTTCCTTCAAAACCATTTTGTAATTATCAGTGTAGAGGTTTTTTGTTTTTTGAGGTTTTTTTGAGACAAGGTCTCACTCTGTTGCCCAGGTTGGAGGGCGGTGGTGGCGATCACAGCTCACTGCAACCTCCACCTGCTAGGCTCAGGTGATCCTCTTCAGTCTACAAAGTAGCTGGGACTACAGGTGTGCACCACCAACCCCGGCTAATTTTGCGTTTTTTGTAGAGATGCCATGTTTCCCAGGCTATTCTTGAACTGCTGGGTTCAAGCGATCCTCCCAACTTGGCTGGGAGTGTCTTAACACATATTTTGTTAAATTTATTTTGAGATTTATGTTTCTGGACGCTTCTGTAGGTGGTATGGCTTTCAAAGTTTCTTTGCTAGTTTGTTTCTGGTGTAAATAACTAAAATAAATTTTGTGTATTGATTATATTCAGCCACCATCTAAATCCCCTTATTAATTTCAATAGCTTTTGGATTATTTGGCTACACCATCATATCGTCTACAAAGAGTGACCGTTTTGTTTCTCCTTCTTCTTTTTTAATCCTTACAATGTTATTTGTTTCTCTTGAATTCTTGCCCCAGCTAGGACCTTTAGTAAGTTTGTGCAAACATAATCACAGTTTTTGCATTGTTGACATTTGCCGTTTGATATTGGAATAATTCTTAAATAAATGGGGTTATGTTATATATCATTTTAATGCGCATTTCTCACTTTATGTTGTTTTGCTAATGACTTATTACTTGCTGTTTATTTTATGTTTATTTTAGACTATGGAAATGATGTTATACAAAAAGCAAATTCAAGTGATTTTCTTATTTGAGCTCAAAATGGTCATAAAGCAGTGGAGACAACTCGCAACATCAGCAATGCATTTGGAACTGCTAATGAACATACAGTGCAGTGGTGGCTCAAGAAGTTTTGCAAAGGAGATGAGACAGTTGAAGATAGGGAGCATAGTGGCCAGCCATCGAATGTTGACAATAACCAATTGAGAGCAATCATCGAAGCTGATCCTCTTACAACTACACCAGAAGTTGCCAAAGAAAGCAACGTTGACCATTCTATGGTTGTTCAGCATTTGAAGCAAATTGGAAAGGTGAAAAAGCTCGATAAGTGGGTGCCTCAGTGAGATGCACCGAAAACTCCAACACTTGCAGCGGGCATTGGTCAACAGAAAGGGCCCAATTCTTCCCCAGGACAATGCCCGACCACACATCACACAACCAACGCTTCAAAAGTTGAACGAATTGGGCTATGAAGTTTTGCCTGATCTGCCATATTCACCCGATCTCTCACCAACGGACTACCACTTCTTCAAGCATTTCAATGACTTTTTGCAGGGAAAATACTTCACAACCAGCAGGATGCAGAAAATGCTTTCCAAGAGTTTGTCAAATCCTGAAGCACAGATTTTTTATGCTAGAGGAATAAACAAATTTCTTGTTGGCAAAAGTGTGTTGTTTGCAATCGTTTCTATTCTGATTAATAAAGATGAGCCTAGTTATAAGGATTTAAAATTCACAGTCTACAGCTGCAATTACTTTTGCACCAACCAATAATATTAAAGAGAAGTGGTGATAGAGGTCAACCTTGTCTATGTCTTAGGAGAAAGGTGTTTAATATTTCACCAGGTGTTGGAGAAGAGATTCTACATAAGCCAATTAGGTCAAGCTTTTATTTTAATGAAAATATTTTTTGATGTCAACTTTCAGGTTCAGAGGGTACATATGCCTTGGTTATCTGTACACCTCCTTGGTTATCTGTATTCCTAGATATTTTGTGTGTGTGTTTGTGTGTGTGTGTGTGTTTACTGTCAATGGAATTGCATTTTGATTGCTCTCAACTTGAATACCATTGATGTATAGAAATACAACTGATTTTTGTACATTGATTTTGTATCCTAAAACTTTACTGAAGTCATTTATCAATTTTGGGACCCTTTTGGCAGTATCTTTAGGGTTTCATAGGTATACAATCATATCATTAGCAAAGGGAAAATTGGCTTCTTCTTTTCCTATTTGGATGCCTTTTCTTCCTTTCTCTTGCCTGATTGCTCTGGCTAGGACTTCCAGTACCACGTTAAGTAGGAGTGGAGGTAGTGGGCATCCTTGTCTTGTTCTAGTTCTCAAGGAGAATGCTTCCAGTTTTTGCTTATTCAGTATAATGTTGGCTGTGTTTGTCATAGATGGCTCTTATTAGTTTGAGGTATGTTCTCTTGAAGCCTAGTTTGTTGAGGGTTTTTATCATGAATGGATGTCAGATTTTATCAAAAGCTTTTTCTGCATCTGTTGAGATGATCATATGGTTTTTATTTTTAATTCTGTTTATGTGGTGAAACACATTTATTGATTTGCATATGTGTTGAACTAACCCTGTATCCTAGGAATAAAGCCCACTTGATTATGGCCAATTAATTTTTTGTCGTGTTTCTGGATTTGGTTGAGGATTTTTGCATCTGTGTTCAGCAGGGATATTGGCCTGTATTTTTCTTTTTTAGTTGTGTCTTTGACATATTTTAGTATCAGAGTCATGGTGGCTTTGTAGAATGAGTTGAGGAGGAGTTTCTTCTCCTCAATTATTTGGTATAGTATCAGTAGGATTAGTGCCAGCTCTTCTTTGTATGTCTGGTAGAATTCAGCTGTGAATTCATCTGGTCCAAGGCTCTTTTTGGTTGCTGGGTTTTTTATTTGATTCAATTTCAGAACTCAGTGTTGGTCTGTTCAGGGTTTTGATTTCTTCCTGATTCAGCCTTGGGAGGTTGTGTGTTTCCAGGAATTTATCCACTTCCCCTAAATTTTCTAGTTTGTGTGCAGAAAGGTGGTCATAATAGTCTCTGAGTATCTTTTGTATTTCTGTGAGATCAGTCATAATGACACCTTTGTCGTTTCTGAGTGTGCGTATTTGGATCTTCTCTCTTTTTTATTTGATTATCTAGCTAGTGGTCTATTGATCTTGTTTATCCTTTCAAAAAACCAGCTTTTAGTTTTGTTGATCCTTTGTATAGATTTTGGGGTCTCAACTGTACTCAGTTCTGCTCTGATTTTAGTTATTTCTTTTCTTCTACTAGATTTGGGGTTAGTTCTTATTATTCCAGTTCCTCTAGGTTCAATATTACACTGTTAATTTGAGATCTTTCTAACTCCTTGATGCAGGCCTTTATAGCTATAAATTTTCCTTCTAACACTGCTTTTGCTGCATCTCAGAGATGTTGGTATGTTATGCTTCTGTTTCCATTTATTTCAAAGCATTTTTTGATTTCTGCCTTAATTTCATTGTTTACCCAAAAGTCATTCATGAGTAAGTCATTTAATTTCCATGTAACTCTGTGGTTTTGAGAGATCTTCTGGTATTGATTAGTATTACTATTCCACTATGATTTGAAAGTATGGTTGGTATGATTTCAACTTTTTTGAATCCATTGAGACTTGCTTTATGGCTGATCATGTGGTTGATCTTAGAGTATGTTCTGTGTGCAGATGAGAAGAATGTATATTCTCTGGTTGATGGGTTGTGTGTTCTGTAGGTGTCTGTTAAGTCCTGTTGTTCAAGTGTCAAAATTAAGTCCAGAATTTCTGTTAGTTTTCTGCCTCAATGATCTGTCTAACACAATCCAGTGGGATGTTGAAGTCCCCCACTATTATAGTGTGGCTGTCTATGTCTTTTCATAGGTCTAAAAGTACTTGTTTTATGAATCTGGGTGCTCCAATGTTGGGTGCATATATGTTTAGGATAGTTACGTCTTCTTGTAGAATTGAACCCTTTATCATTATTTAATGCCCTTTGTTGACCTTTTTGATCATTGTTTGTTTAAAGTCTGTTTTATCAATATTAAGAATGGCAACCTCTGCTCTTTTTTGTTTTCCATTTGTGTGATAGATCTTTCTTCAACCCTTTACTTTGAGCCCTGGGTATCATTACATATGAGATGGATCTCTTGAAGACACATGGGACTTGTTTATCTAACTTGCCACTCTGTACCTTTTAAGTGGGGTGTTAAGACCATTTACATTCAAGGGTAATATTGATAAGTGAGGGTTTTTTGTTTGTTTGTTTGTTTTTTTCTTGAGATGGAGTCTTGCTCTGTCACCCAGGCTGGAGTGCAGTGGTGTGATCTCGGCTCACTGCAACCTCTGCCTCCTGGGTTCAAGCAATTATCCTATCTCATTCCCCCAAGTAGTTGGAATTACAGGCACCCACCACCATGCCCAATTAATTTTTGTATTTTTAGTAGAGACAGGGTTTCACCATACTGACCAGGCTGGTCTCAAACTCCTGACCTCAAGTGATCCACCCACCTCGGCCTCACAAAGTGCTGGGATTACAGGTGTGAGTCACTGTGCCCGGCTGATAAGTGTAGTTTTAATCCTGTCATCATGTTGTTAGCCGGTTGTTTTGTAGACTTGATGGTGTAGTTGCTTCATAGGTTCTGTGGTTATACACTTGTGTGTTTTTGTGGTACCAGATTTATTCTTTCATTTCCATCTTTAGAACTTTCTTAAGGACCTCTGATAAGGCTAGTTTAGTGTTAACAAATTCCCTTAGAGTTTACTTGTTTGGAAAGGATTTTATTTCTCCTTCGCTTATTAAGCTGAGTTTGGTGGAATATTAAATTCTTGGTTGGAATTTCTTTTCATTGAGAATGCTAAAAATGAGGCCCCCAATCTCTTCTGGCTTGTAAGGTTTCTGCTGAGAAGTCCTCTTTTAGCCTGATGAGGTTCCTATTGTATGTGATCTGACCTTTTGCTCTAGCTGCCTTAAAGAATTTTTCTTTAGGGTTGAACTTAGTCTCTGTCTATATGCCTTGGTGATGCTCATTTTGTATATTATCTGGCAGGTGTCCTCTGGATTTCTTGTATCTGGATGTCTACCTCTTTAACAAGATTAGGGAATTTTCTTGAATTATTTCCTCAGATATGTTTTCCAGGTTGTTTATTTTTTCTCCTTCTCTCATAGGAATGCCAATAATTTGCAGGTTTCATTGCTTTATATAATCCCATCTTTCTTGGAGACTTGGTTAATTTTTTAATGTTCTTTTGTCTTTATTTTTGTCCAGCTGGGTTAGTTTGAAAGACCAGTCTTCAAGCTCTGAAATTCTTTCTTCTACTTCATGCAGCCTTTTGTTAATGCTTTCCATTATATTTTGAAATTTCTTAAATGAGTTTCTCAGTTCCAGTAGCTGTGATTGATTTCTTCTTAAGATGTTTATCTCTTCTTTCGTTTCCTGCATTGCTTTTGAAGTTTCTTTGTGTTGATTTTCAGCCCCATCTTGGATCTTGTTGAGCTTCCTTGCAATCCACGCTTTGAATTCTTTTTCTTTTTTCTGAGACGGAGTCTCGTTCTGTTGCCCAGGCTAGAGTGCAGTGGCGCGATCTCGGCTCACTGCAAGCTCCGCCTCCCGGGTTCACGCCATTCTCCTGCCTCAGCCTCCCGAGTAGCTGGGACTACAGGCGCCCACCACCACGCCTGGCTAATTTTTTGTATTTTTAGTAGAGACGAGGTTTCACCGTGTTAGCCAGGATGGTCTCGATCTGACCTTGTGATCCGCCTGCCTTGGCCTCCCAAAGTGCTGGTGAATTATTTATCTGTCATTTCTGGGTTTTCATTTTGATTAGGGGCCATTGCTGGAGACATAGTGATACTTTGGTGGTACCTCAACATTCAGGTTTTTCATGATGCCAGAATTCTTACACTGGTTCCTTCTCATCTGGAGAGGAGTGGATTGGGTAGAGTCTTTGGGCTTTGTTTCTATAGCCCTATGCACTTCTATTGGCGGATTTTATATTGGGCTGTGTGGTTTGCCCTACAGGCCAGTAGATGGTGCTTGTGGGTAAGAGTCAGCTGCAGCACAAGCAGGTAGGTGTGTACCTGTTCTTTGTTTACTGTGAGGTGCTCTCTGTTGTTTCAGGTGAAGGACTAGACAGTGGAGTGCCTGGTGCTCTGAGCTTCCTGTTCTGTGGGAGTGGGGAAACACAGCTGGGCAGAGATTGAGGCCCTGATTTGCCCATGAATACCCCAGTGGCAAGTGCAGGCACCAGCCCTGCTGAGGGTGGCTGGGAGGAGCTCCTGGTGAAGTGCCTGGAGCCTCTGAGAGGGGGTAAGGGTGGTGTACCTGCTCCCCATCCTAGGTAGGCAGGAACTTGATTCGTTTCCCTATCACACCCCTGTTACAGGGCTTCTGATTCATAGTTTATTTATTTATATTAAAATTTTGTTATTTTAATAGTTTTTGGGGAATAGGTGATTTTTTATTACATGGAGAGTTCTTAAGTGGTGATTTCTGAGATTTTGGGGCACTTGTCATCCGAGCAGTGTACACTGTGCCATTAGTCTTTTATGCCTCATCCCCCCCACCCTTCTCCTTGAGTCTCCAAGGTCCATCATATCATTCTTATGCCTTTGCATCCTCATAGTTTAGTCCCTACTTATAAATGAGAACATACGATATTTGATTTTCCATTTTTTAGTTACTCTACTTAGAATAATGGTCTCCAACGCCGTAGAAGTTGCCGCAATTGCCATTATTTCATTTCTTTTTATGGCTGAGAGGTATTTTATGGTGTATATATACTGCATTTTTTTTAATCTACTCATTGGTTGATGGACATTTAGGTTGGCTCCATATTTTTGCAATTACAAATTGTGCTGCTGTAAATATGAATGTGCAAGTGTCATTTTCATATAATGACTTCTTTTCCTTGCTGGATCAAATGGTAGTTCTACTTTTAAATTTTTAAGGAATCTCCATACTGTTTTCCATAGTGGTTGTACTAATTTACATTTCCCTCATCAGTGTAAAAGTGTTCCCTTTTCACCACATCCACACCAGCATCTATTATTTTATGATTTTTAAATTATGGTCATTCTTGTAGGAGTAAGGTGGTATCACATTGTGATTTTAATTTGCATTTTTCTGATAGTTAGTGATGTTGAGCATTTTTTCTTATGTTTGTGGGCCATTTGTATATCTTCTTTTGAGAATTGTCTATCCATGTCCTTTTCCCACTTTTTGATGGAATTTTTTTTTCTTGCTAATTTGTTTGAGTTCCTTATAGATTCTGGATTTTAGTCTTTTGTCGAATGCATTGTTTGTGAATATTTTCTTCCACTCTATGAGTTGTCTATTTACTCCGTGGATTATTTCTTTTGCTGTGCAGAAGCTTTTTAGTTTAATTAGATCCCATTTATTTATTTTTGTTTTTGTTGCATTTGCTTTTGGGTTCTTGGTCATCAATTCTTTGCATAAGCCAATGTACAGAAGTGTTTTTCTGATGTTATCTTCAAGATTGTGCAGTGGCACTATCTTGGCTCACTGCAACCTCTGCCTCCTGGGTTCAAGTGATTCTCCTGCCTCAGCCTCCCGAGTAGCTGGGACTACAGGCACCTGCCACCACTCCTGGCAATTTTTTTTTTCTGTATTTTTAGTAGAGATGGGGTTTCTCCCTGTTGGCCAGGATGGTCTCCATCTCTTGACCTCATGATCCACCCCCCCTCGGCCTCCCAAAGTGCTGAGATTACAGGCATGAACCACCATGCCCGGCCTCTTCAAACTTTTTTAACAAGTCTTGGCTTTGCCGTTCGATTTGATTTTCTAAAAGGAAAAGCTTACTTGAATAAGGTGGAAGAGAAATAAGGGAAGCTTTAGTAAGTACTGTTTGTACAATCCTTTGTATGAGCCTACAGATGCATGGTATGACACAACCTTAACAAGAATGAATGCACTTATTATGACAGCAAGAGAAATAAGAATTGAGGCTATGATTCCTTTCCATTTACTAAACTACTTTCTTAGCTATCCTGAAATAGGGTCATTGACTCTAGAATTTTTAGTTAATTCATTGGATAAAGCGAAAAGTACTTGCAAGGCCTTTGTTATGCTCCTATTGGGGTCATTGTTGTTTGAGATGAAGGTACAACATTGGGTTTTAATCATAACACAAACTCTACTTTTTGGTCAATAACATGTCTAGAGCTATTCTGTTTTCCTAAGCCATTTGGCTAGTAGGCCTTAATTGGCCAGCTACTCTTTTGATAGCATCCTTGGTGTAATTAATAAACCACTGATGATTATAATAGATGTAATTTATCTAAGCTACATTTTTATTAATAGTTATCTGTAAAAATATAGATTCAAATCTTGCAGCTATTTGGTCATGGGCTTTGAATCTGTCAGGCACTCCCTGTGGGACTCTAATGGCATCTATGTAAACTTGAGAGTCAAAAGACCCATAAGGGGCTTCTCTTATTTTTCAGTGTTGTGGTTTTTCTTTTTCTGGTTGATGAAATGCTAGAGTGAAAGGGATAGCCAATTGGACAAGAGCACAAGTGCTGCTCCAGTTACTTGGCAGAGTGTCCATTAAGGGTCCACTGCAATACTACTATACGTCTGCTCGAGGATGACTAAGGGCAGACTGATGGGTAAGCTCTTGGAAGGGCTTGAGCTCACTACATCTTGTTAAGCTTCTAAGGAATACCAAGTTCTCCCCCTGTTGTGTGAGACACAAGGTGAAATTGATGTTGGGAGATGGAAGCTGGATGGCCCTTGGGGGCTGCCTTCAGGGTGTTGAACTTCAGGATGTAACAGAGAGAGAGCTTGGCATGACTTGTTGCCACAGGCTGTGGAATCCTGGAAAAGAGCTACTATACAGCTTATGTCTGGTAGACTGAAGGACTGTCTCAGTGGAAAGGGGACAATCTGGGCCTCTGGTCTGCCATGCGCACAAGCATAACAATTGCTTTTGTTTAACATGTGGATGGAATATTGGATCTATTGCAACCAGGCATTTACATCTTGATATCCTGTTTCAACTGCTAGAGTTTGTCTTAGATCCTTCACTTCTACAATATTTACTTTGGCATTGTTGTCGGGCAGGGTAGAAGGTTTAGAAGGAGAAGGGAAGGGGGGCAATAAAGCATATTTTGAAAAAGCCTATAGGGTCGTATCTATTGTCCTCTGCTCCTAAGCTGTAAAAGCATTCTAAAGGGGGTGCAGGGTTGGTGGAGGTAGGGGCATTAATGGAGATAATCACTGATCCAACGGTAAGGTTGACAGTTAGAGGGGGTGGTTCTTTTGGAAAGGCAGAGGTAAGATTTAGGTTGGTACAGCCTTTTGTGGGGAAGTCCTGCCATGTTCTCTGGTGGTTAGGATGACATCTGCCTTTTGAGAACATATTTCTTAACTTGGGGTGTCTTGGTACCTCCGCCATGAGCAAGGCGCAGGGTCAGTGGCTTCTCTGAAGTGGTAGAGATATTTTTCTAAAGTAGAGATTTGCCTTTGCCATTGTTCGTACTCCTCACAAGGTATAACAAGGCAAGCATCAAAGGTAATGATATGGGGTGAGTCTGACTTAGTTACCTTGATAACAAGGTCAGCAATAGAATGAGGAAAGAAGAAAGAATAATAGAATAGATGAAAGAGAGTTAAACTTTTCTTAGCTTTAGTTTGAGGGAGTTCTCCTCTTGGATAATGGCCTATGACTTCAGGGGTGGCGGTGCTTTCTTGACTTGGGTGTGATGGGTCCATCCTTTTTCTGCTGTCCAGACTGCAGTTTCAGTGGTTAGAAGCACTAGGTAAGGTCCCTCCCAGGTTGGCTTGAGTTTTCCTTCTTTCTAGCTTTTGATGAGGACGTGATCCTTGGGCTGATGCTGATGTGCCGGGAACTCTAGAGATGGCACTTATACTATGAGACTTTTGGTTTCAAGAAAAGAGAAAGTAGAGGAGAGACCAAGTATGTAATTCCTGAGGAATTGGTCTTTTGTTTTAAATGTGGGAATGTCAGCAGTGGAGTGTAAATAAGGCACTCTCTAGACTATCTCATAAGGAGAAAGGCTTATACTTTCTGAGGGGCAGTCCAGATTTTTAACAGGGCAACAGGAAGGTATTTGGTTTATGGTGACTGAGTCTCTAGAACTGATTTGGTTAAGTGGTTCTTTAAAATCTGATTTGTCTTATTTACTTTCCTTAATGAAGATGGGTGCCAAGGAGTATGATATTTAATGTCTAGGGCTTGGGATAGCTTTTTAATGATTTTAAACTTGGACACTATATTTTCAATTAATGCTATAACTGTATTATTGGCTATTGCATCTGCAAAGGGAATAGCTTTGACTTAGTGAGTGAGGTGATTTATTACCATTAATAAGTATTTTAGATGACTTATTGGAGATGTCTCTGTAATCAATTTAGGTACTTTGGAGTGGTCTTAAGCTTGGACTCCTTCTCCTGAGGGGTAATTTCTTTTGTAGTTCGTTTATCAGTAAGCAACTATCTGTAACTTGTTTGGCCAGGGTATAAATTCTCATACATTTATAAATTTTAAGAACTGTGTTACACATGGTTTGGGGTCCCTAGTGGGTCTTCTGATGCAGATGGGACAGGATATCTTTTTGTTGTCCTGTTTGTTAACAAGATAGAGAAAGTTCATTCTGAGCTTTCTCTAGCATCTATTTTTCATTAGCTTTTCTTTCTCAGTGGCAGAGAAAACAGGGATCAGGGTAGGAGGAGGAAGGTAAGGAGTTAAGTGGAAAACAGACATTTCAGAAGAAACAGCGGCCTGCTTGACTTATCTGATCTGCTACGTTATTTCCTTGATTCTTGAAAGACAAGCTTTTTCTGGTGTCCAGGGACATGGACAGACAATAGTTATTTCTTCTGGCACTGAAGGTTATTCAATACTTGGGTGATTAACTCCTTATGAACAAGGTTTTGGCCTTTACTATTAATAAGACTTTATTCAGTCTAAAACTTTTTTAAATGTATAAGGCTTGACTAAGTGCAAACAGCTCACAAGTTTGAACAGACTAATTATTAGGCAATTTTCCTGACTCTATTTCTTTAAGAGCTTCTCTATCAATTACTGAACACCTGTTGTGTCTTTTTCCTTCAATCACTTGGGAGGAATCACCTATAAACAAGTATTGTCTCATCCTGAAAGGAATTTCTCCTAGATTTGGATCTCTTGTTAAGAAACTTGCTGGGTCAAGTGAAGTATTAGTAGTTAACGTAAATCATCCTTTTTTTTTAATAGAATAGTTTCATACTTACACACAAGTAATACTTTTCTAGTGGTACATTTCTACTTCTAACACTGGCTCAACTACAACAAATGCTAGTGGATATATCAGCTGGAAGATTATTTACTTGCTTAGGAAAATTAGCTGTGGGGGTGCCTAGCTGCCTGGAGCTTCAGCTGAAGCCTTGCACTACTTGGCCCTGGCAGAAGTAAGGCAGACGTCCTATAATACAGGCTGCTCAGGGTATGGGCTGTGGCCCGATCTGCATGTCCTGTGGAGGCGCCATTGACATGGTGCCTGCACGCCGGACCAGCTGGGAGGCAGGAGTGTGGGCTCTGCCAATCATGGGGGTGCAACAGGGGCCAGACAATGCCGACGACACATTGTGGCAGATCTTTGACACTGACAACCTAACAAAAGCTGCCTGGTGACCTAGGTGCCTGGACAGGCGAAGGATCTGAAGTGGGGTCAGGGACAGAAACGACTGCTTGAGGGGAAGGGTTGAGGGCACTGAGAGGGGAAGACGGTCTAGGGGATCCTATGTGCTAGAGTATTTAGGCATGGGAAATGGCTTTTCTAACTTTTCATTATCTTTCTAACATTTTCACATGAAACTTAGGGGACTATTGGAGGAGGTATTTTTAGTATCATCTTTATCTTTTTTATTCCTTGTCTTGCTTGGGGTATGTCTTATGTTGGGTCCTAGTTAGGCTCAGTCCCTCGTATTAGAAATTTCTTGCCTATCCTTTTCTGCAGGCTTATTGAGGCTCAATTTTTCATATTAGAAATTTCTTGCCTATTATTCCTTGGGGGACTTGTTAAGGCTCAATCCTTCATATTAAGGATTTCATGCCTATCCTTTAGCCTTACCTGCTGGAGGGTCTTTGCACTTTACTTTCACTTCATCCACTCTGGCTGCTTCCTTGGCGGGAATGTTTCAGGTCCTTCTTAGCATTGATGGTGGGTCAGTATAAACCCCTGATGGGACCCCCAAAGGGCTGCCCTAAGCTGTATAAGGTGACCACAGAACTGCAGATTGGACTCACTCACTCTGCACAGCAGTAGTGCTTAGTACCACTCACACAAACAGCACCACAAATAGTAGCGCTTGTGATCATTCATACACACTTTCAACCTCCAGAATTCTGACCACCAAGGAAATACTCTGTTGCCCCTGTGACTTTTCTTACTTTAGTCTGTGCACAGAGTTACCTGGTTGCCACGGTATGTGAGCCTCATTTCTTCAAGTTGCCAGCTTTTTTATTCCTTGCATTGCTGAGAGTTTGGGTTTATTTGTCTCACTGTGTGGGTCTCATTCCTTTACCCCTGAGGCCACCACAACTAGGCAGCAGGGCACATCTCCTCACAGGAGAGGACTAGAGGCCCTTCCTCAGAGGAGAATGGGAAACCTGCACAAGCCCCCAGAGGAGAATGGGAATCCCGGATGAGCTCCCAGATTGTTGGAGATAAAAATGCTCTAGAAATAAATGCTTGGTACCACAAAGTGAAACCAGCACTCAGGCAAAAGTTTTCTCAGCAAAGCAATTTACTTCTGCAGACGGGTGCTACTCGTGTCAATCAGGGTCGCAAGAGCACAGGGAACAAAGGAAAGCAGGGGGTTTTTATAGTTAATGCAATTCCTACCTCTGTGTCTCTTCCCCATGGGCTGGGATTGGACCACACAATCTAAACTGACCTGATTAGCTACTTGTAAATATTTTTCTAAATATGGAAGGGAAGGGGGACATGAGGTACAGTGGTGAAGCATGTGAGATGTACAGTTTTGGGGGAACAATGGGTGCAGGTAACTAAGAGAAAAGATGTGAGCTATTGATTAGAGCTGACGGAAAGGGGGTAGGCTGTTTACAGTAACTAGGAGCAAGGTGGCATGTAGAACAAGAAAGTTAGATTTGAGAACAAAGGGCAAGGAAGTTAGCAGGCTAAACTTTTGAAGAGAAACTCACAGAAATTCATCGTATCCTACAAGACTTTCCCTACTGCACCCAGCACTACAATTGGGTCTTTGCTGTGAGAAACTACCCACCAGCCAAAATATCTGCTTTTCAGATTCTTTTGTCTTACAGGGTGATCCCTTGATATGGTGCTCTCCCCCTACCCCTAGGGATGCGGCTTCCTGAGAGCTGGACTGCAGCAATTGTTACTGTTCTTCTGTGTCCAGCCACCCAGCAGAGCTAACAGGCACTGGGCTGGTGCTAGGGAATGCCTACAAAGAGTCCAGTGATGTGACCAGGCTTCAGGTCTCCCAGCCATGGATACCAGCACCTGCTCTGGTGGAGGTGGCAGGGGAGAAACATAGACTTTGTGAGGATCTTTGGTTGTAGATATGTTTAGTGTGCTTTCTCAAATGCTGGTTATGCTAGCAGTGAAGTTGCCACTCAGATGGACTCAGGACCTCTGGTTAGCCCACATGTTGTAGGCAGTGGAATTAGCTGTTGATTTCTTCTTCTTGGGAGCAGTGTTATTGTCATGAGTTTCTGTAATCAGCTGAGTTGGTTGGCCTCCAGGCAGGAGGTAGCACTTGGAAGAGAGCACCAGCTACAGTATTAGCAGTGGGATATAAGCTTGCCCTACATTGGCTAGGGGAAGTGTTCTGGTTTCTCACGCAATGGTGGAAGGGGGGCACAAAGCTCCCTAGGGTTTATGTCTTTTGTGTTTGGCTACCAGAGTGCGTAGAGAAATACCATCAGGTTGGGGGAGGGCTAGGCAGGCCTGAGCTCACTCTTTTTGGACAGGGCTTGCCATGGCCACTGTGGGGGAAGGAGGGGTGGTTCTGAAGCCAATGGAGTTATGTTCTAGGGGAAAGTATGGCTGCCTCTACTTAGCAGTATTGTTCACCAGGGAAGTAGGGGATAGCTGGTAGCAAAAGGCCTTACCCAGCTCCTATGCAGTTGGTGAGGCCAATCTCACTCCCACGGTGCCCCGCTAATGGCACTGAGTTTATATCCGGGCAGCCTGCACAGAGAACTCAGACTTGCCCCAGGCCATAAGATTCCCTGCTGAGAAAGCAAGCAGGGCTTTCAGGCCTTGCCCCTCCCCATCTGCTCACAATGGTGGCAGCTTCTGCACTTGTATCTGCAGCAGTTCCTGTTCACTCCCCCACTAGTCTCCATCCTGGATTCTATTCAAGGAAGTCCATGCCCAATAGAGATTATCACAAAATTCACTTGGAAGCTTCTTTCACCCTGTGACCCCTCCCTAATTCTGCTGGCTGCCTTCCCTAAGGACCCCTGTGAATCAGGGTTGGTTTCCCCTAGCTTGAGCTGGAGACTGGGAGTGGCTGCAAGTCTCTTCCCACTGCTGTTTCTACTTTTATATTTCGTGTGGCTCTCTAAATCCATTCAAGCTGTAGGTAAGGTTAAGTCCTTCTCTGGTGATCTGGGTTTTCAGATTCCCCAGTGGGGATGTGTGTTCAGAGGCAGGTTTCCCCCGCTCACACTTTGGGAATTCACAGCTTTTCACCTGTGTATTAGTCTGTTCTCAAGCTGCTAATAAAGACATACCCGAGACTGGGTAATTTATAAAGGAAGAGGTTTAATTAACTCACGGTTCACCATGGCTGGGGAGGCCTCAAGAAACTTATAATCATGGTAGAGGGGAAGCAAATAGGTCTTTCTTCACATTGTGGGATCAGAAAGAAGTGTCCAGCAAAAAGGGGGACAAGCCCCTTATGAAACCATCAGATCGCATGAGAACTCACTATCATGAGAACAACATGAGGGTAACTGCCGCCATGATTACATTACCTCCCACCAGTTCCCTCCCATTACATGTGGGGATTATGGGAACTACGTCTCAAGATGGGGTTTGGGTGGGGACACAGCCAACCATATTGACCTGTCTTTCTGAGTTTGCAGCAGTGTGCCATTTCTTTCAAAGATCTCTCAATTCTTTCAGTTTTCCTGGTACATTTGTGTGTGGTTCTTGGAACAAAAGTTCACAGTGTGAATCTCCACACACTGTTCTGTCCATCCAAGTGGGAGATGCACGTTAACCCTGCCTCCTATCTGCCGTCTTCCGAAGCTCTTCTCCTGACTCCTAGTTTAAATGCACATTGTAGTCTATCTCCAGACCACAGTGTGGTTGAGAGCCATGGGAAATGTCTGTTTTGTGACTCTCCAAGGACATGGTTTCAGACATAACCCCGTCACTCAAACTGATACAGATAGCTTTAAGGCTCGCCTGTTCTCTGATGTGGCAGTATTGCTGCTTCTTGCAAAGCTGGGACCCCCCCCTTTAGGCCCGTGTAAGTGGGCGTTCATTGTGGTGGTGTTGGGTGGGTGGGTTGGCCTGACCTCAGGCCCTGGAGGAAGTGGTCAGGTGCCAGCAGAGTTGGAATGCGATAGGTAGTTCCCCAGTTCCCAGGCCCCTAGTGGGTGAATATATACAGACCTGGTGGATAGCATATATGGGTCCTGAAAGGGCTGGACATTTTTAGCTATGTCTAGTTTTCTACACAGCTCATCCATTGAGTTTTTAACTTCAGTTATTATTTTTATCTGTTATGAAATTTGCATTCAATTTTTATTCCATTCTTCTCATGAAATTCTCCATCTAATTTATATTCTTAAACAAATTAAATACAATCTTTTAAAAGCCTGTGTGTATCTGATAATGCCAATATCTGGATCATCTGTGGGTTTGATTTTATTTCTGTTTTTTTCTCTAGTCCTGTCCCATAGTATACTTGATACTTTTAAAATTAAATGTCATACATATATATGAAAAATTATATAGGATCTGGATAATATTATATTCATCCAGAGAAGATGTAGCTTCTTTTTGCCATGCAGTGAAAATAGGCACAGCTCTCTTTATCTTTGTGATTAAACTGGTTTCTGGGTTTCAGCTTTGATAAAGACTATTTTTTATTCACATGTGCTTTTTGTTGTTGTTGTTGTTGTTGAGACGGAGTCTCCCTCAGTCACCAGGCTGGAGTGCAGTGGTGCGATCTCGGCTCACTGCAACCTCCGCCTCCAGGGTTCAAGCGATTCTCCTGCCTCAGCCTCCCGAGTAGCTGGGACTACAGGTGTGTGCCACCACGCCTGGCTAATTTTTGTATTTTTAGTAAAGACGGGGTTTCACCATGTCGGCCAGGATGGTCTCGAGCTCTTGACTTCGTGATCTGCCCGCCTTGGCCTCCCAAAGTGCTGGGATTACAGGCATGAGCCACCGTGCCTGGCCCATATGTACTTTTAAGATATAGATTTTCAGGAGTCCCAACTAATAGTTTGGGGCATCTTCTAGGATCTCAACTCCTTGGCAGACTTTGAAATAATTTTTATCTCCCTGTTCAGAGAGAATACCTGAAGTTTGACTCAGCTTCCTAACCTGCTGCTTTGCATGTTAAGAGTCAGAAAACGCCTTGAGGGGTACCCATTCAGAGTTAACTTCTCCATATTTACTTTCTCTCCAGGATTTTGGCTTCTTACATCCTTGTTCTCTTTTCATTCTCAAACCACTACTTTTATTTCTCTAACATCAAGAGACTACCAAAAGCTCTGTTCAGCATCTTCGCCTCTTTGAGAGCCATTTTGCTTGGCTTCTGAGCCTCTTGCTCCTGCACTGATGAATAGTTGACAAATTACTTAAGAGGAAAAGTTGAGAAGAATATGGCAATCACCTTTATGCATATTCCTAAGGACCATCCGCTCGACTTAGATTTAGCAGAAAGAAGGTAACTCTGGTTTTCAGAAAATAAAAACCCAGATATTTTAGTTAGGATTCTAGTCTTTATTTTAGCCTCTTTAGGATGTTTCCAGTCTAAGGATTGAGTCTAAAGACTAATACCCACAGGAAAGTTTCAAATACTTCTGTTTGACCAAGGGTGGCAAAGACCTGGCACATGTGTGGCTATTTTTCTATCTGGCTCCAATTGTGGTTCTGGCTAAGTGATCATGGCACCCCTTTTTTGTGACTCCAGAAAATGTGTTAGAATCCTTACCAACAAAACACACAAGCCAGGACTTGGCTTACACAAGAAACTTGTCAGACATGCCTGTCTTCGGCATTAGGCTTGCGATTGGGCTGCTTGTCATGAGGTGAATAGTAACGTCATTCAGGGTGTCAGCCCAAGGCTAGAGTCATTGATTAGATATCTGGTTGTGCACAGCATTGGTACAGGACCCAGGCATATAACTCAGTGTCTTCTCCACCTCTTCTTGATCCTGCTTATTGTAAATGAAAAATAAAATTCCAGGTCCCCCAACCATCTGAATGGATCCCTTATCTCAACCAAGGGCATTCCAAAGTTAACCTGAAAAACGAGTTCAGGCCTTGATGGGAAGGTGGTGTTGGACATGCCTGATTATACCTCCTCCCTTTCAGAATTACTGATGGAACAGATTAATTAAGTCTGATAAGAAACATTTACATTCTTTTCTCCCTGAAGCCTTGCTACCTGGAGTCTTCACCTGAATGATAAAAGCCTGGTCTCCACAATCCCTTACCTCAACCTGGACGTTCATTTTTATTGGTTCCAAGTCTTTAGATAATAACCAAATGCCAATCGCAAAATCTTTGAACCCACCCATGACCCGAAAGCACCCTCCTACCCACCACTTCCAGTTGTTCCACCTTTCCAGACTGAACCAATACACATCTTAACATGTATTGACTGATAGCTTATATCTTCCTAAATTACATAAAACCAACCTGTAGCCTGACCCCCTTGGGCGCATGTTCTCAGGACTCCTGAGGGCTGTGTCATGGGTATTGCTCACTCATATTTGGCTCAGAATAAACCTCTTCAAATATTTTACAGAGTTTGACTTTTTTTGCTGACATTTTGTATAGTGGTAGAGTCCAATGGTGAGTTTGTAAACTGATTTCATACTAATGAGTTAGTATTGTAGTCCCTTTTAAAAGAAATATTGCTAACCCAAGCTGGCCTACCCAAAGCATGTTTGGGTCGGGGAAGAGTACACATGGAGGCCCTAGGCCCACCCCCCACCATTTTTTATCTCACTGTGGATGGCGTTGTGCATGTGGATGTGACACCCCAGCTTATATATAGAGGGTCTGTAAACAATCCTCCCAACAGGGAACTCCTAGGCACCCTTCTGCCCAGGGTGCCATGCCTAGGTACATGGCTCTGCTCTCACGAGCATGAGGAGAAGACTGGGCAGGTCCTAGGAGGGACTCAGAGCTGTTTGGGCAGGGTAATGGGATTCTGGTTACCAGAGTGTGGTCTGGACAAGGTGACTGGCACAGTCCCCCTGACATCAGTCTCCTTGGTCCTTCCAGAGCAGTGCGTGGTGGGGGCAGCATAGTCAGAGTGGCTGGACAAGGCAGAGCCCACTAAAGCCTGAGGCCCAAGGCAGGACACCAACTGCCCACGTCTGAGGACAGTACTAAACCCAAATTGCTCTGCCTAGTGGCATTTCAGGCAGTATTATAAATAGATATTGAAAAATACAGGCAGAGTGAAGAACAGGTAACTCAGGGTAGTCTGCCCACAGGCTTAGCTTCACTAAGCCATTTTACTAATTTTCTTCCTTTCCTCTTCTTGGGAATCAGAGAGCTCACAGAAATCTCCAGGCTTGTTTTTTTTGACTCACAAGACTTTCAAATTGGCAGCTGCAGTTAGTGAGGAGGGAGGGAAAAAGATAGAGATGGGAGTCCATTTAGGAAGGACAGAGATGTGTGTGGGGAGGGAACATTTATTCCCAGGAGAGGGCTCCAGTGATCTGTGCTCCGCTTTGCTGACTCTTTTGCTACTCTTCCCTTTCTACCCCATCCCCAGGCTCTCAAATTACAGACTTTAAACTGGGCATAGTATGTCTTCCCATTTCCAAACTGTCCGTCTGTAGATGGGGAAGGAAAACCGTAGAAAATATCCATGGAAGTGTAGACAAGTGACTGTGTTACCTGCTGACGCCTGGTTCAGGTAGCTTGGCCCTGTTGCTCCTCTCAATACCTTGGGGTCAGTCAGAGCTAAAGGTGACAGTCAGAAATAGAATGTGTAGGCTGGGCACGGTGGCTTACGCCTGTAATCTCAGCAATTTGGGAGGCCAAGGCAGGTGGATCACTTGAGGTCAGGAGTTCAAGACCAGCCTGGCTAACATGGTGAAACCCCATCTCTGCTAAAAAATGTGGTGGGGGACACCTGTAAACTCAGATACTCGGAAACTGAGGCAGAAGAATTGCCTGAACCCGGGAGGCAGAGGTCGCAGTGAGCCAAAATCATGACACTACACTCCAGCCTGGGCAACAAGAGTGGAACTCCGTCTAAAAAAAAAAAAAAAAAAGATATGGAATGCGTAGCTGGGTGCTGTGGCTCACACCTATAATCCAAGCTACCTGGGAGACTGAGAGTTCAAGACCATCCTGAACAACATAGCACGACCCCATCTCTTAAAAAAAAGGAAAAGAAAAGAAACAGAATGTGAAAATCTCTAAGGGGGCTGGCCTCCTTTACTCTGGATGTTCTTGAAATTCAGCCTAGCTCTTTTACTTAGTGAGCTCTTTATGTCTTTCTCCCACATGTGTACAGTTCTCTCTCTCTCTCTCTCTTCCTCTTTGTCTCACCAAATCTAGGAAAGAAAATTATCCTACTTTGTGTGCTGGTGGTGTTGTCTGTGAGCTTCTTAGTGGAATACTGGAAGGCCCACCCTGCTTCCATCTTTCTGACAAGGTCCAGGCTGTATTGTTTTAAAAGTAATGCCCTTGGCTGGGTGCGGTGGCTCATGCCTGTAATCCCAGCACTCTGGGAGGCCGAGGCGGGCGGATCACGAGGTCAGGAGACCAAGACCATCATGGCTAACACGGTGAAACCCAGTCTCTACTAAAAATAATAATAATAAAAACAATTAGCCAGGCATGGTGGCACGCACCTATAGTCTCAGCTACTCTGGAGGCTGAGGCAGGAGAACTAATTGAACCCGGGAGGTGGAGATTGCAGTGAGCTGAGATCATGTCACTGCACTCCAGCCTGGCAGCAGAGCAAGGCTCTGTCTCAAAAAAAAAAAAGAAAAGAAAAGAAGAAAAAAAAGTAACACCCTTGAATCCTTAAACAATTGTCTCATTTAATTTGGATCATTTTGACCTTTAAGTTTCTTTATTCAGATCTTTAATATTTTTAAGGGAGCTGTTAAAAGAGGAATTGAGTTTGCCTCCTTTGCAGAGAAAATTAAAAGTGTACCATGACACTGAGTGCCCTTGGAGAGGGGGAGATCTTTGGAAGTTTGAAGGGTGATCCTAGAAGGTGCTTTTGTACGTGATTGTAGAGGGGGCAGAGAAAAAAAAAATGGCCTCCACCCATTGTGTTTCTCCATGAGCTTTGTGAGTGAGGCCACTGGGGAGTCACCTGTTCCCACAGGCTGGCGCTCTGATGGAAGAGTGCCAGTTAGGCAGGCCATGGAGGAGGGCTCTGTGACCCATGAGACACTGGCACTGCAGGAATATGACGTTGGCAGTGTTTTAGGAGGGGATTTTGCCAGCTTAAGGCCATGAACCCAAGAGGAAATTAGATTTTAAGCAGAAATAAAATCCTGTGGAAATATTTAATGTTAGGTGATGTTTGCATCATGAAGGACATCATCTCTCTTCCATTGAATCTTTTCCTCTTTTTGTCCGTGGCTTCCTGTGTCTGTAATAGAATAATCCATTGTCTCTGCTGAGTGCTGTCTGGAGCAGAAGCTTTTGTCAAGCTCTTCTTGATAATATCATTTCAGTTACACTTGAATTCAAAGCTCTTCTCTCTTTTTTTTTTCCTAAGTGTCTCTAGCATTAAGGGAGGAATGGATCCTTTTAGTTTTGACCACAGAAATAAAACTTCAATCAGAACATGTTGAACGCTGGCTTCAAATTTAGTCACCAGGAATGGTCTTTAGCCCAACATTACCCCCTAGTGGGATAAAATAGAATAGATATTAATGAGGTTATGTGGGATGCATTTGAATGGGTGTAACTAGATGCTCTGGCTTGGGCCTGCTCTGTGACAGATACAAGTGGCTGTTAAGGCCCCATGGAAAAATGCATCTCCCCAGCTCTTTGGAAAGCCACTGGCCTTCAGTGAGCGTGGAGCAATTCCTTCTGCTTAATAACCCCCTCTTTCTCTTTCATTTTATTCTCTCGTTGTTGTCATAGTGAATGGCATTTAAGAACTGGAGAAACAAAGCACAGAAGTCATGTGTAAAAAGTGTAACAGATTTGATTTCATAAAACATGCACACTGTCATATAATGCAAGACACCAAAAGTTAGAAGGCAAATTCAAAAGAACCTAAAGGAGCAATAAACATTGTTTAAAGTAGCCCATAAATGTGTAAAATATTATGTATCGATTTAAAAAATTCAACTGCTTCACTGTGAAAGGAATTTGAATTAAAATGAAATATCATCTTTTATCCATCAGATTAGCAAAAATAGAAAGAGTGTTAATTTCAAATGTTGCTGAAGGTATGTAAGAAGGGAGCACTAGCTGTTGATGGGAATGTAAACAAGTGAAGGACTTTTGAAGGCAATTTGACAGGATCTGTCATGACTTTAAATGGACATATGCTTTGATCCAGCAAGTTTACCTTTTCAATCCTATCCCCAAAAGATATTCTTATATATGTCACAGATCTCTTTACAGTAATATTCCTTGCCACAATGTTTATGATAAGAAAAGCCTACATATAAGTAAAAGTCCATCAACTGAGACAGAGGGTGGGGCAGCATAGGTGTAACTAAATAAATTACGGAACATTTCCTTTTCATGGAATACTGTGCTGACATTAACATAAATGAGACAGAACTCCATATACACCTATGGAAAAAATCTCCATGACCCTCAGGTGAAACATGAAATCACGGAATAAGTTTTAGTTTGATTCAATTTTTGTGTGTATGTTTTAAAATCGTGTATGTGGCCAGATGTGGTGGCTCATGCCTGTAATCCCAGCACTTTGGGAGGCCGAGGCGGGTGGATCACAAGGTCAGGAGATCGAGACCATCCTGGCTAACACGGTGAAACCCTGTCTCTACTAAAAAATATAAAAAATTAGCCAGGCGTGGTGGCGGGCGCCTGTAGTCTCAGCTACTCGGGAGGCTGAGGTGAGAATGGCATGAACCTGGGAGGCAAAGATTGCAGTGAGCCAAGATCGCGCCACTGCACTCCAGCCTGGGCGACAGAGTGAGACTCTGTCTCAAAAAAAAAAAAAAAAAAACACCACACACACACACACACACACACACACACACACACACACACACACACACAAAACACAAAAAACGCGTATGTGTATGTAGACACATATAGAAATTTCTAGAACAAATGAAATTCAATCTATTAATAATACTTACCTCCAAGGAGAGAAGTAGGAGTACAGAAGTTAATAAAGGAAGACTTTCTTTCTGCCTCACTTCTTATTGGTCAATCTGGGAATTCATTTTGCTGTGTCTGTGTATTACTCGTATGGAAAAAAGTAAGCAAAAATAAACACTATTATGTGATATTCATACAGATGAACGATATTTCAAAGGAAACTTCTCTACTATAAGACAAAGAGAGTTTAAATTTAGCATAGCGGCAAGGCTAAGCCCAGTGACAAGTCCTTCATCAATTGTCTTTTTTTTTATTTCCAAGAAATCTCAACACATGGGTAAACATTGTGCTGGAGAAATGAATGGCTCTGTAATTTCCCAGATAGTCAGAATCTTTTTCTGGCCTCGTGGCTTCATCATTGCCTGACTCAGCATGTGTACTCAGGGCCCCTAGAGTGAGCCATGGTGAACCAGGTGGTGAGAGTTGCAGGGAGTGACGGTGTAGGCTGAGGATTCCAACTACTGTGTCTCTTCACAGCAAACACCTGGACATGGGCAAGCCACCCAAGAGACAGTTTTGCTCTAAAATGGTATTTTTTGCCCCTTCCCATTTGGAGCAAAGATACAATTCCAAAGAAGATTCTGAAATATTCATGTTAACCCATGTATACTATTAAAGCTATTTCATCTTACTCATTTTCAAAAAAGTTTATAATTTCATAGGTTGCTTAAGTCTTTTAGAAAATCAATATACCCAGGTTAACTCCATAGCAGCAGCTATTTACAAATTCTCTTGTTTATGAGACAAGCTGTTGAAACAACCCAGTGCCCTATCTCAAAATATTTTGCGTTTTTATCTTTTCATAGACTCTTCCAAATATCTTCTCAGTTTACATGAGCATTTAAGAAGGATCTGGCAAGTTCAAGTATTACTTCCTTATTTACTTCCTCATTATTAAGTACAGTTCTTTATTTCTCACAGTGAGAAGAGATATTGTGTTGCATTACACTGAAAATACTGCACAATTCAATACAAATTATAGAGTTATATTATCCAAATTCTGCTGCTAGGGTTTCATTTTTGTCCTTTGAAATTTCATACTGATCACTTCTTGGTTTATACCAAACTTTCTTTCACTTTTGAAACTTCAAAAGTAAATACTCTTCCCCATTTCCTACTCTTAGGTCTAAATTTGCAGCAGGAATTGAAGGAGGGATTGAAATATTGCACCTGGCTCATAGAATTTGACAGCATGACAAAGGATGCTGTAAAATATGAACCAAAAGGGGAAAATGAATATACTCTAATACCTTGGATATTTTTGGTCCTTTACCTGTTAGGATACCAACCAATGTTGAGAAATAGTATATACATAGGTAGTGACTGATCATAAACTTTCATATATGCTTGTCTATTATCCTGTAGGAAGGTGGGATGGTGAGAGGCTTAAAACAGAGGAAAACATGATTACATTAAAGTTTTCAAAAGATCACATAAGCGATAGTTTAAAAGAATAACTGAGGAGTGTGAGAGGGAGGACTAGGGGCAAAAAATAAAATGGCAACAATCCAGCAACCTTTGTTGCAATCCAAAAAGTTTGTTTCAAACACTTGCTACAAACATTCATGTACACATAGGAAAGTGTGACATGATGAATTTACAGACTTGCGCATTTCTATCTTGCTTGCCAACAATTAGAAGAGTAATTATATCACACACAGATTGACAAATAGCCAAAGGGCCATTTTAAAATGCTGCCTTTCAGTCTATCATTGATGCAGTGTTAGGTTGATTCCATGTCTTTGCTATTGTGAATAGGCTGGATGAAGAAAATATGATACATATACATCATGGAATACTATGCAGCCATACAAAGAATGAGATCATGTCTTTGCAGGGACATGGATGGAGCTTGAGCCCATCATCCTTAGCAAACTCACACAGGACCAGAAAACCAAGTACTGCATGTTCTCACTTATAAGTGGGAGCTAAATGATGAGAACACATGGACACATAGAAGGGAGCAACACACACTAGGGCCTATTGGAGGGTGGAGTTGAGGAGGAAGGAGAGGATCAGGAAAAATAACTAATGGATACCAGGCTTAATACCTGGGTGATGAAATAACCTGTACAACACACCTCCATGACACATGTTTACCTATGTAACAAACCTGCACGTGTACCACTGAACTTAAAATAAAAGTTAAAAAAAAAAAGAAAAAATGAATGACTGCCTTCCAGTTACTGAAAGCAGACCCAATTAAGGAAACTATTACAGTTGCCAAGGTCAGGGACTATAAATGCATATGTAAGCTTCCATCAGAGCACCAACCTCTGAGTTCTCCCTTTGGGTCACACTTTGAGGCAGTTGGATCATCACATATTGGGCAAAGGTGTCAAGAAGAAGCAAGAAGCTGAGAGCCTGCTCAATCCACAACAAGCCAAGAAATGTTTTGTTTTGTTTTAAGTAAAAAGCAATCAATTTCCTTTTGTTATATGAAGGTAATAGGATTGATACTTTTGCTTAAGGATAACCTATACAAATACAGTCTGGACTGAAGAGATAGATCAAATATTAATATATAAACCTAATAAAACCCTTCTGAACCTATTGCCAGATACAAAGCTGGACTGTCAGTATAATTGAGAATAGACCGAGGAGCAGAGATTGAATGGTGTTTATAAAAAATAACGGGGCTGGGTGCAGTGGCTCACGCCTGTAATCCCAGCACTTTGGGAGGCTGAGGCAGGTGGATCACAAGGTCAGAAGATCGAGACCATCCTGGCTAACATGGTGAAACCCCGTCTCTACTAAAAATACAAAAAACTAGCTGGGTGTGGTGGCGGGTGCCTGTAGTCCCAGCTACTCGGGAGGCTGAGGCAGGAGAATGGTGTGAACCCAGGAGGCAGAGTTCACAGTGAGCCGAGATCGTGCCACTGCACTCCAGCCTGGGTGACAGAGCAAGACTCCATCTAAAAAAAAAAATAAAAAATAAAAAATAAAAAAAATAATGGATAGGGGCTGGGCACAGTGGCTCATGCCTGTAAGCCCAGCACTTTGGGAGGCTGAGGTGGACAGATCACCTGAGGTCACGAGTTTGAGACTAGCCTGGTCAACATGGCAAAACCCTGTCCCTACTAAAAATACAAGACTTAGCCAGGTGTGGTGGTGTGCACCTGTAGTCCCAGCTACTCGGGAGGCTGAGGCAGGAGAATCACTTGAATCCTGGAGATGGAGGCTGTAGTCAGCTGAGCTCATGCCACTGCACTCCAGCCTGGGTGACAGAGTGAGAATCCGTCTCAAAAAAAAAAAAAAAAATGGGGTCATAAACAACTTGGAGGAATCAAGAATGACATACATTTCTGGCTTCAGTTACTACATGGATATTGCTGTTATTAATTAAATAGGGAATAATAAAGGGAAACTTTATGGGGAGAGAAGAGTCCAGTTTTTGAAGTGCATATAAGTTCAGGAAGTGAGAGCATTGTTGTGCCTCTTTTGTTCATTGTCACTGCTGTTATTAGCACATGACACAAAGCCTGGAACACCCAAGGCACTCAATACATATGGACTAAATGAAACAGTTCCAGAGAGAAGCCTGAGCTGACTTAGTATTTGGGAGTCAGTAGTAGACAGATAGGGGTTGAAGTTATTGAAGTGGGTGCACTCTTTCAGGGCAAGCAATGAGAAAGGAGCACCTTGGGAAGATCTTTGTGGTGACCATCATGTAAGAGGTGGGCAAAGGAAAGCAGCCCAGGAAAGTTCATGGTGAATTTATTAGAGAAACAAAGGGGAATTGCAAAGATATTGGTGTCACGGACACCTTGAAAAGGAGGAGATAATTTTAATGAGGGAGTGTCAAAAGATCTAAATACCACAGAAAGAGAAAGTAAGTTAAGAATCAGGATCTATTGGAGCTAGCAATTAGGAAACTGTTTTTGCCCTCAGCAAGAGCAGTTTCAGTGCAAAGGTAAATCCATGCCGAAGTGCACTGAAGTTAGACTGGAAGTGAAGAAACAGAGGTAGTAAGATAAGGCCACTCTTTCATGTTTGGTTGTGATGCAGTTAGATAAGTCAATAACTAGTATGTTACAAAGTTAAGGGATTGAGTAAATAGTCTTACAACCTGAGGCTATTGTGAAGAAGATGTTGAAGATAAAAGAGGTTAAAGAGTGCTGAATTTTCCTCCAACATGGAGGAAGGAGAAAAGTAGATTGCAGGTGCAGACACATTTGCACTTGAGGGGCTCAGAGTTGAGAGCTGCAACTGATAGCTCCAATTATTTCTGTTAACTGAGAATCAAATTTTCATCTAAGAGGAAGCAGGTGTGGGATTAGGGGGTTCGATGAGACTAGTAAAGAATTAAAATAGCTATTTGGGGGACTAGGAAGATTGGATCAGGGACATGGAACAATCATGGATTGCTAATTGGCATTCAGGACCTATCTGAAGATAAAAATCATAAAATTGGAGTAGTACAAATCTATATCATGTAAATTTTTTCACCTCTAGCAGTGTCTGCTACACAGCAGCCCAGATGCGAATGAAGAAGGCAGATGCTTATAACAATTCCTGATTTGGGGTTTACAGAGTAACCACCGCAGAGGACAGATGGCAGATGCAGAGGATCCAGGCAGATTGAGTTGAGAGAGCTGAAAAGATAGTGGTGAAAGAGATGACCACAGGATCATATCTCAATAGGAAAATCAGTGCGAGACCTCATGGATTAATAGAGGAGTTGAAGGACTAGAAGTACTGTAGGCAACTGTCCTGGGAATGACAGAGGTGAAAAGGTATGAGTTCATATTTCTAAGACACAGAAGGGGATGGAAAATCACAGGAATCCAGGAAATCAAGGTTAAAGTGTTTTCTGGGTTCTTGGTTTAGATGTAGAAGTTCCCTGAATGGTAGCAAAAACTGGGGCAGAAAAGAAATTTATGAGCCAGATGCTAAAATATTTAGTGAATATCCAAGAAGGCCCAGGAAAACCCAGAAGAATGGTCGATGTGGCAGAATAGAGGACAGCAATTATTTGACATGTCTTTCATTGAGAAGCAGGATCCATCTCCCTTTCTGAGTCTGACCTGGCCTGTGCCTGCTTTGACCATTAGGATACGATGGATGTGCCTCTCTGCTCCTTCTAGGCCTCAGAATTGAGGGTAGGTGAAAAAGTCATCACCGACTCCTACTTGGGTTCCTGTGGTAACCTCCTAAGTGGTCTGCCTGCTTCTATCCTTGCGCTTCTACTTACTGTCATGATAGTGGCCAGAATTATTTTTAAAGCCTTGATTGGGTCATGTCTCTCCTCTGCTCAGAACCCTTCAGTGGTTGCCGTCTCCCTCAGAGTGAAGGGCCATCTTGTCATTGGTTCCTTATTACCTCTCTGCATTCGTTGACTACCACCTCCCCTCACTCATTCTGCTCCATCCACAGCTTCCTTGATGTCCCTCAAACTTACCAGGCGCACTCCCATTATCGGGCCTTTGCACTTGCAGTTTCTTCTGTCTGCAAAGCTCTTCCTCCAGTCATCTCATCTGCATGGCTTGCTCCCTTGGCTTTTACTAAACAGTCATCTTCTGTGAAAGGTCTTCGCGAAACACCCCATCTAAAATTTCACCACCTTCCCAAGCCCAGCATTTCTAACCTAGGTTCCCCGCTGTGTTTGTTTTAATGCATATGCCACTAACATAACAGATATGGTACTTACCTTGCTTATAGTCTGTCTGCCGTATTAAAATAGAATTTCCCTTAAGGACAGGGATTGTTTTTGGTCATTGTCATTTGCTGCTGTACTCTCAGTGCCTAAAACAATATCTCACACAGTAGGTGGTCAATAGTCATGAAATGAATGAATTCACCAGACCTATTCTAGGGCTCAAAAGATTATTTCCAGGCCAGTCCTAGGATGTGGCATGAATCTAGCTGATACTGTTTCCTTCAGGTATTCTAAGAGCTACAGGATTTAGCTTTGTGGACTTCTTCTGGCTTCTCTGTGAAGGGTGAGGGGAGGAAGTAGTATGAATCCAGGAAGCCCTGATAATCTACAGCTTGGCCCTCTGCCGTCTGCCTCTAGCTGCTGTGTAGACCGGTCTGCCTGGCAGCCGATCGTATTAACAAAGCCCACAGAAAGAGAATCCTAGTCTTAGCCTACTCTACTCACTTGTGTCTAACGATAAATTCCTTTGTCTGAGTCCCGTGCTTTCCTTTTAAAGAATTAGACTGTCAAAAGCATGTTAAACAAAAGGCACAGGGGCCTAAACATTATGTAAAGGAGTCATTTTAAAGCAGAAAATAGTATGAAATGCTTTCTACTCAACACATCAATTGTTATTCTTTTCAGGTTAGAAGTTGAATCTGTAACAAAAGAGCCTTTTCACAGGATGGGTAATGACAAATACACAACCAGAGGAGCCCTTAACTGGAAGTGGAAATAAGGCAGCTGCCAACACCTCCACTTCAGTTTCCCTGCTAGGTTCAAGAAGCAGAATCTCTTTAAGTTCAGGCTCCTAGACAACGCTTCAGCTGGAGACCAGACCAAGGCTACTCTACTGAGATTGGGAGGTTCCTATAGAGTCTCTGGGGCCAGGAAAGTGAGGAGGAGAAACCTCACCACCCTTCCTAAAGAGGTTTGCCCTGAAGAGAGCAGGCTGCGGGAGTTGCCCTGTGCCCAGAAGCCAGGGTGCTCGGCCTGCGTCACCTTGGTGGGGGTGAGGATGCTGTTGGGACATGAGCCTCCTTATTGGCCGTGGCTCTCTTTGTGGTTCTACCACATAGCTTATCCTGCTTCTCCCTAGAATCAGCTTCAAAGTGGTGCTTAAGCAGTGATATCCTGATATCCTTAGATCTGTGGTTTCTCTGGCAT
Organism: Homo sapiens; assembly: GCF_000001405.40. Taxonomy (NCBI): domain Eukaryota; kingdom Metazoa; phylum Chordata; class Mammalia; order Primates; family Hominidae; genus Homo; species Homo sapiens. Next base: position 140,618,483 of record NC_000004.12, read on the forward strand.
CATCCCTTCCCCGCATCCACACTCTGCATGGTTTGCTTTGTTCCTTTTCTGTAGCAGTAGCTTTCTCTTTTGCTTGTTCTTATGTGAAAGCTCCACTGAGGCCAGGACCCAGTGCTGTGGAGCAGGAACCTCACCGAGATATAGACACTGAGCCCTTCCTCTGCACTGGTGTCATCATTATTATATTAGCATAGGAAGGACTGACAGAGATGGGGGTAAAGTGGCCAGAGAAGATGATAATGGCTGGGCATGGTGGCTCATGTCTGTAATCCCAGCACTTTGAGAGGCCGAGGCGGGTGGATCACTTAAGGTCCGGAGTTCGAGTGCAGCCCGGCCAACATGGTGAAACCCCATCTCTACTAAAAATACAAAATTAGCTGGGCATGGTGGCGGGCACCTGTAATCCCAGCTACTCAGAGGCTGAGGCAGGAGAATTGCTTGAACCCGGAGGCAGAAGTTGCAGTGAGCAGAGACTGTGCCATCACACTCCAGCCTGGGTGACAAAAGCAAAACTCTGTCTCAAAAGCAAAAACAAATAACAAAACAAAACAAAACAAAAACCCCTACAAAACAAACACCCCCCAAAAAACAGAGAAGATGGTAAATCACAAGTTGAAATCAAAGAGAGTAATCCATGGAGACACGAAAAGTGCATAACACAACCATGAACAACTAGAAATGTGTCACCTGTCTTCTGGAAGCTGAGGGCGGAATAATTCCCCCAGGATGTTCTTCTGATGTAGCGAATGAGAGGACGAGCCTATTTGTCTCGTAGACGAAGCTGGAAATTTCAGCTCAAGGGTTCAGGCTCCTCCCTGTGCATCCTTTAGAAGTAAACACAGACTAAAACCTGCCATTATGCAGTATATTGCTGCTGTGATGAAAAGCACTATGATGTGCTTGAACGAATAAGGACAAGATTGCAACAGAATTCTCAGCATATTAATAGAGACAGGCTTTCAGAGGGACTTGCTACTCATTTACTGTCACTTTCTTAATGACAATGGAAAATGCTGGCTCCTCTTCTATATCCAGGGCTACACATTTAAACAAAACACTCTTATTTCCCGCTCAATGCTATCTCTGATTTTGGCAAAGTACAGGTGGGTGAGAGTATTAGATTTTGCAGTTATTTCTTGAGGCATATTTAAGACATCAAAGATAAAAACACATGGAGTCACGTGTAATAATCTTAGAGTCCAATAAATGACTAGCTACTTGATTAAACCAAATGGCATTATAGCATGTTAATAAGGATTAAACAGACGCATTTTCACCGTCATTACTTAGATGGAATGAGTATTTTTTTTTGTTAACTTTTATTTTAGGTTCAGGGGTACATATGAAGGTTTGTTATATAGGTAAACTAGTGTCATGGGGGTTTGTTGTACAGATTATTTTGTCACCCAGGTACGAAGCCTATTAACCAATAGTTATTTCTTTCTGTTCCTCTCCCTCCACCCACCCTCCACCCTCAAGGAGGCCCCAGTGTGTGTTGTTCCCTTCTCTGGGTCCATGTGCTCTCATCGCTTAGCTCCCACTTACAAGTGAGAACATGCAGCATTTGGTTTTCTGCTCCTGCATTAGTTTGCTAAGGATAATGGCCTCCAGCTCCATCCATGTTCCCATAAAATACATGATCTTGTTTTTTATAGCTGCATAGTATTCCGTGGTGTATATGTACCACATTTTCTTTATTCAATTTGCCATTATGGGCATTTAGATTGATTCCATGTCTTTGCTATTGTGAACACTGCTGTAATGAACATTCACATGCATGTGTCTTTATAGCAGAATGATTTATATTCCTCTGGGTATATTCCCAGTAATGGCATTGCTGGGTTGAATAGTAGTTGTTTTTAGCTCTTTCAGAAATTGCCACATTGCTTTTTACAATGGTTGAACTAAGGTACACTCCCACCAACGGTATATTTGTGTTGTTTACTTTACAACCTCGTCAACATCTGTTCTTTTTTGACTTTTTAATGACTGGTGTGAGATGGTATCTCATTGTGGTTTTGAAGACAGACATGCAACCAACAAGCATATTTTAAAAAGCTGAATATCACTGATCATTATGGATAAGCATTTTAAGTTAGATAACTGATAACAATTATATTCCTTATTTTAAATATAGTCATTGATATACTACAAATTGTATTTCTCTCTCTATGTTTGCCTATAAAATTTATTTACTTAATCAAAATGGTTGCCTGATATAATTTCCCCTGCAAAAGTTGTCAAAAGAATAATGTTATTGCCTTAGGCAGGAACTCAAGCACAAAGATAAAAAGCTGTATCTGAGTATTTGCTGTATTTTATTTGTTCACATTTAGCCTATTTGAGGTTAACACTACTTCATTTGACAGTTTAAAAATCATCCTGTAAATAGAATAAAAAACAACAGCAGCAATAGCTAAAAAAAGGACACAATGTATAATAAAATAAAGGAATGTGTTGAAAGAAATATTCCAAAGAAGCAAAGGAAATGAGACCATGATTATGAATTCAACAATCAGAAGAAAAAATCGTCCAACATCTGTAAAAAGCAAAATCATAACAGTAATAAAAAAGAAGCAAGAATTCAAAGTGCAGGTGCGCTAGCTTTCATTTCCACATCCATTCAGGAAATAGAGCATACTATTCTTTTATATAAAGTGACAAGTTCTGTTTTTAAAACATTCAGTTACATTATCTTGCAGATTTTTTTTCAGTTTACATTATCTCTACATTGATTTGATGGAAAGATGGTCATATGCGATATGTGGTATAAATTTCTTCAATCTATGGAGAATACGGAAATGGTAAAGTTGACTGTTTTACTTATGTTTTTGCAGTAAGAAGCTAAACATCCAGTATCAGAAGCATCAGTACTTTTACTCTTTCAAAAACAAAAGCAAAGCAAAAGCAAAAACCTGTCATGAGCCCTCTGTCTTTGCTGCTACTTTCAGATTCTCTGTGACAAAAGACTGTTACTTTTCACTGAATTCTAATGAGTTGACGTAAATAATCAGAACAATTTCTTAAATGCAAAATTGGTCTGGTATCTGTCTAAATTGGTCAATACAAGTGTTATTCTGGAATCATGTAAAAATCACTTACTTTCATAACTGTTTAGAACCCCAAATGTTTTCCCTTTGAAGGGGAACATCTGTGGAATATGATTTTGAATAGAGGACTTCTATGAAATATATTTCAAATCTTAAAAATATTTTTAATACTTCCTAAAGTGGTATAGGATTTACCCTCGCTGACTATGCCTTCCATTTAAGAACAGTCTTGCATTTGTGGCTTTTCATTTTCCTTACAGCTCTAATTTTATTTAAAAAGCCTGAATACACAAATGACTGCTGCCTTACTTAGCATTAAACAGTACTATTTTTTAAACCATGTATACAGCTCAACAGCAAGATTAATAAGTTATAATACACACATATCACTGACAGATTCATCTTTTTGTTTTTTAGAATTCACGAAATAAACTGTATTCTGGTAAATCCCCTCCCCGCAACAAGAGTGTAATGTACCTACATTGAGGTGTTTAAATATTTCTCCAACAGTTTTCATTGAATTACATTATGAAAACACTAGGCTTCAAGCCAGGTACTAATAAATATTTAATTTAAAAGAAAGAAAGAAAAAACTCAACACAGAAGAACATAAAAAATCCCTCCCCTCCCTCTCCTCCCACTCCCCCGGGAAGGCGCCCGTGTCAGCCGGACATGGCCGAGATTTCATAGTCACTGGCCGAGGTGAGGGGCTTGCCCATCATCCGGATGTTTTTTGCACTGGTAATCCTGGCCATCATGCACACGGGCTTGTCAAAGTACTTGACCAGGGCAGGCTCAGTTAAGAGGGAGGCCAGGAACTGCTCGAAGGTGATGGCCCAGTCCCGGTCCAGGCTGGTGCTCCGGGGCAGTGCCGCCGTGCCCTGGCCGCTCCGCACCAGGACCGTGTCCTCTCCGATGTCCTCGCAGTGCAGCTTGTCCTCCTCGTGGGAGCCGGCACTCAGCACCGAGTATGAGGACATGGAGCTGTCGTCCTTGGTGTCGTCGTCAGAGATCAGCATGGAGGAGCAGGCCCCGTTGTCCCGGGGCGAGGAGTCCTCCAGCTTGATGTCCTCCATTTGTCCTCCAAGGGAGTGTTCCTCGCTGTCGGGGGCCAGGCTGGCCGGCAGGGGCTCAACAGACTCCACCACGTAAGGCTGGCCTGGCCCTTTCTTGGGGAAGAGCACGCCTGGGATGCCCTGGTGGCAGGACGGCCCACTGCCTCCGCTCCCGCCCTCCTTTGCAGGCTGGGCCACGAACAACTTGCCGACCTCCCCAATCTCCAGCAGGAGGCTGGTCACTGCTGCCGTGGCGTGGTACAGCTCCTGCTCATTGGGGTCTTCGCTGAACATGTTATACATTGTCTTACACAGTTCAATGAACTGCCCCTGAAAAGCGATTTGGAAAAACACAATGTGAAATCTTGGGGGAGCAGAAAGGCAGCACTGAAGTGGACTGTAAAGCCATTTAAATGAGAACGCCTAAAGATCCCTGGAAAGTCCTCCGCCTAGGCTGGATGGACATGTTTAAAGTCTCCTATTGATGTTTCTATTTTTAATTTTTATTTCTTTTTGAGACAGGGTCTCTCTTTGTCGCCCAGGCTGGAGTGCAGTGGTGCAATCACGGTTCACTGCAGCCTCAACATCCTGGGCTCACATGAACCTCCCACCTCAGCCCCCCAGGCACACACCACTATACTCTGCTAATCTTTGCGTTTTTTGTAGAGATGGGGTTTCGCCATTTTACCCAGGCTGGTCTTGTACTCCTGGGCTAAGTGATCCTCCTGCCTTGGCCTCCCAAAGTGCTGGAATTACAGGTGTGAGCCACCACACCCAGCTTATTTTCCCAATTTTTTAATTTGAAAATTTTCCAACATCTATGAAAGTTGGAATGAAAAAGTAAACATCCATGTACAGCTCACCTCGAGTCAAGAAGGACTATGTCATACATTTGGCTCAGTAACTTTTTTCTTGTTCTCTTTTCCCTTTTTGAAACATCTTAAGGAAATCCGAGACTCATCTATTTTCACGTCTACACACTTTAGCATGCACCTCAATTTTTCCAAGGTTAGCTCCAATCCCTCCTCCCACGACACATGCCCCATCTCCCTGGACAGAAGTAATGCTTTAGTGCTTTCAGTCTCCACCCAGATGACTTCTGTTCTTCAATTACAAAACTTAGCATTTTCAGCCTATAATTATTTATATTGTTTTTTTCTTCCTCATTTCACCAGGTTTTTAAGGAAAATGTGCAGACACCTTTATAGCTAAGCACGGTGATCTGAAAACAGCAATGTGTTTGTCTTTCGAGTATCTGAGGGTATTTTTAATGATTGCAATAAGATGCATTTACTCTCAAAATGGAATATGTTGTGGTTCACATTTCCTCTGAGGAAGTCGTTTTTTCACAATGGAGCATATTTTTGATGCATAAATACATGCACAAAATAGGTCCAAATGGATACTAAGTAAAGGCCCCAGTTATTATTTTTGATGGGTATTGAGTCTACATTTATCGATGACTTTTCAGTCATAGAAAAAAGAGTGTCCAGGTTTGAAGCGAATGATTTGAACTTTAAGCACTTACCTGATTTAATTTGGGTAAATCCTTTGCATTCTTTGACTTAGATTTATTTTCTGGAGTCCACAGTCTCAAATAATTACGATTTTCTTGGGAATTTGCTCTCTTCCCTACAACCCAAATGTCAAGAAATAAGTGCTTACAGGCCAAAAAACAAGTGTACAACCAGCAAGAAGGTAAACATATAGAAGAGAATATCCTTACCTTTGTCTGGCTTTAGGCTCACCGTAACAAAGCCATCATCTGCACCCTGTTTGCTTCTGCTATCCAATCCAACAACTACCAAGAAATGGTTCAGAAGAAAAAAGTAGAATGTTATATAATATGACCATGGAATTAGCATTTGTAGTGGAAAATAGAAGACTCTCTAAGTAGGGTTGCCTGATTTAGCAAACAAACAAACAAAAAAAAACTCCTCAAAACAAAACAAAACATTCAGTTAAATTTCAATTTCAGATAAACAACAATTTTTGGGGGGGATAAGTATAACCCTGACATTAGAGGGGACATACTTATACTAAGAAAATTATTTTGTATCTGAGATTCAAATTTTACTACATGTCCCATAATTTTATCTGACAACACTATCTCCAGGTAAAGGACCTCCGCAGAATTCTTTCTCACAGCTGGGGTTCAGTGTACAATAAAAAATTAATGGAGGGTCAAGCAGCGTGGCTCATGCCTGTAATCCCAGCACTTTGGAAGGCCAAGGTGGGCAGATCACCTGAGGTCAGGGGTTCAAGACCATCCTGGTCAACATGGTGAAACCCTGTTTCTACTAAAAATAGAAAAATTAGCCGGATGTGGTGGCACATGCCTGTAATCCCAGCTACTCGGGAGACTGAGGCAGGAGAATTGCTTAAACCCAGGAGGCAGAGGTTGCAGTGGGCTGAGATGGTGCCATTGCACTCCAGCCTGGGCAACTAGAGCAAAACTCCATCTCAAAAAAAAAAAAATTAATGGGATAATGCCACATAGCCTTTAGTACTTAAAAAATGGTAGTGCTTGCCCCAATGAATGTTGATTTCTCTCCTGTCTTTTCTACATTATCATTTAACTTTGCATATATGAGACAGATTTTTTTTGCCAGACCCTGCAAAAGATCCAGAACTCACTCTTTCAAGGAAATTAAAATCTATGTTGGCAGAAGAGAGAAAATTTTTTTTTTGCTAAAATGTTACATGCTATAAAACTACTTCAGATTTATAATTTGGTACTTCAAAAATATGACTTTTAAGGAACCCACTTATAACTGTTTTGTCTTCTTAAAACGAGACATTACAGGGCACATAGGGACTTCAAAATAGAGAGGTGTACAATGCCCTCAGTTTCCCATGCAGTTTGTTGGCTGTTAGGGTGCATTCCAGCACTTCTTCAACCACCCAAAGCTGGCTGGTCAGACAGAGATGTGGCCTTTACTGTATTACGTGTCAAATTAATCTCAGTAGCTTTTAAGACACAGTGAGGAAAGTGTACTATGTGTTGTTGGGAAATTCCTCCCCTCTTAATGTTGAAAATGATGTAGGCAACAAGTGGATTTTTAAAAAATATTTAATGTATGGTAAGTCCATGCAATGGATACTATATAGCCATTTAAAAACCACATTTTCAAAGAAATTTTAATGACAAAGTAATATTCTCACTGGATTTCAAGTAAAAAAAGCAGGATACAAAACTGTATAGGTAGTTTGATCCCAGTTCTATATACATATATCTGTGGTGTGTATGTGTACAATTTGAATAAAAAACTGAAATATTTCAAGGTGAATTATTAGTTATCTTTATATGGTAAGATTCTAAGACAGTTTTGGCTTACTTATTTTACCCGTACCTGAAACATTTCCATGCAAAGCAATAGCATCTTTGGCACTGGAAAACCTTCTTCAAAAAGCATATTTCAATGATATTACATGCTATTGGCATGTGACCATTTCTGAAGCATTTCTAAAACAAGAGAATCCCTTTCTGAGATGTATGTCTACTAAGAAATGTGTGGAGAACATTTTGTAGCCAGAATGTGACTGCTAATGGTATTAGGTTGGTGAAAAGTAATTGTGGTTTTTGCCATTACTTCCAATATATAATATTAAGAATATGTAGGATGCACTAAGACACTATGCAAAATGTCTTATTACATTCTCTTATTAGGTCCTAATTACACCCAATATGATAGCTATCATCTCCATTCTCCACACAAGGAAACTGAGGCTCACATAGGAACCTGCCTGCACTCACCTAGACAACACTATACATAGCTAGTGTTCTGTCCAAAGCTCCTACCCTCAACTTGTATTGCCAGTCATAAGACTGAGCCTGGCTCACTCTCTCTACAGAAATCACTTTGGTGCTTACAGTCTAAAAGTAAGGTCTCTTGGTGCAGGTCTCTGTTGTGCTTATTTGGGGATGGCAAAACTTAAGAGGCAAAAGAACCCAGGAGAAACCTACATTTACTTTTGGACTTAGGTGAGTTGATAAAGTTGACCTAATGATGAATTAGAAGGTAACTTACTGCAGTAGCAAGCCAAAAGACAATGCTAGATTAATGTAAGACAAAACAGTATATGAATTAATATATAAATTTGGAGACATATATGAGTTGAATCACATCTTTGTAGACCTATCATCCACAGAGAGCAGGAGCCAGCATATGTCTTTTGTAAAGGACCAGACAATGAATATTTTAACCTTTGTAGGTCATACTGTCTCTGTTTTAGCCACTCAATTCTGCAGCACGAAAACAGCCATAAGCAATACATATATAAATGAGCTTGGCTGTCTTCCAACAAAACTATTTATAGGCACTGAAGTTTCTATTTCATATACTTTTCATGTGGCAAAAATATTTTACTTTTGATTTTTAAAAACCATTTAAAAATGTAAAAAACCATTCTTAGTTCACAGGCTGTAAAAAATAGGTGGTGGGCTGGATTTGGCCCACGGGCTATAGTTTGCCAACTTCTGCTATAGAGCAAACACAGATATAAGAGAATGCTTTCTGACAGAAATGCTAGTTCCAATTCTGGATGGCTGCCTAACAGGATATTATTAATGAGGCTGATCCTGGCAGAAAGAGGGCAGCAAAGTATACAGCTCTATAGGACACAAGTTTCCTAACCTACTGGGAAACAATGTACATGTTTCCTTCAGTGGGCTGAGGTACCTACTGCCCAATAGTTGCCTAATCTCAAAAACTGGAAAGGAAAGTAACCAATTAAGGCAACCATATTTACATACTTCTTTGATTGACTAGCTTTGGAGGCAAGTCTTTTTCCAATAATGGAGGGCTCGGTAGAAAACAAATATAGTATCTTTGGTGAGAAAAGTCACTTACCATGTGTACATTCTGGGGTAATATCTTCAAAGAAGTACTGAGTTGCTTCAAAAGCAGAATCTGGTTCATCTTGATCAGAGGATGGCTCTAGGGAGGGGAGGAAACATAGTTCTCATATTGGTAGGGCCATGATCCAGTGAAAGTATGCTTAATTATTAAATAAAATGACATAAGTGGGGATGAAAAGCTAAAGTTACAAAGGTGGGATGGGGCCTTGAGTGCCTACTGTCTCTAAACCTTAGTGGAGGAGGTCACTAACTCCATCTAACTCCACCTTCCCTTTTAACAACCCCACACCAAAGTGTTCCTTCATATTTTCTGTGTTATGAAGAATTTTCCAAGTTGTATGGAATAATGCTATATTAACAAAATTTTAGGAAACTGTACGCTATAAAGAGAATTCCCAAATCTAGTTTTATCCTACCTCTATTGTTCGTGCCAATCTCATCTCATTTTTAAAAGTATTTGCTAGATAGATCCCAGCTGGTACCAACCTTGTTTAAAATTGAAAAAACCTCACCATTTTCCCCACTTGTTCCTGTCAATGTTCCTACGCTCCTTTTCTCTCTCACAATCCTTGTATCCCAGGTGTTACCAAGTGCTATTTATTCTTTCTTTTGCAGATGCCTGCCTGCTCTTTTCTGTTACCACAACTCACTCTTCACACAGGTAAATGACTATACAATCAAGTGCATGCTGATTCAAGAACTTATGGAAATTGTCATTGTTCAGTTAGTTCTTAGTGACTCATGAATGATGGTGTATATCAAAAAGAGGACGATCAGGTTACACCTAAAACAGAGACTTCAAGCCAGGTCATGGTTACAGACACAAGTACTGCTCCATGTAGCTCACTCACCAGGCAAGACGTGCATTTTGTACAGGAGTTTGAGCTTCTCTGTGAGGTCCCCATGGCATGCAGCACCTAGAAGTCACATAAGTACCAATGTGAAATGCATCACATGTGCTAATAAACTCCAGGCCTAGTGTTCCTCTAAAAAGTCTACTTCATACACATTCCAACCAAGACATTGTGTGGTGAAAGGCCTGGCCAGGACCTGTTTGGGTTAACAGCTCAGGAACCAGGATGGTTGGTTTCAAATCCTCTGCATGTACTACATACTGTTGGGAGAGTTAAACCCTCTGTACCTCGGTTTCCCCTCTGTAAGGTGAGATGATAATAGAAGATTCTACCAGTGATCTTGATGTCAGGACTCCACGAAATGTCAGAACTAAAAGTGTTAAAACATATAAAGCACCTAGAATAGTGCCTGGCACCTAATAAAATAGCTTTATTAATGAGAAAGGTCATGTGATTGGGGCACAACATCTTAAATAACTATTAGAGTTCAGAAATAATTTCAAGATGTGTTTTGATATCACTTCAAATTACTCATTCTAGAAATCCTTTTTAATTGTTTTTGAGCTCCTAAGTATTTCCTTAATTTATCTGAACCTATTGGTCATTATATCACCATAGCTTCAATCGGAAGAATCCTGTTGCTTTTCCCCTCAAAGTCCATATTTATTGCTAGAACCAGAAAATCCTTTGTAAATATATATTCTGAGAGCACCTAAAGATAAATGAGATTTGGAAAAAGAAGAAAAATAGGAATCATAGAATCTGGGTTGGAAGGGACCTTACGGGTTATCTTGTCTGACCTTCCACTTAATGTAGGATCTCCTCTCACACACCCCAGTGAGACAGGACTCCAGCATCTGCTGAAACATTCTCAAAGATGGGGAACTCAATACAACCAGAGGCATTTCATTCCAAGCTGTATTCTTTAAATACTGAAAGTTCTTCTGTAATTTTTAGTCTAATGACCCTTAAAACCTGTAGTCTCAACTTTATGAAGTCCGTGAACCCCTCAAAATGCAAAATTTTATTTATGTTCATATGTTACTTTGGGGAAAGAAAATGTCCATAGTCTTTATCAGATCTCAAAGAGTCCATGACTCAAAAATGGTTTAGAACTACTCCTCTTTCTCTTATCCCACTCTTTAAAGCAAAACAGAATGGGTGTCTCAACTCTTCCACACAACAATCCTTCAGATTTTAAGAACAGCTGTCCTGTCTTCCTCAAGCTTATCTTTTTGGGCCAACTTTATCTTCTCAGATTAGATCTTTCCAATTTTTTCAATTTTCTCATATGATGTGATTTGTTTATCCTTCCCTATTATTATCCACATCTACCTTATATGTTAATTTCTCAATCAATATCCCTCTGGAATGAGTTCAGAAGCCTCTTGACCACTCCAGGAAATAGGGGAACTGTTCCTGACTCTTCCATTAGTATAGCCTAAGTGTGAATTCAACTGTTCACACTCTCACAGTGGAGTTTCTTAATGATCACATGGTTAACTAAACTCCCGGATGTTTGCATGATTAATAAAACTAATCATGAAAATAATGACGGACATTAACCACCCACTCTGTGTTAAGCCCTGTGCCAATTACTTCATATGTATAATCCCACTTATATCTCATAACAATTCTATAAAATGGGCACAATTATTACTCCTATTTTACAGATAAGAAAAATTGGGCTTATTGAGGTTAAGTAATTTGTTCAAGGTCATAAGTGACAGGTCCAGGATTTGCACCTGGATTTGTCTGACTCTAGATTCCATGCTGGAAACCACTATTATACTACATGCAGACATCCTAGGTAGTTCTTTAACAATTATTTCTTTAAAAGTAGAACTTATATTTATCCTTATCAATTTTTTTTCACCAATCATTTTGTAACAGTGAAACAGCAAAAGAACCAACATAACTAATTCAAGTTTTGTTTAAGGGACCTTTACCTGCATGTAGGCTAGGATAATTTTAGAGCACTAAGATAATATGCAAAAACAGCAATCATGTAGTTTTAAAAATTAACTCTGATATTGAAGGAGAAGTATGCAAAAAACCGTTTTGTTAAAGATCCATGGTAGCATTATAACCTGACTGAAGACAAAGAAGTTCCCAACCTTCTCGGACCCCTGCTGGTGCCCAGATATCTGCATTGTCTGTCACCTCTTGATCCCAACTGCTTCTCATTCCCCTGCCCTTAACACAAAAAGAGCCTAAAATCTGTACTGACATAAGATGGTAGTTTAGGATGTTAGTCTGCCATTTTCGTGATTTGCTGGCTCTCAGAATAAACCTGGTTTTCTTCCCACCCAAGAAACTCTTGTCTCTTGAGTTTGTTTTTCGAGTGGTGAGCAGCCAAACCTGGGTTCAGTTATAATTTCTGCCTATCATAATTTTTAAAAACCTACTTTTGTCACCTAACATACCCTTGGCTATCTCTTCTACCTTCATGTGGCCCCACCCATTCAGTAAGTGTACTCTGCCTTCATGGTTCAAGGTGTCCGCTGAGTCCAGTAGGGGAGAATGAGTAATAATCATAGTGACAATCATAACCAACATTTTTTTGAGCCAGACACACTTCTAGAACTTTACTTGAATTGTTTCATTTAGTTTTGATGGTTAACTCTATCGTGCAAATAAGGATGCAACTGCAAAGAGTCCAAATACTGGGTCCAAGGGTACTAGTGAATGCTCTCTCAGTTGAAATGAACTTATTGCCCATCACACTTTTGGGTGCAGTGTTCAGCCAGTTACACAATCACCAATTTCCATATACTTTCACCTTTTCCATTGGTAATGAATTATTTATCCAATGACCGGCTGCATCACAACTCATTATGCTATGTTTATAAACTCTAAGTTTCAGCCGCACTGTTGGAGAAAGAGATACAGCTAATTTATGGCTTCTGACAGAAACCCCTCATTTCTTTGTTTGTTTGAGATGGAGTCTTGCTCTGTTGCCCAGGCTGGAGTGCAGTGGCACGATCTCGGCTCACTGCAACCTCTGCCTCCCGGGTTCAAGCGATTCTCCTGCCTCAGCCTCCCAAGTAGCTGGGACTACAGGCGCCCACCAGTACGCCCGGCTAATTTTTTGTATTTTTAGTAGAGACGGGTTTCACCGTGTTAGCCAGGATGGTCTTGATCTCCTGACCCCATGATCTGCCTGCCTCAGCCTGAAACCCCTAATTTCTAATTCCACAAAGACCATCTATCTGTTTAGTAATTTCTAGAGGGATCTCTCTGGGGATTGATATAAAATTACTGATACATGTTTTTCAGAATTCATTTTTTAGTTTTTCTTTTTTTTTTTTTGAGATGGAGTCTTACTCTGTCGTCCAGGCTGGAGTGCTGTGGCACGATGTCTGCTCACTGCAATCTCTGCCTCCTGGGTTCAAGTGATTCTCATATCTCAGCCTCCTGAGTAGCTGGGATTATAGGGACCTGCCACCACGCCTGGCTAATTTTTGTATTTTTAGTAGAGACAGGGTCTTACCACGTTGGCCAGGATGGTCTTGAACTCCCGACCTCAAGTGATCCACCCACCTCGGCCTCCCAAAGTGCTGGGATGACAGCCATGAGCCACGGGGCCTGGCCCATTCTTTAGTTTCTTTAAACACAGACAGAATTTCTCATTTCTGCTTGACTTTCCCATCTCCATAACTATAACTGACCAATGTAACTGACAACAGCTCTGCAACCACATCTGAGAGTTCTCCCACTAATCTGGGGTATAGTTTACTTTGCCCAGGAACTCAACTGCATTTTGAAGTCTAAATATTCTTTTCCAGTGTTTTCTCTATGCTGGACTTCAAGACTCTTTTTCCTTCTTGAAGATTTTCAAAAGCATTCTCCTTACTGGAGTTGACTGAATTTAAGTAAATTAAATATTTTTGTTTATTTCTGTCACTTTCTACATGTAGAACCCGTCTCTTTTTTCTCCTCTTTATTTTTGCCCAAAGGTTTTTTTTTTTTAAATATCTCTTTTGATGGATACCTATATGACAAGCAGTAATTACCCTGGAAGTAAAGAAGATTAGCATAGCGTCAAAGGGGTCTTTAGTGTTATCTGATTTGTGCCACTTTTTAAAAAAGCAGACTGTACTTATATATCACTTGTGTAACTAAAAATTAATACTGCCTCCTTCTTCCTAAAAAATGCCCTTTTGTTATCCTCAGTACAGAGTAGTGAGAAAAGGATAAGCTTTCAGGACAGATAGCCATTGTTCGAATCCTGGGTCTAGCATGTATTAGCTGTGCCTCTCATTTCAGTTCAATAACAGATATTTATTGGTTTGCTAAAAACTAATGTTCCAACAAGTTACTTTAACTTTTCTGAGCTTCTATTTCTTTAGCTAAATATGGAGATAATAGTAGCAAGCAGGTAGGTAACGAAGCATAAGAGTAACAGCACAAACTGTGCCTCTTGAGTACGTGGAATCAAACACAAACTTTATACTTGCATGCCCTTAGACAAATTAAATGCATGTGAATTGTGCACATAAAAAGCATTAGGGCAATGCCAGGCATGCAGTAAATGCTGTATAAATGTCAGTTATCACTATCATTATTACACCTAAGAGCTGTTGTTTAGATTAATATAGTAAAAGTTCTAAAGTATCACAACAGTATCTGCACTCTAAATAAATGCGAGTTCTCCCATGTCCCCTCTTTTAAGCGTATAGATGAGTACTTTATACAATTTTTGTTTTAACCTCAACGGACCTTACCTACATATATCCCTTCCCTTTTTAAAAAACCATCAGCTTCCTCTGGCCTTTATGTCTTCTAGATATAACTCTCACAGATTAAAGACGTTCTTTAGAAATGCTGGCTCTATGCCTGACATTTTCTCTTTCCTTGGGTACTTCTTTTTAAAGCATATGGCCCAAGGTCATAGAGTAGCACAATTAGAATTTTAAAAAAATTGTTCTTACCTCATTCTGGCATAATGCCTGCTATACTCTCAACCTTACGTCAAGTGGGCCAGGCTCCACTACCATGAAGCTTTTGTGCCCAGTTATAAAAAGAACAAGAGTCCAAAAAGGCAGTCATATGCAGGGCAGTGAGCAAACCAGACAGGGAGCTGGTAGGTAGCTGCCCTCATGCTGTGGTGAGGTGTGGGGTGAGGCTGGGCCTGCTCCTGCTGGAAGGTTCCTCCTCCCAGCAAAAGGGAGAGAAAAGACTTCCATTTAGGCCGCAGGGCTGCTGTGATGCTCCTTTATTAAAAACATTTCATAATGTTTTATGAAAGTATGAAATTACATATAAAATTTACTATGAAATAGATGTTTTATGCAATTATATATAATATATTCAATAAAATATTCTATTTTTTTTTGTCAAATAGTAGTAATCCACCAACCCAAACATTTGTCTCTTGTAAAACTATCTCGTCTGTGGTTTCAGTGTTTATGTTGGCATTTCATTGTCTTGTGAATTCTCTAATAATGTACTTTTAACTAGTGTTGAGGGCTGTCTGATGTAGAGGCAACGATTTATCCATATACTATGTTCATGAAAAACACATTTTATAATCAGTTTGCAAACCTCCCCTTGTGCTTCTGTAGCCCTGAGGGCAGCATGGGCAACACTAGGCACAACTCCAGCATCCCATCCCAACTCATGCAATAGTACCACGTCCTTACTTAGCCCAGAGACAAACTCCCGGAAGTTAATCAAAGAGTCTCCATTTTCATCTAATAACTGGAACAAGCGGGAGGCCAGAACGTCAGAGTGAGTTCCACATGCCCAAGGAAAGAGAAGAGCAAACATTCCCTTGAACTGCTCGAAGTCAATGCGATACTGTTCCAGGTAGGGCAGGCTGGGGTCATGCCGGTCCAGCGCGTTGCTGCTCCCGCCCCAGTAGCAGCTGGTGAGATGTTCTGCCTGAAAAAGAATGGATGATCACTGGGGACCCTCTTTTGCAGCAAATACCAGAAAGAAAACGCCCATCCTCCAGTTTGGAAAGGGCTTTAGGTGAATCTGTGTGCATCCCCTGGGGCAGGGCTGTGGCCTCAGGGCCCCCTTGGTCTCTTAGTTCTACATACACCTCCACTTGACCAGCCCTTCACTGCCTCCACACCAACCACTTCTGCAGTTTACATCTGGAAGGTCTGCTTCAATTACTGGGTGTAGGTGAAGAAAGAAAGGGAACTCTCCCCCACCACATTCTCTTCCCCCTTACCTACACACTCACATACATTTTAGAACTAACTCCCATAAAGAGAAAGAAATTTTTTAGCTTAAATAGAATGCTACTTGAAAAAGATAGGAATTTAGGTAATGTGACCGCCTTGTTTTCTAGGTGACAATGGTAAAATCCAGACTTTATGTGGCTCATATGAGGTTAACCAACCAGTTAAAGCAGAATCATGATGAGATTTTGTGTTTCTTAACTCCCGCTTTAATGTCCCATGTATCATACATAACCCCCTGCTTCCCTGCTCACCAAAATCACATAAATAAGATCACAGTCACACAGTATTCAACCTACAAGTGTGTGGTCATCCAATTTCACACATCTGTGAATAGCTCTAGAAAAATTATCAGCGTAGGAACCACTCCGGCGAGCAGAATAGAGATCCAGACCCAGCAAAGGGCTTCCTGTTGCTGGCCTTGGAAAAAAGGCAGCCTCTTTATTCATGAGGTCATGGTGACTCTGGTAGAAATATCCACTCCTTTTAGGAAGACCACACAAAAAAGCATGCGCTAGAAAGTTCTGAAAGAACACCCTCAACCCCACACAGGCATTTATAGTTAACTCTGGGTGGCAGGTGGGGGAGAAAGGAGGAGCATAAAAAGGAGGACTTCGTTTTTACTTTTTCCATATTGTATTGTCTGAATATTTCACTATAAGCACGAATAAATATGGTAATAGAAAAAAAAAACACCTTTGGCCAGGTGCAGTGGCTCATTCCTATATTCCCAGCACTTTGGGAGGCCAGGCGAGAGGATCGCCTGAGCCCAGGAATTAGAGAACAGCCTGGGCAACATACTGAGACCCTGTCTCTATGAAAAAAAAGTTTAAAAAGTAGCTGGGCATGGTGGCACATGCCTGTAGTCCCAGCTACTTGGGAGGCTGAGGTGGGAGGATAGTTTGAGCCCAGGAGGTCAAGTCTGCAGTGACCCGGGATGGTGCCACTGCACTGTAGCCTGGGTGACAGAGTGAGACCCTGTCTTAAAAAAATAAAACTAAAAAAGAAGAAAGAAAAATTACTTTTGAAAATCCTTCTCTTTTCCCTAGGGTTTCTGAAAAAGAGGAGAGTCAATTGTGAGTATGTTATATTTCTATTTTGCTCTCCCTTAGAAAAGGAGCAAAGAAGATCAATGTCTTTTCACAATTGTTTATTGGGAATTGTAGTGAAAAAGCTAAAAAGAGGAGTGGGAGTAGGGAAGAGAGGAGGAAGGAGAGGTGGTGAGCAGAACCAGTCAGGTTTTTTGCAAGGCGACCTTGAGAGAATAAAGGAAACTGTGTCAAAGTTCCGTGGGCTTTGGGACTGCATTCCTGGGACTGCATTCCTGGCTGCAGGGTGGAGGCGGGTGTGTCAGTGGCAGGGAGGCAGAAGCTGAGGTCAGAGTGGCCTGCTGGGTTGAGCTGTACTCTGAACGAGCATGAGTGGAGCCCAGCAGCCCTCTGTGGGCAGCATGGTGTTGGGGATATATTCCGGGAGGGAACCCCTTAACCTGAGCTACATCGGTTGACAAAGGTTACCCAAAGCATTTCCTCCTAAGCACCCCAAGTTGCTCTGAACCTGGCCTGAACATGGGTGCAGGCACTTTCATGGTGCTCACAACCATTAGGATAAAACATGCCCTTCAGATCATCTCCCTTGTTCCTTGCTGAGAGCCCACAGACCATCATTTGGGGACTATGGGCCCAGAGATTGAAACAGAAGGGCTAATTTGGAAAGAGTTCAAGAGAAACCAGGGCAAAGGGCCCCTGAACCACATTTTCCATGAAATCTGCCTTAAGGTGCATTCTTTAACCTTTTCTCCTCAAGTTCTATCCAAAAGTCTGTGCAGTAAGCTCCTTGGGAGGAGGACTACATCATTCCTTTGTATCTCCAGAAAAATACCCAGAAATCGACTTCCTTAAAAAAAAAATTTAAGAGACAGGGTCTCACTCTGTTGCCCAGGCTGGAGTGCAGTGGTGTGATCCTGGCTCACTGCAGTCTCGACCTCCTGGGCTCAAACGATCCTCCTACGTCAGCCTCTGGGCTACAAATATATGCTACCATGCCTGGCTAATGTAAAAAATATATATTTTTTAGTGATGGGTCTTGCTATGTTGCCCAGGCTGGTCTAGAACTCCTGGGCTCCAGCACTCCACCCTCCCACCTCAGCTTCCCAAGTACCTGGGATTACAGATGTGAGCTACTGCACCTGTCTCTAGAAATTGGCTTTTTAAAGTACTAAGAAGTCTGGCAGGGTAACTAACACATAGTGATGACTTAATAAATGTTTGAGAAGATGAATGAG
The DNA here is from genome assembly GCF_000001405.40 of Homo sapiens. NCBI lineage: Eukaryota > Metazoa > Chordata > Mammalia > Primates > Hominidae > Homo > Homo sapiens. The sequence goes on from NC_000004.12 coordinate 140,636,781, forward strand.
AGCCAATTGAAGTGTTGCAATGATTCCATGAAGTGTCCATAACTGAAGTTTTATATTGGATTCTTTAGTAGAAGAGACTCTGTCCCACCTGACACCAACCGAGTCTCAGGTTCTTCTGGGTCCTCAATACAGCTGAGGAACCTGTGTTTTCAACACACCCTTAGGGCAGGGTTTTGAGTATAAGAAAACTGCTTTCCTCAGCATATTCTCAGGGTTCAAATGACACGGCTGTTATCTGAAGGTACACAGACCAGAGAGCGCAGCAGTGCCCAGGTTAAGATGTGGTTTCAGCTGGGCGTAGTGGCTCATGCCTGTAATCCCAGCACTTTGGGAGGCCAAGGCAGGCAGATCACAAGGTCAGGAGTTCGAGACCAGCATGGCCAATATGGTGAAACCCCACCTCTACTAAAAATACAAAAATCAGCCAGGCATGGTGGCAGGCACCTGTACTCCCAGCTACTCGGGAGCCTGAGGCAGGAGAATCGCTTGAACCTGGGAGGCAGAGGCTACAGTGAGCCGAGATCGTGTCACTGCACTCCAGCCTGGGTGACAGAACGAGACTCCGTCTCAAAGAAGGAAAAAAAAAAAAAGATGTGATTTCAATGACTACCAGATCCAGGACTTCTGTACAGCCAGCCCTGGTCCTCCTTCTTTTGCTTTCCCCGAGTCAGCCTCCTCTGTCCGCTGTCACAGTCCTTTCTCTTACCTGTCCATGCTCTTGCTGCCTCCAGCTGCTACTTCCACTTCGTTTAGCTCCCCCCAGAATCCTGGCCCTGCCCCCATGCCCTGAGAACGTTTCTTCTGGTCCTCAGCATCCCTTAAAAACCTGATCTGAATTGCATCATTGTTTTCTCCTGCCTTACGGATCTCCAACTTACACTATGTGGAACAATTAGCTACAGGTGCTTAACATGTACGAATAAAATATTCATGAGCTGGCACACCACAGAGACTGCACCCTCAAGTGCCGGATGCAGGCTGGCAGGGGTGCCACTGTCCACTCTGTTGATAATGCTGATGCTGCACCAAGCGCACCACCAACCAGCCTGGACACCCGGAGTGCCTCCATCTTTCTGGGCTTCGGTTTCCTCGTCAGAAAAATGCAGGGACTGTGTTATATTGAGAACTAATCACTAATTTATCTATTAATTCAACACACATGTTTGGAACACCTACAAAGGCAGAGACTCTAGTATTAGTACTAGTGCACTTTACCAGGCACTAGTGACACCAACATAAATAAAACAGTGGTGCCCTCCAGTGGTGAACAGGCAGTGGGCGACATCAGCAAGGGCAGTCCTAAGCAACCACATTTTCTGACTGTAAGACGTAGAATACCAGTGTTCTAGTTTTTATGTTCGTTTCTATTTCCTCCTGTACTATCTTTGCAATTCTCAAAACAGCCAAATTTAGTTCTGATGGTAATTAGAAATTGTGATGAAATTGGCACCTGCATAAAAGGCATATTTTAAACTTTTTTTCCTGTTGATTATCACATTTTAACCTCTGATGCTGATGATACCTATGACAAAAATATTTTTTTCCAAACGAAAAAATTGTACTTTGCTTTATTTATGACCATAATACTTTCTTATTAAGAATCAAGATTGGGGCCAGGTGTGGTGGCTCACACCTGTAATCCCAGCACTTTGGGAGGTCGAGGTGGAGGTCAGGAGTTCAAGACCAGCCTGGCCAACATGGTGAAACCCCATCTCTACTAAAAAAAAAGAAAAAAAAAAAGAAAAAAGAAAAATATAAAAGTTAGCCGGGTGTGGTGGTGTGCGCCTGTAATCCCAGCTGTACCTGGGCAACAGAGTGAGAGCAAGACTCCGTCTCAAAAAAGAATAAAAATAAAAAAATAAAGATTGGTAGGGGCTGAATTAGGAAAGGAAAATCACAGAAATTTAACCAATTATGCTTTTCCTTGGGCACTTAAACAACTTTATTCTAACTACATAAGGGTGTTTTTATAGCTTAACATAGGCAATCACAATTTGCAATAATTCAAGCAGAACTTAAACTTGATCACCATTGTTTTTAATAAGTATTATGAAGCAATAACCTATTTTTTTAGGTTCAAGTAAACAACTAGAATATTATATGGAGTGCAAGGTAACTAAAACATCAACTTAAATTGGTTATAAGAATGTTTATTTTCATATTAAGTACTACAGTTTTGTACTCTCAGCTCTAGCTTCCTATTTATATTATCCCTTAATTTAACAGAAAAATCAAGAACTAACTGAATTATTAAGGTGAACTCCTTTACTCCTTTGAATGGGCATGAATTTACCTTGCAACTCACCTTGAAAAGAGCATAAAGTTCTTCCAGCTCATCAATGGTAAAGGAAGTTTCTGTCACAATGGTTCGTACCTATAAAAATATTAAGCAAAATGAATTTCACAAACTCAAAAAGTGCCATGCTGGGAAAATCCCTAATTTTTCCCTTTCAAATTGTTTTCAGTTCTGTCAGGCAGGAATCCACAGCCAGCAGGAGTGTGAAGAAGGAAGATGACAGAGGTTGCCTGCTACTTCTTAAAGGACTTACCACGTTGCGTTTCGTAGTATCCTCCAGCGTCTGGATCACTTTCAGTCTCTGTTTGAATCTCATCTGTTCAATCAAATCTGCCCGGATAGTTCCGAATTTCTGTAAAGGAGCAATATTGGTGTCTCTGAAAAAATCTCTTACAGCACACAATGTCCTGTCTGCAGAATGCCTGCAACACACTCTTGACACATCAAAGAAATGACTTCTCATATGATGGGCATCCTACAGTACACCTTTAGCTACTGTTTTAAAGCCACCGAGCAATCAGAAATAAATATCTGGAAATTCTCAGGCAGCTCAGCAGCTGAATTAAATTTCAGAGTCAAATGTATTTTCCTTAAGTCATCAAGTTTGTCAAGAAGGGCTAAATAAGGCTACTTGTGTATGAACAAATGCTTCAAAGAAAGAATCTTCTCAACTAGCAGAAAGGTCTAAGGCTAACAATTAGACTAGAAGATTGGAAGAAACCTCCAACCCTGTGTGAGTCTCCCTGCTCCTGACCAGTAGGTTCAAGAGCATTTGTCCATCTGGCCCAGAAATGCATGCTATGTGTCTCCTGATGGCAGACACTGTGAGCTAGCCATCTCTTCAAGCTCCTTCGTACCCCCTAAATGTTTGTTGTCAAAAGCCAAACCAGTCTTTCTATCTGAAGGCAGAGAAAGAATTTGTAAGATTTTATATATCTTAGGGATGCAAAAGAAAGACAAAGAAACCCTGGTTAAAGTATGAAGCTTAACCCATGGAAGCAGTGACTGCAATAGTTAAATATATTTGGAAACCAAAAAAGTATCTGAGACAGGTCTCAATCAGTTTAGAGGTTTATTTTGCCAAGGTTGAGGAAATGCCTGGGAAAGAGATGCAAGTCACAGGAGGCTATGTGGCTTGCACTTTTTCCAGGGAAGGTTTTTAGGACTTCAATATTTAAAGGGGAAAAGGGGCAACAGGGGGAAGAAAGGGGAAAGGGAAAAAAAGAGGGAGGGTATCACATGTTGTGTGAAAAGGTGGGGAAGAGGGAACAGTCAACTCTGCATTTGTCTGGCGCTCAGTAAATCTGCACTTTACATAAGATAAACGTAGAGGAAGATGACAAATATGACCTTATCTTAGGGTGGTGGGGTGGGGGGGGGAGTAGGTGGGGGTGATTTCTAGTCTTCTGTGGTCTTGTACCTGTGAAGAGCTGTTAATTTACATTGTCAGGGTGAGGGAGGCCCCCTTGGGAGACATGAGGCCGTCTATCTTGCAGCTATCTGTCTAGGAACAAAAGGAAAGGCAGCTTTTTGCAAGACTCAATTTCCAAGCGTAACTTTTCCCTTTGGCAAACTGAGTTTGGGGTCCTGAGATTTTGTTTTCCTTTCGCATATTTAAAGGATAAAGAAAAAGCTGACAAACAGCATCGAGTGTTGGTAAAGATATAGTGCAACCAAAACTCTTATATACTGCTGGTTGGAGTATCAGTTGCTACAACCGTTCTGAAAATCTGTCTGGCAGTATCTACTGACTGAACATTCTCATATTCCACTACTAAGTATATAACCCCCCCAAGAAGCATATACATATATGCTATATATATATAGATTTATTTTACTTTACCGAAAGACATATGCTAGAATATTAATAGTGACACTATTAACCAAAAGTCAGTAACCACTCAAATGCTCATGCACAGAATGGATAAAGAAATGGCAATATCATCACATAATCAACTATTTTGCAGCAATAAAAAGAACAATATATTTAAATCTTACAATCATAATACTAAGCAAAAAAAAAAAAAACAAAAAAAAACAGAAGCAAAAGAGCATATTCCGTGAGATTCCATTTGTATCAAGTTCAAAAGAAATCAAAGATCATCTACGCTTTTAGAAGTCTGGAGATTTATTAACCATGGTTGGATGGACAGTGATATGAAAGGGGCACAAGGGGCACTTCCAGGTTGCTAGCACGTTCTATCTTTTGATCTGAGTAAACAGTTACATGAGTGTATTAAAACAGAGGCTTTAAAAAGAGTGCCTTTGTGAGCCTTTGACCTCTTTATCAATACCTACTCCCCAGGAATTTGCAACCATTTTTATCACCTCCACTTTTTGTTTTATTGTTGTTGTTAAAAATGAACTCAGTATGTTTAATAAAGTTTGGTATTATCAAAATCGCAGTACAAACATCAAGTCACACGCCCACATGACAGAATTCCATTTATAAAATGTTTCTCGGGAAGCCCCCACTGGGCCCGTGCCCAAAGAGAGCCTGACCACAGCCTGGGGTCTCTGGGTGGGCAGAAAAGGTGAGTATGGGGGTGGGGAGGAACTCGGGGTAGGGGGAGGAGGGCGGAGAGGAAGGAAAGTGGAGAAAAATGCAGACTCAGAAGCAGTCCATATAACAGCTCAAAAAGAGCTAGCCGGCGATATTATCACAACGATACAGTACAAATCAAAGCAAAAATAAAAATAATTTGGCCGATACAGCAGGCTACACTGCCAAGAACCCAGATGGCGGCCTTCCTGCGGCCATCCGCACGGGCCTCCTCACCCCCCATCTCTCCCGTGCGCCCACTCGCTTCCTTCTCGCTCACTCGCAGGCACTCTCTCGCTAGGAAACACAGAAAGTATTTTGTGTTTGGAGATAGTAACCTTAGTCAAATGAATCTTCCGAAGAGTCGCTGAAGGAGGAATGCACCTTAGCCTCTCGAAGCAGCAAACAAAACCACTGCTTCCTGCTGGTGGCTGGCTTAGGTTTCAGAGTCCGGGAGGGGGCGGAGGAGGGGGTGTGTGCCAGGCCCTCTTGGTCAGCTAGGGGCCGCCAGCTGCCTTGCTGTCCTTTGCCACCATGCCACACAGGAGGGAAGGCATCAGTTTGGAGCTAGCCGGAGGGGCCTTGGGCGGGCCACTCTCCTTCAGGAATTCTTCGTCTTCCTCTGAGTCTGTATTGTAAGAGTAGCTGCTCACTTCGGAGGCAAACGCGGAATGGGCCGACTTGGGCTGGCCTCTGGCCTTGAACCCCACCCCTATCTTCCTGGCTTTGGCGGCCCTTTTGTGTTTACCTTCTCTGGAAGATTTCAGAGACAGGCCGGAGGCCCTTGGCCAGCACCTTCCTGTCCTTGCCCAGCAGGCTGTCATAAGGAGTTAAGTACTTGCTGCAGCCCCTGCCAGTTTTTGATTTCCCCCCAGCACTGTCTGAAAACTTGAAGGGTGACTTCAACTTGTCCTGCTTGGTGAGGGAGAGGGCCTTTGTCGAGCTTGCTTGCCAACTGCTCCTGGTCGCTGTCCATCTTCTTCTTCTTAATCTTCAGCTGACTTATGAACTTAGACGAAGCCTCGTGTTCATCCCAAGTCTGGTTCCTCTCCCTGGCTTTCCCTGTTCCAATAAGGGCATTGTGTTCCTCCTTGGGCCCTTTGTGTCTCTTCCTTATTCCTGCTCCCAGCTCATAGTCATCTGATGTCGGCAGAGATTTGCTGCTCAGCTTTCCGCTACTGTTGCAGTTCTTCCCCCTCTTGCGGGCGGGCGACAGGGCTCTCGGGGGCGTGGGTCTGTTTCCACGGCCTGCGTGCCAAGCTTCCATGGGACTCCTCGTGCCTGTCCTCGGAGTCCCGGCGCCGCTGCAGCTTCACCAGCTCATGCTGCTTCTCCTTGTACTGGTGCTGGACCTCGGCCCGCCACATTCTGAAGTCCAGTTCCAGGACGTCCATGTCCTCCACGGAGGACTTCATGGGGTACATCCGCTCCTCCTTCTTGCGCATCCAGCTGTACTTATTGTGGGCTTCAGCTCCCGTGGGAGCCGCAGGTTCTTGAGCGGGTCCCACCACGGGCCCATCCAGCACCTCCCTCAGCATGTGGCTGCCGGCTGCCAGCAGGCTCTCCAGTGAGGGCCGAGCCACCAGGGCCCGCTCCGCACCTCCCACCTTCTTGCTCCTCCTCTCCAGCTCCAGCTCTGCGATCTCGCTCAGCAGGGTGATGCCGTGCAGAAAGCTCTGCTCCAAGACAAGGCTCTCGGCAGCTTCCTGCTTCTCCAAGGCCTGGACTCCAGTAGCACCTGGGGAGGGCAGAGGCCTGGCCTGGGGCAGCTCCATGGCCACCTCCATGCCAGCCAGTGGGTCTTCCAGGCCGGGCAGGAACTGCTCAGAGCTTGCCTCTTCCAGGTAGCAGGTGCTGCCGGGCACAGGCACGGCCTCCCGGGGCTCCAGTCTCGGGCACTCTCCCTCCCCGGCGGGCACGTCACAGTCTGACATTTCTAGGCTGGGCTGGGGCTCGCTCAGGGCCGCCTGGGCCAGGCCTTCCTCCGGCGCTGCCTCTGCCGCAGGAACCGCCACAGGCACCTCCACTGGCTCCTCCTTGGCCTCCACTAGCGTCTCGGGTGTCAGCTGCACCCCCAGGTCCAATGCGGCCGTGCAGGGTTCTGTCCGGCCCGGGGAATCCACGCATGCTTCAGGCCCCTCCGCAAAGTCTGGGCACTCAGAGGGCTCGGTGCAGCCCTGCCCGGTGGCACTCAGCGCCTGGGCCTCCAACGGGCCACCTCTGCATCCGCCTGCAGGGCTCGGGGTAGCCATGGTTTCCATGGCGGGCAGTGGCAGCGGCAACTCCAGAGGCGGCAGCTCTGCGGGGCGCTCGTCCACATCCTCCACCTCCACCTTCGCCTCCTGTTCAGCCAGCGGCTCTTCCTCCGGGTCCTCCCGCAGCGGCTCTGGGATCTTGGAGGGGGACAGGAGGATGAGCTTGTCTTCGGGCGAGAGTGTCAGGCGCTTGGTCCCATCAGCTGGGAGCAGCACATCAGGGGCCAGGCCATCCGCATCGGCGGCCACTGTGGGCTGCCCCAGGAAAGGGTAGGGCCTCCCGTAGTGTGGTGGCAGGGCTTGGAACGGATACCTGGGCGGCATATCTGAGAACAAGGCCTGGAAAGTGCTGGGGGCTTCCTTATCCAACTCCAAGTCCTTCTTCTCGACCACGTTGTCGGGGGTCTCTTCCTTGCGGGTGATACCCGGGGTGGACAGCAGGGAGTGGGGAGGCAGGCTGGTGGGGTGGGAGCTAGGGGTAGCAGGGTAGGTGTAGGCAGGCGCCTTGGACACGTCCTCCAGCGGCTGGATGACCTTGGCCTTCAGGGCGGCCATGGGGGACGCGCGGGGCGATGGCGGCGGGCTCACCGCCTTGCCATAGATGCTCGCAGGGCCGGCAGCCAGGCGGGGGGCTTTCGCAGCAGCATCCCAGGGCAAGCGGTGGCCAGGCCAGCCTTGCCCCCGGCCCCCAGGCCCCAGTTGCTCCACTTCTCCTCCATCTCTGCCTGGTACTCCTCTGCGCCTTCAGCCGCTCCAGCTGGGTGCTTCTTTGCAGTTCCAGGGCCTGGGCCGCCCGCTGCTGCAGGTACAGGAACTCCTGCAGCTGCAGGAAGTGCTGCAGCGAAAAGAGCTGCAACTGCTGGGCCTGGTGCAGGGGGCTGCAGCCTGGAGAGTACAGGGCGGGGCAAAGGGGCAGCACGGTGGCCCGCTCCATCAGCTCCGCAAAGTGAGGCAGGTGATCTCTGGGAATGACCAACAGCTGGCCCGACTGGGAGTCCCTGACAAACTGGTAGGGCGACAGCAGGGAGCCCCCAGGCTGGGTGGGAACGCAGGGGCCATGCCCTAGTGCAGAGATGGAGGTCCCAAGCCCCAGGGGTGTCCGGCAAGCCACATGGACATGCTGCCCGAGCGGGACAACCAGGGGTGCGTGGCCAGATGGGTTGCGGGGTCCACAGACCAGCAACCGGAGCCTGCCAGCACTGGGCCCCAGGTCACCAGGAGGTTGGGGTTCAGGCCTTTAGGAGCACAGCTGGTAGGGTGCACGTGGGCCAGGTCAGCCAGCTCATTACTCTCTCTGAGCAGCTTCTCCTGATCTCAGTCCAGCCAGGCCCCCAGCAGCCATTACTCCTGGTGTCTGGCCCGGTGTCCACACAGTCCTCATCTGCTTGGCTGTGCTCTTTCACATTACTCAGTGACAGAGGGTGCTCCTGGTCTGCCAGCCCAGGCCCCAGCCAGCCACTGCTGCCACTATCCTTCTGCAATGCCCACAGGCGGGTGTCGCACTTCTGCTTCACCCTGGACACCAGAGCCCGCGCATCCAAATGCCTTGGCACTCTCCGGCCTCTCTGGGTCGCGCTTCAGCTGCGGGCCCCTGCCCACTGCTATCATCTCCACTTTTAACTACCCCTAAGCCACTATCCTCTCTTGCGAGAGCCTCTATATACATCTCCGCACTTCCTCCAGGCATGCATCATTATCTTCCCCCAGTAGTAAGAATGGTTCTAAAACCAGAGTCAGACAACACTCTTCCTTTGTTTAAAATTCCAGTGATTTTTCATCCTCTCTTGGGATAAAATTCCAAGGCCTCTAAGCCCTTCATGCTCTTTCCACCTTTCACAATGCCCTCTCTGACCAGCCACCACCAACCTCTTCTTACTCATTAGTTCTAGTGGCCTCTTCATGTTCCCCAAGTGCATCATGCAGGCTCCCTGCCAGCCACGGCCTGAGCACCGGCTGCTGGCTGCCCCCTCTGTGCTTCTCTCAGACAGCACTGTATTCGGTCCTCCATGGCATCTGTGTCTCTGCTAATTGTCATCTCACCAGAACAATAAACGCTCAGAGAAACAGTATGTCCCCACCCTTCACTGTGCCATGTTCCTTCTTACTTGAATTTAGCACCACTTTGCATTTGTTTTTGTTTGTTGGTTTGTTTTTGCTTAGTAAATCTATCACCACTTACTCTATGGCAGAGACTGTGTGACCAGGACATGAGCCGAGGACAGTGCTGATTCACATGTAAGTGCTCAACAAATATTTGCTGAACTTAGGGGGTCCTCATGATCATTCCAGGAAGTAAGTGCTCTTCCTATCCCCATTTCAGAGACAAAGAAATCGTAGTTTAGCCAAAATCATTAACTTGCCCAAGTCTACACAGCTGGTAAGCAGCAAAGCTAAGTTCAAACCCAGGTCGTCTGATTTGAGAACTCGTGCTCTTAGCTCCATCCCGGGGAAACTCCCTGGCACCTTACCTTTCTGACTTGCTGCACAGCACAGTAGGCACCCAATAACTGGCTAGGGATGCCAGATTCAATGAATAAAAGCATAGGAAATACAGGATGCCCAGTTAAATTTGAATTTCAGGAAAACAATGAATACTTTTTTACTATAAGTATATCCCAATCAATATTAATTAATCCTGTATTTTTTTCTGACATCCCTATAAATAGCACCACTCTATAGATCAGTCTGTGTAGTGGACTCTAAACTATCCTATTTCCTAAGTTGGAGTTTACAGCAAAAAAGACTATGCCTTTCTAGTACCTTTTACTTTCTGTTTTGGAAGGACTAATCCAGGGAATTGAAAGGAATGACCCAGGCATTCCTTTCAGATAATCAGAGCAAAAGAGTACACTGACATCTCTGAATCTTCCCAGTCCATGTTCCACCAGCAATGTGGTGAGTGGGTCTCAACCTTACAAAAGCAGGATTTATGGAAGAAACTTCTTATCTCCAAGGAAGTGCCTTCCAAAGGTGGAATCAGATTCTTCTCAACAATGAAGATGCAATATTTATTTGCACTGAAAAGCTGGAATTCAAGAGTTAGTAGGGGCTGCCATTAATGATGAAAAGCAATCATATTTAATTCACTATGGGGTTTTATCTTTGGCTAGGAAAGAAAAACTTTCAAGGAAGGTAAGTATTTTGATCCAAACAGAAAAGCAGTGAGCATCCATTGCAAATTACATGCCTACTGATGAAGAACTGGATTTATTACTTCAAACTGGGCCATAGGATGCCTGTGATCAATAAAAAACACTAGCTGTGAGACAGAAGGAAAGACAGTTTTATTGTACCTACAATTGTTAGGGACATTAACATGCCATCTCATTTGCACCTTACAATAACTTTAGTGAGTCTAGACTGCTACCTCTGTTTTGCGAATGGGCAAACCAAGGCTTGGAGAGGTTAATTAAGTCCCCCAGAGTTCCACAGTGGCTGAGCTGCAAGTGGTCTGAGGCTCAGATAAATAGCTCTGTAACTCCACCAACTACCATTCTATCATAGGCAGTAAGTTCTTCCTTGTCTCTGGGTTGAAAAGAACATAAATTTTGGAGCTAGACAAAATTTGATTCAAATTATTGTTCTTTGACTAATTACCTATGTGAGTGGGCAACTCAGTTGAATCTTCTGACCCTGTTTCTTCCTCTATAAAATGAGACCCCAAAGCTGTCCTTGTAAAACTGTGTTGGAGATAAAGTTCCAATAATAGTAACTAATATTAAACATTGGCTTTGTAATCTTTTGCAGGGTGCCAAGCAAAAGAGCTATTTCCTCACAAGCCTGACATTCAAAGAGCCCCGTGTGTCTTAGATCTAATTAATATCAACTAGAAATGGATTCTGCTATTTGTTAGGCAGGGCCCCTTCCTCAGCCAGGACTCTGCAACTTGCCAGAGACAGAACACAGTGGCCCTTCCCTCTGGAGCAAATGGTCCCAACCTAAATGTAAACCGTGGACTCCAAGTTCCTGCTTGGTTATTTCTGGAGGATTTGTAAAGGAATGTGAACAATTAGAATGACATGGGGGTCTCTCCCTCCCCCGACTTTGGGGGGGGTCTCTCCCTCCCCCGACTTTGGGAGGGGCTCTGCCAGAATTAAATGCTAAAAATAGGACAAACAAAACTTGGCTCAGTAAATGCTGCAGCCAACACTTCCCATTACCCAAAACAAAGACACAGGTGTGGATATAATACCTTCTCTCAGGCACCACATATTCCAGTTCCTTGAGAAGTGCTAGTTCACTAATATCACAATAATACTTGTTCCAGCAAACAGAATTTGTGCTGGAGGTGAGGGAGCCTATAATTATTTTAATTTTCTAAAATTTCCCTTCCTTAAACAATAAACACAATTATCCATCTTTGTTTATATCTCTTATCCAACTCAACTATTTTAAAAATTTTGTTTTGATGTAATCCAACTCAATTCTTATCTGAATGTTTCTGTGGCCTGTTTCTAATTTTTCAGTTTAATTTCTAACATCTTTATGAGCAGAAAGGCAGTTTTGTTGTTGTTTTTTTTTTTTTTTTTTGAGACAGGGTCTTACTCTAGTGTCCAAGACGGAGTGCAGTGGCATGATCACGGCTCACTGCAGCCTCAACCTCCTAGGCTCAGATGATCCTCCCACCTCAGCCTCCCAAGTAGCTGGGACTACAGGCATGTGCCACTACGCCTGGCTAATTGTTGTATTTTTTGTAGAGATGGAGTCTCCCTATGTTGCCCAGACATGTCTCAAACTCCTGAGCTTAAGTGGTCTGCCCGCCTTGGCCTCCCAAAGTACTGAGATTATAGATGTGAGCCATGGCACCTGGCCAGAAAGGCAATTTTCAAAGCAGACGGTACTTCTTTTTGTTGCTTTGCCCCTGTGGGTACTGATACCAACCAACAAATAGGTGTGTGGCCCTTCATTTCATACCACCTTCCCCCATCCTGCCTGCAGATGTTCCCTTTCTCTCCCCCAGACTTAGAACAAGGAACAAGTAGCTCAGATAAAGCAATGAGGTAGAGATGAGTCTGTCTCAAGTTTATGTTCTCTGGCTCCTCCCACCCCACCATCATTCCTGAGCGGAACAAGAGTTCCCCTGCCCAGGCTGGGCAGTGTTTCTGTGATTTACTTTATCCTTCAAAGCTTACCCTGTGTTACCGGGAAGACAAGGATGGATGAAGAACAGATACAGATTTTTAAAAGAGACTGACCACAAGGTCAAGCTCAATCAAGTTCAATCAGCCCTTCCTTTCTAAATCCTCCAAAGAGAACTTGAAATATTTAAATGCTACAGCTTAAAAAACACCCAGCAAAGCAACAACAAAGCTCAATGTAGGCCAGAGGGCCATGGAATGATGTGAATGAGTCTGCCCACCACAGGGGAATTTACTGAAATAAAAAGAAGGCATTGGTTCTAATATGCAAAGTCTATGGCTTATTTCTATTTTAAAATAAAACTAGGTCATCAAATTATGCTCAAAATGCCTCTTTGGTGTTTCTGAATTTGTGGGGTTATTTTCCCAGTATGCAGAATGGGGTTCACTACTGTTAGCAGAAGGCTGAGCACCAGTGACACCTGAGACATTCCTTGATCAGAAAAAACTCCAAATACTTAAGATAGTAAATGAAGCTTTGCCTTGGATGACTGGGTGAGAGAGGGAAGAAATTGATGGAATGTGAGGCTTTAGGTATAGAAAAGCCTAACATTACAGGAGGCAGAGCCCAAGAGACGAGAGAGGGATTCTCACACACAGGGAGCTTCGAAGGAGCAGCCCCACACACTCCCCCTTGACTTCTATGGGGGTGGCGTCTGTCTGCACCTGTGTACTTATGTGTTAGGTGGGGAGTAGATGTTCAGGAGGGCAGAAGAAGAGGGTGAGGGGGGCAGAGGAGGCAGGAGATGATAAGAAGAAACAAGGATATGAATTCAGGGAAGAAAACTCTGGTGGAGTCCCATGTTCGTTGAATGGGTGGCCCTTTCTAGGGTACTCTGATCTCTAAAGAGTCTCACGCCATGACTATATTCCCATCAGGGAACACCCTCATAACTCTGCCAGAAGTGGGCCCATATTTTATATTTGAATACAGTATTTATATTTTACGTAAAAATATATCATTTAATATTTTATGCTTCTTTAGGTGCCATGTCTTTTGAGATCTTTTGTCTACCAGAAAGGGCTAGAGAAACAGTTGTCACATAAATATGGAAATTACAAAAAACATTTAGTTTCAATACTCCATGTAAACTATTAGCTGTTGTGTGAACATGCTGCTGATTAAATTACAAAAAATAACTCTAAGCACAGTGCCCAGTATCACTATATTTTTACCTAGAATTTATTTTGAAAGTTGCTGTAAAGCAGAAATCATGAACAGGCAGCCAGTAGGCTAGAAAGTCCATGATGAATATTGTTTGGCCCAGGGAGTATTATAAAAAACAGTAATCTTCAAATAAAACAAAGAGTTCCAACTTCTCTTGAAAAATTAAAAGTTCTGGCAGCAATGGTTCCTTGCCTCAGGTGGTAAAGAGACTGTCAACTCTAGCAGGCTCCAGCTGTCTAGTTCCAGAAGCCCACCCTTTCCTACCACCTTCACTCCCTACCCCATTGTTAAGTGCCTTGATGAGCGACGCCACAGTCATGTGAATTTGTAATTCTGCTCTAGAGTATTTTCTTTTACTTTTTCTTTTTTTGAGATGGAGTTTCTCTCTTGTTGCCCAACCTGGAGTGCAATGGCGAGATCTTGGCTCACTGCAATCTCCGCCTCCCAGGTTCAATCGATTCTCTTGCCTCAGCCTCCCGAGTAGCTGGGATTACAGGCGCCCATCACCATGCCTGGCTGATTTTTTTGTCTTTTTAGTAGAGACGGGGTTTTGCCACGTTGGCCAGGTTGGCTTCCAACTCCTGACCTCAGGTGATCCACCCGCCTTGGCCTCCCAAAGTGCTGGGATTACAGGAGTGAGCCACCATGCCTGGCCTCTATTTTCTTTATATACACACCAATAATGTAAAGTTCAGCCTCTATAAAGGAGACATGCTTTTGACACCTGGACATTGTAGAAAAGGCACAGTTTCATAGCCACATGTAGCAAGTGGGACACATAGCAAGTCCCAGATTTCACATAAATTTTATAAAAACTGATGGCCCTCATCTTCTTCATCAGCAATATAGGGAAAATAATTCCTACCTCTTTGGAATGGTGTAAGACTTTTATGCACACATAGGTAAAACAATTAGTATGGTAGCTTTTATTATTCCCAGCATTGTTGATAAAAGAAAGAGGAAGATGAAGAGGATAGAAAAAACACTTTTCAAAATCAGCAAAACCTGGCTAGGCACAGTGGCTCATGCCTATAATCCCAGCACTTTGGGAGGCCAAGGCGGGCAGATCACTTGAGCTCATCAGATGAGCCTGGCCAACATGGTGAAACCCCGTCTCCACAAAAAAGACAAAAATTAGCCAGGTGTAGTGGTGCACACCTGCAGTACCAGCTACTCAGGAGGCTGAGCTGGAAGGATGGCTTGAGCCTGGGAGGTAGAGGTTGGAGTGAGCCGAGATGGCACCACTGCACTCCAGCCTAGGTGATAGGGCAAGACCTTGTCTCAATAACAACAAAACAATCTCAAAACTTGCTAATGTTATAACTGAGATTCCATTAACAACGGGTGAGAACTAACTTATAGGTCCACATTTTCTTTTGAGGTATAAACAAACTTTTAAAAATTAAACTTAAAATTCAAAGCTATGGATTAGCAAAAAATGCCATGCCGAAACTCACCTTATCTGTTAGAGACACATAATGAAGAATTTATCTGTTAGAGATACATTCTTTTACAGGTGAAATAATACACTGTCTGGACTTTGCTTTAAGTTACTTCAGGAAAAAAAGAAAAAAAGTGGGGAGGAGTAATAAAACAAAGATCAGAAAAATGTTGATAATTGTTGGGACTGGATGATGGGTTAAAGGAAATGTATTATGTTATCCTTTTGGCTCATACTGGGCTTGAAAATATCTAGTGCTGATAATGTATCCCCAGGGCTGAGCATGATACCTGGCATAAGAAAGGTGCTTATACAATCTTAAATAAAGATTTCCTTGGTTGGGCACGGTGGCTTAAGCCTGTAATCTTAGGACTTTGGGAGGCTGAGGTGGATGGATCACTTAAGGCCAGGAGTTCGAGATCAACCTAGCCAACTTGGTGAAACCCCATCTCTACCAAAAATACCAAAAGATTAGCCAGCCTTGGTGGTGCACGCCTGTAGTTTCAGCTACTTGGGAGGCTGAGACATGAGAATCACATGAACCCCGGAGGTGGAGGTTGCAGTGAGCCAAGATCAAGCCACTATACTCCAGCCTGGGTGACAGAGGGAGACCCTGTCTCAAATAAAAAAAAAAAAAAAAAGATTTTGTTAATACATGAATAGACAAATGCTGTTTCTTGCATCTCCTGGGTCTTTCCCATATACAACCACACTATCTTTTTTGCTTGTCTATTCCTTCAGCTCTCCCCCTCCTCTAATTTGTTGCACAGGAAGCAGAGATAATGTACTTCAAGAAGAATGCTCTTCAGTCTCCAGTGGCTGTTAGATGCCTTCCAAGTCAATTAGTGATTTCAAGACTCCCTACTAACCAGCTCCACTGGACCAGTTGACCTCATGACCATCGGTACATCCATAATTCCATCTCTCTTCTAATCCAAATAAAGTCCCTTGGTCCTGGCTTTAATGCAAGGGAGCTCTTCCTTGGATACTGGCTGCCACTTTCTAGCTGTGCAGCTTGGAACAACTAGCTCAACCTCTCTTAACTTACATTTTCACCTTAAAATGCATTAACATTTACATGGCAGAGCTGTCTACAAGGCACCCAGCACCTTGCCCCACACATGGCAGGCTCTCGATGAGTAATAGCTATTATAGTAATCATTAATAAGCCAGAGACACATTACTCTAAGCTTTCATAAATGCCTATCCATCTTCACAGATTGTGCCTTCTGTTTTATTAGCCACATCCTTTCCCTGCTTAACACTTTTCAGACTAAACACACTGGGCTGGGTCATCTCGAACATGAAGCAGCTCTGTGATAGCTGTGTACCCACTTTAAGGCCTATTAACATCCTCTTGTGCCTTCCAGGAGGGGCATCTCAGTCTATGAATCAAACTTTAAGATTGGGACTTTGTCTTCTACTTCTATATTACTCTGCTCAAAGTGCAGGGCTTCACACAAGGGTCTACACAGAAGAAAACTGGAGTCTCACACCACTTACACAATTCCTTTCAACAGAGGCTTAGGGGAACTTATAATGAGTGAGATTTTCCCCAGGAGGTATTTATGAAGCGAAGTTATCAATATCAGACTAATTTCTAGCAACCTAGGGAGCCCTTAACTAAATTTCAAAAGATGAATGTGCTTTCAGTATTTCTTTCCTATGTTTCAATTGTCACGGCTAATTATCCTGAAGAACAGAAAGAAATGCATTGTGTATCTTAGAACACTCAGGTGTCATGCCTGAGCCCAAACCAGATTCTTACCCACATCAGTGATTAGCCCCATTCTGCATCCAGCGCAGTGAATCTCAACCCTCACCGGACATTTGGAATCGCCAGGGAAACTTCTTAAAATATATGTACTCTTGGGCTTCATGCCTACATTCAGATTTAATTGGTCTGGGATGGAGCCTAGGAGTTTATGTTTTTAAAAGCTTAGCTTAAAAAAAAAATTAAGTGATGTAATGCACAGACAGGATTGAAAACCACCAATTTAATGGTTAGGAGGGAAAAAAACAATCAGCAAGAGTTCGTGGTGTTCTCTTTAAGTTGATCTACAAGGCATTAGAGAGCCACTGGAAACATAAGCAGAGTAGTGACACTTAAGCAGAGAAGAGAAAACAAAAACCTAGTTATCACGCACTGAAAGACCTGGTAATATAGGCACTGATATAAATTAAAAGGATTGTCTTTCCAGGCAGAGGAAGGGAACTGCGGCTTTGTCCTGTGATAGGATGTCTGGCAGCCTGAGGGCCACCATTAGGGATCAGCCCAAGAAGACGTAAATGGAAATCAGCTGTTGGCCTTGTCTCAATTTCTTTGCTTTCGCTTTAAAAATGGGCAAAATGCTGACTTCAGCATGAAGCTAGCTTATCTGCTGTTGAGAAAAAAGCTGAGTTGCCACATACTAAGCTTTAATACTGTTAGGAATAACGCTCAAAACCCTAAGGAAATTGAACACTTGAACAAAAGATTCTTAGCAAAGCAATTTTACTTCTGCACAGAGGGGTGCCTCCTTGGCCAGTTGCCATGAGAGCACACCTGAACAAAGGGCATGAGAGCCTTTATTCCTGACACCAAGTCCTGCCCCTGTACCCTTTCCCCATTGTCTGGGGTCGGGTTGTACAATCTAATCCCGGTTGGCTAAACATTTGATTTTTTTAGATAGGGTGGGTAAGTAAAAGAAAGTAGAGAGAAAGGGGAAGGGGGTGTCTGTAATGAGCTAGAAAGTTAGTCCTCTTTCCAAATAAGGAAAGGAATGTGAGCTGGTACTGATAATGCTTGGTACTGAGGCATGCCTAGGCATCTAACAAAAGAAAAAAGAAAAAAGGAGAAAAAGAAGAAAGGGGTGGGGGGGGGTACTACGAATTAAAGAATAAAAGATTGATCAGATTATTTGAAGAGAAACCCCATTATATCCCACAAAACCTTGGTCCAGAATTCTTTTAACAATAAAGGTCTGAGGATTCCTTTAGAAAAGCAACCCACAGATAGAAAAGCTCTTGCTTACATCATACAGTACTATTCCAAAGTCCTGGGGCGATGACTTTTTTAAATGCATATGGAAATAGTTTTGGAGACAGTAAGGTGAAACATTCATTCTTTATCTCCAATAGTGGAAACATAAATTGAGACATCCTTCATGGAAATTAGACAGTGTGTGCCAATAGCTTGATCATTCTTTTTTTTTTAATCTAATTTTTTTAATCCAAACTTTTAATGTAAATTCATTTCTAGGATTCTAAGACAATAATCAGAGATGTGATATTTGGGTACAAGTTTATCTTAGAATGCTATATAATACTGAAAATTTGGAAGAAATCGAAGTAAATGTCTAACAAAAGGGAACTAGGTAAATAAATTTTGTTACCTCATTAAAGCAGAATACAATTTAGTAAAATCATGCCTTCATATAATATTTAATATATTAGGGAATGCTCATGGTATACATAGAAAATGACAGAGCAAGTATTTAGAAGGACTTTTTTTTAAAGTGTATGTTGTAAGTATAAAAACATACTTAAGGGAAATGTAAAACGCTTATAGGATACAGTTTATTTTTTTCTTCCTATTTCCCTACAATTTCTAAAATGAACATGTATTGCTTTTATGATTCTAAAACAAAGTATTTTGCTTTCAATATATATGGAGTTTCAATGAAGATTTTAAAAAATAATTACCAGTCTTTCTCTTATTATGAGTTAAGGACACACATTTCTGAAAAGATTTCTATATCCATAGCAATTTTTTTTAAAAGCACTAAATTTTTTACTTTAAGAGAGACTTTCTGATCTCACTCCATTCCTCACTATTTGTCTCTTATCCACTTTGTTGCTAGCTGGAATATGACAATCACCAATCAAAATCACAAAACACCTGTAGAGAGCATAGTGCGCTCAGCAGAATACTCAGGCTTTCTCAGTGATCATTTCTATAAAAGTTTAGAGAATCAAGGATCAGGAAATGAAGAAACCATCAAGTGTTATGAGCACTTGGGGCCCCACAAACCACCAGGTGTTAAGGGGGAAAGTGGCACTGTGGTTCCTTCACCCCAAAAAGCGTATTAGTTCTGTTGTGAGATAGAGCGGCAGATCAGGCTGATTCCAGGGTCATCATGGACAAGAAAGCATCCTCCCCCATCCAAGCCAAGCAATTTTAGAGGAATCCTAGGACTCTGGTCTACTCTGGGCTATACAGGCTATACTAAGTGTCTCAGACTATCTACTTCAAAGAAGCCCTAAGTACTTAGCATGGGAACAGAAAGCAAATTGATTTGTGAAGGTCAGCCTCCCCATCCCTACTCTCAACAGCCCCTACTTAATCTACAAAGAGTTCAATCTGAGCTGCTACTAGATCAGGCTTCAGGATGTGAATGGTAAAGCACTGGAGAGCCACAGCTTGTCTTGCCATGTGCTACTATGGTATTAGACCCATTAAGACATCCAGGCTCCATTCAATGTCCATCTCTGGAGGCCAAAGCTGTCAGCTAGCACAGAACTACTTACTTCTGGCCAGTAGTTCTCACTGTAGAAGGAATGTAGAAGTAGTTCTCAATGTAGAAGGAAGCAGGTAAGCCTATAGTCTCAATGTTTTTATTCCCTCTAAAACTCATGTTGAAAATTAATCCCCATCACAACAGTGTTGGAAAGTGGGGTCTAATAGGAGGTATTTAGTGTGGAGTCCTAATTAGGGAAAAGGAGTCGGGCTGGCAAGACCCAGGGAAAGCAAAATAAATAAATATATAAATAAATAATCAAAACAGATAAGCTATAAGTCTGCCCTTTTTCATGATCCAGAACACATAGGTCTCCTGTGCAAATAACTCATAATCTTCCTGCGCCCAGCTATCACCAGACCCTGGGCTGACAGAAAAATGCAAGTTAGCTCACTACAACCTCAGCGTTACCAGTACTGCACAAAGCCCTCTCCAGCACACAGCACAAGAACCATCCTATAAAATCCCCAGCAAGGCTTTGTCTCTTTGCAGTTAACTCCTCTCTTGCTAACTTGCCCATTGCATCCTTGCAATGTACTTTCATGCTTTCCTTAATAAATCTGCTTTTCTTTACTTACAACTGTCTTGGTAAATTCTTCCTACTACCCTCCTGATACCAGCCTCAGATAGTTGCCAATCACCTGCAACATTTAGGTCATGAAGACTCTGCCTTCACAAATGGATTAATGGCACTATAAAAAGGTCTTATGAGCATGGGTTCTCTCTCTTCTGCCAGTGAAGACATGGTATTTCTCCCCTCCGGAGGACACTGCATGCAAGGTGCCATCTTGGAAGCAGAAAGGCCAGGACCTAACCTGCCAATGCCTTGATTTGGGGCGTCCCAAAGTCTAGAACTGAGAAATAAATATCTGTTCTTTGCCCAGTCTGTGGTATTCTGTTATAGCAGCACAAAACAGGCAGCAGTGGAAGTGTCGAATGCATGGTTAAGCCCTGCTCAGCCAGGAGACAAGACCTACCTCGTAGGAAGTTCTGATGAGTCTAAAGATGTCTACCTCAGGGTAAGGTTCCACATCATCGCTGAGCAAGGAGTGGAGGTGAGGAATGGGAGGCAGTGTGCTGTCTTTATTGGTCACACTGTCTAAATACCTGGAAGAAGAATGCATCAGAAGTCACAGGAGAAGAAACTGGAATCCTCCCATTATAATTCTCCAATCATTTTCTGCAAGTTCTACATTTTAAAACAAAGGACTAGAGTTTCTTTAAAGATGGAAAGAGAGAAAGAAATTCTGTTAATTTCTAAAGAAAAAGCATATGAAAATAAATCCTCAGCCACAGGAAGAAGCGGGCATTATGATCACCATCAAATCAGTTAAGACTCATGAAATGAAGAGAAAGCATGAGGAAGAAAACCGGAGATGGTTTTCAAAGTTAGGCTTAGTACAATACCTTCCCAAAACGGTCATGGCCTCCCCATCATCCTTGCAGTTCAACAGTTTGTCCACATTTGCATCCAGCACAGCTAGGGCCAACTGGAATATCACTTTAATTCCTTCATAGAAGAAACAGTCAACAACCACAACTGCACTCTCAAAAGGCATCACACTGAGAAATAGTGTGAGGAACCAAGACAGGGAGATGGTGGAAATCACGCCCAGGTCTTGCATGCAGTCGTACAGCTGTGGGACGTAGTCTCGTGCTAGCTCCTCAAAGACACCTTGGTCCACCAGTGCACCTGTGGCAGCGATGTATACAAAAAGGCGCAGCTTAGCCAACTACACAGTGTAACTAAAGAATCCATTCAAACAACTTGACTGCTAGCACAGGACTCTGTTCCTTTCTGCTGACTGTTCTGCTGTGACTGTTACTAGACCAAGGTGTCAACACAGCTCAGTCACCAGATTAGTTCTGGCTGCATCTTCTCTTTCTGGGCTCTTCCTGTCCTGTTTTCCCTTCCAAAAAAGAACAATCACATGACAATTATAAGGGTTGTTGAGAAAGCCAGTTTATAAGGTTTTCGTGACATACAATTAGTTATTTTGTTGGCAACATAATGTTTGGTTTGGTATGAGATGTACATCCAAGTACAGTCATGCCTCACTTAACAATGGAGACATGAGAAATGGGTTGTCATGTAAATCTGTCATGTGAACATCTTTGAGAGTACTCACACAAACCTAGACAGTAGAGCCTTACTACACACCTAGGCTATATGGTATAGCCTATTGCTCCTAGGCTCCAAACCTGTATAGCATGTTACTGTACTAAATACTGTAGGCAACTATAACATAATGGTAAACAGTTGTGTATCAAAACATAGAAATGATACAGTAAATATACAGTATTATAATCTAATGGGACATCTGTTGTATATGCAGTCCTTCCTCAGCCAGAACATCAACACATGACTACAGTTCCAAATGTACATTTAAGCAGCTTAGCTGGCAAACTCTTATTAATTAAAAAAAATAATAATAATCCCAGCACTTTGGGAGGCTGAGGCAGGCGGATCACCTGAGGTCAGGAGTTTGAGACCAGCCTGGCTAACATGGTGAAACCCTATCTCTACTGAAAATACAAAAATTAGCCAGGCATGGTGGTGGGAGTCTGTATAGTCCCAGCTACTCAAAGACTGAGGCAGGAGAATCACTTGAACCTGGGAGGCGGAGGTTGTAGTGAGCCAAATTCACGCCACTGTACTCCAACCTGGGCGACAGAGCGAGATGGTCTTAAAAAAAAAAAAAAATCACACTTCTGGATGCATGGTGCCCACAGATTAATCATTTTTTAAAACAATTACTTTTTAAAAAAACTTAAAAGCATTCCTGTTGTACACATTCATGATCAACGTAAGGACATTTTTGACAATATTTTCAATAATCAAATTCATGTGCAAATGTTTAGAAATATAGAAAGAACACAAGTGAGAAGCATAAACAATATACTGTACAACCCAAGCAATGAAAAGCTTGTCCTGCTAAAATGAATCACTGATATTTGAGAGAATTACAAGGAGTAACAGCAATAATTTAAATCCTCAAAACAGGTGTTTGCTTTGCAATAAAACCAGTCCTGAAAAATACCTTAGAAACCTAGCTTTCAATAAACCTCTATATTCTATTTTTTCCACCCCAGATAGCCTTTTTTTGGCAACACCTCTGTATTTCGTAGGTTCCCATCCTCTTTATTAATTTTTTTTATCAAATCTCTTTGTGTTAATGGTGCACATACCTGGTGTAGCTCTCACATGTCAGAGTGACACACACACATGAAATATTTTCTAAAATAATTTCTGGAGCAGGCGTATGTGTATAGTCCCTTAAACTCCACGGGGCTCCTTTGTATACAACCTATATTTATTCAACCTCTCTCATTTCCATTTTGAAAAACTGGAGTAGTCTGAAACTCTTTTGGCTTATGGTGACCAGAAATAGTGTTCTGGCTGGCACCTCTCTAAAAGCATCTTCTTGACGAGACATAGGTTGAAATGTTAAATGCATCTCCACTTACCCACAACTCTGGTGTTGTAGTAATCTGGGAGCATGCGCTCACACAAAGCCACAAGCAGCCAGAAAGCTTCCTCCTCTTTGGCATAAAGCAGCAGCACTGAAGTGACAATATTCATGGCCTAAAAAAGTGAAAGAGGATGTCATCAAATACAGTTGAAAATATAAGCAATTCTGTTAGCATATTAAAATTACTCAGTTATTCTCACAAGGGCTGGCAAACCTTTTCTGTGAAAAGCGAGATAAATATGTTTAGGCTTTGGAGGCTTTACACATAGTCTCTGTCATATATTCTTCTGAGTTTTGTTTTATGACCCTGTAAAAACATAAAAACCTGAGTCCTTGAACCAGTAAGTGTGCAGGGTCTTCCTTAACACCAATATTCACCAGACAGAGCCCCGAACTCATGCTGGCAAACCCCTATTCCAAAAATTTGCCCAAAGGCTATTTCACAAAGCTTTTAACCTGCTAAAATCTCTCAGTGTTCTTAATCCTTAATTCAGTGAGGTAAACATTTCCTTTGTAACTTTCCGTAATGGTTTCTATAATCAGGTACACATGGCTCCAGGCTCTCCTGAGAGAACAACGAAACCTTTCAGACTTGGAGTCCTCACCCAACATTTCCATACGGAGAGAGATGGTAGTGATAACTGAGAGTGATTTAAATTCTAAAGTAACTGTAGTTTATTAAAAGATATTATCAGATACCTCATAACCACTCTAGACTCAACTACTTTAATAGTCTTCTTAATTAAAAAGAGGAAGATCAAAAGGTAAATATGAACTTTATCATATTAGAGGCCAACTACCTCCTGTACTTCTTTTGATCTCCCAGAAACCGGTAACTGTTCATCAGGCTTCTACAATTCAATTTCAAAAAAGGTATTTTGGTTTAATAGGCTCTTTCTTGTAAGTCTTACTCATTATGTTCCCAAGTGACATCATCATGGAAATTCCACTTGAGAATTAACCTGCTGATCCTAGTACATGATGATGGTCCCTGCCAGTTCCTTAGTCATTTAGCGGAGATAGGTTTTTTTAGGGGTCTACCTTGTAACAGGCTCTGGACTAGGTATTGGAGGATGGGGGACAGAGTGGTGATATCTTGCAGGTCCTAAATGCTAGTGTTAGATAAAACAAAGATGAAAAGGTTAACTAGTCTATGTGGGGGGTTATTTAAATTGGAAGTTATAAAGAGGTAAAATAATGCAGTAGAGGGAGACTAACGTGTGCATGTACGTGCACTTGTGTGTTGAAGTAGGAGTTCAGCCTCTTTTAGCTTTTGCTGGATGGTCAGGGAAGGCCTCTACAATGATATAGCCTTTGATTCTTTCTTTTTTTTTTAATTTGAGACGGAGTCTTGCTCTGTCGCCCAGGCTGGAGTGCAGTGGTATGATCTCAGCTCATTGCAAGCTCCACCTCCCGGGTTCAGGCCATTCTCCTGCCTCAGCCTCCCGAGTAGCTGGGAC
The DNA here is from genome assembly GCF_000001405.40 of Homo sapiens. Classification (NCBI taxonomy): domain Eukaryota; kingdom Metazoa; phylum Chordata; class Mammalia; order Primates; family Hominidae; genus Homo; species Homo sapiens. The sequence goes on from NC_000004.12 coordinate 140,661,053, forward strand.
TACAGGCACCTGCCACCACGCCTGGCTAATTTTTTGTATTTTTAGTAGAGACGGTGTTTCACCGTGTTAGCCAGGATGGTCTCGATCTCCTGACCTCGTGATCCTCCGGCCTTGGCTTACCAAAGTGTTGGGATTACGGGCGTGAGCCACCGCACCTGGCCGATATAGCCTTTGATTCTAAGGTCACGTTATTTTGGAGCTTCCCAAATTTTGGCATCTATACCAGTACAAGAGATGACTTTTGTTGGTATGTAGGCAACTTTTCTTAATACTAAGTTAAGCACTTATTTTAATGTGTATTAAGACATAACCCTAGCATATAAAAGCTCTATTCAAGGACATTATTACTTAAGAGGATGCAAAGTAGCAACACTGTGGCGAACCACAGTGACAGGCCTGGTGCTGAGGATGCCCTCTCTTACTCCAGGGTGGGATGAAGGTTGAGGCAGACAGTGATCAGAAGGATCTTCTCCAGGTCACCTAGCTAGACAGTGGTGAATCCAGGAAGGTCTCCTCCATTCAGTGCAGTGGTTCTCAACCCAGGATGATTCTGCCTCTCAGACATCTGGCAATATCTAGAGACATTTTTGGTTGTTACAACTGGGGATTTTCTACCAGCATCTAGTGGTAGGGGCCAGGGATGTTACTAAACATTCTACAAAGCATAGAACAGCCCATACAACAAAGAGTTAACAGTCCAGAGTGTCAACAGTGCCAAGGTTGAGAGGCCCTGGTAAAGTGATAGTTCTGTTAACCATAAACCTTCCTTCCCACTATTTGCTGCCAAATGAATAGAAATTTTATTTTATTTTTTTAGCAAAAACCACCTGTGACATTTACCTGGCAATACCCTATGTTGGGATTTCGAAAAGCATAAGCTGTTAAGACTCTCCTTAGTGCAGCAATGCCCATTTCATTCTGAAAAGCTGGGTGTTCTGGAAGGGAGCGGTGTAAATCCCTCTCAATCTCCTCCGTGGCGAGATTATACTTCCCCATGGACTTCTCCACTAGGTCTTCATAGTACCCAGGATGTGTGGCCTTCTCATTGATGGCACCTGAGATATATCCAACAGATACAGTATCAAAAACGTGAGAGCTCTGCCTTTTGGTTTGCAACTACAGCTTATGATTGAACTGCTTTACTTTCCTACCTCTCAAAGGAAACTTGCAAGAGAAGGTGAAATCACAGATGTGGTATGTTGCAATCGTGGCTAGACTGGTGAATTTGCCTGTGGCCTCCTTCCCTCTTTCAGCTCCATAGTAGGCTGGCTACTTAAAAACTTTCCTAAGGTAGAGGTTCCCAAGCTACAAAACCATGCTCTGAGGAACTCCCACAGACAGTCCTGAAGGGCTGCTTAGGAGCACAGGTGGGGAGGTCATCATAACAAGCCAGGCTGAGGCTTCACCTTCTCATCACTCTCTTCAACCCCAGCAGCTTTGCTTTTATTTTATTGTGGTTTCATTAAGATTTCACTTGAAATAGGAGGTTCTGTCTCTCAAAATAAGTCTGAAAACTGCCTGCTAACGTGTTAGCTCTGAAGGGTTTAATAGCCATATTGAGGGAGATACTTGGAGTTTTTCAAATTGCAGAGTGGTAAGAGTATTCCTAACAGTGGTGAGTCATCATTGTTGACAGAAGTTCCTCAGGTGTTGGGGATGGGGATGGAGGGTTATACTGAGAATCATCCATTTGAGATACTTACAGTTTAGGATTCTTCAAGACAGAAAAACCCTATATGCAAGTATCTACCTCTCAATCTAAATTTTAATTACATTCCTGTTGGGAAGACTGAATATTCACATGCAGAAGAATGAAAATGAACTCTTTTTTTATACCATGTACCAAAATTAATGCAAAATGGATTAAATTAAATTTCAATTCCTGAAACCATAAAACTAGTAGAAGAAAATATAGAAAGAAAATGCTTCTTGACACTGATATGGCAATTATTTTCTGGATGTGACACCAATAGCACGGGCAGCAAAAGCAAAAATCAGACAAGTGGGATAGCATCAAACTAAAAAGCTCTGCACAGCAAAGGAAGCAATCAAAAAGCAACTTAATGGAAGAAAATATCTGCAAACCATATGTCTGATAAGGGGTCAATATACAAAATATATAATGAACTCACAGAACTCAATAGCCTAAACCAAACAACCTGATTTTAAAATGGGCAAAGGAAATGAATAGACAGTTCTCAAAAGAAGGTATACAAATCACCAACAGGTGTATTTAAAGGTGCTCAACATCACTAATCATCAGGGAAATGCAAATCAAAACTACAATGAAATACCACCTCATACCTGTCAGAATGGCTATGATAAAAAAGACAAAAGATAACAAGTGTCAGCAAGGATGTGGAGAAAAGGGAACCCTTGTACACTGTTGGTGGGAATGTAAATTGCTACAGCCATTACAGAAAACAGTATAGAGATTCCTTAAACTAAAAATAGAGCCACCTTATGATCCAGTAATCCCACTCTAAGCATATATCCAAAAGAAGTGAAATCAGTATCCTGAAGAAATATCTGCATCCTATGTTTATTGCAGCATTTTCACAATAGCCAAGATATAGAAACAATCTAAATACCCATTAAGAGATGAATGGATAAAGAAAATGGGGCATATATACAAAATGGGATACTATATTCAGCCTATAAGAGGGGAAGTCCTATCATTTTTGATAACATGGTTGAACCCAGAAGACATTATGCTAAGTGAAATAAGCCAGGCACAGAAAGACAAGTAATACATGTTCTCAGTTGTATGTGGAATCTAATATAGTCAAACTCATAGAAACAGAGTCTAGAATGGTGATTACCAGGAGCTAAGGAAGGGGAAAAATGGAGAGATGTTGGTCAAAGGGTATAGAGCTTCAGTTATAAGAAATGAAAATGTTCTGAAGATCTAATGTAATACTGTATTGTATACTTGAAATTTGCTAAGAGGGTAGATCTTAAGTGTTCTCTCACCAAACTCTCCCCACCAAAAAAAAAAAAAAAACAAGAAAAAAAGACAAAAAGAAAAAATCATGGGAACAATGTGAGGTAATAGATATGGTAAACTAGCTCAATTATAGTAATCATTTCACAATGTATATGAAATCATCAAATTAATACACCTTAAATATATATACTTTTTATTTGTCAATTATACCTCAACAACGCATGAATGAGTTCATGAAGGCTGCAGGATACAAAAAAGAATAAAATATTTCGGAATAAATATAACAAAACACATGTAAGAGTTGCACACTGCAAGCTACAAAATATTGCTAAAAGAAATTGACAAAGACTTAAATAAAAGACATCCTGTGTTTATGGGTTGGAAGACTTAATGTTGTTAAGATAGAAAAACTCCCAAACTGATCTACAGATTCAACACAATACCTATCAAAATCCCATCTGTCCTTTTTGCAAAAATTGGCTAGCTGGTCCTAAAATTCATATGCAACTTCAAGAGACTCAAAAAAGGACAAGAAAATTGGAGGACTCACACTTCCCAATTTTAAAACTTACTGCAAAGCTACAGTAAGCAAGACAGTGTAGTACTGGCATAAAGATAGACATACAGATCAATGGACTAGATTTAAGAGTCCAGAAATAAATCCTAACATTTAAGGTCTATTAATTTTTAACAAGGGTGCTAAGACAATTCACTGGGGGAAAGAATAGTATTTTCAACAAATGGTGCTGGGACAACTAGATATCCATACGGAAAAGAATGAATTAGACAGTCACCTGCATCTCACACCACATAAAAAATTAACTCAAGGCCGGGTGCAGTGGCTCACGCCTGTAATCTCAACACTTTGACAGGCCAAGGTGGGTGTATCACGAGGTCAGGAGTTTGAGACCAGCCTGATGAACATGGTGAAACCCCGTGTCTACTGAAAATACAAAAATTAGCCAGGCGTGGTGGTGCACACCTGTAATCCCAGCTACTCAGGAGGCTGAGGCAGAAGAATCGCTTGAACCCAGGAGGTGGAGGTTTCAGTGAGCCAAGATTATGCCATTGCACTCCAGCCTGGGTGACAGGGTGAGACTCAGTCTCCAGAAAAAAAAAAAAAAAAAAATTAACTCAAAATGACCTAACTATAAGAGCTAAAACTACAAACTCTTAGAAGAAAGCATAGTAGTGTAAATCTTCATGTCATGAGAGCAGAGTGACAAAGGAAAAAATAGACAAATTGTATTTCATTAAAATTAAATTTTTTTGTGCTTCGAAGGATACCATCAAAGACAGTGAAAAGACAATGCACAGAATGGGAGCATTTTTAGGAAAAATCTGATAATGAACTTGTATCTCAAATATGTTTAAAAACTTTTACAACTCAATAACTAAAAGATAACCCAATTAAGAGCAGGCAAAGGATCTGAGTACATATTTCTACAAAGAAGATATAGAAGTGGTCAGTAAGTGCATGAAAAAATGTTCAACATCATTATCCTTCAGGAGAATGCAAATCAAAATAATGTTTAACCTTTAAAAGGTTAAACATAGAGTTACCATACGAACCAGAAATTCCACTTCATTCATACATTCAAGAGAAATAGAAGCAGGTGTCCATAAAAAAACCTGTATTTAAAAAAATTTTAAACTTTTGAATTTTCTAAATTTTAAATCTATATTTTATTTTCTGAGAGAGGGTCTTGCTGAGTCACCCAAGCTGAGGTGCAGAGGTCTGATCACAGCTCATTGCAGCCTCAACCTCCCAGACTCAAGCAATCCTCCCATCTCAGATTCTTGAGTAGCTGGGACTACATGTGCGTGCCACCACACCCAGCTAGTTAAAAAAAAAATTTTTTTTTGTAGAGATGGGGTCTCACTATGTTGCCTGGGTTGGTGTCAAACTCCTGGGCTCAAGTGATCCTCCCTCCTTGGCCTCCCAAAGTGCTGGGATTACAAGCATGAGCCACTGTGCCCAGCCCACACAAAAACATGTAGATGAACATTCATAGCAGCATTATTCATAGGAACCAAAAAGTAGAAACAACCTAAATGTTTATCAACTGAAAAACGAATGAACAGAGTATAGTATGTCCATACAATGATATAATATTTGGCCATAAAAAGGAATGAAATGCTGATACATGCTATGATATGGTGGAACCTTGAACACAGTATGCTATGTGAAAGAAGCCAGTCACAAAAACCTACATATTGTATGCTTCCATTTATACAAAATGTCTAGCAACAGAAAGTAGTCTGGTGGTTGCCTGGGGCTGGGAGGGGGCTTGAGGGGAATGGAACTACCAGTCTGTATTTCCAAACAGTTTATATTTATTTTCCTTTTTTTTGAGACAGAATCTTGCTCTTTCGCCCAGGCCGGAGTGCAGTGGCGCTATCTCGGCTCACTGCAAGCTCCGCCTCCCGGGTTCACGCCATTCTCCTGCCTCAGCCTCCCGAGTAGCTGGGACTACAGGCGCCCGCCACCGCGCCCATCTAATTTTTTGTATTTTTTTTAGTAGAGACAGGGTTTCACCTTGTTAGCCAGGATGGTCTCGATCTCCTGACCTCGTGATCCGCCCACCTCGGCCTCCCAAAGTGCTGGGATTACAGGCGTGAGCCACCGCGCCCAGCCTATATCTATTTTCCAAATGGATAAAAGGTATGGGGTGTTTTGGGGGGATGAAAAATGTTCTATAATTGTGATCATTGCACAATTCTGTGAATATACTAAAAAAAAAAAACCACTGAATTGTACACCTTAACTAGTAAGTTGTGAATTATATCTCAATAAAGATATCACAAAAAATATATAAATGATATATATATTGACAGGGTAAACACTCAACATTTCATAATTCAGAAAAGTGGAGCCCCAAGACCCCTGGACTGGCCAAGGCCTTGTCTCTGATGGTCACTGAGAGAGCTGGCCTCACCACTCACGCTGGCCCTGGAAAAGCCAACCCAGCTGACAGGGACATAACGCTGGCTTTTGCTCTGTTGATGTGGGAGACGTACTGTGATTTCTTGTCATCTGACCTGCATTTCATTTCAGCGGGTACAGAGTTCAGGTCATGATGCCGTCACCCTAAGGGTCACAGGAAGCAGGTGAGACCCAAGTTGGGCTCTGGCCTGGAGCTGTGCTCTCTTCATGATAGGCTGGCCTTCAGGCGAACCCCATTCCTGGATGTGGAAATACGGGCTCAGTTATCACCCCAACAGAGGGCCGTGTGGAGACCACCCTGCGGTCTCACATGGTCCATCTGCCGTTAAAGGAAACACTGGGTCTAACTCTCAACATTATCTCTGAGATAGGGCTGTGTACTATTGTTGTATACACTAGTTTCCTGGTACTCGTTTTGAGTTTCATTTTCACTTAAAATGCAGCTATAAATAACTTCTAATTTGAACAAGGAGGATGAAAATGGAAATCTGTTTACTCTGTCAGTGATCTGAATCTGGTTGTCAAGGTGACTAGTTCACTAAACACAGGGAAGACAAGAAAAGACTGGATGGTAATGATCTTCTTGGGTTTGAATTATAATTAGAGATGAGTTGACTCAAATTTAGGTTTCTAAATGAGGAGCTATGGCTGGTCCACTTAGGGAAAATGAGGCCAGGCACAGTGGCTCATGACTATCATCCCAGCACCTGGGAGGCTGAGGTAGGAGGATTGATTGAGCCTACAAGTTTGAGACCACCCTGGGCAACACAGCAAGACACCTATCTCTACAAAAAGAAAGAAGGAAAGAAAAATGAAAAATAAGACATGTATTAAATAAATATAGAACAAACTAGTTTTACATGAAATAGACAAAACCAATTATTTTTCAGGATTATACGTCCCTATTTCTGAGACATTTATACATCTCATTATGGGCATTACATCTACTTTTACAAAGAGCTATAGGTTTTTTTAAAGGCTTTCCTGTGAGTCGTAATTATTAATTTTAGTATCACTTTTTAAGAATAAAAGCTTTTAATAATAGCATTTGTGTCAGACCATCTTAGGTTCAAATAAAAATATTCACATAAGCCTATTTAGAATGATAATATTTCAGGCTTCAATCCAGATAGAGCAACTAATTTACATGTGAAAGTAAAGTTGGTGAAACTAAGGAGTGCTCTGATGTCTGAGATATTAGAGATCCCTGGGATACACTCAGTGCTTTCGGATGGGAGGAAGCAGTGTGAGCTTAGCCTGAAGGATCTCTGGTTTCTGTAGCAGGGCTCAAAGATCTGATGTGACAGAATGATGGACAGGCACAAGAGCCAGGTCTGTGGACCAGTAAAGATGGATGCCTCTTCACCACTGGTCCATGGAAGTGTCCCCTTCTGTCCTTCCTGGCATCTCTGGCTTGAAGTACAAGGTATGATCTGAGTAAGCTTTTATTTCCAGTGCAGACTCTGGCCTCATCTTTATGGTTCCAATGATGACCAAAGACTTCAGGAGGTGGCAAAAATCAAACACCTGGGCCTTTTTATTCCTCTTATTTCTTTCCTCCCAATTCCCCACCCGATGACTGCTCTGAGGAAGTGTCACACTTAAACATTCTCAATGAAGTTGACGTAGCTGGGCAAGGAAAAAAGAACTACTGAAGTCACAAAGTATTCTGTTCTTTTACTTCAGGTTCTCTTTTATTCCTAAATAGCCTGACTGAAGAAATGGAAGTATTTATAAAGACTCGAAGGATGGTGGATTCAACATTTGGTCCGCTTCCTATGGGTCCTATAGTTTTACAAAGGGAACAATAATTGAGGAACTTCAATACTCTGGTGAGGAAACATGATGTAGCTTTCAACTGGGGGATGCATATTTGAAAGAACCCCTGAGGCATGACTGAAGGCACAGGGAGGCCCTGGTGTGGAGTCCCACAGACTTTGACGCCAGCATTCCCAGCCCAGCGGCCGTACCTGACAGCAGCAGCCAGAGCTCCCCACGCATGCTCTCCGGGATGCCCTTCAACACCAGCTCCCGCGTTTTCTCTGTGCGGTACATGCAGATCCCTTGCCCATACTCAGCAAAGTGAATCTTCCAGGCTTGCTCTTTCAGAAACTCTTTGGCCTGAAAGGGATAATGAAACATTATGACATCCAAAGTACCCTGAGGATGGTAAGAGAAGAGTGATGGAAGGTCAGAACATGTTCCCTGCTGAACGGAGTGACAATTCCAGAAAGAAGTCATGAGAAAAAGGAACTCAGATTTTCTGGAGTTCTTCTCTAGTTTTATACATCTATCATGGCCTACAGCTCTGCCATGAAGCTTTTGGGCCCAGAGTCAGAATCCTACTTACCTGAGATTGTATTTATGGTTTTATGTCTGCACCCCCAAGTGAAAGTAAGTTAATGATGTTTAAATATGGGCTGAGAAATCGGGTATTTATTTGTTGGTTTAACTTAAGCAAGAGTTAAAAACAAAACAAGACCAAAAGAAGTCACCTGTACCCTCTATAACTCATCTCCTTCCATGAAGCCACTGTGAAAGTTATAACATATTTAGACAAAAATCTGCTTAACTTATAGGAAAATCTCCATTTACATAGGCATGTGTGAATTTACTTACAGTAAAAAATATTGTTAATGGCATTGTTCAAATCTACAAAGTTTCAGGGAAAAGTGAGAGGCACCCACCAATTTCGGGTTGAACTCCTCGGGAGACCGCCGCCGATACATGGTCATCAGGGTCTGTGTGGCTGTGGGGACGCTGTTGCCATTTAGGTTAAACTGGCGCTCTCCATCAGCATCAGAGCTCGTGCTTCTCTGGGGGCTGGAGGAGACGAGGCTGCTGGGTCGAGAGTACACCTGTCAATACAGAGAGGAACAAGACATTGGGAGGACACGGGCAATAGAACCTACTTCTTCAGTGTCTTCTGTATGGTTATCAAAAGCTACATCATTTTTTTCCCATGGTGTTTCTTGCTATGTGAAGAAACACGAGAAAAGCAGCAAGCCATCATTTTGGCAGGGATTAGACAGGTGGCTGGGTCCCAGGCCGCAGCACTTCAATGCTCACAATAGGTTTCTGAATCTTCATGTTTTATATGTATATTTGCAACAAAGTGCTTGGCCATTTGTTTCTCTGATTTGCATGTATGCAAAGCATGTCATGGTTGAATCAGCAGCTATGGCAGCCTCATCACCCCATTGAGTTTCTGGCGCCTCAAAAATGTCCACATAAGCTTGGAGCAGGTGAACAGAGACAGAGATGTTATGTGTGAGCTTACCACCTTCGAAACATGTTTTATCTGCCATAACTTCCTCTAACCATTCAGATAGTCACCTATCTTTTCAGGCCTCCAGTGTTCCTGAATGTTGGTCCAGGGAAGAATTCCACAGGGACCCAATATGTATTCTATCATAATAAAAATCATCATAATGATTTGTATTTCAGGTTTGAGACTTTATTTAGTGACCTCTGTACCATTCTCAACAATGTCACTATATGGACCTGAGTCACTTGCTATGTAACTAGAACAGATTACTTAAGAATTTCTTCAACTATAAAATAAAAGTGTTATTCCAGGTGATCTATAAGGTTCCTTCTAAATCTATGACCCCAAATACAAAGTCCTTGAGATTTAAATGAGATATTGCTGAGATATTGCTTTGGGCGTCAGACGCAAAGCTTGAAGATCAAACAAAATGGGCAAGGAACTGAACACACTTGGGCACAGGAACAGGATAAACCAAAAATACTTTCAGGTGTCTCCCACAGACCTCATCATCTGAACTGTTGTAACTTCCTGCAAACTCCTTGTCAGAATATATTTTGGAAGTAGTCTGTTGCAGGAAATCTGAGATCCTCTGCACTAGAAAGTCTCTATCTTTCAAGTTGGCAAATAGGAAGGTCATCCTGTTTCGGGTGCTGATGGATAAGGGACTGGGGAGCACACTGGAGCTGTCTGCCTTTTCCACAATTGTCACCTGAAAAGAAGTGGGAAACAAAGAGCATTATTTTCCAAGAATTACCCAATAGCAGCCTATATGCAGCACTAAAGGAGGAAGGCGGCACTTTCATTATTCTATAGGAACCACCTATATTTTATTGAAGCAAAACTGAGACTCTTTGACTCTGTTCCAGTAAAATAAAACAGCTCAAAACAATCAAACTGGAGCTTATACTAGAAACTGGAACCGTCTTGCTGGTTTTTCCAAATCAGTGGTTCAAAATGGGACTTTTTTCCTCTCAGGAGACATCTGGCAACATCTGGAGGCATTTTGGGTTGTCACAGGTAGAGGGATACTACTGGCATCTGGTAGCAGAGTCCCGGGATGCTGCTAAACATCCTACGACACACAGGACAGCCCCTGCCATCCCACTCCACCACAACGAAAGCCTGTCCCAAAATGTCAATAGCTCCAAGGTTGAGAAACCTTGCTATAAAGGAATTATTTGATTTTCATTAAAATTTCATGGAGCTATAAGAGAGAGGGCTCCTCGCTGCTTCATCAGCCATAAGAGACAGAAAACAACCCATGATACTGGTTCCTTTTACCAAGCTTAATGTTGGAATGGTTTTCAAAACACCACCAATCCTTCAAATGTTTCATTTAGACTCCAGGGCTTTTCATCCTTCACCTTCTACCACTGCAAAGTTTTAAAGGTTCTATTCTGAACAGACATGTAAAGAATGTAAACAGCTTAATTGCAACATTATCTGAACTACCAGACTGTGTGTGTGTGTGTGTGTGTGTGTGTGTGTGTGTGTGTGTGCCGAAGCCTACCACATTGGGGAAATTTAGCTCTAAACTGAAGACATATACGGGTGATTTATAATAGGATTTTCATCAACTAGAAACTAGGATAAACGCATTAAAACTTTTCTCTTTAGCACATTAGAAAACAAATCTCAAGGCAAGCACTAGAAAAATGGTTTATTTGCAGCAGCTCTGACAATATACTTAAAGCTAAGATCTTTTTTCCCTTCTTCATTTCTACTGCAAGCAGTCTAGACAGGTTAAACTTTAAGTTGTTCATTAGCATTTTCATGTGAAATATATTTCCTTCAAAGCACAACTTAGAAATGTTTTCCCTACTCAAGACTAAGTAACCTATTGAAGTTGTCTAAAAACTCTTGCATATCTAAAAAAATAGGTCTGCCTGGGGTCCATCAAGGGAAAAAGTGTAGCATCTGACTGCTGTTTTCAGAATATATGTGTTAGAGTATATATGATTCTTTTAATATCTATATTAAATATATGTGTTAATATATGACATATAATATACATTATATATTAAACATACATTATAGAATATTAAAAATATATATTTATATATATTAAAGGAATCTTCTGAGACACCTGAAGTTGTACATAAGGATTTTCTTTCTAATGCAATAAATGCTATATAACAGAGGGAAATACCTCCTTTTCCTGAAAAGAATTTTCCCATAACACTTAAGGCATGTATTAAAGAATACTTATTTTTTAAAATCCACAAAAGCCCCTTTTCTCACATAAAATTTTTACTGGCTCTTTTGGTCATGAGGTGTCTGGGATAAATGGAAAATGCCAAGGAGATGAAAGGTTACATTATGTGTCTAAAACGCAGTTAGCTATGTGGATCTTGATAAAGTCAAAGTGAAAAATTCCTTCGTCTAGCTGGAGCATGTATGCAGAAACAAGAAAGCTCCCACATAAAACATATAAATGCTCAGACGGCTTATAAAATGTTTCTCACTGATAAATGAGTTCTAGCAGAACTCTATCACATAAGCTCCCCGCCACCAGGAAAGGAGAACAATTACATTAGAGTCTGCTACAATATAATGAGACATATTTTCATGACCAATTTGAGTTATAAAAGAGACTGCAACTTAATCAAGTCTTGGTGTTTAATATGAAACACTGGAAAGTAATTTATGAATGAAAAAAAAGGCTAGGCACGTGGCTCACGCCTGTAATCCCAGCACTTTGGGAGGCCTAAGTGGTCAGATCACTTGAGCTCAGGAGTTCAAGACCAGCCTGGCCAACATGATGAAACCCCATCTCTACTAAAAATACAAAAATTAGCTGTGGGTGGTGGCGCATGCCTGTAATTCTAGCTACTCAGGTGGCTGAGGCAGGACAATCACTTGATCCCAGGAGGTGGAAGAGGAGGCTGCAGTGAACCAAGACTGTGCCACTGCACTCCAGCTTGGATGACTGTGTGAGAGACCCCATATCAAAAAAAAAAAAAAAATTCCTTCTCTTGCTGGCTTAATAATTTCTTCAAAATCTATAGCAACATGATCCTGGATAAATGCTTAACATCTGTTGACTGGGTCTACCTTAAGTCAATATGTAGAATGTGTGTTAAAAACCTCCAGTCAATATTTCAGCTTATTTATTTAAAAAAATTAAGTGAAACAACAATTCTTGGTCTATACAATCTTAAAAGTGGGCATTCCGTGTAGGATGTAATGTTCCCAGGGATGTCAAGCAGCCTGACTCGGTTCTGAAAGGTACCCAGCTCACGTGGAGGGCACCCTCCACTCAGACCCCACATGGATGGTGGGGGTGCCCCCATTGCTCTTCTGACATTATCATTACCTAAAGGTAATAAAAATTACATTAAGTCTTTTGCTTCTTCCATTAGTTGGGGTGGGGCTCTACCATTAATACATCACAGAGTCATCAGTTCAAAGAAAAGGCACTGCCGTCTCACTGAGCGCTTCTTTAAAGCTGCGCCTTCCAACCACAACAAGCTTGATTTCTAAATGCTACCTCTGCAGACTGCCTCTCTTCTGATTTACCCTGAAATATAGTCATATTTATTATTATCTCTGCTCTACTAGAGAAAACTAGCAAGCAGAATAGAGGTTGAGAATATTAATCACCATTCTCTCAATTCCTCCAAGATCTCAACAGTGTACTCTAAATCGCACTAAAATGTAAACAGAGCTAGTTGGCTCTAACACCCGGGAGGGGGAAGCCAGAAGGACCAGCAGGACAGCAGATGTCTTGATAGCGGCTTCCAGACCCTCTCTGCTCCTCATTTCCCTCTGGATAAACTGAGAGTGATGATTCATTCAGGTCATAAATAGCACATTTATGGTATTCTGAATCACAGAATTGGTTTCCCTAGCTGGTACAGGTAATGCTGCTTTACTACATTTGAGTAGCACATGATGAAGAAAATTACATTCAGAATTGGGTGAAGAAAATTATGTTTAGTAACATCCTATAGCAAAAACTACTAAGAAGGTAAATTTGGTGAAAAAACTTACAAAATACATTTCACAGTCAAATGTAAAACTGTTACATTATTCCTGTCAGAATTTACCCACAACATATCTTGGCCTCAAAATGTGTTATAACTCCAATTAGTTGACCCTACGACAAGGAGAGCTAGATTTGTCAGTTGCCTAACATTTTTCATTCTTTTTGATTCACAGTTCGACTTCTGTTTGCTATTTATAACTTAAAGAAAATTATACATATATTTGAGAGAAAACTAGATGCAACGGAAAGGTCCAACCATAGGTAACCGAATGAATAAATTATGTATATACTTTACGGAATAAACTGCAGGATTTAAAATTTAATTGTGATATGAATGTGATGGTGTATGCCTGTAATCTCAGCTACTCATGGGACTAAGGCAGGAGGCTCATTTGAGCCTAGGAGCTCATGTCTAGTCTGTGCAATAGACCAAGGCCCCTATCTCTTAAAAAAAAATTACATTGTAGAAGAATATATATATATATATTTTTTTTTAATTTTTTATTTTTTAGAGATAAGGTCTTGCTCTGTCACCCAAGCTGGAGTGCAGTGGTTCGATCATAGCTCACTGTGATCTCAAACTCCTGGGTTCAAGTGATCCTCCCACTTCAGCCTCCCAAGTAGCTAGGACTACAGGAGCACATCACCATCCCCAGCTAATTTTTTTAAATTTTTAATTTTTAATAGAGATGGGGCCTTGCTATGTTGCCTAGGCTGGTCTTTGAACTCCTGGCCTCAAGCAGTCCTCCTGCCCCGGCTTCCCAAATTTCTGGGATTACAGGTGTGAGCCATCACATCTGGCCTATAGAAGAATATTTAATGATTTGAAGGACACTTTAAGATATACTCAATGTTAAAGGAAATAACTAAAAATAAAAATTCCCTATAAAGTGTTTTACATCTAAATTATATAAATGACACATACACAGCAATGCAGAGAAAAAACTAGAAAGCTGTACAATAGAATGTTAACAGTGGTCCTCTCTGAACAGTGGAACTAGGGCGGACTTTTCTCTTTATTTGTCTGTATTTTACAAATTCTGGGATAAAGATATATTACTCTTAAAACAAGAAAATAAGAAGAAACTATGCCTAATTAAAAAAAAAGAAAAAGATAAAGAAGGCAGAGAGAAACCCGAATCCTTTGCTAAAGGGATGTTAGCAAGGGGACAATCCTGATCAAATACCCAAAGCCTCTGGCCACCTTAGCTTCCAGAAAGGACCAGGGTAGGTTGGAAGAGGTCAGGTTAGAAACTGCAGGGCTGCTGGCCCCTGCACTGCCCTTTCTCTGACATCCTAACCTGGGGTCTTTGTCAACTCCAAGCCTCACAGCAAAGCTTCCAGACAAGTACCAGAGTAAGCTATCATCCTGGAGTTAGGATGGAACCCACCTCCACCCCAGAACAATAATAATGTTTCTTAGACTTTACTGTGCATAAGAATTGGCCTGTAAATGTATTAAAACAGAGATCTAAAACTTGCAGAGATACAGATTCAGAAGATCTGGGATGGACTCAGGAATCTACCATTGTAAGCAGCAGCATGATGGTTCTAACACAGGAAATCAGCCGAGCAGAGCCCAACAAACACGTGGCTTTCTGACTCACAACCTAGACTGTCTCCTTTAGACCAGGGTGCCCTCAGACCTTGAGCCAGGTACAATAAACATGTTTCCTAGTTTCTGTATTTGATGCTTTGGCATCTTGGGGGCCTTGCTGACCCTGGAGGGATTACCCTTCCCAGGGCTAGCCAATTTCTAGAAAATTGCTTTCAAAGCAAATCAACCAATCTGGAGCCCACACCTCAACCACTTCCTTTATTGAATGCTCACACTCAAGACTACTATTTCCTTGCCCTTTTTAACCCATGGACAACTAGGGACAACCCCTATGCCCCACAGCCCACCAAAATTGTTCCAATTATCCAAGCCTAAGCCTATTTACTCGGCGTAGCCCATTTCTTCCCTTGAAATCACATAAAGGATCTTGCCCACATTTTCTTTCCCTCCTGCCTCCTCTGACCATGGTGCTTCCACGTGTGGCCCAGCACATCGCGTGGCATGCCCTTGCCTTTCAGGATCTGTGCATAAAACAAGCTATTTCAATAGCACTCATCCCCTGATTGCTGGCCTCGTTAAGCTTGAATTGTAATAAAACCTACATTTAGGCCGGGCACAGTGGCTCATGTCTGTAATCCCAGCACTTTGGGAGGCCAAGGTGGGTGGATCACCTGAGGCCAGGAGTTCGAGACCAGTCTGCCCAACATGGTGAAACTCCATCTCTACTAAAAATACAAAAATTAGCTGGGCATGGTGGCAGGCGCCTGTAATTCCAGCTACTCAGGAGGCTGAGGCAGGAGAATCGCTTGAACCTGGAGGGTGGAGGTTGCAGTAAGCTGAGATCATGCCACTGCACTCCAGCGTGGGTGACAGAGCGAGACTGTCTCTAATAAAATAAAATAAAAACAAAACCTACATTAAAAAACCCCCATGCAGCTTCTGGAAGAAGAGATCTCACAGGTCCCAGAGTCACAGCAGTGACAACAAATGAAAGAATGCAGGTGCCACCAAAGACGCATGAACATTCACCTGTGTTCAAAAGCCAATTGTTGGTAAAAAAATTATTCCTGGTTCACCCAGAAAAGTATTACAAATGAAACTTAAAATATCAATTTTTATCAGATACTTACCTCACGGAGCGGGATAATGAGGCTACATAAGTTCTCCTCCTTGCTGGTAAAACAGATGTAATTTGTGGACACAAACATCTGCCCCAAAATGTGCATTTTGTTAAATGGAGTCCAGAGAGTGCAGTCTGTGTGGCCATCTAATTTTTCATCTTTGGGCAGCCGGAAAAGTGCACGGTATCTCTCACTCTTTGCCCTGGCATCAAGATCACTGGAAAGCAATAATTACAATTCACATAAGAAAAATGTTTCCATACCTTCTAAATTATGCAGCAGCGGAAGTTCCCCCAGCCCATTTTCCACCTCCTCAATCTTGCTAGACTCATCCCCCGCTTCTCAGCTTTCTTTATATTGAAGTTAACCCCAACCTAATGACCCAAAAGCGTAATAAAATTATCTTATTATATTTCAGTCCCTTGCATAGTCACTTATAATCCATGTCTGTAAATGTTAAAGAATCATAGCAAAAATAAGCCTGAACAGGAAACTCTTCCTCTTTCTAAAGAAATGCAATACACTCTAAAGAGGTCACTGCATTTACTCTTATCCAAGCCACTTTAGGGGGGGCCTTATCTTTTAAGACCTAATGAGAATGCAAACCAGCCATATAAATCCACTGGGCCTCAGTGTCCACCCCAAATCGACAACAAAGCTGCAGGAAAAGACACAGGAACAACTCACCTTGGGCAACTATGGCTTCTGACCTTAGCTGGGTCTTCTGTTAACTACTATCTTTTCTCTAATGAGTTCTTTGTTCTTGCTCATCATGTCAGTTGTTTAAACCTCTCCCCTCAAGCTTCTACCTGACATCAGCCTCGTGATGGTCTAGTCTCTGACTTCATAGAGCAAAGGTCCATGATGCAGAAGCCCCCTCCAATTCCTTCCCTTCTGTCTCCAAAGTCACCTCCATCCTCACCTACTCTTACTTCCTCTCCATTCCAAAGGAAAAGGTATATCAGGACACACAAGCATCCTTTCCATGCTTTCTCTACAAAATATCACTTCTTAAATGATCAACTTTCTTATAACTATCTCTATGTCCCTTCCTGTCTCCACACCTACCCTCACCAAAATGCTCTTCCCATCTGCCTCCTTCATTTGATACTATGTTCAAATCTTTTTCATTCTAAAAAAAAAAGCAATCCTCCCCTCCTTTACCACTGAATTTCTTGAAAATGAAGTCTGTATTTGCCTAGTTCCCTTTCCTTGTCTTTTATTTTTTATTTGATCCGCTGCAGTAGCAGCATCTATCTTACACTGCTCTTTTGAACATGTCTCAAATCACCAAGGACATCTTAATTACAAAGACCTCTGGTTAGATTTCAACTACCAAATGCACATCAATGATTTCCAATTTTGTATATCTTACTGGACTGATCTCTACTTAGATGAGCTACAGGCACCTCAATTCAACATAATCAAAGCTGAGCTATCGTATCCCTTGGACATGCTCTTCCTTCTCTCATTCCCTGTGTTGATGAAGGGTAATTCCAGGCACATGGGGCATCAACTTTCCATCACCCTCTCTCTAGCTCTGCTCTCACATTCAGACTTTGAGGCTTCTCTGCAGCCTCTCCTCATCCCATGCCCTGCCACCTACTAGCCATGTGACAAAGTTACTTCTCTCTGTGTTTTCCCTTGTGTTTCCCCCATCGTCATCTTCCCTCTGCTTGAAATATCCAGGCATGGATATGTACCTGCACAGGTAACTTCTATCACCTCTTCAGAGCCCAGCTCAAAGCAGCCTCCACTGAGAGGCCTTTCTTACCCACTCTTCCCCATCTGGGCTGAGGCTATCACTCCCCATGTGTGCACCCACAGCACTGTGTTCACAGGACCAGAAGAGTGCCTGCTGCCTTGTGTTGGAGCAGGTCATGTCTGTCTCACTTTCTGAACTGGTAGCACCTCAGCTAGTCTTTTTTAGTTTTGTATCTATACACAGAAGAGTGTTCAGAACCCTTGAAGATCGTCAGAGAAGGTTACACTGAATAAATGAATGAGTGAGTTTCTCATTTCTAAAGTCTGGAAGATACAAGGTCTCTATCACCCACCGTTTTAGAGCAGACACTTTTTTAGGAGATTTCCTTTTGAGTTTGGGCAGGGATCGATCTTGTTCAAATCCCTCATTGTCTAAGAGTTGCCTCATGGCTATGTTGGCAAGCTGCTCCATTAACTTGAAGGTCTCGTTGATGTTGAGGAATACAGAGAAGAAATGCTCACTGGACCGTGTGCTCACTTTGATCACATCAGGCAGAAGCAGGGTGGCATTCTTCTCAAGCTGAGTGATGTCTACCCACCGGATGACCAGTTTCGCTGAGCACAAGGAACAAGCCTGGGTCAACATCTGATTCCTGAAAACGCTTTCAAGATATTGCAGTCTCACAACCCCACTCCCCCATCCCACTGAACTCCTTTGAGTTTATAATACCATATTTGTTTTGCTTGTTCATTTTAAGAGGTAAATCTGGGCCATGTGAATTCTGAGGTCAGAATTATAGATTTAATCCATGTCTACTGAATTAATTACACCTTTAGTGAATCTTTATTACTTAGTGACCATTTTGAACTGAAAAATAATTAAATTCACTTCAGTAGTAAAAAAAAATTAGTATTGACTTAGTTATAACTATAGATTTATTTCTGATATTTTGATGTGGTTTATGAGTTCAGGGCAAACCTCAGTAGACTTTCCAAAGTTTCCTGCTGAAATTTTAGATGACTTACCTTCCCTTCCCATAAGAAAAGAATAAAAGCAAAGGTGGTTAATGCTGAGGTACATCCAACCCTGACGGGGGACCTTCCCCTTCCAATAGCTGCAAGAGTAATAGTTGACGAGTTTCTCTTCCTCTGGCATCCCAAACAGCCTATGAAATTTCACAATGGCTTCTTTAAACTTCTCCGTGTCATCATCTTCCTTTACATCATTGATTTTGTTGTATTCTGCAATGATGCCCTAATAAGGAATAAAACACAAAGCACACAACTGGTATTAATATGACTAGAGATGTACATATTCCAGAAGAAAAAATTTCTAAGGCTAGAATTAAAAAAAAAAATTGAGGAATGCCCTTCAATGGCAACCCCCAAATTCTAAGCCAATTATTGAGTAGTATTTGTGTACTAAAATATTTTCACATAATATAGATTTTATTATATTTTTATTGGTGCTAATTTTATTTTGTTAAGTTTACTAGGAATGAAGCCTATAGTTTTACTTTACAAATGAAGAGATACAAAGATTTTGCTAGTCCTAGTGTTTTTACTAAGCTTATTATGGTAGAATTGTCTCAAAAGTCAACTTCTGCCTTTCTCCAAGATTAATAAAAATTCATCATGAATGAGCCAGTGAGGAAAGAAAGACCAAACACATGTCACCAACTGACACTCAGCTCCACACTCACTGTCTCAGGGCCATGAATAACACTGGGGAGCCTACAGGGAAAAACGAGTAATCATCTGAGCAGAAAAGGGGTAGATATGAGAGCAAAAATTATATTAGATGCAGGATTTTTGGACAGTTAGACAGGAAATGAAACATCTGCATAGCAAGTGACCAGGTTAATCTACCATTCAATCATTATAATAACTTGAGAAGCCATTTCACTGTTACCCAGTTCCTCTGTAATTCCCTGAAAATTGGCTTCTACATATATCTCGATGGAAAATGCTCCCTTGAATTCCACCTTTGACTTTGTAATCCTCAAATCCCTCCCGCCTCATCTTCATTTTCTCTGATCTCAAGGTAGAACTGAAAATGCATGACCTTTAGAGCATGCAAGTCTTAGATTCGTGCTCCCACCGCATCACTGTATCTGTGTAGCCTTGGCCAACTTCTCAGATTCTCATTGACATGACTGAGCTCTCTGTAGCCCAAGGATAGAAAATTGCAACTGCCTCCTCATACCTAGAATTCCTGCTTTTTGGGCTCTTAAAGCTTCTAGTGCATCCTTGATGCTCCCTAAAAATTTGTCTTCCTAAAATGGATTTGACCACAAAATTCTTACCAAAATACTTAGTGGTTTCTAACCACCACCAGTATAAAGTCCAAAAATCTAGATCATGTACACTTTGTTTGTTTTAATGTTTTAATTTTTATTTTTATTGCAGACTGGCTGCTCCTTGTGAAGCAGGGTAACCCACAGGCAGTGTGCCCAGAGTAGCCTAGACCCATGTACATTTTTGGATCCAACCAATGCCGCAACTTTTTCTCACTGGACTACATCCTACCCAAATGTCCCGTTAGTAACTGTGCTCCAGCCAGCCTGAGGCACCCTTGGGGCCTGAACATGTCATTTCTGCACTTTCCCACCTTTTTGCCTATGGCCCTCCCATTCTACATGCCTGAAATCTGGAATCAGACTGTTCTGTTTCGTGAATCCTACCAAGTCTCAAAGTCTCTTGTGAGCCTTTTCTCAACTATCATTCTTTTCCCCCCACATGAAGTAATGTTGATTCTCTCTGCATTATGTATTGAAATCATTTCCTGAGTCTTATTTCCACTGCAGACCTTTCACCCTGTTGCCGGTAGTTGTGATGCTGCTGAGTGGATGGCAGGAGAAAGGGCTTCAGTCTTCTATAATCTCTGTCACTGTCCTATTCTAGTTAAAAGTAAGCATGTAGACAATAATCATAACAGCAAATGGTGGGCTTACGATGCAAGCACAGCCCCAAGACAAGTCTTTATCCTATTCTTCTAACAAAAGCATCCCAAAGTCCCTCTACACAGTCCAGGAATTACTATATAATAGCTTCTCAAATGGCATCCTGACAACACTCTCCACACTCCAATTTACTTCACATGGCCACTTTCTGAAACAGAGATCTGACTACAGTATTCCCACCTTATAATCTTCCACAGGCTCTCAGTGAAAGAGAAAAGAAATCTGCACTGAATCTTAACCCATAAAATCTGCTCTCAATCTTCCCAAGTCAACCTTTCCAGGTCCAGCATAAATACCACCTTCCCTGTGAAACCAGCCCAATTCCAAATGGGTTCTAAGCATTCTCACGTCTATGTTGTCTTAATTTACATGCTGGCAGAAAATAGCATGTTTATATGTCCTTCTACCACTAAATATGAATTCCAAAGATAAAAAGAATGTCTCGAACATTTTAATCACCAATATCTAGCACCTAAAAGATGTTCAATATTACTAAATGAATCCATGTTGTTGTTTTTCCAAATTAAAAGATATCTTAAGGGGCCATATCTTAGTCTTTATTGTATAATCCAGAGTTGCAGATTTCTAAATCTACAATTGTTTTGGAGTTAGCAATGCCTGAGAAATTAGGTACCAAGTTGCTAACTTCTGTTCCTCTGTCATACTGGAGGGCATTATGGATAGCAATAGAAGTAGCAATGTGCTTCCCTGGAAAAATATCTAACATAAGGATATTTTCCTCTATTTACCACTGATATCACTCTACCAAGAGAACAAAGACATTAAGCTCGATGAAGGCCAGGAGGGAGCTCAATTTTGGACCCAGGCTATTCTAGGGACAAGCAGGCGTTGGTAGTGTTACTTTAAGAACTTCAGACAACTGAAGGCAGCATGAGGGCATGGGACCCGTGGGTGGGAAGGAGAAGTCAATTCAGAAGGGAAAAGGGATGAAAAATGCCTTTCGCAGTTGGCAAATACACCTGTGGCCTATGTGACATTTCAAAGTTGTCAGTGCCTTTAGAGAAGGATCAAAAAATATCTATGAATGAAAGATTAAATAAATGAATGAGTAAATAAAAATAACTGAATGAGAACCTGCTAACAGAAAGCAGCAGCTGGGCCTCCAGGGAATCACCAAAGGCTAACAACTTAGAGAAGCCTGGAGACCCTCAAGTGGGCTAACATGCTATTCTCCTGGGTCACTGTAGTAGCGCTCTTACCTAAAGTCAAAATGAGGAGAATGTGAGAATGAGTGACATATAACAAACCATAAGCAGAAGTATGCTATCTAAAGATCTATTAAATACCACATTTCTAGAGTGCTCACTGAATTTATTTATTTATTTATTTTCGAGATGGAGTTTTGCTCTTGTTGCCCAGGCTGGAGTGCAATAGCTCGATCTTAGCTCACTGCAACCTCCATCTCCTGGGTTCAAGTGATTCTCCTGCCTCAGCTTCCCGAGTAGCTGGGATTACAGGCATGCACCACCACGCCTGGCTAATTTTTTTGTATTTTTGATTTCTGCATGTTGGTCAGGCTGGTCTCGAACTCCTGACCTCAGGTGATCTGCCTGCCTCAGCCTCCCAAAGTGCTGGGATTACAGGTGTGAGCCACCGCACCTGGCCTGCTCATTGAAATTTTAAAGAGAAAATGCTTTTATATATGAGAGTAAATACAGTCAAGAACCATCACTCAGAAACACTCTAGGGTCTAATATACTAGTATCAAGAGACAAGGCTTTGCCAGCTCATTTCAACAGTAAGGCTAATAGTCTCCATAAGGCTAAAATACCAACTTTCTCAACACTAAAAAAGGAAATAATCCAGAATGTAGAACCCTTTCTTAGTTGGCTATAATTTTTTAGCCAGGTAGACTAGATTATGGAATACAGGGATAGAATAGCTCCTTCCCAGGTTCTACAGGTTTTTCTACAGGTTTCGCATAATATAAAATAGGTCATTCCAGTTCTAGGCAACAGCTTCTCATGACTTTGGAAAATCCTATTATATCAGATGTTCAATATAAATTTAAATATGCAAAAGAATATTAACAGGTAATTTACAAAAAGGAGAAATTTAACTTAGCAAACATGAAAAAATATTCAACCCCATAATAACCAAAGACAAAACTAAAACATTAAGGCTTTAACTTCTACCTATTATATTTGAAAAATAATTTCAACAACCAAAATGCTGAAAGCAAGCAATGCTGTAATCACACAGAGATTCTAACTGACAATATCTACTAAGGTCTATTAAAAATACTTAAACTACTTAACCCATTCATCCAAATTTTGTAATCTATCCCAAAGGGGGAAAAACACAGCCTGTGGGTAAAGTTACACTGTTTGAACAAAAGTATTAACTGGATTTTTATTTGTACCTGCCATCCACTAGTCTAGAAGCTAAGGTGACTTCTAGAAAGACAGAAATGGTAAAGTCAATTATGGAATAATAACTAAAAATTATATAACAATATTGTAGATACTGGTCAAGAAAAAAAGACGAGAACAAAATTATATGTACATGAGACTTCTATTATGACAATATGCATATTAGAAGTGGGGAGGCCGGGCATGGTGTCTTAGGCCTGTACTTCCAGCACTTTGGGAAGCTGAGGTGGGTGGATTGCTTGAGCCTAGGAGTTCAAGACCAGTCTGGGCAATGTAGTGAGTCTCTGTCCCTAATTAAAAAAAAAAAAAAAGTTAAGAAAAGGGAGGTCTGGTAAGAAATACACAAAATGCTACATAAGGTGTTTGGATTATGGTTGCATCTGTAGTTAACTATTACATTTATGATTTATAAAAGTTAATTAGGTCTCAAAACAAATAACTTTGTTGGTTCCCTTGATTATTGGACAATATGTGAATGCTTAAACCATTCATCTGCACATGAATGACATTCTTTCACACATAACTGCATTAATAGCAAATCCCTCCTCATAATTGGTTTCAGGGGAATTAAATCTGACATTTTTGGTGTAATACAAACAAAAAGGAAAATGGCTGTTTGACATAATTGGTCTTTGTTTGTTTTACTTATTTCTCCTGGCTATTGTCACTTCTAAGCTTTAGCTTCTTCCTACAGCCCTTTTTTTCTTTTTTGAGACAGAGTGTCACTCTGTTGCCCAGGCTGGAGTGCAGTGGTGCAATCATGGCTCATTGCAGTCTTGACCTCCTGAGGCAGGAGAATTGCTTGAACCCAGGAGGCAGAGTTTGCAGTGAGCAGAGATCACACCACTGCACTCTAGCCTGGGCAACAAGAGTGAAACTCTGTCTCAATAAATAAATAAATAAAGGAGACTATGACAAGGACAAAGGAGGCAATTTGTAGGGGCTCCCTCTAAATCTGGGATAGTGTGAGCACCAAAATAATTAAGTCCAGTAATGAAACACAAACAACTGGAAAATACAGAATCCATGATTCCATGTTAATAATCGATAAATAATAAATAAATGGAGGGAAGACTCTTGCTTATAGTAGAATAATAGTTGCCAAATGGTAAATGTGGGAGAGGCCTGGAATTGGACAAGCATTATTTTATAAAATCACCATCTTGTAAACTGTCACAGTAAAGACTGGTTCAGATGAAAAATCATCAATGGATCAATCCTAAATCAAGACAGAAATTTTGACAAGGAGTGATACATTTGTGTGGCCTGAAAATGTTTTCTTACAGAAAACTGTTTATTATTTGCAAAGGCAAAATTAGTAACTCTACAATGGAGAAATTGGATATAACACCTTGGGCTCATAATGCCAATGAGGGGCAAATGAGTGTCATGTGCCTCAAGAAATAATATCTTGAGAAGGACACAGGATCACCTATGCAGTATTCCATCCAGGAATGCAACAACTGAATCGATTCATAATATCTGACGAAATGCAAAATGAAATCATTCTAGTAAAAAACCAGAATTGTATACTTTAAAAACCTCAATGTCATAGAAGACAAGGAAAGGCTATGGAAATGTTCCACGCTGAAGGAGACTAAAGACATGAAAACTAAATGCAATGTCTTCCTAGATAATTACCTGTACTGGAGTGGGGGTGGGGAAGGCTATAAAGGGCATTAAGTCGGCCAGTTAATGAAATTAATTAGAATATGTGTCAAATATTCTGGTATTAATGTTAAATTTACATATAATGTTAAATATTGCAGGTGATAAATGTAGTGTTGTTATTTAATAGAATATCCCGCATGTTCTCATTCACATGTGGGAGCTTAAAAACTTGGTCACATGGAGACAGAGTAGAATGATAGATTCCAGAGGTTCAGAAAGTTGTGAAGGTGGGACAGGGAACAAAGAGAGGCTGGTGAATGGTACAAACTTACAGTTAGAAGAAATAAGTTCTAATGTTCCATAGTGACTAGGTGACTATAGTTAACAACAATATATTGTCTATTTCAAAGTAGCTAGAAGAGAGGACTTGAAATGTTACCAACACATAGAAATAATAAATACTCCATATGATGACTACCCCACATACCTTGACTTGATCATTCCACATTCTGTGATGTAAAAAACACTCACATGTACCCCAGAAATATGTAAAATATCATGTTATCAATAAAAGAAAAAAAAGGAATAGCCCTATTCTTAGAAAATACACACTGAAGTATTCAGGAGAGGAGGCAAACACACATATGAGAAAGCAAATGCAGTAAAATGTTAACAGGTGAATTTGGGCAAAGGGTATACAGGTATGTTTTACTCAATTCTTATTTTTACAACATTTCTGTAAATTTGAAATTATTTCCAATTAAAATGTTTTTCTTTTATCCCACTACCTGTATTTTTCCTCTCACAAATGTGGTGATATCATTCTCATTTTCAAAGATGGAGAGTGTCTGCAAGAGATTTTGCTCAAGCCATTCCCAGTGTTCAGTGATTTCTTTCCTGGAACCACCTGTACAAATGAAAATAATAATTCATGTCAGATTTCATGCCAAAGATATTTTAAAAACCAGGCTCACTTTTTCATTATAGTCTATACCATCAAAGGAGACTATCGGACCAAGAGCTTTGCCTTTAAATGCTTTCTCTCCTCCAGAGGAGACACACACACAAGACATTTAAGGATGTGGAAACGCAAGAGTAATATTATAATCAAGTTGTGTTATAATCAAGTTTGATTAGGTGAGTGCAGAGGCTTTGAGGACACTGTTTCAGATCAGAAGGCAGCAATATTTCTCAAATTCACTTTTCTGGACTAGAGTTTAGCACATCCCTCCCCTTTCCTCCCTTCTAGAATTTGCACTTTACAGGGTAACATAGATCTTATGATACTAGGTTACAGTTGTTAAGTTGCAACAATATGAGAGCTTTGGTATGCCACTGGAGAACTGATGTAACCACCTCCTATAATGGGCAAAAAATTACTCTCACTCACTTCAATTATGAATGAGATGTGAAAATGGACTATCACTAGGGAATAGCAGCCTGGCTCTCATTAGCACAGTTGCCTTGAAATGTAATGGGATGAGGTCATCCTTGCAGCCTCAACCAAGTCAACACATTTTGGTCAATAATAAGAAGCATTTAAGATAACTCTTCCAGCAACCTCCAAACTTAAACAATCAGCTTTATAGTATATGTAATCACTACTCTGTTTTTGCTCACAGCTGCAGGGTGTAATAGGTATGCCATCAGGGTGGGGGTATAAAGATACTGGACTAAATTCCCCTAATGATTGTTAATGATCTTATAGAAAAATGGCTTTTTATAATTTGTCCGTATATCATATATATGTGTGCCATATATATATATGTGTGTGTGTGTGTGTGTGTCATATATATATATATATATATATATATATATATATATATATATATATATATATAAACATATAGTATGCACTGCTCATTCCAGAACTAAAGAAGGAGTTTGTGATTCCATTGATTCACCCTTCAGGATTCTCCTTCGATTTCCAAGTTATATTTTAATTGATTTCTTTAAAGTGTCTTTTCTCTCTGTTCTTTGTCATCAGTAAGATCTCAGAATCTCTGATTCTTGACAAAGAATGAAAGACAGGAGACACAAATGTATCTGCAATTATACTCAGAACTGTGGCAGAACTAAAATCGCTGAGAGAATGAGAGAAAGAAATTCAGGAGAGAGAGAGAATGAGAAATTTCAGATACACTGAGGAAAGGCAAAACAAAACCCACATGTACTTTCTTTTACTTTGAGACTAAACATCAAACTTGCCTACAAGGGATGCTTATGTGAAGGATGAAAAGCAGGTATCAGCTGAGTGCAGTGGCTCACGACTGTAATCCTGGCACTTTGGGAGGCTAAGATGGGAGCATCACTAGAGCCCAGGAGTTCAAGACCAGGCTGGGTAACATGGGGAGACCCAGTTTCTACAAATAATAATAAGAAAAATTAGTCAGACATGGTGGCATGTGCCTGTAGTCCAGCTACTTGGGAGGAGGAGGTGAGAGGTCCACATGAGCCTAGGAGGTCAAGGTTGCAGTGAGCCATGATCACACCACTGCACTCCAGCTTTGACAATGACACAGTGAGACCCTGTCTAAAAGAAAGAAAAAAAAAAGCAGGTATCTTAGTGGAGAAGAGTCCAGTGAAAACACTGAAGCATACATTGCTCCTCTTCCTGGGTATTTTCCACACTTGCTCTTTCATGGCCATAAGCTACCACGTGTAAAAGCAGTGGGATAACTGTCCTACAATGTCATGGCAAGACCTTGAAATTGGGACAGCTGGGTACCTCCTCCTTCTCTGCCACCAGTCACCTGGGTGACTTTAGACAAGTGCTTAATCTCTGTCTCAAATTCTGTAAAATTGAGATCAGTTAAAAACACAAAACTGGCTGGGGGCAGTAGCACACTCCTCTAATCCCAGTGCTTTCGGAGGCAGAGGTGAGGGGATCACTTGAGGCCAGGAGTTTGAGACCAGCCTGGGCAACATAGTGATACCCTCATCTCTACAAAAAAATTAAAAAATTAGCTGGGAGTGGTAGCACACACCCATAGTTCCTAGCTATGTCAGAGGCTGATGTGGGAGGATAGCTCGAACCCAAGAGTTTGAGGCCGCAGTGAGCCATGATGGTGCCACTGCACTTCAGCCTGGGCAACAGAGTGAGACCCTGTGGAGAGAGAGAGACTCCAACACAACAACAACAACAACCTTTACCCATCTCAGAGAAATACTATGAAAATCACAAGGGCTAATGTCTGTCGACACATTGTGGACAGCAAAAATACTGTTCAAATGCAAATTACAATGCCTATTTGAAATATTTAGGGAATGAGTCATTTTGGAGTTTGAAAGCTTTAAAATATTTTAAACTTAAAAATTTTAAATACTAACTGGAAAATTTTTTCAGACATACAGAGCCCTTCCTTGTCTGTAACCAGGTCACCACCATCACCAGCTGTGACATGCGGCAGACACAGAGAGAGCCCTGTGCAGAATAAATGCCAGCCATGAATCCTCCACCCGATTGTTCCATCTGTGCTTGTTGGCACTGTCAGATGGACTGCACCTCAGGACAGAGGTACTCCTGGGAACCACAGGACTGAGTTCTGCAGACCCAGAGGCATAATTCATCTCTGTTTTGCCTCTCATCTGTCCCTGCCTACATTGATCACAGATATGCCTTGTAGAGTCTGAGCCTCGGCTCAGCCAGGATAATCTGGCTCTTGACTGGTATCTCACCATGCTCTGCCCTTTACCAAGTTATCACACCAGGTACTTTACTTTCAGAATCCCATGGAATCCAACACTATTCCTTGGTTGTCGTGGATAGAAAAGCCCATCAGCCATAAGACCTATCAGCTTTGCACAAGCTGCTTTCAAAGCTTCCCTTCCTCCTTCCTTCCCCGCTTCCCTTCCCTTCCCCCTTTTCCCTTCCCTTCCCCTCCCATTCCTTCCCTTCCCCCCTTCCCTTCCCTTCCCTTCCCCTTTTTCCCTTCCCTTCCCCCTTTCCTTCCCTTCCCCCTTTTCCCTTCCATTCCCCCTTTTCCCTTCCCTTCTTTTTCCTTTCCCTTCTCCTTTTTCCCTTCCCTTCCCCCTTTTCTTCCCTTCCTCCTACCTCCCCTCCTCTCCCTTCCCTCCCCTTCCCTCTCCCCCCCTCTCCCCTTCCCCCCTCCCCTTTCTCCTTCCTCCCCTCCCTTCCCTTCCCCTCCCCTTCCTTCCCTTCCCCCTCCCTTCCCTTCCCTTCCCTTCCTCCCACCCCTTTTTTTTTTTTGAGACAGAGTCACGCTCTGTTGCCCACACTACAGTACAGTGGCATGATCTTGGCTCACTGCATCCTCAAACTCCTGCGGCTCAGGAGATCCTATCACCTCAGTCTCCCCAGTAGCTGGCATTACTGGTGTGTCTCACTACACCCTGTTAATTGTTTTTATATTTTTAGTAGGTCTCAAACTCCTGGCCTCAAGCAATCCGCCAGCCTTGGCCTCCTGAAGTGCTGGGGTTACAGACTTGAGCCACAGTGCCTGGCCTGTGTGCTTTATGCATAAAGAAAGGATAAAGGTTTCTTTATGCACACATTTCTATATGTACATCCCCACCACACACACACTCCCATAGCAGAAATGGTATATGCCCATATGAATGCACTCCTTCAATAAACATCTAACTTGTACCTCCAGCCTTCACTGACATTATATAGTCCACAGGCTAATTGTCTTTCCCACCCCATCTTCAAATAGTCATCTGAATAATCTTGCATTGAAGTTCAGGTTTACTATCATTGTTTCCCCACCTGTTGCCTCCTCTGCTGCCTCAGGACCTGCTGTCCCACACTGCCCACTGTCCATCATTTCCATAATCCCCACCATCCACCTCCAACATTGTTCTCACCACTGGCTCTTTTCTCTACTGCTCGCTATGAGGTAGGTAATGCCTACATGTCTATCTTCCTTTACCAGCACTAGCCCCAAACCTATTGCTTCTGCTTGTGCTGTTTTTGTTCTGTCCTCTGTCTCCTGTCCTTCCTTCCTCACTTGTGTCACATGAAAAGGCTGGCCTTTTGGAGTCATCGCCAGCCACTCGCTGCTCCCATGTATAGGAGAGGTGCTGGGACCATAAGTCTCAGGATCTTCAAGTCTTTCAGCATGCTCAGTGCTTTGGGGCTGCTTCGGTACTGCCAAAAGGGGTTTTGGAAGTTTCTTCTGGCTACATCCAAGCCTAAGATACAAAGAGTTTCAGAAGACTGGATTCTATGACCAGTATAGCAGGAACTCTAAAAGTAAAGGTCCTGGTGTGACGACTTGGTAAAGGGCAGAGCATGGTGAGAGCACTACTCGAGTCAGAAGAACTTTGTGTATTATTATATGAACCCATTATCATCATATGCTATTTTAGAAAAGAAAAAAGACAAACACTATCAGTAAACAGCAGCTTTAGGAATTGAACTATGGATTCCTATCTAGACCCAACAGATACTTTCTGGGGAGAATAATGTAAAAGTATCTTAAAATTTATATTTACTGCACAAATGCACCATATTCTCTGAACACTTTCCTAAATGCACAAAGAAGCAGTGAGGACAGGTGTTCCAGCTCCAGGTTCTGGTCACTAAAAGTACGAGGATACTGAAAAGTACGAGCCAGGACTGAATTCACCATCACCATCTGAAGATGCCAATCCAGTAAAAAATACTTCTGGAAGCAGGTGGCCACTTCTGTCCACTTCTCACCCCAGAAAAAAGGGTCCAAGTTACCTCTCAGAGATATCAGAACAAATGCCACTTTTTCTGGACCACTCCTTAAAAACCTGAGACTCCAAAGGAAACGTGTTTGAATCCCAAATGTTCCTTATAAATGGCTCTTCCATTTCTCAAGCAGATTAAGTACATGCGCTGCAGTAATTCAAGTCTTAGAACTTATTAAAGTGAGATAATATGAAGCTCCTTTGTCATGACCCTGACAAGGAACTGATCTATTTACCCAGCAGCTTGAACAAACTGTGTTAGGACACTCAGAAGAGAAAGGAAGGGCTTGGCTGTTGATTTTCTGGAAAGGCCCCATTTACAGAGATGCAGCAGGAAAAACAAGCTGACCCGATTGTGTAATCAGCTGGAATAACAAAGAACCCTGATGTTGGGTATGAGAATCCTTCAGGAAATGCAAGTTAAAGCACTCTGCTGTGGCTAAAAACTAGAACACTTGATAGGCTTAAGGTTTAGACATTGACTTCTAAAAAATAAGAACAATTATCATTTCAAGCAGTTTTTTAGGGTAATGGCCAGAGGCCCTAAATATATACCTGGGCAAACTTTTTAATGTTGTCTGCAATGATGAAAAATACGAAATCATCCTAGTCTAATTATTCATCTAGTTTGAAATCTATCTTAAAGTCATGAAGTCTACTTGAAATAAATAGAAGATGGACCTCCAAAATGATTCTATCACTTCTGGCCTCTGAGGATTAAGAACAAAGGTTTAAGGCTCCACTGATAGATATTTGGCAGATATTTCTTTTGTGATGCATGATTCATAATAAATTTTTTTCTTCCTACCTCCTAGGAATAATACATTTTGTTTCTGGGACTGCAGAACTTGAGAAAAACCTGTATTGCAGAATAACTAAAATGGTGAATTCTCATTGATCATAAGTGTATGTATGCACATGTGTAGGTACATTTGTATGTGCATACAAAAATAAAAACCACTCATCACATAGCAGAAAACAAAACAAAAACCCAATAAGCCTCCAAGGATTAAAGAGCAACTGACCTAGTATTTTCAGATTCAGAACAGGCTATGTGGATCACTGAGTTCACATGAATTGCACTTGAAGCTAATTAAATAAAGGGAACCAAATGAATAAATCATCTGTATTATGGCCTTATCCAATATAATCTTAGTCACAAAGATGATAATTTTGAAGTTTCCATACCAAATGAAGGCAAGAGTATTACTCCATATACTGGAGCAACCTTTAATCTGTCCCTGTATTTACCAAGCCACCCTTGTACTTTCTACATCCAGAAAAATTACAAACTTATATTCAGAGAGGGCAAAAGACAAAACCCAAAAATAACATGGTGATTTGAAACATTTTTAGAAACAAATGAAAATATACTTTTTCAAAATCCACATCTAACTAAAGTTATAATTATAATCAGGTTAAGTAAGATGATAATGATAATGCCTTCTATTATTTGTGCTTACCAAGAATAGGCATCACACTTAACTACTGAAATGTCAAACAGACCGGGCACGGTGGCTCACACCTGTAATCCCAGCACTTTGAGGGGCCAAGGCAGGTGGATCACTTGAGCCTAGGAGTTCGAGACCAGCCTGGGCAACATGGCAATACCCTATCTCTACAAAAATTACAAAAATTAGCAGGGTGTGATGGTGTGTGCCTGTAGTCCCAGCTACTCGGGAGGCTAAGGTAGGGGGTCACCTAAGAATGGGGAGATCAAGGCTGCAGTGAGCTGTGATTGTGCTACTGCACTCCAGCCTGGCTTGCTCCACTCCAGAGTGAGACCCTGTTTCAAAAAAAAAACAACAAAAAACAACAAAAAAACTGTCAAACATATCCAGATTTTTCTGGCTCTGAAGTCTATATATATGTATTTTTAATAATCTTTTTCATTTCTTTATTTATTTTAATAGAGACAGAGTCTCACTATGTTGCCCAGTCTGGTCTCAAACTCCTGGGCTCAAGTGATCTTCCCCACCTCAGCTTCCCAAAGTGCTGGGATTACAGGCACAAGCCACTGCACACATCCAAAGTCTGCACTCTAAATTGCTACACTTTGCTGCCTTCTTACATGTTTTACAAGTGCAGTGAGTATGAATAAAGGTTAAATTATCTGAAATAAGAAGAAGCCTGGTTATGAGTGAGGCGATATTACTTAATGCCTCAGACCATGTCGAGAAAGTACACCTGGTTTCAAACTTCTACAATGCCACATACTAACTCTGGGGCCGTGGGTAAATTACTTTAACCTCTTTGTCCTTCAGATTTCTTGTCTGTAATATGTAAGGAACAACACTTAACACACTGGTTTGTGCTAGAGATTAAGTCAGGTAATACACGTCAAGTCCTTAGAACACAGAAAACACCAAACAGTTACTTTTGGAATTATCATAAGCAGCAGAACACAAAGACCTCATCTTGAAATGTGATTCAGAAAATATTTCTAACTTCTGATGTCAAGAAAAGAAACTAGCTGTTTAACTATTGCCCAACTAACATACATTTAGCACAAACCTCTCAGGCCCTGGAACACTTATGTTTGATTGCAAAGGGTGCATATTATATGCCTAGGCCCTCTTGTGTAACTCTGATAAGATTCTGACATAACTCTGCTTATAATCTCTTATGGGTCATAATAATATGCTCACAGCTTTATAATCACTTTGAGAAGAGAGTCCTAGGTAACTCATTCAGCCTTGGCAATAAGAATCAGTAGTTAACATCCTTATTTTACTGGATAGTGGGAACATAAATGTCTATCTTTCTGGAGGGCAATCAGGCTAGACATATTAATTACATGCATATCCTTTTTTTAACTTGTTTATTTTTGCTATTTTAATTATATGTATATTCTTTGATTCAAGATATCTACTTCCATAAATTTATCCTAAGGTGATAATTAAGAGAATGTGCAAAGATTTTGTTGGGAGAATATTCACTAAGATTGTTCAAAATACAGTAATAGTAGGGGAAAAAACCCTAGATTTCCAATAACATACTGAGTAGATAATTTATGTTACATTCACATAAAATATCTACTTATTAAAATTGATAGGCCAGGCGCAGTGGCTCATGCCTGTAATACTAGCACTTCGGGAGGCCGAGGTGGGTGAATCACTTGAGGTCAGGAGTTTGAGATCTGCCTGGGCAGCATGATGAAACCTCATCTCTACTAAAAATACAAAAATTAGCCAGGAGTGGTGGCGTACACCTGTAGTCCCAGCTATGCGGGAGGGTGAGGCAGGAGAATCACCTGAAGCTGGGAGTTAGAGGTTGCAGTAGGCCGAGATCGTGCCACTGCACTCTATCCTGGGCAACAGAGTAAGACCCTGTCTCAAAAAAAAAAAAAAAAGAAAAAAGAAAATTGATGGTATGGAAATACATTTTATTGACATAAAAATTATTTTCAATATATTATTTTCCATTTTTATTTGCATTTAAATACATATCTGTTATATATTTATATATACTGTAAATATATAGTATACACATAGTATATATTATATACCTATATATTTGTATATATAGGTATATAAAGTATATTGGAGATTTTTTAAAGTCTGAAAGTGATGATTTGTGATGTGGTATTTTGTTTTCTTTTTTATTCATTTTATGTATCTATATTTTGTAATTTTTGCAATAAACATGTATTGCTTGAAGAAAAAAGGAGCAATTATTTTTGTTTGCTTTCTTAACTCACTGTGTTTCTAAAGATACGAGAATAGTCCTTGAGTTACACAGACCAAGAAATAATTATAAAAATACCTATCAACTTTCACATTACGTCTGCCTCATGCAGAAGGCAACTAAATTACCCAACATTTTCTTTATCTACAGTAGAGAATAAGAGCAGAACCAATTAGTAATCTTTAATTAAACTCTGGGTCTTACCAGCCGCTAACTAAAAGAATATTTAATTATAAAAGCCAGCATGGTGCCACTTAAGAAGTCCTGGGATGGGAGTGGGGAGACCTGAGAACTTGGTCTGAGCACCACATAACTAGTTATAACCAGGAATGTGAACTTGGACAATTCACCTTGCTTCTGCATCCTACTACAATAAGAGGGGCAGGCAAGACGATAGCTGCTCTATCTTTCATTTCTGAAACACAATGACCATCTAGGACCAGATGACATTCTGGAATGGTAAAGAAAAGGGAAACTCAATCAATACACAGCCAAATCAAGGCACCGTTCGGCACTGTTGTCAGTGAGCTGTCCGTCAAACACATCCTCTCCACGCTTTCCTTTATTAGCCCTTTTTGAAGGTCAGATGCATCCAGAGGGAACTGCCAGCAGCTCCTTCTGTATCTTTGTTTCTAATTCTCCTGAGCTGTCACAGAACTCCTTTCTTTAGATCATATCCTTGGAATTACCTGCATTCCTATGTGCCCATATTCCCATGGAGATCATATAACCAACCCTTCTTACTGTTAGAACCTTCTAGTCCTTATAATGGGCAGAAAGCCAAATGGCTTTCTACCTGTGCCAACTGAAGGCCAAGGAAGACAATGGACTGGACTCTCTGCTGCCTCTGGAACACCATATCCAAAACAAGAGCTGCTGGTAGCATATCTGTACCTATTTTTACTCCAATGTGAGCCCCAGGTGCAAAATAGTCAATTCACTGGTAAACCATGAGAGACAGAATTGTCAGAGTACAGTAAATCAGCTCAACAAAACTGGCTGGATAAAAGGTAGAATTTACTGTACAAACTATTAAGCATAATGCTTAATTGTAGGCTAGAATTGTTGACATAATGGCATATTAGCCAAAAAGAATAAAAACCACATTTTGGGTACTAGTGAAATGAAATGGTCGTTGTTTAGGAAAGTTTTTTGGCTCCCTTTCCCAATTAAAGTTCTCCATGTCAAGGAAATGTAAACGATCAACTTCTTCAGACCAACTTGGATAAACTAACAGAAGATAAAAAAGAGGCGGGCCAGGCGTGATGGCTCACGCCTGTAATCCCAGCATTTTGGGAGGCTGAGGTGTGCAGATCACCTGAGTCAGGAGTTCGAGACCAGCCTGGCCAACAAGGTGAAACCCCGTCTCTACTAAAAAAACAAAAATTACCCAGGCGTGGTGGCAGGTGCCTGTAATCCCAGCTACTCGGGAGGTTGAGGCAGGAGAATCACTTCAACCCAGAAGGCAGAGGTTGCAGTGAGCCGAGATTGTGCCACTGCACTCCAGCCTGGAGACAGAGCAAGAGTCCGTCTCAAAAAAAAAAAAAAAAAAAAAAAAAAGATAAAAAGAGGCATATGAAAATAATGTCTCATCAAATAACTCTTGGTACCTCCACCCCGCTTTCTATATGATTCATATTGCCGAGGGCCAGGTGCTTATTACAGTGGCAGTAAGATGGTCCAAAACAGTCCTCCTGCCTGATTTCATGTGGCTCAAGTCTAAGGCAAATCATACAGCTAGGACTTACCACTAACACTACTACTGCTCTATGTGGTCTATGTCAAGACATTGGTCGCAGATGCTCCCTTTAATTCAATTTATGCTTATTAAAGATTTACAAAACACATGACAAGATCAAGGTTTATAGAAAAAGGTTTTATAATCCCATGGATTCTACAAGGCAGTGATTTAGACTTACCCAATTATCTGCAGAAGTTTCTTTTATAGCAATATTTCATAAAATCCTAGCAAATTAGAAGTTTTTAATATATTTTCCTATGCCATACTAACTTTGTAGTTTATGAAAAATAACATTAAATTTACAAACAATAAGATACAGATATATTTTAAAAATCTTAAGGGAGAAGCTTCTGCTCTTAAAATCTTATCATGAAAAGGAGCCAGTAACTTGGATTTTAAATGGAAATCAGTAAGAAAGAACAATTAATAGGTGGCCTGGTGTGGTGGCTCACACTTGTAAACCTAGCACTTTGGGAAGCTGAGGCAGGCGGATGGCTTGAGCACAGGAGTTTGAGATTAGCCTGGGCAACATGGCAAAACCCTGTCTCTACAAAAAAATAAATAAATAAATTAGCAGGGCACGGTGGTGTGTGCCTGTAGTCCCAGCTACCTGGGAGGTGGAGGTGGGAGGATCACTCAAGCCTGGGAGGCAGAGGTTGCAGTGAGCCAAGATCATGCCACTGAACTCCAGCCTAGGCGACAGAGTAAGACATTGTCTCAAAAAAAAATACAAAATGCAACAAAACACAACAACAACAAAAAACCACTTTCACAACGCCTGTCACTTCCTTCTGTGCAGTCTTCCATAAGGAAATTCTGGAGCTATCTCTATGGGTAATCAATATATACAAAAACTAAAACCATTCTGGGTTTATTATAATGAAACAAGTGTCACTGGGAAAAGAAAACTATACATCTCTTTGGACAATAATTTATGCCATCAGCATTCACAGCGTAGTGTTCCTTAGCCTTGGCTCAGCAAATAATTCAGGAATAACTCAGCTTTGTAACATACAATTCTATCTCATAGGAGTATTCACAGGAAGATCTGTTTCATAGCAATACCATGGCAAAGCCCCAGAATCAGACTGAGGAGTAGTAACGTCAGGCAGTGACATTATAAATGTCAATGACAACAAAGGTAATGGCTCAGGGGCAGAGGAAAAGTCACAGGAGACACAAACCAGTTCCTTACATCACCAGAAATTGAGGTGGGAAGACCGAGCCTGGAGGGCTGTAAGGAGAGATCTGAGGGCTCTGAAGACCTGCTGCCTGCAAAGGATCTCGCAGGCAGTTTGGCACTCATGGTGGGATTGCTGGAAAGTGAGCAAGAAGGCTGCAGCGTCCTTTTCACACCGTCATGAGGTGGAGGGGTTTGGTGGCTCTCCCTAACTTTTAACTTCTTTCTTTTTAGTTCTTCATCTGCTGACTATGAAACGATTCTAGATTGTTTGCCAACTAAATGTGATGCTTTCCCAATCAACTACGGCAGGCCAGATGGCACTTTCACTTCTACGGGCTCCCTCTGTGGTGGGTAAACGTGCAGAGAAGACTGGAACACTGTCTTCCAGGAGCCTAGGTTACACTGGTAAGTCTGTCCAGGTCAGAGTCCCAGCTTCCTCTTCCTTAATCCTTTATCACCTTCCTCTCACTCAATCCCCATTCTTCACTTCTAGATGGGTTTTCCCGCAGCTCTAAACCTTGAAGCCATGCCTTCGTTCATGGGCTGTGTAAACAATGGTTATAGTCAATTGTCATTCGCTGGGCTGTTTGCATCTCAGAATACATTTAAAAAGACATAATTATGGCCTGGTACGGTGGCTCATGCCTGTAATCCCAGCATTTTGGAGGCCGAGGTGGGCGGATCATGAGATCAGGAGTTCGAGACCAGCCTGACCAACATGGTAAAACCCCGTCTCTACTAAAAATACAAAAACTGGCAGGGCGTGCCTGTAATCCCAGCTACTCAGGAGGCTGAGTCAGGAGAATCGCTTGAGCCTACGAGGCAGATGTTGCAGTGAGCTGAGATCGTGCCACTGCACTCGAGCCTGGGCGACAGAGTGAGACTCCATCTCGGGGGTGGGGGGGGGAAAGACATAATTACAATGTTAGAATTTCAGGTACTACTAAATCCTTGAAGGAGAATTACCCAGGCAATGGAGCTTGCCAGCAGCCTGAAATCACACCCAGATAACCTCCTCTAATTCTGCAGGAGGCTAGCCTATATTCCTCTCTTTAGTTGGATGCCCAGAAATTAAATGGAACTGTAAGGCACTGGTTCACACTGGGCTGTAATTGACTATTTACTTGTATCCTCACTAGACTGTACGTTTCTCAAGAGCAGAGACCAAATATAATTGTCTTTATATTTTTAGATCCCAGCACAGCACTTCCTACCAAGTAAAGATCAATTTTAAAAATGAATGAAGTCAACTGAAAAAGCTCCCAATGGCCAAAGCTGGAACAATTTGAGCAAAGAATAAAGTAATGTTGGATTATAACCCAGAAGACAAAATAAATAGGCATGAGTCTATAGTGACATAAATAATTAAATAAATAAATGAGGGAGAAAAGATAAATTTACTGTGCAAGAGAATTCTCCATAAATTATGTCAATAGTCTACCCTAAAGGAGAGAAAAATCCCTACTCCTTAAGTATGGACTGCACATAGTGATTTCCCTCCAAAGAGAATACTTTGAAAAGGGGAAGAACAGAGTAACTTTACAGTGGACAAACCTAAAAAAACACTATTTCAGGGAGGTGATCAAGGAGGCCCGCAGTCATAAATCATGTTGATAAAATGTACACTTGGCATGGTGAAACAAAATGGCCCTTTATCTCTGTGATCTTCCTCACAAAAATCTACTGCCCCTGTCTAATCATGAGAAAAATATCAAACAAATTCCAATTGAGGAGCATGCCAAAATATACTGGATCAGTATCTTTCAAAACTGTCAAGATCATCCAAGCCCAGGAAAATCTGAGAAACTTCCACAGCCCAGAGGAGCCTAACGGGATATGACCGACTAACTATAATGTTGTACCAGATGGGATACTGAAACAGAAAAAGAAAATGAGGGAAATCTGAACAAACAATGGACTTTACTTACAAATAATGTATCAACACTGGTTCATTAATTATAACAAATGTACCATAGTAAGATGTTAATAATAGAGGAAACTCTGCATGGGGGGTGGTATAGATGAGAGTTCTCTGAACAATCTGCTCAACTTTCCTGTAAATCAAGTAGAGGCAAAAAAATAAAAGTTAAAAAAAGTGTTCATATAGAGCCCTTACTTTTCTTATGGTTATTTTAAAAGCCACACACAAACAAAAACTTGGCCATTTTGGGCCAATTGCAGTGGCTCATGCTTGCAATCCCTTTACTTTGGGAAGCCAAAGCAGGAGGCTCACCTGAGCCCAGGAGTTCAAGACTAGGCTGGGCAACACAGAGAGACACCATCTCTACAAAAAAAGAAATTATATTAAAAAAAAAAATAAAAGTCCAGGCGCAGTGGTTCATGCCTGTAATCCCAGCACTTTGGGAGGTTGAGGGGGGCGGATCACCTGAGGTCAGGAGTTCAAGACCAGCCTGACCAACATGGTGAAACCTCGTCTCTACTAAAAATATAAAAATTAGCTGGGCGTGGTGGCATGAGCCTGTAATCCCAGCTACTTGGGAGGCTGAAGCAGGAGAATCGCTTGAACCTGGGAGGTAGAGGTTGCAGTGAGCCAAGATCGCACCACTGCACTCTAGCCTGGGCAACAGAGCAAGACTCCGTCCCAAAAAAAAAACAAAAAAAAACTTGCCCAGTTTGGACTAGAAGTTCTTATGAGAGATCCAATAAAAGCAAGATTAAAAAAAATTTTTTTTGCTGGGTGCAGTGGCTCACACCTGTAATCCTAGCACTTTGGGAGGCTGAGGTGGGCAGATTGCTTTGAGGTCAGGAGTTCGAGACCAGCCTGGCCAACATGGTGAAACCCCATCTCTAGTAAAAACACAAAAATTAGCTGGCATGGTGGCAGGTGCCTGTAATCCCAGCTACTGGGGAGGCTGAGGCAGGAGAACTGTTTGAACTTGGGAGGTGGAGATTGTGGTGAGCCGGGATCACGCCACTGCACTCCAGCCTAGGTGACAGAGTGAGACTCCGTCTGGGAAAAAAAAAAAAATTAAGACTAGTCAAGTGCAGCAGTGAGAAGTGGGGAAAGAGTAGAAAAGGAGTTCCATCTGCAACTGACTGTGATCAATGGAGATAGCTCATGACCTTCGGACCAGCCAAAGCAAGATTGTTGACTACTATTTTAAGCACAGCACAGCATTACTGATTATCATCAGGAGAAATAAAGAATCCCTACTCAGTAGGAAGTACTGTGCTAGGATATATACTTAGTACATCCAAGTATTCCACACAACTCTCTTCATTTCCCAGCTTCCTCTGCAGTGAGGTTGGGCCCACGTGACTAGTCTCGGCCAACTAAGTGTGAGTGAAATGGAAGGTGGAGTGTGCCACTTCTGGGCCAAGGAAGTTAAACACAGATGTGCTCCACCCTCACACTCTTCCCTTGTATGCTGACCTTGGAGGCCTTGTGTTCCAGAGAGTGTCACTACACATGGAGGAGGCCACATGATCCCAACACGACTCTATCAGAGTGAGAAAGAAACTTTCATTGTGTTAAGCCACTGAGACTTTGGGTTCATGTGTTGAAATGGCTACGGTTAATTACCCTAAAATACCAGTGATTGCATTCAGCAAGTACACGTTCCTTTCCTTCTGATAAAAAGTTGTTAACCCTAACGCTTCTTTTAAAACTTGTGTATTTCTGGATGTGGTTGCTTACCACAGGCGATGGTCCAGTAGACCAGGGAGTCTGGAGTCTGGTACAAGATTCGGTAAGGAGCGACCCGGGCGCTGGAGTCCAACACAACATCAAGGGTACCCACCAGCAGGCCTGAGGGTGGAAAGTGGGGAGAAACAGGTAAGAATTGCCTTAGTACTTTCCCACATTCCCAGGGGCAGCATGAACATGCCCTTTCATGAGATCTTCCAACAACCCCATCTCCCACTGAACCACACCTTGAAAAATTTCATTTTAGGATGATGCTGGCTCTACACAAGTTGCACAACTTGACAAGGTCACGAGAAGCAGTCGTGTCCATCTGATTCAGTCTGCCAGGCTGCCCCACATGTTATTTTCATCTGCCCCACTTTCCATTTATGTTTAAAAAATTAGTACAATTCAGCTCAGCAAACACTAATTAAATTCCTACTATGTGCAAAACAAACCCTGTGGGCACAAAACTGAAGAAGACAGCATCCCCAGGGCATTTATCATCAAGTGGAGAAGAAGGTCAGGCAGTGCTTTGGTACTGTGTTTAGAAGTGAGCTAGGGCCGGGAAACAGAGGGATCTTCCCATTTCCACAGCAGAGTCCTCTGCCATTTGTGACATCAGTCACGATAACCAGGGCTAACCAGAGCCTGGTTTATGCTATGAAATGATGCAGGAATAAGGTTGAGGATCAGGGTCTGCATTTTTAGCACAAAGTTTAGTTCTTTCAGTCAAGAACCCCAGTGATCCACTTATCCAGGGTTTACCAGGCCCATGTGAAAACTTGTTCACATTGTCCAAGTCCAGACAAGCCTGAATGTTCAGCAAAAGAATTTAGCAATTTATTTGTAAGGAATACAAATGCCCAGTATACCAATGCTCACTTAAGAACAGGCTGTACCTTCTCTTTCTAGGAGGAAAATTGACAAGGAAAAGGAAATTAAGAGCAGAAGGCAGCTTAGTGAGCAAAGGTGGAAGGTGCCTCTAAGGTGAAGTCTGCCCAGATGACCCGGCTGAGGCACTCCAGCCATGCGGAGAACGCACAACCCTGTTTCTCACTCAGCAATCTTTTTCCAATGTTCCCAGACAACTTGTCAGGTATGGTGGTGACAGTACAAGGATTCTGACAGCTTCAAACTGGGAACCTGTCATCAGTGCAAATTTCTCTTTTAACCACCTTTTAACCACACTGAAGCGGGATTGGCACCAAACATTTTCTACAGTATTTTAAAATAACACAGATTACACACATACGTTCTCCAAGGTATAATAAACTAGATCCCTTAATTGGAAAGATGAATCCAAAAGATTCCCATAATGTAAATGCCCACAGTTACTCTAAAGCTACATGGAACCCAGTATAGAGCAGGGCTTGGACTCAGAAGGACCAATCAGGAGCTCAGACCAGCTGACAATATTAGCCCAAGACACTTTATTTCCAAAAATCTCCCTTTTCTCAATTGCCAAATGGAGACACTATTACTACCCCAGGATTGTTTTTGAAGACTGAAGGTAATAAGACTTAGGGGTAATAGGCTGTTTGGAATGAGGGATTAGGCCACCTGAAAAAAACCTGCTAAGATACTTTTATCGAATTTTACCTTTATTTAGATTGCATGTTTATAGAGGATGACTTTGGGATAGAACTAATGGTATTTGAAGCTGGGAGATGGAGGCTAAAGGCCCCAGCCTCCCTTGTTTGCAACTGTTGATACTGAAAGCAGCAAAGCTCAGTGCCATATTGCAGGCTTTTCCTGAAGTTTTGCTGAATCTGAGGCACAAATTCTGAAAATGTTGCCACCAGTACCTCATGTTATTTTGTAATAATGTCTTGAGGTTTGGTTCTGGCCATACCAAATAAGACCCTGATATGCACAATGCCACTGAAATTCACTTCCCACTGCTCTGGCATCCTGGTGTCACGGAAGGAGCCATAATCTAGTCAACTCATGTTCGGAAGAGCTCAGTTCTGGCTCTGACTCTGTTATAACCATTTCTGTGGAGTGGGACAGGCCATTTAACTTCTCGTTGCTTTGATTTCCTCAGTTGTAAAGTGGTCATAACTGCCCTTGCCTTCCTGAACCAGAGTTATTAATCAAGAAGCCTAAGTGAGGTAGACCATGCAGAAGTCCTACAGTTGTCCTTGGTCTTTGTCCAAGGGCAAAAAATCCATTTAGATTCACTCCAAACCACAGTGACCATTAGCTGACCTCAACATACCAGGAAAAAAACAAACAAAAAACTTTTGCTCAATAGAAATTAACTTGTTAGCTCCGGCCTGTATGAAATACATTAAAAATGAAATTCTTACAGCCTGCAAAGTCTTCCAAGGGGGTAGAGTTCCACATTATATCACACACATATGCATTTTTGTTTGCTTTACTGTGACTTGGATTTACTACAGAGACCTCTAATTTCTTAAATGACTTTTCACTTATCTACAGATGGAAGAATAGGACACATAAATGCATCACTCATAATTGAGTGTTTGTAATACCTCTCACATCTTGAATCAAAATAAGAAATAAAATGCTGAAACTACTACAAGTGTCATATATGTTGGTTCTAAGGCATACAAACTTTAGTCTGGGTTTAGAGGGTTGCAATCAAGAATCAGCCTGTGGGCTAGGCGCGGTGGCTAATACCTGCAATCCCAGCACTTTGGGAGGCTGGGGCGGGTGGATCACTTGAGGCCAGGAGTTCAAGACCAGCCTGGCCAACATGGTGAACACCCTTCCCCATTAAAAATCCAAAAAAAATTAGCCAGGCACAATGGTGTGCACCTGTAATCCCAGCTTCTAGGGAGGCTGAGGCAGGAGAACTGCTTAAACCTGGGAGGCGCAGGTTGCAGTGAGCTGAGATCATGCCACTACACCCCAGCCTGGGCAACAGAGCAAGACTCTGTCTCAAACAAACAAACAAACAAACAAAACAAAAAATCAGAAAAAAAAAAAAAAAAGAAAAGGACAAAAAAGAATCGGCCTGTGTGGTTTAATAAGCCTCTGAGTATCATCAAAGACCAAGACTCTTCCAAGGGCAAGCATAATTGACTGGGCAGGGCAGAGCAGCGGACAGGGGCAGTCCTGGTTCTAGAATGCTTCAATTCTGACTCTGCCACTTCCTCCTGGAGCCTCAGTTTTATCATCCTTAATGGCTCACTGAACTTTTGTCCTCTGTAACACAAAAGAAGGAAGACCTCTGAAAAGGTCTAACCCAATCCACATATCTCCACCACCACAATGTTCCCAACTAAAATCCAACCTCAACATAAACTATTCTAATTAACAAAGCCTCTGGTGTCAATTAGAGATAAAGAAAACCCAGTTGCTTAAAGCAGAGCCCCCTGGAGTGAGGGTTTCTCATTAGATGCAAGTTCACCAACCCTACCTCTGCATTCACAACTGGCGCCACCAACTTCCACTAAGACTTGGATGAAAACTAACAGATATACATGTACGTAGCACAGGTACATGCTGAAATATTTTCAAGTAAATTACAGAAAGTATAATA
Organism: Homo sapiens; assembly: GCF_000001405.40. NCBI lineage: Eukaryota > Metazoa > Chordata > Mammalia > Primates > Hominidae > Homo > Homo sapiens. The sequence continues at coordinate 140,705,003 of NC_000004.12, forward strand.
TCAGGATATTCACATTAGATACATTTAAATGAGAGAATTTCTGTGAAAATTCCCTGAACATTTAAGGCACTGGATATCCAAACAGAAAGTAATATTGTGAATTGAGGTATGCAGTTGGCCAGTCAAATCAAGAAACAGACTCTTTCCATATTAACCCAGAAGTGCTGAGTCCTTTCATGCCTGGATAACACTGATCACTCAAAATGTTGTGCTTGTCTGTCTGCTCTTGTCTCCCCCGACCTCAAACAGCAGCAAACTCCTAATCTTTTAATGCCGTCTCATTCCTACTCTACTCTTCCTCCCAGTTCTGCCTCTATAATGCCTATTACATTTGTTTAAGATTACTTGCACATTTTGCCTTGTCCCATTTTTTCCTCTTCTCTCCAGACTGAGAGTTCCTTGAGGGCAGGGTCTAATTGATTATTTTGGACCCACAGGCCCTGCACTTTGGAGTCCAGTAAGCACTAAACACATGGTTGATGATAAATGGACAAGTGAGGGGTGTGTGCATGTGTGTGTGTGTGTGTGTGTGTGTGTGTGCGTTTTAAACCTAAATAATAAATTATCACCATGCTATCTAAACTCTGTTGGTACATGAAGTCAAGACCCTGGGAAAAAGGAAATACTCCTCCTTTGTCCTCTATTGATGTAGAATACTAGGAGATGGGAAATCTGGTCTAGAGAATCCCCCCGCCCCACTGCAAAAGCAGCAACAATTACGATTTTCTTAGAAGTCTCATTACTCATACCTTGGAAATGGCTGTCAAAATACTGAACCTTTTCTTCATTTCCCACACAAAGCGCTGTTTTAGCAGCTGTTCTAGTCAGCTATTTCTGGTGTTAAACAATCTTGATTGCCTAAGATAACGAAATCAAATTACAGCCCTCAAAATAACTCTTCTCTGCATCTACCTATTACATTAGTACAGTGGCATCTTATAATGTAAAAGTGCTGTTTTCAAGGAGATTCAGAAAACACTTGGCAAAATTGTTCCATATTTGCTTCCCATTTGGTTGTGGGCACTGGAAGATGTGTGATGCACAGTCACCACTGCACAACTGCAGCCTAGCTGGGAGCTGGTACAGGTGGCAGGTCCACAGTGCTGCAGAGAAACCCCCGTCAGCCCTCTGCAGGCCGGGCTATGTCAGGAGTGTGCTGCCATGCAGAAATGTGCTCATGGAAATGATCGATCCATCTACTGATGATCAGGGCTAAAGTTAAACTGGACAGGATCCTAAAGATCACTTGGCCTCCCCGACTCCATTAGTCCTGACGCTGGTCCAAAATGAAGCAGAGATCCAGGAAATCCATGGCAGAGTGGTCAGGGGAGTGGGCTCAGCTTTGGCTCACATACCAGCCAGTCCCTTAATCTCTCTGTGCCCCTGCTTCCTGATAAAGAAATAATAGTATCTACCCTAGAAAGTGCTTAGTATGCACTAAGCACTATTGTGTAATGAATCATTCAAAACAATAGAAAAGTACAGGAAATTACAAAATACATGTACCACTACTCTGACTTTTTTAACACTTTGCCTTACCTGCTTCCGATCTATTTTTTTTTTTAACAGAAAGAAAAGGTAACAGCCACAGTGAGGTTCCCTTTGCACTCCTTTAATCCCATTTCCCTCTCTCCATTAACCATTCTTAAATTGTTTTGTATTCTTCCTATCCAGGTCCTTATACTTTTACTGAGCCATGTTTTTCATATAAAAAATTTAAAACTGATGAGTATTTTACAAATTTGTCTGCAAGGTACACTGCAGCTTATTTTTTTCAATCAATATGTTTGTAAAATTTATCCAGAATATACTTGTAAATCTGATTCATTCATTTTAAAATATTGTGCAATATTCCACTATATAAGTATATTACAACTTATCTGTTTTCCTAGTAAAGGACATTGGATCTATCCACACTTTTTGCTCTATTATGCAACTGTAATCGTATTCTGTTTGCATAAATCCTTAAGCACCTAAGCACATTTCTTTAGAATGGAATTGTCAGGTCCTAGGGTAAGTTCATTTCTAAACCTTATTAGATATTACAAAATTGCTCTCTAAAGTGCTCAAGAAAGTGTGAGAATACCTGTTTCTCCATAATATCTCCAATACTTAGTATTACCAGGTTTTTTTTTTTATTTTCACCAATCTCTAGAGTGAGAAATGGTACCTGTTTGTTAGTTAAATTTGCATTCCTCTGATTACTAATTAATTTTCTTGTTTATTGGCCATTCCAATTTCCTTTTTTGTGAGTTATTTGCCTTTCCCATTGTGGTGACATTTGCTAAGAGGTCCCATTAGACATTCAGAGTTCACCATCTAGAAGCTTCCATTTATATACATACTGGATTTCCATTCATTTCAGCAAATATTCACTGATCTCCCTAAAGCCAGAGATGCAGTATCCTTGGATTTACTTCTTTATATATCTTCTATACACATGCAAGACTTTTGGCTCAGTACTTCCTCTCCAGTGCATCACTTCCATGCCTGGCTTACTATCTGCGAAGATGGTAGGTTTCTGTAGGCCACCTGCTGCCACCTGTTCTTCTGGCTGCTGCTCCTTAGATGTAAGTGATACATTCTCTAGAAGTCTTAACACTTACATGATACTGGTCAGAAAGTAATTAAATGGAAACATTCAGAAGCAGCTGCTGACATACCTACAAACTCTCTAGCCATACCATAACTTTTACACTTCTTTAATGAGCCTTGTTTGTCTGCTTGTTACTTTTTAAAGCCTCCAAGGCTTTGTACAAGTGTTTCTCATCCTGGCAAACTTCTATTTCCCTCAATATCCAGGTCAAGGTCACCTAATGCATGTGTCCCTGTTTTCTCCGGCACGCTCCCAACCAATGTTCTCAACACTCAAGCCCCCCAAATCTCCTGGCAATTAACTGTTAGCTTTTTTGGGTTCTGCCAACCATCTTGACTTATATTACACTAAGGTAATTACTACATTGTTTCCTACTTCAAAAAAAAAAAGTATGGTTTCCTCCCACCAGACCCTGGGCAATTTAAGGACAAGCACTGCCTTATTTATCTTGGGAGTCTCAAAGCCTACAATAATGTTCAGCACATTATGCTGAATATTTATAATGTGGACCACAAAATTCTCAATTTGATGAACATTGGGAGAAACCAGAATTATTTTAAGAACTAATTCATCTTTGTACCATAGTTTCCAATATTATAAGTTCTAGCAAATCTGCCTTAAATAATTAAAATTGTCTAAGAATCTTAGAAAGGAGACAAAGACTTGAGAAGGCAGCTAAAAATCCCATTTCAAAGACTGTGAGGTAATAATGCAAACCAAACTCATATCTGAAACTGCTTACCTTGGGAAATCAATTTCTCCAATTTCAGAAGTAATTTGTTACTTTTTAATCAGTATTGAAATTTATCTGGAATTAAGTTAGATCAAAAGCAGAAATATTCAGGGAAAAGACAAGTCTCTATTCTCCTACTTTGGCAATTGTCAATAAACAAGAAAATTCACAGATTTAATTAACCAATTGAAACCCTTGTGCCCAACACACAGACTGGTAAATACGGTTTGCACACCATACTGGCCAGGGGACCAAGGGAGGGATTAGGAAAATGGTTCTGTGTGCAGGTGTGAAGAATGCTGAAATGGCCAGGTGAGGGTCAGCTCCATAATTATAAATGCGCCAGAGTTCCTAGAGGCACCATAGCCAATGTGAAGGTACATGTGAGCTAATGTTGGCCAGCCACATTATGTATGAAAGGGGAATACAGGTGGTGGCTGTTCTATGGGTAAGGAGGTGGGGGATGTGGGAGGTTTGTCAGGGAAGGTGGCTGGGACAGGAGATGGGTACAATGTATTGTTCTGTTCCGTGACCTCAAAGAGTATTATATTATTCTCAGGCGCAGGTATTATTGGCAATAGGGGAAAGAGATTAGAAGGGCATGGATAGACATGTAACCAATCCCAATACTTGGATACTACCTTCAGTGTCGAATGGTGGGAGCAATTTTGTTTTCATAAGTATCATACATTCTTCCACTCTCCAGCATCTCTAGATAAAAATGGTTCTCAACAAGCCTACTATGGAATGTTATTGTTTTAAACGGCCATCCACAACTCTTTCCTCTCAATTTCAATAGCTGCTTCTCATAACCCCATTCTAGCTGCCCCTGTATCATGGCTGCCTTCAAGGATGACACCGTTACCTGTGGGGAAGGAACCAGCCTTATCTCTCTCTCTCTCTCTCTCTCTCTCTCTCACACACACACACACACACACACACACACACACACACACACCCCAATTCATCATTGTTCGTCAAAAGATGAATTAAGAAGTCTAAGAAATACACTGTTGACTCAATTAGGAGAGTGCTTCTCAAACATTGTGGCTAAGAATCAGTTTTGCCAACTGGGGGACGGGGCTGAAAAAAATCAGTTTTTCTTTGTTTTTTAGTTTTCAATCTGTTACAGACTGACACTTTTGTAAAAATATGATGCATATGGAATACTAAAAAAAAAAAAGACATAAAAAATACAAGCTTCCAATTTTTTGATTAAATTTAACAGACAATTGTTCTAGGTTCCTAAATGCTTAATCTCAATATCTGTTCTTAGCTGGAGGCAGACTGGTTAACAGTTTAAAATTTGGTACTTTAAGTCAGCAGTCCCCAACCTTTTGGCACCAGGGACTGGTTTCATGGAAGACAATTTTTCCATGGACCAGAGTTGGGGGTGGGGTGGTCTGGGGATGGTTTGAGGATGAAACTGTTCCACCTCAGATCATCAGGCATTAGATTGTCTTAAGGAGCTTGCAACCTAGATCCCTTGCATGTGCAGTTCGCAATAGGGTTCTCGTGCCTGTAAGAACCTAATGCTGCAGTTGATTTGAAACGAGGTGGAGCTCAAATGCTCCCTCACCTGCCACTCACCTCCTGCTGTGCAGCCCAGTTCCTAACAGGCCACGGACTGACAGGTACTTGTCTGCAGCCTGACAGTCAGGAACCCCTGCTTTAAACAGTATTAAATTAGGGGAGGAGAGGCTCTAGGGCAGTCATGTTCTTGGGACTGTGTTTCTTAGAATCATTTATATAGCTTTACAGAGCACACGCAATTCTATAACTCTCATTTGGGAAAAAATGACTGTTTTCACAATGCAAACCAATATAAAACTCAACAAACTAACATAAAACTCAACATATGTGAATGAAGGAGGCATGAGGGTTTTGTTGTATGTTTATCCCGAGGGGCACTGGTTAAAAAGTGCTGGGAATATGAACTAGTGTGTTAGGTGATCCCCGAGAGACCCCTGCCTCATTTCTTACAAAGAGGGGAGTGAGCTAAAGGGAGAAGAATGACAAAGCTAAGAGAGGTGGAGCGCCCACTCTGTAGAATTTTAAGCAGTATTCTGGATCACAGGGTCTTTGATATACATGTTCATATAAGTACTCACAAAGTAAATGCTCAACAAGAGAGAGAGAAGCCGTGACTTTCATATTTTCCACCTCAAAAGATAAAACACAGGCTGGGTTATGACTAAACAAACAGAGCAGAAAACTAAAATCTGAAGAGCATTTTATCTGTATCCAATTAGTATGTGCTGCTCAAATCTCCTAAGCACCCTCAAAAGGCCATGTCTTCCAGGAGCTGTTCCATTTCCCCTGCAAGCCCATCTCTTAAAGTCACAAGCACCTGCTCCTGCATAAAGTGAGAACAGTTGGAATGGATTTTTCCTTCTCCTGGGTGGGGGGGTGGTCTGAGGAAGGAATGATTCAAATACTTTATTACTGCAATACCTTGCTCTACACCCTAATCAGGACCAACTACATAATCTGTGGGGCCCAGTGCAAAAAGAATATTCAGGACCCCTTGTTAAAAAATTCTTCAGAATTTCAAGGCAGCAGCAGTAGAATATTAAGCCAAGCCCAGCGCTTTTCTAAGTGTAGGTTCCTGTGTACAAGCATACCTAGGAAGCTGGCCTTGAAACCCCAGCAGTGTGTTGGCTCATTCTTTCCCCACGAACAAGCTTGCTGCTTTCAGACTTTGTGCAGGACTCAAATCTGCTCTGATACGGACCAGTGAGGACAATGTGATTGAAGTTATTAAAAAATTACGCCAAGCCTTGTGTGATCTAATTCCTCAAAGAAGCCCCTCAAAAGGCGGGGGCTTAATTTAATTTCCCCTCAAGTCCCGTAATAGGAAAGTGGATGCTATTGTCTTAGATTTACAGCTGCTTCTGTGTGCAACAGGAAGTTATATTGATTCTAATCTTGGCTGTAGAGGCGGGTCTGAAAACCTAAAACTCAAAGGTCAAGGTCAGCCAAGGTCAACCTTGAGAGGTAGGAAGGAGGGGCCTTTTTGGTGTGGTAGGAAGAGTTCATCGCTATGAAGCCCACCTCTGTTTCTAAGAGATTAGCTATATCAATCCCCTCCTGGATACCTGGGGGCAATACCCCTCAGATCCCTTCTCTCAGGAAGGCCACATTTGCAGAAGCCACTCACTGTCCTGAGATGTCAACCCTTCTTCTAATTCATGTATCCTCTTACGTAATTCAACTGCCAATAATTGAGAGCATCGATAAGCTGAAGAACAACTTGGCAACGAAATAATATGAAATAGAAATAATTCTGAATTCAAAATTACATTTAGGTAATGACCTACAATGTCTAAATAAATTATAGTACATTGATATAATATGTAGACATTTAAAATCATACCTTCAAGTAATTATTTCATGACATGGTGAAATGCACCTAGCATATGAAAAACAGCACAAAACTAATTACTATTCTGTATGATCCCAATTTGTCTAAAAAAGTATAATATAACCTATATTACAAATTACAATACATGTATTAATTTTAAAGAATACAAAACTAAATATGAATATTAACATTAGTAGGTGAGATGACAATTCTGCTATTTTATGGTCTTCTGTGTTTTCAAAAATATCTCAAATGTACATTCAATACATTTATGATGAGAAAACAAAAAATATATAATTACCTCCAACCTTTTATTTTGGGCTTTTTTTACTCAAAGAGAGCTCATGCCATCAAGCAAACAGACAGTTACCATGGTTATACTAACGCTGCTACTTCACAACAGATAACCACAGGTTAGAAATCTTGTTGCTAGGTTGCAACATGCTAGCTAAGAGTCCATATCTAAATGAGAGGCTCCCTCAAAAACACACTTCCTTGGAGAGGGACCTGGCGTTTACATTTTAGAAATTTTTTTTTGAAGTTCATTTTTTCCCTCTGGTATACGGAGTTCATCAATGCTACAAACTGGTACGTATTCATACACACTGAATCACATTCCTTACTCCAGTTGCAGGCACTTGATGTTTAATAACTAGTTTATCTCAAGTCAGGAAGTTTACAGTGTCAAAATGAATCAAATTGATTTTACCATTTTTATCAAGTATTCTCTGAATATGCTCTTTAAAAAAAAAGAATATATATATATGCCAGGTGCGGTGGCTCAGGCCTGTAATCCCAGCACTTTGGGAGGCCCAGGCGGGCAAATCACGAGGTCAAGAGTTCGAGACCAGCCTAGCCAACATGGTGAAAGCCCATCTCTACTAAAAATACAAAAAATTAGCTAGGCGTAGTGGCGGGCGCCTGTTGTCCCAGCTACTCAGGAGGCTGAGGCAGGAGAATTGCTTGAACCCGGGAGGCGGAGGTTGCAGTGAAGCCGAGATCACGCCATTGTACTCCAGCCCGGGCAAGAGAGTGAGACTCCATCTCAAAAAAATAGATAGATAGATAGATAGATAGATAGATAGATAGATAAATGGGATCCTGCTCTGTTGCCCATGCTGGAATGCAGTGGCATGATTGTTTCCGGAACAAACTGAGGGTCGGGCTGCTATTTCTCATGGCCTAATAACGAGATGCAAATGAACTGGGGAGGAAGAAAGTTTTTATTTCTGCAACCGGTTACAGGGAGAAGGCCTGGAAATTATCACCAGACCAACTCAAAATTACAGTTTTCCAGAGCTTATATACCTTCTAAGCTATATGTCTACATGTAAGTGTGCATTCATCTAAAGACATAGGTGATTAACTTCTTTTAATCTATAACTAAGGTCTGAGTCTTGAGGTTAATTTTTAAATTTTTTTATAGAAATGGGGGTCTCATTACGTTGCCCAGGCTGGTCTACAACTCCTGGGCTCAAGGGATCCTCCCACTTTGGCCTCCCAAAGCACTGGGATTACAGGTGTGAGCCGCCTCATGGGCCTTCCACTGAGTATTCATTAAATCTCTAAGTACCCATGGTGTTGCCTTCAGCTACATATAAGCAAGACAAAGAAAAAAGCCCAGGAGACCAGCCACTCTGTGCTTATATTAACAAAGGAAATGCCAGGAAAGATGCATATTAAACTTAATAATGGTTACCTCTTGGGAATGAGATTGATATGGCAGAAATCAGAAACATTTTTTATTATTTGAAATATATTTTTAGGCCAGGTACAGTGGACTGTAATCCCAGGACTTTGGGAGGCCAAGGTGGGAAGACCACTTGAGCCCAGGAGTCTGAGACAGCCTGGGCAATAATTAAGACTTTGTCTCTACAAAAAAAATATTAAAAATTAAGCAAGGTGTAGTGGTGCATGCCTGTAGTTCCAGCTACTTGGGAGACTGAGGCAGGAGGATCACTTGAGCCCAGGAGGTAGAGGGTGCAGTGAGTTAAGACCACACCCTGCACTTCAGCCTGGGAGACAGAGTGAGACCCTATCTCTGAAAAAGAATTAAAAAAAAAAAACTATATTTTTTAAAGTAATTTCTATACTATTGGAACTATACACTATAAAACATTGTACTTTTATAATTTGTACAATGTACATGTATTATAATCAAATAATGAACCACTAGGTTGGTGCAAAAGTAATTGCAGTTTTTAATACTATAGGATCAATGAAACATTAAAGATCCTACTATAAGAGTTTGTAAATGATGAAGCCACTTAACCAATCAGCTCCTGCTGCTTTCTGTAAAGGTCACTGGCAAAAATCAGAATCGGTAACCCTTGGCATAATATTAGCCTGGGGGGCTGAAGAGGTGAATGCAAGATGATACAGAATAAGGCAACCTTGTGCAGCCTTTCACCAGGGACTTTGATTAGTGCAAACACACAAGGCTAAAACGTGGCCTAGGATGAAAAGATGAGCCACTTCCCTTGTTGGCAAAAAAGAGTCAAGCTCTGTAAAATATTTAAAGAGGTTTATTCTGAGCCAAATATGAGTGTTCAAGGCCTGAGGCAGTCTCAAGAGGTCCTGAGAACATGTACCCATGGTGGCTGGGTTGCAGCTTGGTTTTATATGTTTTACAGGGACATAAGACATCAATCAACACATGTAAGGTGTATATCAACTTGGTCTGGACAGGAGGAACCACTCAAAGTGGGGGCTTCTGGGTCTTTGGTGGATTCAAGGATTTTCTTAATGGCGATTGAAAGTTATGATCTAAAGACTTCTAATCGTTAGAAAGAAGTGGTTGGGTTAAGATAAGGGGTTATGGAGACCAAAATTCTTATTATTTAGATGATGTCTCATAGGTGGCCACTCTGAGAGGCAACAGACAGCAAATGTTTTCTCTTCAGACCTTTACAAGGTGCTAAGCTCTGAGCTAATCTCTTCAGGATCAGAAAAAGACCTGAAAAGGGAAGACTTTCTACAAAATGTACATTTCCTCCATAAGAGATAGCTTTCCAGGACCATTTTAAAACATGCTAAAGAAATACATTTTGGGGTAAAATAATTTTTTCAGAGTCTGCTCTCTGTCATGTGATGCTATACTAGAGTCAGGTTGGAATTAGGCACCTTACTGCTACAAAGAGTCTGTTTTGGAGCAGGCATAGTGGCTCATGCCTGTAATCCCAGAATTTTGGGAGGCTGAAGCAGGAAGATTGTTTGAGCCCAGGAGACCAGCTCGGGCAACACAGTGAGATCCTGTCTCTACAAAAAAATTTAAAAATTAGCCAGGTGTGGCGTTGTGCACCTATAGCCCTAGCTACTCGGGAGGCTAAGGTGGGAGGATTTTTTGAGGCCAGGAGAGATCGAGGCTGCAGTAAGCAGTAGCCCCACCACTGCACTCCAACCTGGGTGACAGAGTGAGACCCTGTCTCAAAACAAACAAACGAACAAACAAACAAAGCAAGTCTGTTTTGTCAGTCTTAAGATCTCTGTTTTAATATTAATACTGGTCAGTTGTGCCTGAATTCCAAAGGAAGGAGAGTATAATGAGGCATGTCTGACCCCCCTTTCTCATCACGGCCTGAACTAGTTTTTCAGGTTTACTTTGGAATCCCCTTGGCTGACAGAAGGGGTCCAATCAATCAGTTGGGGGAGCTTAGAATTTTCAGTTTATACCCTCCAGTTATCTTGCTTCTGGTCTTTCAGACTGGCTGCAGTTTGCATACATCCTGGTAACAAAGCCCAGCAAGTTGAATTCATAGTACCTTGAATGACTCCTGTTCCTTATAACCCAAAGTGACCAACAAAAACCCTAACTAACCCCTTTGGCTCCATCTGGATAGGCTCTTTGAGTAAATGTTCCCTTCCACACTATAGCAAGTTATATAAGAAGGTGCAAAGGCATTAACAGCAATAATGTTTTCCAGTCTTGCATCCAAATATTCTAACACAGATAAAAATAGTGGCTACAGACTGTAATTAAAACAATCATGCTATTTGCAAGGGAGAGATACAGTAGCAGCCTGGCTTGATTCCTGGGAGTTTCGTGGAACCTCATCACTTTGAGGGCAAGCAACTCCACCTGCATTCCATTTCTATCTTAGCCTTTATCCACCTGGATAAGACTGAGGGACCTCACAGACAAATTTCATTTTGTGATGGATAACGTGGGAGCAATCTTCAGCTAAAGTCTAGATAAAGCCTTAAAGAGAAAATTGAGCTCGGAAGACCTGAAAATAAAGAAAACACCCTGGCACCAACAAGGGAGAGAAACAAAACAAAGAAGCTCACCAAAGATGGTTTGACTGTGCAAAACCATGGGTACGGTAACCAGTAACACCCTTATTTTATCAAGATGTCTATTGTAACAGGATGTGTTTTCAATAAATGTAAATGACCTGTAAATGTAGATAAGTCCCTTACAGAATATATTAGGCCCAACTGAAATTTTCTAAGTAGTTTAGTCATGGCCTGAAGATAGCTTGAAACCTGTTTTGAAAAACATTGATAATAGGTTGGACACAGTGGGTCATGCCCATAATCCCAACATTTTGGGAAGCTAAGGAAGGAGGATTGCTTGAGCCCAGGAGTTGGAGACCAGCAAGGGCAACACAGTGAGACTCCTATGTCTACAAAAAGTTTTTTAAAAATCAGCTGGGTGTAGTGGAGCTTGCCTAGAGTCCCAGCTACTTGGGAGGCTGAGGTGAGAGAATCCCTCGAACCTGGAGATGGAAGTTGCAGAGAGCCATGATCGTGCCCCTGTACTCCAGCCTGGGTGACAAAGCAAGACCCTGTCTCAAAAAAGAAAAAAAAATATCAATAATGGATGAGAAGAAATCATCATTGGCAATAACAAAAGTAGTGTACTAGAGTTGGGGGCCCTTCTTTGCAAAGTAATTACAAAGTCATTTCCAGGAAACCATTCTCTTTTCATGCTATAAACTTGTCACAACAGAGGGGTAGGATACCAACAGTATCACTGACTCCTTACATCCTCAGTTAGAAACTGATGAGCAAAAACACAAGGTGGGAGAAATTATTTTTATATTATTGATTAGTGAATGGGGAAATTTAAAGTAATGAAGAACTTACGTTTTTTTCACCCTTAATTATATTGTCTACACCTAGTTCCTTAAAGCAAAAATCACACACACACCCACACCCTCTACAACCCACTATGCTGATTTAAAACATGCTCATTTAAACTGAGTTTAGAGTAATGGGGGCTGTAAAAAAAAAAAAAACACAAACAACAACAACAACAAAAAAAGCAACTCCAGGTTTGGTCTCAACCTATCTCTGCATTTAATAAAACAATAATACAATGAAAGACTTGGGTTATATCAAAATAAATATTTTGAAACTTTTTAAAAGACAGTCACCTGCAAGAATTTATTTTATGCCAGTGTTTCTCAAAGAATATCCTCTTTGAATAAACAAAGGTTTCACTTTCTTCCTCACGTTCTGTTACATCACCCTAAATAAAAGTCATAATCCTTTAGAGAATCAACATATGTTACCTGAACCAGGAGATGCAGACAGGAGCTTTTGCCCAACTTTCCTGTCTTGTTTTGGAGCCGGAGTTGGGAGAGGGGTCAGGAAAGAGAGAGGGAGAGGGGAAAAGCCCAAGTTGTTGTTTTTAAAATTTTCCAGTTATAAAAACAACAACATTTAAGCTGCTTCTTCTAACCGTAGAGGCCTTCCTGTTCAATAACTATGACATAAATGATTCAATAATGGCAATGATTCTTTGTTAATGGCTAATTCACCATGCATAATCCTTTTAGACATGACTCAGCTTTCCTGTTGGGACAATATTTCATTTATGACTATCAAATTAATTTATCTGAAGCATATACTGGGTACAATAAACCTTCACTTTCAGCTGAAAATGGGCAAGGGCAGCACTAGGCATCTCATCTCAGAACTTGCTGGCTTCAAAACTTTTCCTTTGCTGGTGGAAGGCCGGGGCCTCTATGAAATCTAGAACACAGATCAGGGAAACAGATTCTTTCTACAGCTCAGGTGCAGCGTGAAGATTATGTGATTGGGACAAGTATGTGTTTCATGTTCTCAGGGTTCCCACTGGGTAGAACACAGTGCAGTCATGAAAGACAGACTGGAAAGCCATGGTATCCCCAGGAGCCCCCCAACTTATTTCTTTAAGTCTACAGGTCACAACTTCCCAGTGGTACCCCAGGAAATGATGACAAGCTAGCAATATACTTGTTCTCTTGGCTCTTAGGATACCTTTTGTGCCCTGCAAACACTATCATTTTCTAAGTATGCTATGATATGAAAATAGGTAGAAAGCTCTGTATTAGAACAAATAAAGCATAAAAGCATTTTAGATAATAGTGCTTTACTCTACAATATTTCTATACATTTAATTTCAATGCATACTGATGGGATTCAATTGAGTAATTAGTATATACTAATTCAATTGAGTAAATAGTATATAGTTTCCCCATAGTTTGCTTTTAAAAAGTTAAATGAAATATGCTTTATTTTATTTAAATGTGATATACCTAGTTTTTTTTCTGTTCCTTTTTTCAGAAAAAAAAAAAAAAAAAGTACATTCAGCTATGCACATTGGGAGGTGACTCACAGGACATTTGCCTGATCTTTATGCTAGTTCTTTGAACATTTTTATTAAGACAGAACAATCCCCTCTTTGCAAAAGTGTGAGGATCTCTGGTCTTCATTACTCTCTCCTCTGAATGAACCCTGAGGAAAACAGAGTCAGAGCTACCCTATATAATCCTCCATGTAATAATTACCCCACATAAACCCAGGGCCTCATACCTCCTTAGCTCTTCCCAGACAGTCCAATGAATAAGCAACAACAATGACTGAACATTTTCACAACGAACAAGCCACATGATTAGGAAATTACCAACATGGCTATTTTCAAATAATTTCCAGAAGATCACCAGGGAAACCCCTAGAAAAACTAAGCTCATTTAACTTAAATCCGAAAGAGCACCCAGCAGTCTAAGGAAAAACATTTAGATGTTTGTTCTGGCCTATTTCTATGACAGCAATAAGAATGTCCCTAATATTCCTACCTAGTGTTGTGTAAAGTAATCAGAGAAAGTGGATTCAGTCTTGGCCTGGTGGCTCACACCCGTAATCCCAGCACTTTGGGAGGCCAAGGTGGATGGATCACTTAAGGTCAAGAGTTCAAGACCAGCCTGGCCAACATGGCAAGGCTGTTTTTATTTTTGTAAAAACACAAAAAAAATTTGTATTTTTAGTCTCTACTAAAAATACAAACATTAGCTGGCTGTGGTGGGTGCCTGTAATTCCAGCTGCTCGGAGGCTGAGGCAGGAGAATCACTTGAACCCAGGAGACAGAGGTGACAGTGAGCTGAGATCATGCCACAGCACTCCAGCCTGGGCGACAGAGCAGGACTCCATCTCAAAATAAATAAATAAATAAATAAATAAATAAATAAATAAATAAATAAAAGAAAGTGGATTCAAGTCTTCATTTCCCCACTCACAAGCTGTGTGGCTTCAGACAAGTCACTTAGCTTCTCTGAGTCATAGTTTCCTGCCACTACATCAGGGATATTTCATCTTCCCTGCTAGTCTCCCAGGGCTGCTGAGAAACAGATGACATACTGTGTATGGGAGTGCTTCAAAAACTGTAGAGTCTCTCACTCATGTAATCTAACTAGGATTTTTCTTTAAATAATGCTTAATTTTGGAGCAGGGAAGGAGCGTCAAGACATAAACTTGCATCTTCTTTTTCTACAGAGAAGGAAGCTGGGCACTGGAAGGAAGTGCTTGCTAAAGTTATGTTCTGAATCCCAGGAAGTAGTCACCATGATTATTAGTGTCTAGAAGAGGTAAAGGAAAAATATGGCCTTAGTCCTGGAGGCATGATGTGATTTCATCCTTAGCATCATGAAATAGACACTGAGCACCTGTGGAGAGGAAGCTTTGCTGGGCACTAGAAATATAATCTATCACTGATGTCTTTGAGAATAGGATCTGGCTGCGAAGAAAGAAGCAGCACATACAAATAGCAATCATTAGAATGGTCATTTGCTCAGTCAGTTCAAGGGTACATAGCTCAAGGGTAATACAGAAGATGTTACACGGTACTTACCCAAGGCTGGCATACTCATGCAGGAGACTGTTTTGAACTGCCTCCTGGAGTTGGGTTTGGTGGAAGGTAGCTTTTCAAAACCACAGGCTTTGCATTAAGAACCTGGGTGGAATCCCTGTTCCACTGCTTCCTAGGGTCATGACCTTGGGGCAAGCTATATAACTGATAAAAACCACAATTTCTTCACCCACTTAATGAAGATAATAGTATCTTCCTGAGAGGTTGTAATGAGGATTAAAGGAAATATTGCACATGAACCAATTTTGCACAGCACCTGGCACTTGGTAGGTGTTCAATAAATAGTACCGATTGCGGTGGCTGAAGGCAGCCCCCAAGGTGGGAAGGCACATGGGATGTGTGGGGAGCAGTAAGTCCATCAGCTCAATAGCAAGGGAGTGCTTGAAAGGTTTGGGATAGACATCAGATTGTGGTGGGCAGCCTCAAGATAAACTGCTTAAACTTTATCAATAAAACAAAAAGTTTCTGGGCTCAGGAGTCACATGTGTTGTTGTATAAAAACCACTCTAACAACAGTGTGTGGTAGTTAGGAAAGAGACAACAGGAGCAGAAGACCAGTTAGGAAACTTCTTATGAGGAAGAGGAGATTTATTAAGCCCCTTCTTTTAGGCTAGGAGGTTTCCTAATACAGAATTATCTCTTTAATCTGCACAAAACCCCAGCTAATTATTATCTCCATTTCACAGATGAGGAAATGGAGGCTGAGACATTAAGTGAGCAAAGCTGGGATTTGCTCAACTGTCCAAGCCAGTCTATTCTGCTGCTTCCCACACACAGGAAATGCAGGCTGTGGCCCGTCAGGGCCAGTGAGGATACCAGCATATTACCTGGGTGGTAATATTGGCCATCCCAGAGAAGAGGGCAAGTTCTCTGCTGTTGCTATTTCTGTTAGGGGAAAGGCTCCTTAATGCACCCTCTTCCTGGAGGAGTAACCTTTGAAGAGCTGGTTTCTAAGGTGACCCGTAAGCTTCTAACCTCAGTGACAAGTTCCAGCCTCAGCAGGTTTAATATTTTCTGTTTGTTCTCTGGAAGGGAACAACATGACCCTTGTAGGTGAGACCACAGACCAGCTCTTTGTGTGTGCGCCCAGACAGGAGCCACAGTGGCCCAACAGGCAAGTGCAGCTCCTTTCTCTCTTTGCTCCTGGAAAGTGCTCTTTCACCGAGGTCAGAGCCCTCACTCAGCTCAGCCAGTCTTTGAAGAAGGTTCCCGGACTTGCACCGCACCTAACTGGCCGCAGATAAGTGGACCTAGAAGGGTGGGGAAGACTGGAGATCCTGGGGGCCCCTCTCTGAGGGTGCAGCGGGGTCTGGGGAACATGGTCTCCATTTGCACTATAAATCTTGTTTATATTCTGGTTGGCTTTGTTACAAAAAGGCAGAAGTGAAACTAAAATGTACTAGATACGCCACACATACACTATTTCAATTAACCCTTGAAACAACAATCAAATATCATCAGTAATAGCTAACAGTGGTGACCTTACGCCAGGTAGGCTCCTAATCACTTTATGTGCATTTTCTAATTTAATCCTCACAATATCCTAAGACATACATGCAATTATTATCCCTATTTGATGAATGAGGACACTGGGGCATGCAGCTACCAGGTGGCAGCTACTAAGTGGCAGCTCCAGTCATTGGGCCAGGGCGGCTGGACTCCAGAGCCTGTGGAGTGTCGATGCATCAGCTTCTAGGATAAGTTCAAGGGAGTTGAGGATGCTAAGAGGGAAGTCACACAAATACAAAGAGGAATAATTGGACTTTCTCTAGCTTCCAGAAAATTCAACCTTATTTCAATCCCTACCTACTTCAGATTCCACAGCATCCTTCCCATTTTCATTATTTTTAGCTGATAATCTATAACAATTTCAGTATTCTCCGTAATCCCCATTTGTGTAACTTCTGGAATGTTGATAGATTCCAAACCCCCATCTTCCTGCTGGTTTTATTAATAACAGGATCATTTTGACCCAGTGTCTAGAATTGTTCTCCTGTGACTGAATGCCCGTCTTGATAACTTGCCCAACACCTCATATCTCCTGAGCATGTAGTCCTTCTACCTGCTCACATCTGCTCATCTCGGCCTAGACCTTAACCAACTGCCTTCTGCTGAGCCCTTACCAGACTCCATGCCTAGCCTCAGTGGATCTACATACCTAGCCCATTCTCCCAGGTCTGGCCTGTCCCATCACCAGGCCAGGATTTATTCCTCCCCTGTCCTGGGACTCCTATAGGAGTCTGTTTTTTAATCAATGGAAGTAGTTAACTGAAGTTCAATTCATAGTAGCAGGGGAGCCTATGGGGGGTGAGAAAATGTTTACTCAGACCAAGCTTCAACCATAATAGCTTCAAATGGCATGGAAACAAGGAAAGGAACATGCCTGAGAAATTCCACTAATCACTTTTAAATTTCACTCATTCATTTTCCATTAATGAAAGAGGGGGAAAAAAGCTCAGAAATAAAGAGAAGCAGCAATGTAAACTGCAACCAAGTGTGGTTGTTGAAATCCTTCCCCTTAACCTTTCCATCTGGTACTGCAGATAGGCAGGTAACTCAATGTCTTAAAGCCAGCACCATAAATATTTTTATTAAACTTGGGGCAGAGGTCTAAATATACTCCAAACAGCAAATTCATTTATCATTCAATCATTTGTTCATCTGGGAAACATTTGCTAAGTGACTTACCATGTGTCTGGCACTGGGCTGGGTCCTGGTAATGCCATGTTGATCTTAAGGAACCTTGGGATGAGTGGGGAGAAGCTAGGCTGGCAAATCACATAATGATAGAGAACACTAAAATTCTGACCTAATGATAATTCTTAAAAATGATACCCTTGTAAACTATCTTTTTACTCTTCAATTATTATTAAAACAAATAAAACATTATTTTCTGCTCCAGGCTGGTGTTATTTCTTTTTTAAATTTTACTAGGAAAAGACTCTCATCACTACTTTGTCTGAAATGTCACTCTCACCCCCTCCTGGACATGCCTCTGATTCTCCCCTGTCCTTTCCTTCTCAGAACATGGATTTCACCGGGAGTTCTCCTCCCCATTGAGTTATAGCTTATTACTCTTCGGGGTTCTCTCTCACCTCTCAATCCCCCTTTTTCTTTTCTGTCCCTTCCCCACTCTTTACTTGATTCAACCTCTTTGTGAGGGGGTAAATGTTTAACCTTTTCTTAGGCTATCAAATGACATTGTATAATGGAAATCACAGGACCCACTCATTAGAGTTCTTCCAAACAAGAAAGGCCTTACTGTGTCTGAGTGATTATGGCATCTTGAATTACAAACTCTAATAATGCTTAGTAATTACTGTTACATGCTATGTACTCTCAGCTTCTCTTCTCAGGACCCTGGGTAACCTGCATGAATACAAAGGATGTCCATGTTCCACAACTTAGATCATTATGGCTTCAACCTGCGTTACCAAACTGCCAGTGTCCTTGAAGGGTTTAGTAAGAGAAGGTGTCAGCCACAGACCTGGCTTCAGGTCTTTACTTCCCAGATTTTTTTTGTTCTTGAGACATGGTCTCACTCTGTCGCCCAGGCCAGTACAATGGCGTCATCTGGGCTCACTGAAACCTCCGCCTCCTGGGTTCAAGTGATTCTCCTGTCTCAGCCTCCCAAGTAGCTGTGACTACAGGTGTGCACCACCATGCATGGCTAATTTTTGTATTTTTAGTAGAGACAGGGTTTCGCCATAGTGGCCAGGCTGGTCTCAAACTCCTGACCTCAAGTGATCCGCCTGCCTCAGCCTCCCAAAGTGCTGGAATCACAGGCGTGAGCCACCATGCCCGGCCTACTTCCCAGTCTTTAACATAGATTCCTTCAAATTGGGACAGGCTCTTAGAATTACTGAAATGAGAAAAATTTTAACATATAAGCCCCACAAACTGTCGTATATTTATTTTTAATTCATATTTATTTATCTATGTTATTTTTAGAAACAAGGTCTTGCTCTGTTGCCCAGACTGGAGTGTGTGGTGTGATCATAGCTCAGACTCCTGGGTTCAAATGTTCCACCTCAGCCTCCTGAGTAGCTTGGACTACAGGCGTGAACCACCATGCCTAGCTAATTTATTTTTATTTTATAGAGACAAAGTCTGACTATTTTGCCTAGGCTGGTCTCAAGCTGCTTGCTTCAAGCGATCCTCCCACCTCAGACTCCCAAAGCGCTGGGATTACAGGTGTGAGCCAGCCAAAAATGTCAAGTTAAAAGATCAAAGCCACTTCTCAACTATTGAGGTGGCATTGCTTTCTGAACGCATTTGAGATACTAAATGTCATAAAAATAACAAATGATGGCATATTTGTGAATGGGACCAAACAGGCCTGATTAATGCAAGGCCATGGCACAGTGTCCCGGACCAGCTGGTCATTTCTACTCTACCTCTTCTTTCTCACCATCCACTCAAAAGTACCAAGAAAAAGAAATGGGATACAAGCTAAGGACGGAGCTGGTCTGTTAATAGTTCAATAGGCAACTGGATATAGCTTTGTCCAGCACCAGCTCCCTGAAGCTATGCTACAGACAAGAATGATGTAGAATGAGCCATAAATTTCCAGCCTCACATAACTATGATCTGGCCCAGGTACACAGCGGCCATTTTCTCAATGGCAACCTAACCAGCACTGATGCATACAAAATTTTGAAAGTTTTCTTCAAGATTCTCTTTGAATTTTAGAGTGGTGAAGGCTTTCTAACTGTGACTCACAATCCCAAAGCCATGAAAAACCTGATATATTCTTCTACATAAAAATTCAAACTTCTACATGTCAAAAACACCATTAAATTAAGAGAAATTGGAAAAAAAAAAAAAACTTGCAACTCAGATCACACACAAAAGGCTCATGTACCTAATATACAAAGTTCCTAAATTGGTCAATAAGAAAAGGAGCAACCACCAAAAACAAAGTGGGCAAAGAGCAAGTACAATTTATAGGAAAAAAATCTATAAATGGCTTGTAAACATGAAAAAATGTTCAACAACACTTAAAAGAAAATGCAAATTAGAAGTACACTGAAATATCATTTTCACTTGTCAGAATGGCAAAAATCCATAATATGATAACACATTCTGTTTTGCAAGACTGGGAAAACAGACATTCCTCACACATGGTTTGTGAGCGTGCAACTTGGTAAAACCCCTAGGAAGGGGAATTTGGCAATACCTATCAAAATTGCAAATGCATATACCAATGGCCCTACGATTTCACTTGTTGAAATTTTTTCCACAAATATATTTCACAATTAGCCAAATAACATATGTACACGGCTATTTATTGCAACAGTTTTATAGTATATGCCGAAAAATAGAATAAACGTCCATTAACAGAGGAGTAAATAAAATGATGGCATTGCCATATAATGGAATGTGCAATCATAAAAAATAAAAAGCAAAAGAAAGATGACATGCTATGTTTTGATACAGAAAGATATACCATTGTACGGTAGATGAACCTGACAGCAATAACTTAAGCATACCCTGAGAACGACCCTGTATGGTCTATGCACCTGATTGTGTGTTCAGAGTTCCAAGTTAAGGAATTCAAGAGGAGCCAACCTGGAGATTCATTCCTCATCTATGAGGAACATCTGAACCCCTGTCAGGTCCAGCGGAACAAGAGCTGTACAGGGGATGGGGGCCCTTTGTTTTAGTTTAAATGAAGGTTGCTGGGTGGAGGTTGTTACGGGGAGAGTGCTAAGTTAAAATGTGATATAAAGTGCATGCTTTTTACAACTGGTGGCAGTTCTCCTGTCCAGCTCACTGACACTGGACCACTCTGGAAATAAGTTCCCTCTAGTAAAACCCCATATCTCGTTTGCTGGATGCGGATCTCATCTTTGGCCTCTTGAGCCTGGTGCCTTCCCTCCTGGAGTTAATAGGGGTTGGGCACGGCAATTGTTCACTGAAAAAAGCACGGTATGGAAAAACCTTTTTGTACAAAGGATTCAGGGAAGTGTGGGATAAAATTACATATTGTAATTTGCTTGTACATGCAAAAAGAATCTGGAGAACATGAAAAAATAAATACAATGGTGACCTAGAGTCGGTGATAATAGGGCTGAGAAATTTTCCACTGTATGCTGTTTAATATCTTTGGATCTTTGAACCATATAAATATATTGTTACTCAAAACTTTAAAAAATTGGCCAGGCACAGTGGCTCATGCCTATAATCCCAGCACTTTGGGAAACCAAGGCAGGTCTCCTGATCACCTCAAACTCCTGATCACTTCAGGTCAGGATTTCAAGACCAGCCTGGCCAATATGGCAAAACCCCGTCTCTACTAAAAATACAAAAATTACCTGGGCGTGGTGGTGCATGCCTGTAATCCCAGCTACTTGGGAAGCTGAGGCAGGAGAATCAATCAAACCTTGGAGGTGGAGGCTGCAGTGAGCCAAGACTGCACCACTGAACTCCACCCTGGGCGACGGAATGAGACTCCGCCTCAGAAAAAAAAAAATTTTAAAAATTTTAAAAAGTATATTTGTGCCTGTGTCAAATACATTCTTTGTTGAGAACACTAATAAATTATTAACCTCAAGAATTAGGGGATGCTTGAGGGACAGCTGCTCAGGGTCAACATGCGCAAACTTTTCTCCTCTTACATCTTTTCCTAAATGTGAATTATGGGGCTTGAAAGTAGAGACATTCTCACAACACCCCTACCCCCAATACTACCTTGTCTTGAAATGGTGTTACTTAAATACACACAAACATAAAACCAAGTATAAACTTCTTATGTTCAAAGCTCATTTATAATATAATTATAAAACCAAGCTATATTTAAAAATAAATATGGTAAAATTATAAAACCAATGAAAGTCTGAAATAACCACATTTACTTATTGTGCAAGATGAGATTGTTTTGTTAAAACTAAATCACGACTTGATCAGAAATGCTGTACAGAGTAACATGGCCCAAGTTCTCCTGAATTCAGCATACCACATTATCTTTGTTACACAAAGCAGTTACTCTACCACAACTTTTCTCTATTCTTTGCTTAGTGTGCTGCAAAATCATTTGCCCTTCTTTTGCCCAAATGCATCTGTTACATAGTCAAGCTGCCTCTGTCATTTACTCAATATCTCATAACAACTGATATGCGGTCAACCCAGTCATAAATCCAAGTGCCAACTCAAACACTAAAGTTGGGTGTCAGTGGTGAGTCATAAGGTGGTCATTCTGATAACCCCAAATAAACTTGTATCAAGGTTATCTTGTTAGCATTCTTAACATCATAACAAAAATGAAAATATCAAATTTAAAAATTATAGAGAGAACTTAGACTCTGAGAGGTATACAGATCCCCAGCAGTTCACAGAGCCTAGTGTGCAAAACACAGCCATAATGAGTTACCATCTAATTATCTGTAATTTGTTTGAAATGCAGTGATTGCCCCTATTCACTGCCCCAGTGGAAGACTCTACTGTGGATCTGATTCTCAAGCCCCTGAGGGGTCAGACTCCTGACTACCTGGCTCTCTCCTGGCTCCTGCATCTACTTTCACCTTTGATTCTCTCTTTGCATCACTGCCCACAGCAGTGGGGCAGGCCAGGCCCCATTCTGGTGGCCACGTTCAGGCTCTCAAAGCCCAGCCTGGGGCAGAGTCCCAAACCACCTATGGCCTAGGATGGAAGCGTGGACATTTTGTGATGCTATAATCCCCATTCAGCACAAATAACTATTTTCCATAAAGGGCACATATATTACAGTGTGCATTTGAAAGCCTCTCATTAAGTCTTATCAAAAACCAAGAAACTAATTTCCATATTAAAAATCTATTGTTCTGACTCAGAATGTGCTATTCAGCAGATTCTTGCTGAATACAGTCTCTTAAGCAAAGAAATTTGTCATGTATTTCTGCATCCTTGGTGCCTACATGTGATAAGCACCTAATATCTGTTCCATGAGTGAACAAGTGAATAAATGAATGAATGAATGAGTGACGAATTAGCCAGGAAGTTAAAAAAAAAAAGGGGTGGGAATGGCATAACACCCATCAAAGTACTACCTGCTGGTAAACTCCACCTGAGCAGTCAGTTGGCCTCTCTTTGCTATCTCTAGTTTCTCTAATTGCACGGAAGGAGTATTACCTTTTGCTAATTAAATTCTTTCTCCAGATAAAATTTTCTTTAAGAAATCATAGTCTACCAGAAAAATAGAGTAGAGTTTCCATGCACATTTCTTTTATTTTACTTTTTTACTTTTAACTCTAGCTCCTATAGGAGGAAGGACACATTTATTTTTAAAGTATTTGCAGAAGTAGTATAGGGAGTCATTCTGATATTTGGCCTGTTGCCATGGCTAAAGCTAAAACAAGCAGGTTCTACTGGCCCAAAGTTAATAAAGAAAGTAAGATGGTAAACACTGTTCCACCAAATGCAATGCACACAGTTGTTATAAAGGTCACTGGCTACATACTGCAGACATTCTTTTGATACCATATTCTGCACCAGTCAGGAATGTTGGCCATAATCCAATGAAAGGGGAAAATAAACAGAATTCTCTCAAAGTCAAGTGTTTCTGGGTTATATTAAAAAATTTTTAACTTTAAATGGTAAAAAAAAAAAAAAAGTAACAGTTTTAACAAAACTTTCAATTAATTTAAGTTAGCCATCTTAGAAAAGTAGAAATCTACTTGTTTTTTTTGTTTGTTTGTTTTGTTTTTTTTGAGACAGTCTTACTCTGTCACCCAGGCTGGAGTGCAGTGATGCAATCTCGGCTCACTGAAACCTTCACCTCCTGGGTTCAAGCGATTCTTGTGCCTCAGCCTCGCGAGTAGCTGGGAAGCTGGGATTACAGGTACGTGCCACCACGCTCGGCTTTTTTTGTTTTTTTGAGAAGGAGACTGGCTCTGTCGCCCAGGCTGGAGTGCAGTGGCTCGATCTCAGCTCACAGCAACCTCTGCCTCTCGGGTTCAAGCGATCCCCCTTCCTCAGCCTCTCAAGTAGCTGGGACTACAGGTGTGCGCCACCCACACCTGGCTAATTTTTGTATTTTTAGTAGAGACGGTGTTTCACCATGTTGGCCAGGCTGGTCTCAAACTCCTGGCCTCAAGTGATCCACCTGACTCAGCCTCCCAACGTGCTGGGATTACAGGCATGAGCCACTGGACCAGGTCGAAATCTACTTCTCTGGATGAAAACTGAGGCACATGGAAGGTAAATAAATTTTCAGTGTCATTCTGGGGCCCATGCTAGATCCTCTTGGCAATGCTTTAACATCTTTCTATTCTTCTTACTCTTTCCTGTTTTTGGATTTTCCCTCTGTCATGCAGTCCTCATTTGCCACAGCCATTAATTGGTTACCCTCTCTGAAGGTTGACATTTCACGTTTCCCATAACGACAGGATGAAACCACCTCATTGGATCTCAGAATGTGAAGCTCTACGTAAAAGTAAAATTACACAGACGTAATGTGTATACTAGATAATTTACTTTTCATAAGATATGAGAGATATGCATAGTTTGAACAAATCCTCAGTTTCAATGAGATTTAACTAATCCCAGAAGATTCTGATGATATGAAAATGAGATTGCACTCAAACACATTCTCGAACTGCAATTTATCCATCACAACAGCAAAGGGCCCCATGGAGGCACCAGGGAGATGATAATTTCAGTTCCATGTAACAGGTTGCACTTCCCTTCCTTTTGATTTTCAAAATAGAATAAAAAATAATGACACAACAGGGTTTTTCTCCCTTGCCATATTCCTTTGTAAAAATCCCCTTTTGGGAGGGTAAGGCAGAAGGAGCATGAGATCAAGAGATTGAGACCATCCTGGCCAACATGGTGAAACTCCGTCTCTACTAAAAATACAAAAAAATTGGCTGGGCCTGGTGGCATGCGCCTGTAGTCCCAGCTACTCAGAAGGCTGAGGCAGGAGAATTGCTTGAATCCCGGAGGCAGAGGTTGCAATGAGCCGAGATTGCACCACTACACTCCAGCCTGGTGACAGAGCAAGATTCCATCTCAAAAAAAAAAAAAAAAAAAAAAAAAAATCCCCTTGAGTGGTTATTTCATTGAATCTGAGCAAACAACTATTTTTTGTCTTTTTTTCCCCCAGGGGGTACCCAGCACTGAGAAAGCACTGTTTTGAATGTATTGTCACCACCCACTTTTCCAGGTATTTTGTTGTGGCTTCTGCAGGGCCAAAATTCTCCATTTTAGCAAGAGCCAGGGTTTATGCCTTCCCCCGTATAGACTCCTGGAAATCAGGCAGAAAAAAGTCTTCACCCACTTTATGTGTCTCTTTGTGTAACTTCATAAAGCTTCAGCCCTTGAGTCCCACTCTGATTCCAGGCACTAAAAAGCTTTTTCTAAGAGTTGAATCCTTGATATGATAAGTAAGCCTGCATGGGACCATCATGAGTAGCTCTTCCTCATCAGGCCACTGTAACATTAATGTCTATCCTATAGCCTGGTGTTTGTCAACGGGCCACTCTGAGACCAAAGGGAACCTGGTCAGGAAAAAGCCCTCTGCCTTACATTGTTGGTACCAGGGGATATCAGATGTTGTCTAAGACTTTCAAAGATACCCTGACAAATAATGGATCTGACGGCACTGTCTAAATGAGACATCAAGAAACAGGACATGGGCCGGGCATGGTGACTCATGCCTGTGATAATCCTAGCACTTTGGGAGGCCGAGGCAGGCAGATCACCTGAGGTCAGGAGTTCAAGACCAGCCTGGCCAACATGGCAAAACCCCGTCTGTACTAAAAATACAAAAATTAGCCAGGTGTGGTGGTGGGTGCTACAATCCCAGCTACTCAAAAGGATGAGACAAGGAGAATTGCTTGAACCTGGGAAGCAGGGTTGTAATGAGCCTAGATCTCACCACTGCACTCCAGCCTGGGCAACAGAGCAAGACTCCGTCTCAAAAAAACAAAAATAAAAACAAACAACAAAAAAGAAATAGAACATGAATTTGCTTGTACATGGAATCACCTGATGCACAACGGTATGGAGCTGAGGCCCACAGGGAGCAAGTATGAGGCACGAGTACTTGCACTCTAAAATGGAGAATCCTGCAGATATACCTTCTTACTACTGGAACTACTACTGTCCATTCTGAAGATGCTTTGAGCTGGTATTCCGAAGATTCAGAGAGTAATTGCTTGTCATCAATGAACTCAAGTTAAATGATGCTCGTCCTTTACCCAAAGACAGTCAGCCACATTCTTACTCAGACCATGGGACCATTTGAACTTGCTTTTGAGGTTCTAGAAATGCAAGGGGGAAAGGCAGGTAGGCTGCAGAGGGTTTAAGCAGGTAGACTCAAGGAAGACTGCCTGTGTTTACATACCACCAACTCAAGCACTTATTGCTGAGTAGCTTCTCACTCAGTGCCATCCTCTGCAGCACAATGATGATGGTAAGTGCTACTTATTGGCTGTTGTGTTGGTCAAGAAGAGAGCATGTGTAAGGCACTCAGCACAGTGCCAGGCTCTCAGTAAACACTCAATTAATATTACATATTATTAGGATCACTAATTATTATGTGGAGTCTCACTGCCCAAATCCAGAAATTGTCTCCTGACTACCCATTAAAGAAGGAAAAAGGGCTGGGTGAGGTGGCTCACACGTGTAATCCCAGCTACTTGGTAAGCTGAAGTGGTAGGACTACTTGAGGCCAGGAGTTCGAGACCAGCGTGGCCAACATAGTGAAAACCTGTCTCTATAAAAATAAAATAAAGGTTTCTAGAACCACCAAAATGATTGATTCACAAAAGGGTAAATGGTTTCCAAGCTGTTGCGTGTCTTATAGAATGAACACCTGGTCTAAAATCCTACACAATGGCACCATAGTTTTAAAACACATACACACACACACACACACACACACACCCCAAACATTTGCAGGGTACTTCAGTGCACTCACTACAAATCTGATCGTCACAAAAACTCCTGAGGAGCAGATACAATTTTTTTTACTTTATAGCTCTATGAAAAAAACACGCTGGTGGAATTTGGTCTCAAAGCCAAATTTTCTTATTCTAAAACCTCTCTTCTTTCCACCATACCATAAAAGAAAATGTGCCTTAACTGGTATATTGGTGTTCCATCTGAGTGATGTGCACATTGCATAAAGCTATCTGGATGAGAGGGATGGGTGGTGCTGAAATCTAGCCCCAGCCCTGCGTGGAAGCCTGTGCCTTTCTGGTGACATAGCTCAGAAAGGATATCTTTTTCTAAGTGCACAATGCCCACATAGGCCCTACTCAGGTAACGGCTCAGAAGTCAGGCTCTTAACCATAAGTCTATGCTCACTAGTCTGCTGTCCCTAGAAGTAGTACCAGTTGAAAATGCAAATTCAAAGGAGTATTGATAAACATACGAATAACATATAATATGCAGTGGTTTTAATTTATTAAATGGGAATGAGACTTAGAGGTATGGGAGATATTATACCTTAATCTTCTCCAGTTGACCTCCAAGACATCAAGTCTCCATGGACAGTTGCTTGTCTTTGTCAGAGACCTGTCACAGGTCTTATTTAGAAAGAAAACCAAACACTAATGGATATCTTTGGGCAGTTGCAAAATATTTAAATCTGCAAATACATTCTGCCTTAATAGCCAGATACTATTGTAAGATGTCTCAAATATAATTACAAGAAGACTTTTGGGAAATTAGAACACCTTTCCCATTTAGGACATTGTTACTGTTTACTCACCCATGTTCTCCAAGTCCTAAATAAAACACTGCTCAGTTCTTTCTTCCTCTCATTAAGTACTTATTTAATTAACTGAAATGAAATCTGGTGTTGGTCGGGTAACATCAGCCACACCATTACAAGTTAAAACCAGTTTCAACATAGAACTCAAGTCTTCCACAGCTGTCTGTACCAAGGAACATAACACCCCATCAAGCCCTAAAATTCCTTCACTGTTAACAGGAAACCAGGGTTTTTTTTGGTGGAAAGGGTGATTATTTGAATCAGTAACACTTTGGGGCAAATTTCAAGGATGCTTAATGAATATCAGGAAATGAAAATTCCTATTGATACAATCCAACAGATAATATATATGTAAATTATAACAATATACATCATGGTGACACTGTACAATACAATCGCCACTATAAAAATAGCTTCTGACTACTGATTTCAGTTACAGCATGAACTCTCCAATTTCCCCAGTCCTCATCACTGCAGACTGTCTCCTTGACGTTAGAGCTGAGTGTCAGTTTCCATTTATCACCTTGTACTCTTAAAATTAAAACTACAAGCATTGTTCATAGAAATGTACCTCTATAGCCATAAGCTGTATCTCCATCCATGGTGGAAAAACAAAAAATAAAGAGAACTACATATTTTAAAATATTTAGGAAAAGGTATCTATCTACACAATAAAGAATATTCCTAATTGTTTAAAGTTTTGAAAATTTGACTTTTACAATACAGACAATATGCCTCTTTCCTTACTCCCCTTTGAAAATAATTATGTGATTTTTTTTTAAATGCCAAGAGTTATTAAATGTCCAGATACCAATCCCTCCTTTGTTCAGCTGATGTCAGGACCAGACTTGCCCAAGAAAAGAAAAAGTCTTTCAAGAGAAATCTGGGAGATGTTTTCTACACCCTTCAGGTTTTTCCGGGACAAAAATTTGATTCTCTGTAATGCCTAGACCTCCATTTTCCCTATTAATTTCAACAAACACCGCTACAACTTTAAACTAAACATTATATTCTTATTATGTGTGTTTACATACTCATTTCCATGAAGTCATAATCTTATTGACTATACCTGGGCAGTCTGGACAAATGGCCTCCAGATATCTGTTAAGTAGGTTTTCTGCCTGTTTCTACTTTGAGTGTCCTTGAATGAAGTCTTCACAGGGTATATGGAATCTAAAGGTTCATGAAAACTCAAGGTACATGGAACTGCCTATGCGTTCTGTTTAACTCTATATGTGACATAAAAATAATGCACTATACCATTTCCAAAGAAATAAGCAATAGTCATTCTGTTTCACCTAGATTCAAAAAAACAAATGGGCTGACAACTTACCATTCCAAATAGTTATTGTAAACAACATTTTTCTTTTATTTTCCTCTTCTTCCTTTCCTCCCTCCTTCTCTCCTCCGCTCTTCCTCCCTCTTCCTTTCTTCCTTCCTTCCTTCTTTCTAATGAACCTCTGCTCCATGTGGACAAGGCTCTTTCATGTATACTATCCTTACATGGTAAATGCTATTACCGAGCTGATGGCCACTTTGTAGATTTTTGATACTGCCATTGCCACGGATCCTGATTTTGTTGAGTAGATGGAGGATACTTTGCTTTTTGGATTTTTCTGATTTTTTTGAGACACAGTCTCACTCTATCTCCTGGGCTGGAGTGCAGTAGCACTTCACTGCAACCTCTGCCTCCCAGGACTCAAGCAATCCTCCCATCTCAGTCTCCCGAGTAGCTGGAACCACTGGCACGTGTCACCACACTCAGCGAATTTTTCATATTTGTTGTAGAGATGGGGTTTCGCCATGTATCCCAGGCTGGTCTTGAACTCCTGGGCTCAAGCTATTCACCCACCTTGGCCTCCCAAAGTGCTGGGATTACAGGCACGAGCCACCACACCCAGCCAGATGGTGGATACTTTGATAAGAGAAAACTACATTGAGGAACACAGAATCCTAATACCATATTAGGCCATACATAACGCAGGCCAGGTGCGGTGGCTCACTCCTATAATCCCAGTGCTTTGGAAGGCTGAGATTGGAAGATTGTTTGAGGCCAGCCATTCAAAACCAGTCTGGGCAACATAGTGAGACCCCCATCTCTACAAAAAAATTTTTTTTAGTTATCAGGATATGGTGGGGTGTACTGTAGTCCCAGCTATTCTGGAGGTTGAGGTGGGAAGAACGTTTGAGCCAAGGAATTTGAGGCTGCAATGAGCTATGATCAAGCTGAATGCACTCCAGCCTGGGTGACAGAGCAAGACCCTGTCTCTAAAATAAAAATAATAAACACAAATTTGAAAAACCTAATTAATGTTTTTTGCTTTCAGTATCTCATTTAACCCTCACAATAAACATGTGAGGTGGTAGGAGGAATCACTCCCATTTTCAGATAAAAAGCAGTCTCAAAGAAGTTAAGAACTACATTCGCATATTTAGCAGACACCACTGCTGGGTTTCCTTACATTCCAGAAAGGCCTTTAAGACAGCAAACTCCAAAAATGTTTAAACTCTTTCATTGCACATATAATTTACAATGAAAGATTAAATATAGAATTTCCCTTTATCAAATTCTTTCAACCTGCCCAAATAATTTCAAACAGAAAGAGATATTCTCTTTGACATTTATATTCTGTTTGAAGGACATTCCTAAGGCCCTTTGAAAGATGATTAACCCTAAAGAAACTGCCTACATTTACTAAGCTTTTTGAAAATACTATTGCCCACTCTGCATAACCATTATGGGCTCTCTAAGACAAAGATCTGGCTCATGAATAAGAGTGGAAAAAGAAAAGTATTTATCTAAGGACTTTATAAAATCCTGTGTTCATCTAAACTTTAATGAAATGGGTTATAGGCACATCAGAAATAAAAATCTGCAAGTGACTTTTATAAGCATATATGTCAGCTGGGCATGGTAGCTCACGCCTGTAATTCCAATACTTTGGGACATTGAGGCAGGAGGATCACTTAAGCACAAGAGTTGGAGACTAGCCTGGGCAACATAGTGAGACCCATCTCTACTAAAAATCACAAAAAATTAGCCGGGCATCATGTATGTGTCTGTACTCCCAGCTACCTGTGGACTGAGGCAGGAGAATCACTTGAGCCCAGGAGTTCAAGGCTGCAGTGAGCTATAATTGCACCACTGCACTCCAGCCCAGATGACAGAGCAAAACCCTGTCTTAAATAAGTAAATAAAAATAAAAGTGTACATGTCAAAGTTTAGTACAGTTATTGCACAGTGAATAGCAAGACCTACTGTGGCGTACAATAACATCCAATTGAGCACAGTCCCTGTGACAAACTGAAATGACAACAACAACAAGAGATAAGAGCTGTCTTTTGCTAGACAACCAGAGTGTTTACTGGCACTAAGAAAGCGGGGATGGATCACAGCTCATTATACATATTTCTAGCAAGGATACAACCTAACCTACTTATGTTGTAAAAAAGTTACCGAGTGCTTTTCTGGGCAAACACACCCTGAAACTGGAATGATACTGACAAGATTATCAGGCTTCTGAAAAATAATGATCCACAAATTTATGAGTCATTTACAAAAAGAAAGCTACATGATACCTCCCTAGAATATACCATGAAGCTGAGGTTGTCAGGAAGGAAAATTGGGTTTTATTAGGGAGAGAGTGAGGGGGAAGGAGAGAGTGAGGGGGAAGGAGACAGTGGGCTCAGAGGAACAGGTGAGATCAGATAAACAGATTAAAGTCAAAGGGCATCTGGACACGATGGCTCACATCTGTAATCCCAGCACTTTGGGAGGCCAAGGTGGGTGGATCACTTGAGGTCAGGAGTTTGAGACCAGCCTGGCCAACATGGTGAAACCCCATCTCTACTAAAAATACAAAAATTAGCCAGGCATGGTGGTACGTGCCTATAATCCCAGCTACTTGGAAGTTTGAGACAGGAGAATTGCTTGAACCCGGGAGGCAGAGGTGCAGTGAGCCAAGATCATGCCGCTGTACTCCACCCTGGGTGACAGAGTGAGACTGTATCTCAAAAAATAAATGAATAAATAAAATAAAGTCAAAGGGCAAATGGCATCCTCTTCCTAAGGATCAGTGGCTACACTCAAGCAGAGCCATATTTGAGAAACTAGAGGTGACCCCACTGCAAAACAGAGAACAGGAAGAAAGAGGGGTTTGCAGTTCTCATGATGAAGATTAGCCTCCTGACAGTTAAGTAGAGCAGAGTATGATCTGTAGGGTTAGCCATGCTATTCAATCAGAACTGTACAATGATTAGGCTGAGAGCTGAATTGTAGAGTGCAAAAAGGAAATGCCAACACACTGTGCTGTATCTGGACCCCACTCTTCTCTCCATTCCCCTGTGGGGAAGCAGAATTAGCAAGAGGCAACCAGTGGAGTCACTTGTCAGAACTGCATGCTCTTTATCAGCAGTCTCCAATCTTTTTGGCACCAGGGAGCAGTTTAGTGGAAGGCAATTTTTCCATGGCCAAGGGTGTGGGGGCAGCAGGGGTGGGAATGGTTTCGGGATGAAACTGTTCCACCTCTGATCATCAGGAATTAGATTCTCGTAAGGAGCCCACAATCTAGATCCCTTGCATGCGCAGTGCACAGTAGGGTTGGCGCTATTAGAATCTAATGCTGCTGCTGATCTGACAGGAGGCAGAGCTCAGGAAGTAATGCTTGCCTTCCTGAGTACTGGACTGCGCCTTGGGGTTTGGGGACCCCTGCTCTACATTACAGAGAATCCTAGTGAGGGGCCCCTGAGCGGAAGATCTGCAGGAAGAGGGACAGCCAGGGCAACATCAGTTCCTAGATTAAGGAAAGACCCTCCATTTTCTTATTCCATGCCCTGTTCCCTCTCTCCCTCCATTCTCTATCTCTCTGTCTATCTCTGCCTGAATAGCTCTCTCTCCCTGCACCCTCCCTTCTCTCTCTCTCTCTCTCTCTCTCTCTCTCACACACACATACACACACACACACTCACATTCACATCCATAGGGTCTTCCCCACAATAAGAAACTAAGAGCTGTGGTTGAAGGGATCCACATCTGGGTACCAGGATAAGAGTAAGAGACAAGCACTAACATGTTTATCATTTTGTAGTCACAGACAGTGATACATTCCTATTGTTTAAACAATACAAAGTGAACTGAACATTTTCAACTGGTTGAAAGGCTAAGAGAATTTCCTGGAAATGATATAAGATGTCTTACAATTTATAGTAATCCTGCTGCAAGCACAATACTAAATCCCTGAAAATCGCTTTGGTGGAAAATTTGGAGTTGAGGAATGTTAGACATTAGGATATCGGCTCTTAATTCTTTGATTCACAATCTAATTTAAGAAGCTGATAAAAAGTGGAGCCTCAGTTCCAGAAAAATACACCTTCACAGTTAATTCCACCAATCTTGTATATAATCTCACATTATTCAAGGACCTCCTGAAATTGCTACCAGTTTCAAGTACTGCTAAAAGAAAAAATCGATTTGGGAGCCAACGTTGTAATGATCCTATGAAAACTTTAATAATAATTTTATGTCCACAAGGAAAAATAAACCAGATATTAAACAAAGAAAATCTTCATGACATTTAACACAAATTACATTAATGAAAATCAACATGGTATGTCAAACTTGCATTTCTCCTCTCTTGTTCTCTAGAAACTATGAAAGGAAAATCTTGGGACCTCAAACTCACTATGCTGAAAGGGAGAAGTTAGGCTTGGGAACCGAGTTATGCAAAAACTGCCTTCCTTTTGTTCCCAAACAGATAGCTGTAATTTCACATGCTTACTTTATCTTATGTAAAAATGTGGATTTGCTGAGCATGAGATGAATGCATAATTGACCCCCCCTTTCTTTTCACATGTAAAATGTAGATTCATTGAGGACTAATCAGAGCCTCCTAAGAATGTAACCACTTGCTTCATTGCCTACCTCTCTCTCCCTTTTTACTCCCCTCCTTCTTGCTCTTTCCCCTTTAAATATTGAAATTCCCAAAACCATCTTTGGAAAAAGCACAGGACACAGATCCTACTGTGACTTGTGTTTCCTTTTCCCTGGTACATCCTCAACCTTGGCAAAATAAACCTCTAAATTGAGATCTGTTTTAGACACTTTTTGGCTTACAAAACTTTTTGAGAGTGACCACCCTCACAATAAGCATGAATATTTGTCTTCTTTGTTGAACATTCATACAAACAAGTCTTTCCTTGTCTAGTCTTCCAGTCAAATGTCCAATGCCCTCTTAATTTTATATCTTGGAATGGCTCTATATTGTGGTCCCAAAGACAGCTGGACTTAGAAGCCTTAAAATGGGGAAAGACTGGAAAACTTTTTTGAGAAAATCCACATAGTTTTCACACTTCCCCCTGGCATACAGTTATATAACTATAATCCATGACAAACAATGGCCAATGACATCAAAACATGGGAGAAGGGAGAAGGTACAGCCTCACTCTACTAGCTCCCTCATTTCCACACTCAAGACTAAATTTTGTTTTGTTTTGTTTTGCTTTTTGAGATGGAGTTTCGCTCTTGCTGCCCAGGCTGGAGTGCAATGGCGCAACCTCCACCTTCTGGATTCAAGTGATTCTCGTGCCTCAGCCTCCCAAGTTGCTGGGATTACAGGCGTGTGCCACCATGCCAACTGTGTATTATTAATAGAGACGGAGTATCTCCAAGTTGGTCAGGCTGGTCTCAAACTCCTGACCTCAGGTGATCTGCCCACCTCCCAAAGTGCTGGGATTACAGGCTGAGCCACCGCACCTGGCTCAAAACTGAATTTTTAAGACTGGAACTCACTTTGCCCAAGTTTCCTTTAGCTTTCTAAAGGATGCACTGTAAGATCATCTTCCTCCCTCCTTTTGTAAAAATAATATCCCATTTTAATCCTTTTCTTTTTCTAAACTCAATCAAAAATGAGTACAAATCCAAGCTCTGCCTATGCTACCAGGGTTTCCTCAGGTAAATACTTCTCTGAGAACTCAGTTTCCTCATATATAAAGGGGAATAATATCTAACCTACAAGGTTATTATGACAATCAATTAAAGAATGAAAAAGTTCTCAGCAGGATGCCTGAATCACAGATTTTCGGCAAATTTTAGCTCTTCTGTCTATATATTGTCTATGCTAATTATAAAATGAATTTTTAAAAATTCATTTGTACATATTACCAAAATGTAGAATTTTCCTTATTAAGAGGCATTAAAGCTGGGCACAGCGGTACATGCCTATAGTCCCAGCTACTAGGGAAGCTGAAGTGGGAGGATCGCTTGGGGCCAGGAGTTCAAGACCAGCCTAGGCAATAACAAGACCCTATCATATTGAAAAAAAAAATTTTTTTTAAACAGAAGCATTAAAAGTAATCTAGAAGAAACAGAATTAGATAAACAAGAGTTCCCTTTTGTTTGTTCAGTGTAAACAGAGACCAAATCCTTAATGTTCTGCTTGATCTTCACTCTAGCAAGTATCTGTCCAGCATGCCTTAGAATAATGGAGCTGAAAAGGTAGGAGTGGAGGTACAGTTATGGGTGTGCATTTCTGACATCACCTCATGGAACTTCATCTAGCTTTGTGCTCCTTGCACCCAGATATAAAGTAAAAGAGTTGATTTTAGGCCCCTGATTAATAATCTCTAGACCCCTGAACTTCAGTCCAGAGGCTGAGTCATACAACAGGCCTCTTCCAAATGAATAGCTGTTCCTAACACTATGTATTAGCCAAGTTCCCATGGAAAGGTAAAAGGCCTCAGGCATCTGCTGAAGGACTGCTCTAAAAGATCTTTAATAAGTAAATTCTTTTCTGGATTTCCAAAAACAGGGACAGACAATTTTAACTTGAGGTCAACAATCTAAGTCTAGCTCCTAAAACTAAAGTGTTTTCCACACCAGTAATACCCAATTACAATCTCATCTTCCTGGGTGCAGGAGAAAGACAAGGTTCATTTCCTCCACCTACCCAGAGAGGGTCTACATAATGAACTCCCCCTTTACTCGCTCTTTCTCTTCAAACATTCACCTTATCTTATGTAAAATGCAGGTTCACTAGGCACTAATTAAAGTGTCCCAGGAATGTAACCATTGCCTTACATCATACCTTCCCCTTTTCCCACATGCCTTCCCCTGCTTTAAGGAAATGTAAACATATTAAACCTCTGGAAAACCTCTTTGGAAAAACAGCCACAGATGTGTCTGTGCTAGTGTTTTTCCCAGACATGCCCTAAAGCTGGCTTAATAAATAGAGAGGAGTGAGACTTATACCTCAATCACTCATTTTGGCTGTCAATTTCATCCAAATGAAAGTTCCTAACTTAGATCTCCAGTGGAGAGTTAGAAGGAAAATCTTAATGGATTTCCTGAGTGGATCTCACAACTAGAAAATCTAGCAATCTAATGTTCCCTGAAAGAATATGTAAATAACCTATAAACCAAAAATAAAATTCTAAGCCCTCCAACCAACTGAATGGACCTCTCCTCTCAGCCAAGGGACTTCAAAAGTAAACTGAAAAACTAGTTCAGGCCATGGTAGGAAGAATAGAGCAGGGTGGGGTGGTGAGGGCTGTCAGTCATACCTCATTATAATCTCCTCCCTTTGGAATTCCAGAAAAACTGACCAGTATTAACATTAAAACAGAGATCTGAAGACTTACAAAACAGATTCTTTGTAGGAAGAAGATACCAAACTCCAACGTGACTCTAGTATAGCATTACATGAGAAATAGCAGGCCCTAAAGAAAGAAATTGAAGTATTTTACCCCAAAATATTTCTTTGACATATTTAAAGTGGCCCTGCAAAGCTATCTCTTGTGGGGGAAATCTACATTTTGCAGAGAATCCCTTTCCCTTTCCAAATCTCCTCCAGATCCAGAAGAGATTTAATTAAGAATCTAGCACCTTTTAAGATCTGATCAGAGACATTTATCAGGCCAGGTGTGGTGCCTCACGCCTGTAATCCCAGCAATTTGGGAGGCTGAGACAGGCGGATTGCTTGAGCTCAGGAATTCAAGACCAGACTGGGCAATGTGGTGAAACCCTGTCTGTACAAAAAAATACAAAAATTAGCTAGGTGTAGTGGCATGTGCCTGTAGTCCCAGCTACTTGAGAGGCTGAGGTGGGAGTATGGCTTGAGTCCAGGAGGCAGAGGATGCAGTGAGCAGAGATCATGCCAATGCACTCTAGCCTAGGCGGCAGAGCCAGACCCTGTCCAGATAAAAACAAAAACAAAACAGAGACATTTACCATCTTTCTCGCTAAAGCCTGCTATCTGGAGGCTTCATCTACATAATAAAAATCTTGATCTCCACAACCCCTTATCTTAACCCAGAAACTCCTTTCTATTGATTCCAAGTCTTTAGACAATAACTTAACTCTTCCAATCAATTGCCAATCAGAAAATCTTTGAATCCACATATGACCTGGAAGCCCCCTCCCTTTTGAGTTGTCCTACCTTTCCAGACCAAACCAATGTACACCTTACATGGGTTGGTTCACGTCTGCCTGTAACTTGTGCCCCTAAAATGTACAAAATCAAGCTATAACTCAATGACCCCGGGCACATGTTCTCAGGTCCTCCAGAGGCTGTGTCATGGGTCATGGTCCTTACATTTGGCTCAATAAATCTCCTTAAATATTTTACAGAGTTTGGATTTTTTCATCAACAAAGCTAACAGCAAAACTGTGACATGCCATTTGAAATCAACTAGAAGCCAGTGGCAATTGCAGAACACCTTAAAAAATGACTCGCCGGGCACAGTGGCTCACACCTGTAATCCCAGCACTTTGGGAGGCTGAGGCAGGTGGATTATGAGGTCAGGAGTTTGAGACCAGCCTGGCCAATATGGTGAAACCCCGTCTCTACTAAAAATACAAAAATTAGCTGGGCATGGTGGCGGGCATCTGTAGTCCCAGTTACTCAGGAGGCTGAGGCAGGCTAATTGCTTGAACCTGGGAGGTGGAGGTTGCAGTGAGCCGAGATTGCACCACTGCATTCCAGCCTGGGCAACAGAGTGAGACTCTGTCTCAAAAAAAAAAAAAAAAAAAAAAAAAGACTGACTCATCCACTGGGCTTTTTAGAATGCACATCTGACAAGAAAAGAAAACAAAGAAAAGCAGAAGGTGGGTTATTGACTTCTTCACAGTTCTCTAGTTTCACTAGTAGAGGATGTTTTCAAATTACAAATTTCTAGTAACTATACATACACACACTCCCCACAAACCCCCAAAGAGAAAAGGTGACCCCTCCTCCTGTCTTTCCCACTCCAGTCCTCTCCCTGGTGATTCCAGTTTGCCATTCTCAGAGAGGACTATTTGTGCAAGAAGGAAACAGAAGAGAAAAGAGAGAAGAAAGAAGGTGCAGGGGCAGGGGAGAGAGGAGGAGCAGGAGGAGGAGGAGGAGGAGGAGAAAGAGAAAGAAAGAAACTACCTTTTACTGGTAGAGCTTTCAAAATGTACATACAGTATCAGGAAGGGAGGAAAAGGAAGGGAAGGAAGGAGAGAGAAAGGAAGGGATGGAGGGAGGGAGGAAGGAGGAAAGGAAGGAGGGAAGGACAGATGGAAGGAGTTACGTAGAAACAATTTAAGGTTGCTGATCAAAAATTATCTTCTCCAAAAAGCCTGAGTATTTGACTTAATGTTGTCAAACTGCCTAAATATCAGACAGATATCCATTTGCTTTAACAGCATCCTTCAGAAAATGTAATGTCTCTGTAAACTGCAGAACTCTTCCATTACTCACACATTGCTGTGAATTAGAGCCAGTTGCCTCCTAATACCTACATGAGATCATCACCAAGGGAGGACAATGATGGGACAATCATCTATGAATGGTTCTTTATGTTTCCTGTATTTTACATGACTTATCTCAGATTCTTCATAACGGGTGCTAAAACGTTATTAAGCCACATTTTAAATAAGGGAATTAAGCTCAGAGAGGAAGAGAAACTTTGCAAATCACATGTCCAACAGGTGGAGCTGTGATTTGAATCCAGCTGTCTGCTTACTAAGTGAAGGACTAAAGAGTAGAAGTCAGTGAGGGAGGCAGAGAACACAAAGACGCTGTGCAAAGAGCCACCCTCAGGGCTTTTGTCTGTGGCATTCCCTGCACACTGCTGTGCCATGAAGCAGGCATGGGCTTCCACCTCCAAGACTCAGAACTCAAGGTGGTACCTACCACAGCTGTTGGCATTGTAAGCTGCCTAGGTCCACATAATTACAAATCCTGTTCTGTACATAACTACAAAACAGGCTTTTGTGGTCAGGCCTGGGAACCATATCACAATTCACAATCTGACTCTTCATAAAGTGGGTCCTCTCTGTGCATGAGGAAGGCAAAGCAGAAAGGATATGCAGTGTCCCTAGAGCAGCAGGTCTGCCTCAACCTTTCAAATTCCTCAAATTTCTAGGACGCTTGGAGTAAATTTTTTCTTGCCTAGTTTTTGTGGCCAGTTTACAAACACCCAGAAGTTGTTAAATGTCATGTCAAATCCTGCACAAATTATAAGCATTCATTCCCACGGTTTCTTTGTAGAATAAATCAGTCTCAAGAGAAATTGGTATGGACAATGGAATTCTGTGAACAAAATTATCTTAAAGTTGATAATAATAATGGGATGGAGGTGGGGGGGATTCATGGGACAAGCAAGCAAAATCTGCTTTTGTCTGGTCATGTTTCCTGTCAGCAGCATTTTCCTATTAATAATATGTATTATGAGCCAACTCCACACACAGCTATAGACTACTGCCCACCCCAACACATAGAAGTCACCAATATAAACCAAAAATAAAATTCTGACCCCCCAACTGACTGAATGGACCCTTTCTCTCAGCCAAGGGAACTTCAAAGAAACCAAAAAACTAGTTCAGGCCATGATGGGAAGGTGGGTTTTCAGACATGCTTCATTATACCCTTCTCCCTTTCAAATTCAGGCACAACTGACCAGCATTAACATTAAAACAGAGATCAGGTCACTTTTCTGATCCTAAAGAGATTAGCTAGGTGTCTAGCACCTTTTAAAGGTCTGAGTAGAAAACACTTGCCATCTATTCCCACTAAGGGCATCCACCTGTGAGACCTCATCTACGTAAGAGCCTTGGGGCCCTGGCTGTGGCTCACACCTGTAATCCCAGCAATTTAGGAGACCAAGGTGGGTGGATCACCTGAGGTCAGGAGTTTGAGACCAGCTTGACTAACATAGTGAAACCCCGTCCCTACTAAAAATACAAAATTAGCTGGGTGTGGTGGCACACACCTGTAGTCCCAGCTACTTCAAAGGCTGAGACAGGAGAATCGCTTGAACCTGGGAGATAGAGATTGCAGTAAGCCGAAATCTTGCCACTGCACTCCAGCCTGGGTGACAGAGCAAGAGTGTTTAAAAAAAAAAAAAAAAAAAAAAAAAGAATCTCAGTCTTCACAACCCCTTACCTTTACCCAGTCACTCCTTTCTATTCACAACTCCTATCTTAACCCAGTCACTCTTTTCTATTGATTCCAGATCTATAGATAATAACTCTTTAAACCAATTGCCCATCAGAAAATCTTTCAATCCACCTGTTACCTGGAAGCCCCACCTCTTTGAGTAGTCCTGTCTGCCCAGACAAAACCAATTACACCTTACATATACTGATGTCTTATGTCCATCCCCCTAAAAAGTATAAATCCAAACTATAACCCAGCCACCTTGGACACCTTGGACATGTTCTCAGGACCTCTTGAGAATGTGCCTTGGACCACAGTCACTCATATTAGGCTCAGAATAGACTTCTTTAAATATTTTACAGAGTTTGATTCTTTTCATTGACACCAATTATAACATTAAGTTCCATTAGGAGCTAACATAAATTTTAACTGCTTTTGTATTACAGTTGACCTTTAAACAACATGGGTTTGAACTGCCTGG
The DNA here is from genome assembly GCF_000001405.40 of Homo sapiens. Classification (NCBI taxonomy): domain Eukaryota; kingdom Metazoa; phylum Chordata; class Mammalia; order Primates; family Hominidae; genus Homo; species Homo sapiens. Next base: position 140,745,406 of record NC_000004.12, read on the forward strand.
ATCTACTCACACAGGGATTTTCTTCAGCCTCTGTCACCTGAGACAGCAATACCAATCCCTCCAACTCCTCTTCCTCAGCCTACTCAACTTTGTGAAGACGATGAGGACAAAAACCTTTATGATGAACCACTTCCATTTAATGAACAGTAAATATACTTTCTTTTCCTTAGGATTTTCTTAATAACACTTGCTTTTCTAGCTTGCTTTATAATAAGACTGCAGTATATAATACATATAACAAAAAATATGTGTAATCAACTGTTAATGTTATCAGTAAGGCTTCTGGTCAACAGTAGGTTATTAGGAGTTAAGTTTTGGGGGAGTCAAAAATTATACAGATTTTTGACTGCATGGGGGATTGGCATCCCTAACCCCCTGTGTATTTATAAATAAATACACAAGCACTACTAGTTGCAACTTTACTAATACAGTACTTACAAGCTGGCAAGATGAAAGCATTTATCCTAAAAACATACACCTCCTAACCAGTCAGGGCTTCATGAATATCACTTTGTTATTTCTCATACATTTCTGGGAATTATTTGGTTGTTTGATTATAAAATGGAAAGTCTCCCTAGTTGTGGAGGTCTCCACTGAATGCACTATGTCAAATTCCTGGACAGTCCAATGCTCTAACTCAGATGGAACAATTTGATATGGACTTAATTAGTCTGCACTCTTACCATCTCCATGCCTATGTTCTCAAATCTCCCGAATTTGTTCACCCATGTTTCATCTCAAGGTTAATAATGTGACCCAACAAAAACTGGCTTTTTCTTTTAAATCTTTGTAAAGTTCAGCGCCCTAAACATAGTTGATACACAAACACATTTCTGAGAGAACAGCTTACTGAAGGAATCACACATTTGATTTTGTATAACGAGAAACTGTCTCCATCTCTTGAGATATTTTAACTTGAAGCCCCTACGTTCTAATTCACCTGAGATCCATTAAACTCCTAAAATTGCATGCAATTTTTTGGAGTGCTTTCATTTTTCTCAAGGTAGAGTCCATAGCTTTTATTAGATTTTCAAATGGGGGGTGGTTATAAGAGGAAAATAAGATTAATATACACCATTATAATTAATCTATTAGTCCATTTTCATGCTACTGATAAAGACATATCTGAGAGGGGGCAATTTACAAAAGACTGTGGTTTAATTGACTCACAGTTCCACATGGCTGGGGAGGCCTCATAATCATGGTGGAAGATGAAGGAAGAGCAAAGGGACGTCTCATATGGCATCCAGCAAAGAGAGAAATAAGAGCCAAGCGAAAGGGGTTTCCCCATATAAAGCCATCAGATCTCGTGAGACTTATTCACTACCATGAAACGGTATGGGGGAAACCGCCCCCATGATTCAATTATTTCCACTGGGTCCCTCCCACTCAAGTGAAAATCATGGGAGCTACAACTCAAGATGAGATTTGAGTGGGGACACAGCCAAAGCATATCAGTCTTGTAAAGAATACTAAATAGGACGGGCGCAGTGGCTCATGCCTATAATCCTAGCACTTTGGGAGGCAGAGGCAGGAGGACTGCCTAAGCTCAGGATTTTGAGACCAGCCTGGGCAATATAGTGAGACCCCATCTCTATTAAATAAAAATAAAAAATAAATAAATAAATAAATAAATGCATATAAAGAAGAATACTAAATAGGCTGGATATGGTGGCTCATGCCTGTAATCCCAGCACTTTGGGAGGCCTAAATGGGCAGATCATCTGAGGTCAGAAGTTTGAGACTGGCCTGGCCAACGTGGTGAAAGCCCTCCTCTACTAAAAAAATACAAAAAAATTAGCCAGGCATGGTGGCATGCACCTGTAGTCCTAGCTACTTGGGAGGCTGAGGTAGGAGAATCGCTTGAACTCAGGAGGTGGAGATTGCAGTGAGCCAAGAGTGTGCCACTGCACTCCCGCCTGGATGACAGAGAGAGACTCTGTCAAAAAAAAAAAGAATAATAAATACAAAATCAAATAGGCTCACACTTATTAGGTGTGGGACCTAGGGTAAATCACTCAATCTCTTTAAGGCCTTAGTTTCCTTTTCTACATACTGAGGATAATAATAGCATCTACCTTATAATGTCAGATAAGATAATCTATACCAATATCAACTAATCAGGACAACTATACAAACTGGACAAAATATATTTCAAAATATCAAAAAATAAAAAGCAACAAGTTACCATACCTGAAAAAAAGACAGGCTCCAAGGGGGAGAGCTCTATATTTTAGAGTAACAATTATTTTGGGAGGCATGTGCCCCTTCCATAAGGGGCTGCTGAGTAAGCTGAGAGTCTGGATGTGCTTTTAACAGAATCCTGGACTGGGGGGACCAGGATAGGAGTTAGTACCACCAAAGAGGTAGGGCAGCTAATGATGCCACCCTTTCCTCTTTGGGTTGGGACGATGGAGGGCTATGACCTAATATAACTGTAAATCCTAAGTAGGCAAATCCACTCAAGTTAGAGCTCAGCTAGAAAATATATCAGTACCAAAAATTAGTGATTTTAGTTTGCAACTGGCAGAAAAAATTTTTCTCATAGAAAATAACATTATCTTCTCCTTCAGATTAGTTTCACAAACTAGAAGTACAAGGTCCAGTTCATAATCAAAAGTAGCCAGACATAAAAAATGACATCAGAGCATGAATGAAAATTAGGAGAAAAAACAGACAGCAGAACAGGCTTAAAAGAGCTCGAGATATTTAAGTTAATTGAGGCCTTACAAGAACCATACTTGCTCAAAAGAGACAAAAAATAAGATTGAGAATTGTAACAACTGAAAATTAGACAATGAACCAAACAGGAATATTTAATTTAAAAAAATAATTAAAAGTGGTTGGGCTGAACAGATTAAATATAGTTAAGGAGATAGTTATTAACTTGGAACAGAGATCAGAAAAAAGTAGCCAAAATGAAGTAAAACTTAAAAGGTAACAGACATAGAAGATACAATGAGATGTCTAACATACATGTAATTGGAGTGCCAGAAAGAGAGATGAGGGGATGAAGGAAAGGCCATATTTGGAGACAGTGGATGAGAATTTTACAAAACCAACGAAAGACATATTAAAGAACACCTACTACCCCTAAGCAGGATTTTTAAACATCACAAATTATCTAGATCATATTAAAACTGCAGAAGACCAAAGTCAAAGAGAAAACCTTAAAAGCAGTTAGAGAAAAAAGACATATTACTCACAAAAGAACAACAATTCAGAGTGACAGTTTACCTCAGAAGAAACGATGTCTCAACCATGCTTAAAACATATTAAGTGCCAACCATTCAAAACAAAAATATCCTTCAAGAAAGAAAGCATAATAAAGACATTTGGAGACAAACAAAAACTGAGAAAAGCTGTCACAAGCAGGTCCTCGCTAAAGGAAAGAGTAAATGATGTTTTTCTGGCAGTGGAAAACGGATTCCAGAAAAATGGTCAGAGAGGGAAGAAGAAAGTAAAACAAAAATGGTAAACGTGTAGAGATCCAACTGAATACAGACTTTAAAAATAGTAATAACTGCATGTCCTTGGGTTGAAAATATGTTAAGAATTAAAATATACTATTACAACACAAATGGTATGTAAATTGGGGGTGGGGAGTTAAAGTATTCCATGGTCTTTGCAATCTATGAGAAAATATTTAACATGTCAATTTAAAAAATAAAAAATAATGGCCAGGTGCAGTGACTGACACCTCTAATATCAGCAATTTGGGAGGCTGAGGTGGGAGAATCACTTGAAGCCAGGAGTTTGAGACCAGCCTGGGCAACATAGTGAGACCCTGGCTTTCCTTTAAAAAAATAAAAGGTAAAAAAAAAAAGTACTGGTTAATAATATAATTGGATGAGTCAAAAATGCATTTGTATTGTCCAGAATAACCACTAAAAGAATAATAAAATGAATATAAAACTTCTAGCTAATAGAGTCTCAAAAAGTGTAACTTAAAAAGAATTATTCCCATATCCCACCAAAAAGCAAGGAAGGCAAAATACAAAGAACACAAGGTAGCTAGAAAAAGTATAAAGCACTTAATAAAAGAGCAGATTTAAATCCAAGTCACATGGACATTAACTAAATAATACAATTAAGAGTCAAAAATTTTCAAAATTGAGTAAGAAAAAAGTCAACTGCCCAGGTATGGGGGCTCACACTTGTAATTCCAGCACTTTGAGAGGCCAAGGTAGGGGAATTGGTTTAGGCCAGGAGTTTGAGACCAGCCTGGCCAATATAGTGAGACCCCGTCTCTATTTATAAAAAACAATTAAATTACTAAACATTATAAAAAGGAAATAAATCAACTATCTGCTATTTATAAAAGACATATCTAAAACATAAGGATACAGAAGAGTTGAAAGTGAAAGTATGAAAAAGAGATACCATAAAAATACTAACCAAATAAATCTATTCTAACCATAAGAATGAGACAAAAGCAATTCTGGAAATACATGTGAACATTTCATAATGATAAAATGCTCAATTCACCAGGAATATATTACAATTATAATGCTATATTATTAGGATTGCTTTATAAATGCAAGTTCAGGTAAACACTTGAAAATCAGTTACTATAAGTTACCACACTAACAGGATAAAAGAAAAATCACTAGTACATTGATAAAAATGGAAAAGCATTTCTTAAAAATTCAGCATCCAAATATAATCAAAAACGCTTGGCAAACTAGGAATAAGAACTCCTTAAAATAAAATAAAATAAAATAAAATGAAAACAGGCAAGGAGAACAAAAATTAAAAAAAAAAAATTTTACAAAAATCACCATACTTAACAATGAACAAATGTTGAAAGTCTTTCTTTTAAGACCTGGGAAGGGATAAGAGTATGTACAATTGCCACATCAATTCATAATTGTATATGAGGTCCTAGCCTGTCAAGAAAGGCAAAGACAATTTTTAAAAGCATAAGAATTAAAAAAGAAATAAACTGTAAATATTAGCAGATGATATGGTTGTGTATGCAGGAAATAAAAAGAAGAATTTACAGATAAATTACCAGAATTCATTTCTTAAGTTAGCTACATTCTGGATACAGGTGAATATATAAAACAGCAATATTTCTACATCCCAGTAAAAAAGAAACAGAAAATGAAATTTTAAAAAGACATAATATACAACAGAGTGAAAAAAATATGAAACACCTAGGAATAAATATAATAAATGAAGCTTAAAACCTCTACACAGAAAACTATAAAACACCGAGAAAAACTTGTAAAGATCTAAATAAATAAAGGAATATACCATGTTCATGGATCAGAAGACTTGATACTATAAAGGTAAAAATTTTGCCCAAATTTATTTACAGACTCAATGTAATGTCAATCAAAATCTCAATAGCTTTAACATCTTTGTTGCTGCTGTTGTTTTGTTTTGGTGAGACTTTGCAAGCTGATTCTAAAATACAGATGGGTCCCAACTTACAATGGTTCGACTTACAAATTTTTTTTTTTACTTCATAATGATGTGGAAGCTATACAAATTCGGTTTGCTCCTTGACTTACAATAAGGTCACATCTGGATAAACTCACTGTAAATTGAGGATATTTTAAGTTAAAAAAATGCATCAATATTTTCAACTTACTGAAACATAACTCTACTGTAAGTAGAGGAGCATCTGTATTGTGCTCAAAGAATAGTCAAGAAACCTGTAGAAAACAAAGAACAAGATAATAGAACTTGATCTACTGCATATAAACTCTTATGATAAAAGTACAGTACACAATTACCTATGTAACAAACCTGTGCATGTAACCCATGAATCTAAAAGAAAATTAAAATAAAACTACAGTGTGGTGTTGGTGCAAGAATATGCTAATAAACAAAAGACATAGACTAGAAAACCCAAAACAGACCCACACACATACGGGTACTTGATTTATGACAAACGTAGCTCTACAGAACAGTGAAGACAGAATAGCCTTCCCAATAAATCATTCTGGGGCAAATGAATGTCCACAAAAAGTTTAAAATACAATACCTAACCCCTACTTCACACAATATGCAAAAATTAATTCCCAGTGATCTGTACATGTTAAGGTGGGGGTTAAAACTGTTACATTTCTAGAATATATAAGAATGTCTTTATAACCACAGAGCAGGAAAAGACTTATTGAACAGAACACAATAAAATATTAACCATAAAGGAAATGGTATTTAAAAGGAAATGGTATCTAAACAGGACTTAAGGAATTTTAAAAATTAAGAATCTCTGTTCATTCTTTACAGAGTAAATAGGTAAGGAACAAATGAAGATTTTGCCACACATGTAACAGTAGGCTTATACCCAGAACATATTTTTTAAATTTCTACAAGTTAGTAAGAAAAAAGACAATCCGGTTGAAAAATGGACAAGAGACTTGAACAATCATATCTCAAAATATTCCAAATGGCTAATAAACATATGGAAAAATGCTCAACTTCATCAGTCAGGAAAAAGCAAATTAACCCTGCAATGTGATATTACTCCAAAACCACAACAATGGCTAAAATTACAAAGACTGACAGTGTTGACAAGGATATGTGATGGAACAAGGGGAACTTCCATATGCTGCTGGTGGGAGTATATTGGTACAACTACTTTGGAAAACTGGTATCATCTACTGAAATTGATAATACATTATGAGCTAGCAATTCCTCTCCTGTTTATAGAGCAAATAGAAACGTATGCCCACAGGCACCAAGAAACATGCCCCAAAATGACCATAGCCACATTATCCATAATGCCCCCAAATGAACCATCCAATGGGCCACCAACAATACAGTTGATAAAGAGATGAATAAATTGTGGTATACTCATATCATAGTTTTCTACACAGAACAGAAAAATGAATGAATTACAACCAACAGCAACAAAATGAATATCACATACACAAGGCTGAGCAAAAGAATCCAGACACAAATGAATATATACTCTATAATTCCATTTCATTTCTTGCTTAAAAAAAAAAGCAAAACCAAAATATAGTGTTTAGGGATATGTTCTTTGGAAAAACTACAAAGAAAATCAAGGAAGTGTTTACAAAAAAGCATGAGGATAGTCTTTATCTTTGGGGGAGGTGACAATGATTGGCTGAGAATCACAAGGGGGCTTTTGGCACATTAGCAGTGTTCTATATTTTTTATCCTGGTGTTCTATTTTTTTTTATCCTGGTGTTGGTTGCCAAGTGTTCACATTGTAGTAGATCACTGCACTTTGCATCTGATTTCTGTAATTTTATGTATATGTATGAAATCTCAGTCAAAGGGGGTTAAATAAATCAATCAAATGCATCCACAATGGAAGACTTCATTGCACCAATGCCTATACATATTGCTTGGAATCAGGAACCTAGAATATCTTAATTTTTAAAAAATGTTAAGTGTCCTCAACTTTGACCCACTGTTTTTTATAGCTTTCTGTGCTAATCTTTCCAAGCTCCCTGATGACCACACTTTGAGACCACTTCTGGCCAGTTCACACTGGGCAAGTTTCCCTACTCATCTGTCATCTATTTGCTGGGTGTACACATGTACACTGATCCAGATAATGCATATTATGTAAAGGTCCTGAGATCTTCCAGAAAATCTCCAACAGCTGATATCTAACACTTACTCTTCCCTCCTCTCCTCACAGGCAGATCTTTTTCTTTCTTCAGTTCTAAGCTCAAGCGTCACTTCCTCAAGGAATCTTTCCTTTGCCTCCACCTCCAAGACCCCATCACTTAACTGGGACTAACCAACATCATGTTCCTCTTCTTATGATATTTGTTCTGATCATTCTCAGTTTGCCCCCATCCATTCCTGGGAGGCTGATCCCAAGAAACTACATTACCAGGACTCTTTCCAGCTAGATTCTTTTTTTTTTTTCCTTTTCTAGCGATAAGGTCTCACCATGTTGCCCAGTCCGGATTTGAATGCCTAGGCTCAAACCATCCTCCAGCCTCAGCCTCCCCAGCAGCTGGGACTACAGGCATACACCACCATGCCCAGTTCCTTAGCTGGCTTCTATTGGGTTCCAGGGATGGGAGGCAGTGGCAGAAGCTGGGAGGGTGGGAGAAGAGAGAAGTCAGGGCATGTACTCCCCACTCCCTTTCTGCTATTGTCTATGTTTTTACAAGTAGCTGCTTCTCTCCAGGCTCAAGTTCCTCTTCCCTGGCTCCAGCTCTCACGGACTCCTGAGAGTCCTGCCTCTGGTTTGCCTTACACCAGTTCAAATAACCATGCCTCTATTTTTCGAAGTTGTCTTTTCACTCATCTCTCTTCATTTGGATTCTGTTTTCTGCTGGGACTCTGTAGAGTGGCAATTTTACTTTAATTTATGTGATTATTTCATCAATACCTGTCTTCTACTAGGCTTGAGCTTCACAACATTAGCACTTCTAGAAGTTGCCAACAAATATTTGTTAAATGATTTAGTGAGTTAGTGAATGAATGAACTTACATTAGAATCAGAATATACTACACATTGTGTAACATTTCTAAAATGTTCCTGCTACATTTGACATGGCACCAAGGTATTAGACCAAACATTTTACCTCTCTTGCTTGAAAATAGCCTTTGTTGTCATAAATACTTTTACTCATGACAATGATTTCAATTATTCCATTAATAAGTGCAATCACTGTGATTTCTCAATTTACAAGATGTAATTTTACCTAAGTGAAAGAAGTCATTGATGACAAGATGAGATTTCAAGTGGACCGTAGTCAGTTATAGCTCTAAGAACCAGTAGGAACACAATACAAATGTTAAGCAGAAAAAGAAGGCTCTGAATCCCTGAATTTTTCACATCCTATTACAAATGACACAGGTAAATGAATACTTAATGCTTACAAGGTGTAGGAGGGTTAATTGCAGAAGGAAATGTTCTCTTTTTACTACAATAAATTATCTACTCTGTGTTGTTGTCCTAGGCTTAAAGGACTACATGGGCCGGGTGAGGTGGCTCACGCCTTTAATCCCAGCACTTCGGGAGGCCAAAGTGGGCGGATTATTTGAGATCAGGAGTTCAAGACCAGCCTGGCCAACATGGTGAAACCCCATCTATTAAAAATACAAAAAAAATTAGCCGGGCGGGTTGGTGCATGCCTGTAGTCCCAGCTACTCAGGAGGCTGAGGCAGGAGAATCACTTGAACCCAGGAGAAGGAGGTTGCAGTGAGCCGAGATCACGCCACTGCACTCCAGCCTGGGCGACAAAGCAGGACTCTGTCTCAAAAAAAAAAAAAAAAAAAAAAAAAAAAAGGACAATGTGGGCTGATTCCAATATTAGATATGTAAATTACATATTAACATTTAGAGTTAGATAACTTCTACAAAATGACCTGGAAAATCCTGGTATCAGATCACTAGTAAGTATTTCCAGAATGGGGTCTGGAGCTCTGCAGATTTATCTTTTCTGGTAGAATCAAGATCCTTCAAACATACCAGTATACATTGTACCACATGACACCTGAATTTTAATCTTAAGAAAATTAGTTTATAAATATAATCATAAGTAAATACATATATCAAGAATCTTTATTTCATAGCACAGCATTTGAAAGCAACAATTTACCTATTGTGCAAACTCCAGGTGATATATGAGGTTGATATAAGCTCAACTCTGAGGAGGGTCAAAGTTCATCTCTTTTTTGCAGTCTCCTTTCTAGTGAAACCTCTACTATTTCTTCTGCTAACTTTTTCACTGTAAAAAGTATTCCAGTTCTGTTCATTCTAAATAACACAGAGATGGAGAAGGTCCAATTTCTCTAGTATGGTATGAGTTCGAGATTATTTCTAATATGGCACTACTTTGGATATGGGTCTGACTGATCTTATTATCCTGAATGATATGACATGGCTTCAGCAACAATTACAATAATACCTTGAAGGGAGGGGGTTTAGGGAAGAAGTGATTGAGCAAAAATAGTTAAAATGCAGTTATACAGCCAATTATTTTTACAACTAGAACCAGACAATTTGCTTTGCTTTATGTCTAATTAGGTGAAACAAAAAAATTCCTGTTTCCGTATTCATTCTCTTCGGTCATAACTCATATAGGAAATGACCACATCAGTTCCTTACTTATCGCTTCCCTGGAAACAAAAGAGCATTTTATACCTGATCCTGCTGTTGCCAGTAAAGAAAGTGGAGCAAAAATTAACCTTCTTCCATCCCTCTTTTCCATTTGGAAAACAATATTTTTAAGGGGGGGAGGGGAAGGGAATGATGCATTCAATATATAGGGGATAATACATTCCCTCCGCCCCAGACTCACTCTTTCCCATTCTCCTCAACATATCCACTTAAAGAGCGCTCAGTACGCTGAGGGCCCCAAGCCTGACAGAGTCAAAAAAAGAAGCATCTCTGCCCAACCTGAACATCACGACTCTCGATGCCTCGCATACAACGAGGCAGGGCGGGTCGCCCAGCCCCAGGGGACCGGGCGGCGTCTCCCGAGCCTGCAGCCCAGGCCGCGGGCGGCGCCGCAGCGCTCCCGGCTCCCCTCCTGCAGGGATCGGCCACGGTCCTTACCCGCCAGTCCGCCGCCGCCGCCTCCATCGCCGGCGTGGCCCTTCCTCCGCTGCAGGATGAAGTATGGGTTGGCCCTCTCGGTGATCCACAGCGCGTTGGCCAGCAACACCTCCTCCGGGTTCACCCACATGGTCCTGGCTGCCGCGGGCGGGCGCACAATGGGCCCGTGGGTCCAGTCCTGCACCCACCACCGCGACAGGCGCGCACTCCTGGGCACACGCGCGCCCGCCCGCCCGTCCGCTAGGTGCGGCGGCGGCGGCGGCAGGCGACTTCAGGGGGTGGCCCGCGGCGTCCGGGCCACAACAAAGCCCCAGCAGGCGGCCCGGGAGGACGGTGAGGACGCGGGCGCGGCAAGCAGCATCCTCCCCGCGGCGTCGCCGCCCCGCGAGAGCCCGCGGCCGCAGACGCCCGGCCTGGCACTCTGCAGCCCGGCTCCCGGCCCACGGCGGCGGGAGGAGCGGGAGGAGGAGGAAGAGGAGGAGGAAGGGAGCGGGAGGAGGAGGAAGTGGTATAGCTCAGTCCCGGGATCCGGCTCAGCGCCAGGCAGGGCTAAGGGCCACCCGAGCGGATTCGGCCCCGCGGTCAGGGCCAAGCTGGGCTCCGGCGCTGCTGCTCCCGCGGCGCCGACTGGAGCTCCAGAGCCCCTCCCGTCTCTACCTGCTCGAGCTCCCGAAGTCGCCGCGCCTTAACGCGCCGTGTCGGGGCCGCAGGCGCCACTAGGGAAGCCCAGCTCCCCGCTGGAAGGACGCTCCGGACACTGCGAATGAATGACGACAACGCGGCTCACTTGGAGCGGGTCCGGGTTTGTGCGGACTCGGTACCACCGCGGGCTCCGCGCGCCGAGCTGAGCAGCTGTGGCTGGCTTCGGGGGAACCTTCGGGGGAAGCTCCTGGGGACCGTGTGCCAAGCACTGGGCCCGACGCCCATCCCAGCAGGGAGGACGCCGCCAGCCTGCGTGGGTGCGTGTGTGCTGTTTGTGTTTAAGGTTGACGCTCTATGGGATAGCGCCACCCCTTTTCCCAGGAAAAGTGTTTCAAGGTTCCAGACCTGGAGCTCGGTTAGAGACCCGGGGTCGGAAGCCAACGCAGCCAATGGTCGTCGATGTTTTTGTTTCCTGCATCCCCAGGGCAAGTCATGCGCTAAACTTGTCACCGCTTGTGACCCCTCCCCCCTCTCCATTCCATTGTAATTAAAGTGGCCTAGCTAAGTGCATTACATCACTTCTTTCCTTGACCTGTAGGGCGTGAGCAATAGAGAAGTTGGAAGCGGCCCAAAAGCTTAGACCAACTAATTCACACCACAGCTGTTCCTATATCGCATTTGGGGCTTCGAAAACTGGGCATGGCAGAATTTTAAAATTTATCCACTCTTGGTAGATGGATTTTTTTTTTAATCAGTGAAACCAGAAACACACAAACCAGGGCAGCTTTATCCCTAGACAGTTTCAGTTTCCCCAAATACTTCGAGCTTCCAGTGGTGATCACAGCCCATCTGCCTACATATCTGATGACCATTTTTTTTTCCTCCCGCCCAGGAGATCTGGAGGATAGTTCAGCCAAAAAAAAAAAAAAAAAAAAAAAAAAAAAAGTTCCTCTTCCCAAATGATGGGAATTTAGCAGACTCTGCTTTGTTGTGGATGCTGGGCAATCCTAGGGACTTTTCCCTTTCCAAATGAGCAGAGATTCAAATGAAACCTTCTTGTGTGGGCTTCAAAATTGTGACTTTTGTAGCTCCGACTTGAATTGTTGAATTCCTTCAATTAGTCGAATGAGCAAATCACCAGCCATTCTAATGAGACTGCCATTTCATCTGTTCGCTTCCTACCGCTTGGGCTCTCAAGGAATGGAAGTTTCCCTTGATGTTACCACACAGACTGATCTGCTTCTTCCAGGCATCAGTGGAAACCTCATGTATTTAACACAGACTCAAAAAACTCATTTGGCACTTTTGGTCACAGTGCAGTGCCTTCAGTCACAAAATCTGCAAATAAAAAGCAAACAATAAGATTATAAGTCATACATATGCAAAAATTATATTAATATATCATGTAACTTTTATATTTTTGAAGTGTTTCCATAGGTATTCTTTTACTTGATATAATTGGTATTTTTAAAAACTCTAAGTGCCTTAATACCATGTTGGGGTTTGGAAAATGATACCACAAAGCATGGTGCTTTGGCATGCTGAGTACTTTGAACTAAAGGAGATTGAAAGGCCTCAGAAGCAGTTTCTCTCTGACCTCCTTCTGCCCTCCTGTCTCCCACCTCTCTTTCTCCCCCAAAGTGAGTCATGGAAACTAAAGGCAGGTCATAGAAACTAAAACCCCTCTTCCCAAAGGAAGCTACAAAACCTAGAAATATTACCATTCCTCACTCTTCTGTGTAAGAGCAGACATAAAGAATAGAGAAATAAAGAAATTATCTACCCTACCTTGTTGGATAGTAGGTCCCCTTTCCAAAGGAGTCCTGCTCTAAACCCAGGAGGAGGGAAAGCTATACGGAGAGGCCAAGAAGAATCTGAACAGACAGACTGGGTCTGTTCTCAGTCTATTACCATTGGATCTTACCCTTTTGTCCAACCACATCTACATGGCTGCCCACTCTTCATTGAACCTAAGCACAAAAATGGACAGAGCGAGACTCTCTCAAAAAAATAAACAGGCTGGGCATGGTGGCTCATGCCTGCAACCCCAGCATTTTGGTAGGCAGAGCCAGGAGGACCCCATCTGTATTAAACCAGAGAGACCCCATCTCTATTAAAAAAAAATAGACAGGTTTCCCTGGGTTTTTCCGTCTTCATTTCTGAAGGTTCCCATGTCACCTAAAACTTTGATTAAACAAATGTGTTGTGCTTTTCTCTTGTTAGCCTGTCTTTTGTTATAGGTGTGTTGGCTATGACCCTTATGGGAAGGAAAGATATCACACCTTTTCCCCTACAACAATCTTTTGTTTTTGTTTTGTTTGAGACAAAGTCTCGCTCTGTCACCTAGGCTGGAGTGCAGTGGCACGATCTCAGCTCACTGTAACCTTCACCTCCCAGTTCAAGTGATTCTCCCACCTCAGCCTCCTGAGTAGCTGGGACTACAGGTGTGAGCCACGACGCCCAGCTAATTGTTGTATTTTTAGGAGAGACGGGGTTTCACCACGTTGGCCAGGCTGGTCTTGAACTCCTGACCTCAAGTGATCCGCCCGCCTTGGGGCCTCCCAAAGTGCCAGAAGCCACCATGCCCGGCCTACAACAATCTTTTGGCTTGCCCTTGGCATGCTGCTTAAGGTTGTGGTTTCACACCAAAACCTATACCCTAGCCCCAAAATGTAAGTTACTTTGGCCTTTTTTATATACTGGTACCAAGTGCTATTTACTTATACAATTTATTCATTCATTCATTCATTCATTCACTTATTCAACATATAATTATTGAATGCCTACTATACTCTAGGCCTTGGAATAAAAAGTGAACAAGGCCAGGCGTGGTGGCTCAAGCCTGTAATCCTAGCACTTTCGGAGACCGAGGCAGGTGGATTGCCTGAGCTCAGGAGTTCGAGACCAGCCTGGACAACAAGGTGAAACCCCGTCTCTACTAAAATGCAAAAAATTAGCCAAACGTGGCACCATGCACCTGTAGTCTCAGCTACTCTGGAGGCTGAGGCAGGAGAATTGCTAGAACACGGGAGACGGAGGTTGCAAGGAGCTGAGATCACGCCACTGCACTCCAGCCTGGATGACAGAGTGAAAAAAAGTGAACAAAACATACAAAGTCCCTGCTTTTGTGAAGATTAAAATGTAACCAAAACAAGCTTATAAAAATTTGCTTTGAGAACAAGATTGGACACCAAGAGGAAAGAAGAAACATTTTAAAATCCTTAGCCATTTTCTAGTTTCTTGGAAGATTTAGAGCACATTCTCTCCAGGAAATCATGCCATTATTATCATGACTTGTGATAACCTGTAGTAAAAGGACATTGCAAAAAACTAGAGAAACTATAAGGAGTTTTGGTGGCTTTCCAGTCCCATAGTGCTACCTACTCAATTAAATGTGACTTTGAAAAAAAAAAAAAAGACAATCAAATATACCTAGACAAGAAATGACATAAGGAGAACCTAATTAATCTAACTAGTTCCTCTGTGAAATACATGACTATTTTTAGCTTTCAATTTATTCTCACTGGTTTTAAGCCCTAGGATAGTCTCAGACCACCTGAAGAGGAAAAGCATTCAACAGATGCCTAGATAAGGTAGAGGTAGATGATGTCTTTGTCTGCCTGCCTGCCTGCCTTCCTTCCTTCCTTCCTGCCCTCTGTCCCTCCCTCCCTCACTTCTCTCTTTCCTTCCTTCCTTCCTTCATTCCTTCCTTCCTTCCTTCTTTCTTTCTTTCTTTTGACAGAGTCTTGCTCTGTCACCCAGTCTAGAGTACAGTGGCACAATCTTGGCTCACTGCAACCTCCACCTCCCAGGTTCAAGCAATTCTCCTACCTCAGCCTTCCCAGTAGCTGGGATTATAGGTGCCCGCCACTGCGCCCGACTAATTTTTGTATTTTTTTAGTAGAGACGGGGTTTCACTATCTTGGCCAGGCTGGTCTTGAACTCCTGACCTCGTGATCCACACGCTTCGGTCTCCCAAAATTCTGGGATTACAGGCGTGAGCCACCGCACCCAGCCGTGTCTTTCTGTCCCTCAGATCTCTCACTCTCTCCTCCAACCCTAATAGGGTTCCTATTTTTTTTTTTTTTTTTTTTTTTTGAGACGGAGTCTCTCTCTGTCACCTAGCCTGGAGTGCAGTGCCGCCATCTTGGCTCACTGCAACCTCTGCCTCCTGGGTTCAAGTGATTCTCCCGCCTCAGCCTCCCAAGTAGCTGGGATTACAGGCGTGAGCCACCATGCCCAGCTAACTTTTGTACTTTTAGTAGAAACGGGCTTTTACCATGTTGGCCAGGCTGGTCTCGAACTCCTGACCTCAGGTGATCTGCCCGCCCTCACCTCCCAAAGTGCTAGGATTATAGGTGTGAGCCACCGCGCCCGGCTGACCCTGATAGGGTTCTGACTGCTTGACCTTCAAGCAGTTAATCCGTGTATTGCTTAGTGGGCAGATCTGACTGAGGCAAAATTCCAAGTGTAGTTAGTTAGTCTTTGGCAATGTCCACCCCCATTTCTGCAGTATGCCCTCCTTTTCTGCTTTTTCACCTTCACAGTGGTGTGTTTTCCTCCTTATCCTCACTCCTCTCCCACTCAGTCCTCTGCTTGGTCTTCTTGGGACTTGCCCCACTTTGGAAATAGCATGGAGTCTCGGAAGCACTGTGCCCACACATCCTGCCTCCCAACTGCGGTGTCTGCTCCTTCATGGCTCAGTTCTCCCAGAAGCAACGGGACAAAGGCTGCAGAACACGGGTGTTAATAACCATTCCAGGTCGGGCACGGTGGCTCACGCCTGTAATCCCAGCACTTTGGGAGGCCGAGGTGAGTGGATCACTTGAGGTCAGGAGTTCAAGACCAGCCTGGCCAACATGGTGAAACCCCGTCTCTACTAAAAATACAAAAATTAGCTGGGCATGGTGGCACATGCCTGTAATCTCAGCTACTTGGGAGGCTGAGGCAGGAGAATCGCTTGAACTCAGGAGGCGAAGGTTACTGTGAGCCAAGATTGCACTACTGCACTCCAGCCTGGGCAACAGAGACTGTCTCAAAACAAACAAACAACAACAACAAAAAACATTGCACTGCCCGGCAGTCCCAGGAGTGGTCAACTAGTAGAAAATTCAGTTTCAGTTTCAGCAGAGAATTCACCCAGCAGAACAATAAAGTGCTAATGTTTCCTTGGAAGAACTCCACTAGGCCTCCTGTCTGAAGATAACATTTTAACAAGAGCTTTTTTTAAAAAAAATTAATTCCCCTATCTTTGATATCCAACCTGGAAGGGCAGTAGCTCTAGTAGGCTATTTGGAATTTCTTATACCCACTGAGGTAGAAGAAGGATGACCAGTTGGGATAGGAAAGAGTAATATTGCTTTGAAGATCCAGTACTTTGCAGTTGCTTTGAAATCTGTATTAGTCAAGATTCTTTAAAGAGACATAACCAATATGCTATATACTATGAGAGAGGATTTTTAGAAGAATCAGCCTGGAGTTCTGATGTCCAAGGATAGAGAAGAAGAATATGTGGTCAGCAAAATGTCCAAGAACAGGAAAAGAAGATCTGTATATGAGATCCACATTCACCTTTTCTCTGTTTTAGTTCTCTCTAGGTCCTCAGCCAATTGAATGGTGTTCTCCTCCACAATGAGAGCAAATCCTTCCTCCTAGTTCACTCAGACTCACACGCTAATCTCTTCTGGAAACACCCTCACACATGCACTTAAAATTAATGCTTTCCTGGCTCTCTTGGTATTCCTTAATTCAGTCAAGTCGCTACCTAAAATTAACTATCACAATACAGAGAACTTCACAGTGGATCTGAGTTGCTAAACCAGCTGGAGAAACTAGATCAACCAGTCACCGCATTGTCAACTCTGCAAGTAATAGAGATAATTGATACAGAAGCCACAGTTAGGTTATTTTAGCTTTAAATGAATGAACAGTTCTGCAGCCAGGACCATCCTTCTAGTATGATTGAAGGGAAAAGATTCCTCAAAATAGTTCTTACTGTAACAGTGCTACCTTGCATCCCTTCATTAAATCATTACACTTTTTATTACATTCTGAGATGCTCTGGAAATAAAGAATAAATGAAACTCCCTCCCTCCCTCCCTGTCTTCTTTCCTCCCTCCCTCCCTCCCTCCCTCCCTCCCTCCCTCCCTTCCTTCCTTCCTTTCTTCCTTCCTTCCTTCCTTCCACAGGATCTTGCTCTGTTGCCAAAGCTGGAGTGCAATGGTGCAAACATGGCTCACTGTAGCCTTAACCTCCTGGGTTCAAGCAATTCTCCCACCTCAGCCACCTGAGTAGCTGGGACTACAAGTGTGTGCCATCACATCCAGCTAATTTTTTAAATTTTTTTGTAGAGATGGGGTCTCCCCATGTTGTCCAGGCTGGTCTTGAACTCATGGGCTCAAGCAATCTTCCTGCCTCAGCCTCTCAAAGTGCTGAGATTACAGGCAAGAGCCATTGCACCCAGCCAAAACATTATTTCTTTCTATGTTGGGAACATTGTGGTCAATGACCTCTGTCAAATGTATCTGTGTTCCTGGAACGAAGGAAGGAAAGAAGACCCTAGCCTCTCTGAGGGAAGAATAAAGCTAAACATTAGCAGAGATTTATTTTCAGACTGACTATTTGTCATCAAACAGGGCAAGTTTTTGTGTTTTTTTTTGTTTTGTCCTTTCATGAAAGAGTCAAACCTAAGGGCAAGTTTTAATGATTGGGAAAGAATGATAAATAAGGTAGAGACTTTAGAACAAAGGGCAGGGTGGTGAAACACTTTTCCTACTTCAAAATTATCTACTGCAAGTTCCCTGAGGGCCAGGACCCTCTTTGTTGGTGTTCTTTTGGTGTGCACAGGACTACTGAATTTCTAAACTTATGTTTACAGATTTAGAAGAAAAAGGCCCTAGGAGACGCTGAACATAGTTATATTGAGCTCCTCATTTTATATAAAAGGAATGAAAGCCCAGAATAAGGAAGAGACTTGACTAGGGTCACTTGGATAATTAATAGCAAAGTTGGAAATTGGTCTTATTTAGAAGACTATGAAGAACCTGAATACAAATTGCAACTTTTTCCTGTTTCTTTACACATTATTTGTCACATTTTTTTCCTCAATAATTAAGTTTATATTTATATAATGCTTTCATGCCATTACCTATCACTGTGGTCTGGATGTTGAGACCTATCCACTGATTGGCCAGATCTAAGCCACATGCCTTCCCTGGTGTAGGTGGTGGCAGAGGAGAGGGGACAGTGTGTGGGGAATAGTCCCCAAGGAAAAAATCAGAGAACTATGAGAATAAGGAGACAGGGTCGTGGGCAAGCCTATGTGACAGAGGTCTATTATACAACCTACTATTGACAACTTGTTTTTTGGTGACTGTATCTTCTTGAAAGTAATTTGATATTGCATGAATATAACATGTTTTGTTTTCTGCTAACAAACCTAGTGGTTTGACTCTTGATAATTATGGTCAGAAGTCATTTGAGTTACTTAATTTCTTTTTTCATATTTAAAGAAAAGAAATTATTGCAAAGGTTCAGATAGACTAAACTAGTACCAGAGACCTTTAGCAAGCTCTCAGATCAGGACAGGTGCAGTGGCTTACACCTGTCATCTTAGCACTTTGAAAGGCCAAGGTGAGAGAATTGCTTGAGGCCAGGGGTTCGAGGCCACGGGTTCAAGACCATTCTGGGCAACATAGCAAGACCCTGTCTCTACAAAAAATTTTAAAATTAGCCAGGCATGGTGGCACATGCCTGTAGTTTCAGCTACTTGGGAGGCTGAGATGGAGGATTGTTTGATCCCAGGAGTTTGAGGCTGCAGTGAGCTGTGATTGTGCCACTGCACTCCAGCCTGGATGACAGAGGGAGGCCCTGTCTGGAAAAAAAAAAAAAAAGGGCTCTGGCCCAGTGCTTTTCTCTTTACCCAAACCCTTCTCTGAATCTCTGCTTCTCTCTGTACATTTGGTCTAGTGTCTTTCTCCACTGATCAGCCTCTTTGCTAACAATAGTATCTGACCCCTTGTAATTTAAGCATACACATGAACCATCATAGCCTCTCTGGTTCCATCTCTCTGTTACTTTCAAGCTATAGCTCCCACCATTCAGTTTTCTCAAGGAAAGAAGAAACATTTCTTGGCTATTTTCTGAATACTTTAGGTAGGTATTTCTTAGCTACAATTCATGAGGAACATCAGTTGGTTCAGCTTATCTTTTTGTCCAAGATCAAGGTTGTTGTATTGCTTACGACTGGCTGTCATCTTGAGGCAGAAGAATAGGGAAATAGGGTAACCAAGGGTTAAGATAGAAGCAAAAGAACAGCAGGTGCAACCAGTTCTAGGCAAGATAGGGCAGTATACAGGCCACATTCTCACGCCTGTGATAACAAGACAGGAATTTCCACTTTAGCCTCTGATTGACCACGGACCAAGTCTCCACTTCATCCTCTGATTGATTGCGGGCCAAGTCTCTATTTCAGCCTCTGATTGGTTGTGGGCCAATCCTTCATAGGGTGTAACCAATTGGAGGCCTCTAAAGAGCACCTGGGGGTGTTACCAAATTCTTTTAGCTTAATAAAAACCCTAAAGAACATTGTAATCAGGCATCTTGGGCTGCTTGCTCGAGCCCACTCCCACTCTGTGGAGTGTAATTTTGCTTCGCTAAATCTGTGCTTTAGTTGCTTCGTTTGTTGCTTTGTTTGTGAGTTTTGTTTATTTCTTTTTTCAACTTGCCAAGAACCTGGACAACTCACAGTCAAGACTTTCCATCTGGTAACAATTTGGTCAGATCAACAAGACATAGCATCTATGTAAGTATGCATATTTTGTGCAACTGGTACTTCACAAATTCTCACGAAAAGTGTCCCATCACTTTGCCTTCAAATGCTATAATAGTTGAAAAATGTCTGAAGTATTTCTTGTTTAACACAAGCCAGTCAACCATGTCAATAAAGACTAAAGCTCTTATACCACCCTGGGCAATATAGTGAGACCCTGTCTATGCAAAAAATGAAAAATTTAGTCTGGCATGGTGGCACATGCCTGTCGTTCCAGCTACCTGTGGGGCTGAGGTGGGAGGATCTTTGAGCCCAGAAGGTTGAGGCTGCAGCAAGCCATGATAGTGCCACTGCACTGTAGTCTGGGAAAAAAAAAAAAAAAAGACAAAAGCTATTTAATGTGGTGTATTTTTAGATATACTGTATGCAGTATAATATACAGAATATCACACAGTGTAATAATTTTTATTATACTGACAACATTCTCATTAGAGAAATACTACATTTTATCTTATAAATCTCAAATCTTTAAAACATTTTTTTCTTTTGAGACGGAGTCTCACTCTGTCACCCTGGCTGGAGTGCAGTGGCGTGATCTTGGCTCACTGCAACTTCCATCTCCCAGGTTCAACTGATTCTGCTGCCTCAGGCTCCCAAGCAGCTGGGATTACAGGCATGCACCACCACACCGAGCTAATTTTTGTATTTTTAGTAGAGACAGGGTTTCACCATGTTGGCCAGGCTGGTCTTGAACTGCTGACCTCAGGTTATCCACCCACTTCAGCTTCCCAAAGTACTGGAATTACAGGCATGAGCTACCACTCCTGGCTCTTTAAAACATTTTTATGGTGTGTTTTACTAAATGATTTAAAAGAAAGAAGAATATCTAGGCATCAATACCAATACATAATAACACCTTACCACCCAAACCTTCTAATTTATCAACTATGTATAAAACCACTTATCTCATTATTTCCAGCCCCTCAGAATTTCCAAACAAGATTGTAAATCATAGAACAGAATTTGATCTGAAGATCCCAAATATTTGAAAAACCTTAAATATAAAACATTAAGGGGAGAAAAAAGTATTCGCTGCACCAAAGGAGAAACTCCCAAGGTTAAACATGAGACTTGGCTGTCAGGCTATCTTTACCAGGATTAATAAAAAGTCAAAACAAAACAAAACCCCAAAAGGACTCAGGCCAGGCACGGTGGCTCACACCTGTAATTCCAGCACTTTGGGAGGCCAAGGTGGGCAGATCACTTGAGGTAAGGAGTTCAAGACCAGCCTGGCCAACATGGTGAAACCCTGTCTCTTTTAAAAATACAAAAATTAGCTGAGTGTGGTGGTGCATGCCTGTAATCTCAGCTACTTGGGAAGCTGAGGCAGGAGAATTGCTTGAACCTGGGAGGAGGAGGTTGCAGTGAGCTGAGATTACACCACTGCACTCTAGCCTGGGTGACAGAGCGAGACTCCATCTCAAAAAAAAAAAAAAAAGGACTCAGTTTTTATTCTTGAGGCTCTCAACACCCTCTCTTTAGGCATTTACTGCTGAGTTTTCTTTTGCAGAGCATTTACTGCTGAGTTTTCTTTTGCAGAGCATTTACTGCTGAGTTTTCTTTTGCAGAATCTTTGCCCTCAGTGATGTCGTTTACTTCTATAAAATACAGACCTAAATTGACATTTTCATCATAAAGTTGTACTGGTGAGAATTTTGCTCTTTTTGTCACTTGCAATCCCCTTATAGGCTGTGAAATGTAATCTTCCATAAAAAGGAAGTGTGTTAAATCACACTGATTTCTATTCCAATGAAAATTACAGTTTGCTTTTAGTGGGCATGACTCAGTCAATCAAATTGGAAGCTTGACATTCTGTCCCTGAATGAAAATTTTTAAAACATCATTTCCTCCCTCTTCTCTTACACGGAGCCAACCATCATTCACCTAAAGGACACTGAAGAGGAAGGCATATAATGAAAACAAAAATAAATGCCTACTGACTTTATCCTTCTCTACAAACTGTGGCCCTCAGATTTAAATATGAAGTGTCAAGTAAGAAGCCTTTTGAAAGAAATGAGAAAATCTTTTTAGATGTGCTAATAGAAGATCACAGAATTCTAGTTAAAGATAGCTGACTGGTGGTTAAATAAAACAGTGCTGTAATAAAGATTACATTTTAATCATACTTGAGTAAAAAGAGAAAAATAATCATACTTGAATAAAAACAGAAAGATAAAAATGAAAAGACTACATTTTATTTAATCAACCCTATGTAGCTATGCTTAAGTCTGCAGTGGAACCCCTTGAAGCTGGTGCCAGATGATATACAGTCTTTCTTAGAACCAGGAACAAGTAACCACCTGTATATAAAAGTGTGTGTGTGTGTGTGTGTGTGTGTGTTGTGTAAGGGGAGCACATGAACTATTTTACAAATTTAAACATCTCCAATTAATTCTCCTGATGTTTTATTTTTAATTATACAAGTAAATAATGTTCACTGTAGAAAAATTAGAAAATACAGATAAGCAAAATGGAAAGATGCCAAATCTATATGTATGTAGTGTTTTTATTCTCAAACAGAAAAGAGTTCATGCTATGCCTAAACTTTTGTAACATAGCCTGGACAACACAGCAAGACACTGTCTCTACAAAAAATAAAAATAAATTAGTTGGGTGTGGTCTCATGTACCTTTAGTCCTAATTATGAGGGCTGAGGCGGGAGGATCACTTGAGCCCAGGAGTTCAAAGCTGCAGTGAGCTATGATTGCACCAGTGCACTTTAGTCCAGGTGACAGAATAAGATCCTATCTCAAAATAAAACAAACCTACAAAACTTTTGTAATTGCTTTTATTACATAACAATATTGTGAACATATTTTCAGATTTTTAAAAAATGTACATTCATATCATTACTTACATTGGCTGTGAATTTTTTAATTATATGATGTACCTTCATTTATCTGCCACAATTATTTGCATCTTTAAGATGTTACAAACAAATCTATGATAAACATATTTAACTGTATGTCTTTGTATATTTATCTAATTATTTTCTTTTCTTCTTTCTTTCTTTTTTTTTTTTTTTGAGACAGGATCTCTCTCTGTTGCCCCAGGCTGGAATGCAGTGATATGAACACAGCACACTGCAGTCTCAAACTCCTGGGCTCAAGTGATTCTCCCACCTCAGCTCTCTGAGTAACTGGGACTACAGGCATCTACCACCACGCCCAGCTAATTTTTTTGTATTTTTTTATATTGTCAGGGTCTTGCTCTGTTGCCCAGGCTGGTCTTGAAGTCCTGACCTCAAGCAGTCCTCCTTCCTTGGCCTCCAAAAGGGCTGGGATTACAGAGGTGAGCCACTGCATCTGGCATATCTAATTATTTTCTTAGTATAGACTCCTAAAAGTGGAATTTCCAGGCCATCTAGAATATGCCTTTTAATGTTATTGATATACATTGCTCCAGAAAGAATGTAACCAATTATTTCCCCCAACAAATAAGACAGCACCTGGTTCTCTACAGACTCATCTAATATGTTTCATGAAAATATCTGTCACTGTTTTTTTTGGGTGGAACATGATAATATGACTGCATTTTTATTGCATTTTAGTAATTTCAATGTATGACATATACAATTTTCCAAGATTAAAATAGTTTGTTTTCTGATTATAAAAATTATGTTTATTAGTAAAATGAGCAAAATAGAAAAGCATAAGAGAAAGCAAAATTCCTCAAAATATCACCACTTAGAACTAACAACTGACCTTCCACATATCAATCTGTGCATATTAACATATATGGACAAGAAGACATCCTTTATTCCTGGGCTAAGTGCTGTTCTGAGATAACATGACTTTCCATCTGTATTCCAAGGACATCTTTGATGCTCTTTATGTAGACTGAATTAAACTAAAGATCAGGACTGCAATTATGCAGCCTTTCTCCTAGAGCTCCTGAACAGGTCCAGGGGGTCAGGCGGAGGGAGGTCTGTTTATGCACCACTTGCTTATGTATTTGTAGACCAGGCCCTGAGATGAATCATAACCGTGTGTGGAAAGGTCAGTGATTACCCCAGTGTCTTGCTCAAACTTGAAGTAGAGGACAATGCAAATGATTCTAAATTTCCCCCTTCAAAAGAGGTGCACAGTTCCTTTCTAAAATCTGTGGTAAACTCTACTCAGCAACTGCCAACACAAACAACGTTTTGTAAACAGCAGAAGTGTCACCTACTAGAATAACTGCTTCATAATGTTTTCATGAATCCAACATATTTGAAAAACTGAGGTCCTCTAGAACTCCTTTGTACAGTTAAAAATAGGTATGTAATGCCATTTTATTTATTTCTTTATATATATATTTTTTGAGACAGAGTTTCACTCTTATTGCCCAGGCTGGAGTGCAGTGGCGTGATCTCGGCTCACCACAACCTCCACCTCCCAGGTTCAAGCGATTCTCCTGCCTCAGCCTCCCGAGTAGCTGGGATTACAGTCATGCGCTACCACTCCCAGCTAATTTTTTTGTATTTTAGTAGAGACAGGGTTTCTCCATGTTGGTCAGGCTGGTTTCAAACTTCCGACCTCAGGTGATCTGCCCGCCTCGGCCTCCCAAAGTGCCAGGATTACAGGCATGAGCCACTGCGCCCGGCCTGCAATGCCATTTTAAATGTTTTCCTCCTAATTTACTTGCTGTGATAGCTTTATCTTGTCAAATATGGCTTTGTCAGCCATGGTACTGCTAGAGGAATTGATTTTCCTTCATTGTCAAGGGGGGTACTGTACATGATTGTCAGAGTGCCCATTTGTTTTTTTTTGGCTGCTCATCATCTGAATATTCTTCCACTTTTTAGGATTGTCCCTCAAATGGCAGCCAGACTTTCTCCACCAGGATTGTCTCAGCTCCCACTTGGCACTTGGTGCTGGTGATCCACTAAGATGCAGGTAGCTCCCCACCCAGCCCTAGAGTTCTCTCTCCACACCTTTCTGATGAGACTTCCCCTGCTCCCAATCAAGAGAACCTCTTCATAGCTGGACATGGTGGTTCATGCCTATAATCTCAGCTACTCAGGAGGCTGAGGTAGGAGGCTTGCTTGAGGCCAGGAGTTGGAGAATAACCTGGGCAACATAGTGAGATCTCATCTCTAAAAAACGAAAAAACAAAAGCAAAACAAAAGAACCCTTCCAGCCTGCCAGTAATTTTTATTCTTTATTGGTGATGGGTGTGCTGTAGAAGGGAAGATATAAATTTCTGGACCTTTCTCTGCTTCTCCCAGTTAGGAGGTTAGCTCTCACAACAGGTACGACATACCTCCAGTTGTGGGTTATGGCTGCTTCAACATGATGGCGTGTGTGTGTGTACACTTGTGTGTAGGTACAATCATCCCTTGATATCAGTAAGTCACTGGTCCCAGGAGCTCCTGTGAATACTAAAATTTGTGGATGCTCAAGTCCCTTATATAAAGTGGTGTAGTCCCCAGTGGGCTAGTGGTTAGGAATAAAATAATATATAAAAATAAAAATGGTGTAGTATTTGCCTATAACTCATACACATCCTCCTGTATACTCTAATCTCTAGATTACTTACATACCTAACACAATGTAAATGCTATATAAATAGTTGTTATACTGAATTGCTTTTTAATTTATGTTAATTTTTGCTATTGCATTGTTATATTTTATTGTTTTTTCTGAATATTTTTACCCCATGGTTGACTGATTCTGCAGATGCAGAACCTGCAGATACAAATAACCAATTGTGTGTATGTATGTATGTATATATACATATATTCACCCATTCTGTTTATTATATGATTGATATTTATTGAGCATTAATTATGTGCCAAGGCCATAAAAATTATTTCACTTAACCTTTACAGCAACCCCATGAGGTAAAGATTGACTGTACAATTATTGAATTCCATGTTTAGATGAGGAATCCAAGTAAAAAAAGGTGAAGTAACTTCACTAAAGTCACAGCTAGGAAGTAGCCGAGTCAAAATTCTAAACAAGGCAGTCTAAATCTAGCCTATACTCTCAGTCATCATGCTACTTGCCTCCTATAAATATTGTTTATTGTAATTATGACTTCATCCCATAGTTGTCTCAATATTATTGCTTACTAAACTTCATTAAATGATAGAATCATTTTCAGACCGCCTTTGGTGCTTTAAGTGTTTTGTATGCAGATAGGCAAGACTTGAGTGAAATTCTACAAAAACAGTGAAATGATGGCAAGAAAGGAAATGTGGTAGGGTTATTCTCAAAAAGGCACTTTTAGCTGGTAACTGTTAAACACAGCTAGGAAATCTTACGTGGACAATAGTCACCAGTTCTTTCCTTCATTTTTATTCAGATTTCCACTAAGAAATTTAAACTCCACTTGTTCTTTGGTTTGCCTTTTCCATTATTTGACAGTGGTAAGATTTGTGTAAGTCAGTGGTTCTCAAACGTTAGCATGCACCAAAACAACCTGGAGAAATTGCTAAAAGAGAATGGTGGGTCTTACCATCAGAATTTCTGACTCAGTAGATCTGCTTGAGGCCTGATAATATGCATTTCCAACAAGCTCCCAGGTGATGTTGATGTTATTGATCCAAGGACCACACTTCTGGGAACCACTGGTGCAGGTGGTCTCAAATTCCTGAGCTCAGGCAATCCACCCAAGGGTGCCTCAGTTGGGTGTTCTTTTTTAGATAATCCATGGATTTATTTAAATATATGCATGGGATCTGGGTATTAAGCCTTTAGCCCTGGATTGATTTATCCCTTGACACGACTCTGCTTTAATGAAATGATCTAAACTCACCTGTCAGCTTTACAGTGGGTCCCAAATTATCTTTGTGATTCTGTATTCACCTGATGGACTCTACTTAAAGGCAACACATTGATTCACTAATTGTTACTGAACACCTGTTAGATGCCTGGCACTGTGGGAATGTGTTGTTGAAAAAAGGCAAACATGATCTGTAGCCCCATGAAGCTTATAGCAGGTAGGCATCAAATATTAATCAACAATTAAAATAAATGTAAATGTCTACTGTGATAAGCGCTAAAAAGAGGGACATGGTGGTGTTCTTTCATCTTAAAGTCAGAGATTTGACTTAGTCATGGTCATAATCGAAATTCTTCCCCAAGGTGATGCTTAAGCTGAGAGCCAAAGGACAAAAATCCCCACTAAAAGATATTTCAAATGACAATTGAACATTAAATAAAAAATAATTTTAGAGAAGAAATGTTCAGCTACAACACCAAAAGCTCAGGCAGCCCCTGTGGATTGTTGAATGACCTAGAACATATGGTATTTTCATAAATAACTAATCTCCTGACACTTTCATTTTATTTTTATTATTATTATTTTTTTAGACAGAGTCTCACTTTGTCTCCCAGGCTGGAGTGCAGTGTCGTGATCTTGGCTTACTGCAACCCTTGCCTCCTGGGTTCAAGTGATTCTCCTGCCTCAGCCTCCCAAGTAGCTGGAATTACAGGCACTCATCATCACACCAGGCTGACTTTCATATTCTTAGTAGAGATGGGGTTTCACCATGTTAACCAGGCTGGTCTTGAACACTTGACCTCAAGTGATCCACCCGCCTCGGCCTCCCACAGTGTTGGGATCACAGGCATAAGCCACCACGCCTCCTCCTGATACTTTAATGCTTTGGGTCCCCATACCAAATTTCTAACAGTTTAAAACATCGTATGACACTAGTGAGAATTGATTAGGGTTTATTTCTCACTTATCTAGCAGATCTACTTCTGTTAGGAAAAATATCCAGCTAACGTTGGGAAAATCCTCACACTTTAATGTGTTTTGGTAGAGTTTACAAGTGCAAAAGTTTCATGTGCTATCCCTCCTCTAAGAGAATAAAGAAAGAGCTAAAATACCTTCGACTCACTTGAGCAAACCTGATGTTACCCTCTGACGCAGTCTCGCCATGTTCGAAGTGTCCATGAAGACACTGAACATTTCCTCAAGAAAATAATCTCCTCTCTCCAAAGCTTATTAAACAAATGTAAACATATTCTCTAGTGTGGGGTAATAAAATATAGTCCTCTATTTCTGTTTTCTTCCTTTTCTATTCCTAGTAGAAACCAAGAAGAATCTGAAAAGTTGAGCCAAAACAATATCCGTGGCAGCAGAGTGAAGAAGAAAAGGACCTAGGGCCATGGGTAGTAACAGAGGGATATGCTGTTTGTTCAGCATATCAGATGACTTTGCTGGTGACCCACCATTCTAGGATTATTCCCTAGGTCAAGTGAGAAGGACATTCAGGAAGAGTATCGTTATATAGCATTAGATGTATGGAGTTGTTTAGGAAAGACCTTTGATAATGATATAATGGAAAGGTGTAGCCATGTAGCCAGACAAATGCCTCCTAATCTTTATAAAAATTGGAAGGGTGTCTGAATTTGGTAATATCTACAAAATAAAACATTTTAAAATGAAAATATTTTTTGAACTAGAATCTCATTTTTAAGAACTTATCTTACACATATACTTGTGTATGTGCCAAAGATGACTGCACATATGTTTATTATGGAATCATTTGTATTGAAGCACAAAGATTGCAAAAACCTAAATATCCTCAGCTGGGCACAGTGGTTCACACCTGTAATCTCAGCACTTTGGGAGGCTGAGGCAGGCAGATCACTTGAGGTCAGGAGTTCGAGACCAGGCTAACCAACATGGCAAAACCCTCTCTCTACTAAAAATACACAAATTAGCCAGGTGTGGTGGCACATGCCTGTAGTTCCAGTTACTTGGGAGGCTGAGGCAGGGGAATCTCTTGAACTTGGGAGGAAGCGGTTGCAGCGAGCCAAGATTGTGCCACTGCACTCCAGCCTGTGTGACAGAGTGAGACTCTGACTCAAAAAAAAATCCATACATTAATTAAAAATAAAAAGAAAAATCTAAATGTCCTTTCAACAGAACACAAGTTATATAAATTGTGCTACATCCTTATCAATTGTATTAGATACAACTTTTAAAATATGAGGCCCCTCTACATGTATATCTACTATGAAATGAGTTTATATGAAATAATGATAAGTTAAAAACAATCAAAGTTCAGGACAATATATGTCGAATGTCCTTACTCACATAAAAAGGTGGTTATATCTATCTGTCTATATTCTAGTATATTAATAGCAATATTTTCTAGTGGTTGCCACTGGGAAAGGAAAACTGTAGAAGCAACGATCTGGAGTGAGAAGAAGAATTGATTGATTGATTGAGACAGGGTCTCGTTCTGTCACCCAGGCTGGAGTGCAGTGGCACAATCAAGACTCACTGTAGCCTCTACTTCCCAGGCTCCAGCAATCCTCCCACCTCAGCCGCCCGAGTAGCTGCGACCACAGGCATGCACCACCATGCCTGGCTAATTAAGAATTTAAAACTTCCTCAAATCTCATGTATCTTAGCCTACTGGGGCTGTCATAAAAAAATATAACAAACCAGGTGGCTTGAACAGCAGTTTTGAAGGCTAGAAGTCCAACATCAAGGTGCCAGCAGTGTTGGTTTCTGACGAGGCCTCTCTTCCTAGCTTGCAGATCATGGCTTCTCACTGTGTCCTAACATGAACTTTCCTCTGTGCATGTGCAAAGAGAGAGAGGAGAGAAACAGAGGCATGGAGAGATCTGGTGTCTCTTCTTCTTCTTATAAGGGCACCAGTCCTGTTGGATTAAGGCTCCACTCTTACAACCTCTTTTAACCTTAATTACCTCCTTAAAGGCCCTGTCTTCAAATACAGTCACATTGGGTGTTAAGGCTTCAGCATATGAATTTAGGGGGAAACACAGTTGAGCTTATAACCCCTCATAAGTGAACTTCAAAGCACAAGTCTACTATGAATCAGCCTGGCCTTTTCATCCACCAACAGCCCTCAGGTTGTGCTCCTTGGAGCACTCATAGAAGGAAGTAAGGAGGTAAGAACTAGAACAAGAGACTGTTGAGGTGAAGAAGTTTGCTATCAACTCTAGAACCAATATTACTTGTGGCCTCCTTTTTTTTTAATCATCTCCACTCCTTGCCCCTTCCCATGCTAGGACCCAAAACAATCACCTGAGGACACTTAATCAAAAATCACCATTTATTTCATGGCTTCCAGAAAGTACAAGATTATCTAAAAGATAATTCGTGAAATAAAGCAGTGTCCTGAAAGAGCTGTCTTGGTTTTCAAGTGAACTTCCTTTTCTTTTCTCCACTTTGGATCTTGGTGGAATTAAGTGAATTGTTAGGCATAAATTTTGAATGTAATTGTGGATGCTTTCAGCATCCTCCCTCTGAATGTCCTT
The DNA here is from genome assembly GCF_000001405.40 of Homo sapiens. Classification (NCBI taxonomy): domain Eukaryota; kingdom Metazoa; phylum Chordata; class Mammalia; order Primates; family Hominidae; genus Homo; species Homo sapiens. The sequence continues at coordinate 140,775,617 of NC_000004.12, forward strand.
GGTTTTACTGAAGAATTCTAGACTGTGCCATAATGTGCTGGAAGTGGTCTTGCCCCATATAATCATTTCCAAAGTCTCTGCGAGAGATGACTAGATTGTCTAAGCTGATGATCATTTTGCTTATGGTACCTTCCAAAGCATGGTAGAAGACACCCAGCATGCATAAGAAACACACAGAGGTAAAGGATGAGGGAAAGAGAGGCAAAGGAGGAGTCATTGGTCTCATGGCAATTGAGATGGGTGCAACGGGCTCTACTTGTAATCCATTAGTGTTTCACCACAGCTTTCCCAGTAAAGTCTTAGCATGGTCTATGAGGGTCTCACAAGCTGGCTCCCATCTTCCTCTAAGCCTCATTCCCACATTCCCTCCTCATCCTCTATTATCTCACGGTAGGGAGCTGCTCTTCCTGCCAAAACCCCCGCTCTTCATGCTGACTCTCCATTCCTTGCCTCTACTCAATGATCAGTGATCAATCATCAATTTCATTTCCACGTTTCTTTGTCCTGATAGATCTATCTTATCTTGAAATACTCAGTGCATGCCTCTTCACCTCTGGGAGGCCTCTTTGAGATCCACAGCAAAGTACTAGCTCTTTGCTGTTTATCCATTTCCTCTCTCTGTTTCTCTGTCTGTGTCTCTCTTTCTCTCTTCCTCCCTCTCTTTCTCTATCATGTATAATTTACTTTTGTATCCTAAGCAGCTGGCACACTGCCTGGAACGCACCAGGTATTAACAAAATTCATGTTGAATTGAACAGTGCAACTTTAACAGTGCATCTCCTAACGAGTCTGGTGTCGGTTCTCGGCACTCAGGATTTTCTCCTAGTTAAACTTGTGATTGGAAAAGACTAGTTTGGAGACTCGCGGTGGATTTTCTACATACGATATTATTCCTCACTAGGAGGTCGCAAAGGTGACTGCCAGCTTGCCTGTCTGCTTGCTTTCTGGAAGTAACACTAGAGAAACACAGCACAGTGTGAGCAGTAAGAAAGCAGTTGAAAGAGACAAGAGTGCTAACTCTAGCATCTACGTTATCATTCATTCATTCGTTCATTCAATTGCAGCCTCACTTTGAGGCAGGCCTTGTGCTGGGTGCAGGAAACAAGACACACACCCTGGTTTCCCAGAACTCACAATCTTGTTTGGCTGATAGATGTGTAAACAAACACAGCTGATCCTTCTCTTCAAGCATTTAAAATTTACTGTTTTGACCAGAAGGCACATGATTGGCAGTGATTTGTTTTTGTGCTGAGGCCCATGTGTTAGAATGAACTCTGAGCTAGTGAGTGAGGTTAACCAACACCTCAACATCTAAGCCTATCTTGGCTTTAATTTCCTTTATTATTATTTTCTCAAAATCGAGATTGTACTCAATATATTCCTGAGTGTAGTAAATTAAAATTTTCACTGTACTGTATTTTATAAGGAAAATATGTTCCATAGTAATTTGTGAGAACACATGCAAAGGAAATTTGCAATATCGCTGTAATTTTTGTGCACTGTGATAAGTATATTTCTAATATCTTAAAACTGTTCCTGGCTATGGTCGTACTTCTGCACTGCAGCCTGGGCAACAGAGCAAGACCTCATCTCTAATAAATACATTAAATAAATATTAACAAATAAAAATCAAAATGAAAGAAATTATCAAGCTGTTTCTGGGCAAGAGATAGACATGTAGGAGAGGTTTTATGAGGAAAATAGCGATAAAGCAAAGATTTCATTTTCAGCATAAAAGCATTTTCTGTTCTGTCCAAAAAGATCAGACTCCTAACCAGATTTAGAGATGCAAATATTTGTTCCTAAAGAGGAGACTTTTTCTCCTAAAGTATAGTTTAGGGCTAGTCATCCAACCCTAAAATGTAGGCCACACCTTCTTCAAGAAACATATTCTTGATTCTAGAGAATAAAAAATGTAACCCCACCTGTCTGTTCTGGCAGGCTCTGGTCTCTGGAACGCTCCATGATGCAGCTAGGGGAATATAAGCCAGTTGGCATCCCTGCCTGAGGGTGGTGAGATTAGGGGAAAGATACTTGCACCAAGCCTCCAGGTCTTTCCTCTGCTTACTGTGGTTCTTCATCACAAGGGGAGACAAGTCCTACCTCATTGGCATGCCTCACTTTAAGCAAAGCATAAATGAGAATATAAGCATTTAAATAAAGTGCAGATAGGAACATTCCTTTTTACCCTATAAAAAAATGCCATCTGACCTACTATGCCATAAGAGCATAGTAAAAATACTTTGTTTTGAATAGTTTCAACTAGGCAATTTGTGAGCATATAGCAAAATGACTATTGAGTTTCAGTTGTGCAAATTTGGAAAATCTTACATACATTATGGAAATTAGATTTCTTTCCTTTGACAAATGTATTTTGTGTACTTTCAAAACGTGTGACATTTTAAGTGTTTGAGAAATGGCACACTTGCACACCTTGTTAAAGACTAAAACAGCAACATCTGTGGTCAATTCTGCCCTATACTTAGACAGCTGTTTTCCTTCTAGAATAGTCTGTGAACTTGAATAGTAAGTATTAAGTTCACTCAGACATGCTCCCCTGGCTTCAAAAAATTTCTCCGTCAATAGTCATTGCATTCAATAGAATCTAAAGGTCAGAGTGAGCTAATGAAATGTAGTCTGGGTAATCAGATTTCATAAATAATTCAAATGGTAAATCTGGTTTTCTTTTTAAAAATTAATACTTTATAAAATAAAATGTTATTCCTAAAACTAAGTGGAGTCAACTTCATGTCTTTTAATAATGCTTAAAGTGTACATGTTAGCAAGTCCCATATTTACCCTGAAACCATGTCAACAACTTTTGAAAGGGTATTTGCTGTGAATGAGATTATATTTTTCAAACCATTTTTGAGTTTACATGTGGATCAGATGTTTTAACTGATAAACTCATTCTTATCAATCTAACAACAATTAATTTAAATAAATGTCTTTTCATTTAACTGAATTATTGCTTAAAACATTTTGCCAAATTGACTTCTTTCTTTGGTATTTAGTAGTTGCAACTAAGGAAGTTCATTAATTAATGAAGCCAACATTTTTTAAAGGGTCTATTAAATATCAGTACCTTTCTAGGCACGATGAAGTCACTTCTAACCAACCAGGAAATTGGTCAATTTGACTAAAAATTTCACATTTTGGAGGTTTATTCATCTAGTATACTGTGGCTAATTTTTCTACTTTCTTCTACTAGTTAAGAGAGAAAACTAACTCCTGAGATTATCTCTTTCATATCTGGCACTATTATTCTGTTTCTAAAGAGATGCTAGTCCATTTTAAAGGGCAAAAGGGTGTATTCAGTATTCAAACAGATACACCATAAAATAGCACACAAAATCCTGGAGGGCTAAATATAGCTAAGAATTCAAGAAATATTTATTTTTTTAAAGATTCATTTTTTATTTTTTAGACTAGCCAAATGCATTAGCAAGAATGGGGGGAAAGAGTGGAACAAGAAGCTTGATCTTGGACAATCAATGGTAACAATTCACTACCTTCAGACCAGCCAAGAAATATTTGAGTATTCATAGTGTAAAAGATAAGAGTCTGTAACCTGCTGGGCATGTTGGCTCAAGCCTGTAATCCCAGCACTTTGGGAGGCTGAGATGGGAGGATCACTTGAGCCCAGGAGTTCGAACCCAGCCTGGACAACATAGTGGAACCTCATCTCAACAAAAAATAAAAATAAAAAAAACTAGCCAGGTGTGGTGGTACCCCCCTGTGGTCTCAGCTACTTGGGAGGCTGAGGCAGGAGGATCACTGGAGCCCAGGAAGTTGAGGCTGCAGTGAGCCACTGCACTCTATCCTGGATGACCAAGTGAGACCCTGTTTCAAATAAAAAAACAAAGATAGTCTGTAATCCCCGTAGTTTCAGTTTAGCAGGGATGGTTAAGACAAGCATACCAATGAATGGAGAATGGAGACCACAAAGTCCATAGTATAGAAGAAAAAACATTTGAATTAAGGGTATGACTTTGGACATGTTAACTTAAATTCTGATTTTGTTCCCTTATATCTAAAACTGGCTAATAATGCCAAATTTACATTGTACAATGTTTCAAAAAAAAAAAGCCTACACGAGGTAACTTTGTATGCAATAGAGACTTATAAAAACTTGCTATCATATACTACATGCACATGTATTGCTATCATACAAATATCTATATACATTACATGTATACATATACACACAATATATGCATTGCATACACGTATACACACAATATATGCATTGCATACACGTATACACACAATATATGCATTGCATACACGTATACACACAATATATGCATTGCATACACGTATACACACAATATATGCATTGCATACACGTATACACACAATATATGCATTGCATACACGTATACACACAATATAGGCATTGCATACACGTATACACACAATATAGGCATTGCATACACGTATACACACAATATAGGCATTGCATACACGTATACACACAATATAGGCATTGCATACACGTATACACACAATATAGGCATTGCATACGCGTATACACACAATATAGGCATTGCATACGCGTATACACACAATATAGGCATTGCATACGCGTATACACACAATATAGGCATTGCATACGCGTATACACACAATATAGGCATTGCATACGCGTATACACACAATATAGGCATTGCATACGCGTATACACACAATATAGGCATTGCATACGCGTATACACACAATATAGGCATTGCATACGCGTATACACACAATATAGGCATTGCATACGCGTATACACACAATATAGGCATTGCATACGCGTATACACACAATATAGGCATTGCATACGCGTATACACACAATATAGGCATTGCATACGCGTATACACACAATATAGGCATTGCATACGCGTATACACACAAAATAGGCATTGTATACGCGTATACACACAAAATAGGCATTGTATACGCGTATACACACAAAATAGGCATTGTATACGCGTATACACACAAAATAGGCATTGTATACGCGTATACAATATAGGCATTGTATACGCGTATACAATATAGGCATTGTATACGCGTATACAATATAGGCATTGTATACGCGTATACAATATAGGCATTGTATACGCGTATACAATATAGGCATTGTATACGCGTATTGTATACGCGTATACAATATATGCATTGTATACGCGTATTGTATACGCGTATACAATATATGCATTGTATACGCGTATACAATATATGCATTGTATACGCGTATACAATACATATACATACTATATATGTACTATATATGTATTGTATACACATATATACTATATACACTACATATATACTATATATGTATTGTATACACATATATACTATATACAATACATATATACTATATATGTATTGTATACATATATACTATATACAATACATATATATACTATATATGTATTGTATACATATATACTATATACAATACATATATACTATATATGTATTGTATACATATATACTATATACAATACATATATATACTATATATGTATTGTATACATATATACTATATACAATACATATATAGTATATATATGTATTGTATACATATATACTATATACAATACATATATACTATATATATGTATTGTATGCATATATATACAATACGTATATATACACAATATATATGTATTGTATACATATATGTATACAAAAGTAATTGGGTGACAGAGCAAAACCTTGTCTCAAAAAAAAAAAGAAAAGAAAATATTTGAACAAGCATAAAAGTGATCATACTTAGCCTGCACAGTCTTTAGAACCTTCATGACCTAACACAGTGTACTGTTATCTATTAATTCTAAAACATGGAGACCTAACGCTGCCTGTCCTCATCTACCACCAGGGCCAAAGAAATTGCTTGTGGATTCTCAGGATATCCCCCACTCCTTATTCCATTCTAGTCAAAGACATATCCGACAATGATGCCGTGGGAATTAACCCAGTTTAATAAACACTGAGAGTGGAGTGTGCAGTGGGAGATAATAGAGATGATGGCCAGTTTCTTGATGAAAGGAATTTTCCTTTGGCCGTTAATATTTATATAAAATACAGCATATCAGAGCCAATGTAAACTTCCTGCATTCAGAAAAGTCCTCTTCAGGGAGAGTTTGTTTTTTTTTTTTCTCAAGACGGGGTGTGAATCTGTCACCCCAGCTGGAGTGCTGTGGCATGATCTTGGCTCCCTGCAATGGGGAAGATTTAAGAAATGTCTTCTTCCTCCAAGGACATGTAAAAGAGATATGCATTGGTAAAAGTTTAAGAAAATTCATGTGTTTGAAGCTACTGAACACAGTCACAGGCAAGCACATGCCAAGGTCTTCTTCACTGGCTGTACAGACAAACCGCTCATCTCCTGCTTGCCTTCCTATTGGATTGATGGCCTTTTATTACTACAGCTGCGATGGGATAAAATTATGAATGTAAGAGTGTTGACATATTTCCTCTCTTCTCCAAAGCCCTAGAAAAAATATTATCATTTTCAACCCAGTTTCAGTATTGTACCCTTAAAAAAAGGAAGAATTTCTTCTGGCTAGGCCAGAAGAAAAAAATCTATCTACCTAATAAATTATTGAGAAAGATGGGAAAAGGAAAAATGTTTGGTACTTTGAGGGTAGGGAAAGTATTTTTCTTCTGGAGGGAGGGTTTAAGGAAGGCTGAGCTGGAGCAGTTGTGAGTATGAAAAAAGGAAATAAGATCTGGGGACTGTAGCATGTGCTTGTAGTCCCAGCTACTCAGGAGGCTGAGAGGCAAGAAGACTGCTTGAGCCTAAGAGTTTGAGGCTGTAGTGCATTATGATGGTCATCTGTGAATAGCCACTGCACTCTAGCCTGGGCATGTAGCAAGACTCTATCTCTAAAAAATAATAACAATAACATTAAAAAAAAAAAAAAGTAAAAGAAGAAAGGGGGTTTTAGCAAGAGCTGCTATGGACCATGTATTTGTAATTTTTTTAATGTCCTACAAGGTATTTGAGTAAAGAATAATTAAAAATATTTGTAATTATTTCTGCCAGTTGAAGTGTGTTTCTTTTTTTTTAATTATTATACTTTAAGTTTTAGGGTACATGTGCACAATGTGCAGGTTTGTTACATATGTATACATGTGCCCTGTTGGTGTGCTGCACCCATTAACTCGTCATTTATATTAGGTATATCTCCTAAGGCTATCCTTCCCCTGTACCCCCACCCCACAACAGGCTTTGGTGTGTGATGCTCCCCATCCTGTGTCCAAGTGTTCTCATTGTTCAATTCCCACTTATGAGTGAGAACATGCAGTGTTTGGTTTTTTGTCCTTGTGATAGTTTGCAGAGAATGATGGTTTCCAGCTTCACCCATGTCCCTACAAAGGACATGAACTCATCCTTTTTTATGGCTGCATAGTATTCCATGGTGAATATGTGCCACATTTTTTTAATCCAGTCTATCATTGTTGGACATTTGGCTTGGTTCCAAGTCTTTGCTATTGTGAATAGTGCTGCAATAAACATACCTGTGCATGTGTCTTTATAGCAGCATGATTTATAATCCTTTGAGTATATACCCAGTAATGGGATGGCTGGGTCAAATGATATTTCTAGTTCTAGATCCCTGAGGAATTGCCACACTGTCTTCCAAAATGGTTGAACTAGTTTACCGTCCCACCAACAGTGTAAAATTGTTCCTATTTCTCCACATCCTCTCCAGCACCTGTTGTTTCCTGACTTTTTAATGATCACCATTCTAACTGGTGTGAGATTATATCTCATTGTGGTTTTGATTTGCATTTCTGTGATGGCCAGTGATGATGAGCATTTTTTCATGTGTCTTTTGGCTGCATAAATGTCTTCTTTTGATAAATGTCTGTTCATATTCTTCACCTACTTTTTGATGGGGTTGTTTTTTTCTTGTAAATTTGTCTGAGTTCTTTGTAGATTCTGGATATTAGCCTTTTGTCAGATAAGCAGATTGCAAAACTTTTCTCCCATTCTGTAGGTTGCCTGTTCACTCTGATGGTAGTTTCTTTTGCTGTTCAGAAGCTCTTGAGTTTAATTAGCTCCCATTTGTCAATTTTGACTTTCGTTGCCATTTCTTTTGGTGTTTTAGACATGAAGTCCTTGCCCATGCCTATGTCCTGAATGGTATTGCCTAGGTTTTCTTCTAGGGTTTTTATGGTTTTAGGTCTAACTTTTAAGTCTTTAATCAATTTTGAATTAATCTTTGTATAAGGTGTAAGGAAGGGATCCAGTTTCAGCTTTCTACATATGGCTAGCCAGTTTTCCCAGCACCATTTATGAAATGGGGAATCCCTTCCCCATTGCTTGTTTTTCTCAGGTTTGTCAAAGATCAGATAGTTGTAGATGTGTGGCATTATTTCCGAGGGCTCTGTTCTGTTCCATTGATCTATATCTCTGTTTTGGTACCAGTACCATGCTGTTTTGGTTACTGTAGCCTTGTAGTATAGTTTGAAGTCAGGTAGCATGATGCCTCCAGCTTTGTTTTTTGTCTTAGATTTGACTTGGCGATGCAGGCTCTTTTTTGGTTCCATATGAACTTTAAAGTAGTTTTTTCCAATTCTGTGAAGAAAGTCATTGGTAGCTTGATAGGGATGGCATTGAATCTATAAATTACCTTGGGCAGTATGGCCATTTTCATGATATTGATTCTTCCTACCCATGAGCATGGAATGTTCTTCCATTTGTTTGTATCCTCTTTTATTTCATTGAGCAGTGATTTGTGGTTCTCCTGGAAGAGGTCCTTCACATCCCTTGTAAGTTGGATTCCTAGGTATTTTATTCTCTTTGAAGCAATTGTGAATGGGAGTTCACTCATGATTTGGCTGTTTGTCTGTTATTGGTGTATAAGAATGCTTGTGATTTTTGCACATTGATTTTGTATCCTGAGACTTTGCTGAAATTGCTTATCAGCTTAAGGAGATTTTGGGCTGAGACAATGGGGTTTTCTAGATATACAATCATGTCATCTGCAAACAGGGACAATTTGACTTCCTCTTTTCCTAATTGAATACCCTTTATTTCCTTCTCCTGCCTAATTGCCCGGCCAGAACTTCCAACACTATGTTGAATAGGAGTGGTGAGAGAGGGCATCCCTGTCTTGTGCCAGTTTTCAAAGGGAATGCTTTCAGTTTTTGCCCATTCAGTATGATATTGGCTGTGGGTTTGTCATAAATAGCTCTTATTATTTTGAGATATGTCCCATCAATACTTAATTTATTGAGAGTTTTTAGCATGAAGGGCTGTTGAATTTTGTCAAAGGCCTTTTCTGCATCTATTGAGATAATCATGTGGTTTTTGTCTTTGGTTCTGTTTATATGCCGGATTACATTTATTGATTTGTGTATGTTGAACCAGCCTTGCATCCCAGGGATAAAGCCCACTTGATCATGGTGGATAAACTTTTTGATGTGTTGCTGGATTCAGTTTGCCAGTATTTTATTGAGGATTTTTGCACTGATGTTCATCAGGGATATTGGTCTAAAATTCTCTTTTTTGGTTGTGTCTCTGCCAGGCTTTGGTATCAGGATGATGCTGGCCTCATAAAATGAGTTAGGAGGATTCCCTCTTTTTCTATTGATTGGAATAGTTTCAGAAGGAATGGTACCAGCTCCTCTTTGTATCTCTGGTAGAATTCAGCTGTGAATCCATCTGGTCCTGGACTTTTTTTGGTTGGTAAGCTATTTTTGCCTGAATTTCAGAGCCTGTTATTGGTCTATTCAGAGATTCAACTTCTTCCTGGTTTAGTCTTGGGAGGGTGTATGTGTCCAGGAATTTATCCATTTCTTCTAGATTTTCTAGTTTATTTGCATAGAGGTGTTTATAGTATTCTCTGATGGTAGTTTGTATTTCTGTGGGATCAGTGGTAATATCCCCTTTATCATTTTTTATTGCATCTATTTGATTCTTCTCTCTTTTCTTCTTTATTAGTCTTGCTAGCGGTCTATCAATTTTGTTGATCTGTTCAAAAAACCAGCTCCTGGATTCATTAATTTTTTGAAGGGTTTTTTGTGTCTCTATCTCCTTCAGTTCTGCTCTGATCTTAGTTATTTCTTGCCTTCTGCTAGCTTTTGAATGTGTTTCCTCTTGCTTCTCTAGTTCTTTTAATTGTGATGTTAGGGTGTCAATTTTAGATATTTCCTGCTTTCTCTTGTGGGCATTTAGTGCTATAAATTTCCCTCTACACACTGCTTTGAATGTGTCCCAGAGATTCTGGTATGTTGTGTCTTTGTTGTCATTGGTTTCAAAGAACATCTTTATTTCTGCCTTCATTTCGTTATGTACCCAGTAGTCATTCAGGAGAAGGTTGTTTAGTTTCCATGTAGTTGAGTTGTTTTGAGTGAGTTTCTTAATCCTGAGTTCTAGTTTGATTGCACTATGGTCTGAGAGACAGTTTGTTATAATTTCTGTTCTTTTACATTTGCTGAGGAGTGCTTTACTTCCAACTATGTGGTCAATTTTTGAATAAGTGCGGTGTGGTGCTGAGAAGAATGTATATTCTGTTGATTTGGGGTGGAGAGTTCTGTAGATGTCTATTAGGTCTGCTTGGTGCAGAGCTGAGTTCAATTCCTGGGTATCCTTGTTAACTTTCTGTCTCCTTGATCTGTCTAATGTTGACAGTGGGGTGTTAAAGTCTCCCATTATTATTGTGTGGGAGTCTAAGTCTCTTTGTAGGTTTCTAAGGTCTTGCTTTATGAATCTGAGTGCTCCTGTATTGGGTGCATATATGTTTAGGATAGTTAGCTCTTCTTGTTGAGTTGATCCCTTTACCACTATGTAATGGCCTTCTTTGTCTCTTTTGATCTTTGTTGGTTTAAAGTCTGTTTTATCAGAGAGTAGGATTGCAACCCCTGCCTTTTTTTGTTTTCCATTTGCTTGGTAGATCTTCCTCCATCCCTTTATTTTGAGCCTATGTGTGTCTCTGCATGTGAGATGGGTCTCCCAAATACAGCACACTGATGGGTCTTGACTCTTTATCCAATTTTCCAGTCTGTTTCTTTTAATTGGAGCATTTAGCCCATTTACATTTAAGGTTAATATTGTTATATGTGAATTTGATCCTGTCATTATGATGTTAGCTGGTTATTTTGTTCGTTAGTTGATGCAGTTTCATCCTAGCCTCGGTGGTCTTTATAATTTGGCATGTTTTTGCAGTGGCTAGTACCAGTTGTTCCTTTCCATGTTTATTGCTTCCTTCAGGAGCTGTTTTAGGGCAGGCCTGGTGGTGACAAAGTCTCTCAGCATTTGCTTGTCTGTAAAGGATTTTATTTCTCCTTCACTCATGAAGCTTATTTTGGCTGGATATGAAATTCTGGGTTGAAAATTCTTTTCTTTAAGAATGTTGAATATTGGCCCCCACTCTCTTCTGGCTTGTAGAGTTTCTGCCAAGAGATCAGCTGTTAGTCTGATGGGCTTCCCTTTGTGGGTAACCCGACCTTTATCTCTGGCTGCCCTTAACATTTTTTCCTTCATTTCAACTTTGGTGAATCTGATAATTATGTGTCTTGGAGTTGCTCTTCTCGAGGAGTATCTTTGTGGCATTCTCTGAGTATCTTTGTGGCATTCTCTGAGTATCTTTGTGGCATTCTCTGTATTTCCTGAATTTGAATATTTGCCTGCCTTCCTAGATTGGGGAAGTTCTCCTGGATAATATCCTGCAGAGTGTTTTCCAACTTGGTTCCATTCTCCCTGTCACTTTCAGGTACACCAATCAGACGTAGATTTCGTCTTTTTACATAGTCCCATATTTCTTGGAGGCTTTGTTCATTTCCTTTTATTCTTTTTTCTCTAAACTTGTCTTCTCACTTCATTTCATTCATTTCATCTTCCATCACTGATACCCTTTCTTCCAGTTGATCGAATCGGCTACTGAAGCTTGTGCATTCGTCACGTAGTTCTCGTGCCATGGTTTTCAGCTCCATCCGTTCGTTTAAGGACTTCTCTGCCTTGGTTATTCTAGTTAGCCATTCATCTAATCTTTTTTCAAGGTTTTTAACTTCTTTGCCATGGGTTCAAACTTCCTCCTTTAGCTGGGAGAAGTTTGATCATCTGAAGCCTTCTTCTCTCAACTCGTCAAAGTCATTTTCCATCCAGCTTTGTTCCGTTGCTGGTGAGGAGCTGCGTTCCTTTGGAGGAGGAGAGGCGCTCTGATTTTTAGAATTTTCAGTTTTTCTGCTCTGTTTTTTCCCCATCTTTGTGGTTTTATCTACCTTTGGTCTTTGATGATGCTGACGTACAGGTGGGGTTTTGGTGTGGGTGTCCTTTCTGTTTGTTAGTTTTCCTTCAAACAGAAAGGACCCTCAGCTGCAGGTCTGTTGGAGTTTGCCAGAGGTCCAGTCCAGACCCTGTTTTCCTGGGCATCAGCAGTGGAGGCTGCAGAACAGCGAATATTGTTGAAGAGCAAATGTTGCTGCCTGTTTGTTCCTCTGGAAGTTTTGTCTCAGAGGTTTACCCGGCCGTGTGAGGTGTCAGTCTGCCCCTACTGGGGGGTGCCTCCCAGTTAGGCTACTCAGGGGTCAGGACCCACTTGAGGAGGCAGGCTGTCTGCTCTCACATCTCAAGCTGTGTGCTGGGAGAACCACTACTGTCTTCCAAGCTGTCAGACAGGGACATTTAAGTCTGCAGAGGTTTCTGCTGCCTTTTATTTGGCTATGCCCTGCCCCCAGAGGTGGAGTCTACAGAGGCAAGCAGGCCTCCTTGAGCTGTGGTGGGCTCCACCCAGTTCGAGCTTCCTGGCCGCTTGTTTACTTGCTCAAGCCTCAGCAATGGTGGGAGCCACTCCCCCAGCCTCGCTGCCACCTTGCAGTTTGATCTCAGACTGCTGTGCTAGCAATGAGCAAGGCTCCTTGGGCATAGGACCATCCGAGCCAGGCACGGGATATAATCTCCTGGTGTGCCATTTGCTAAGACCGTTGGAAAAGTGCAGTATTAGGGTGGGAGTGACCAGATTTTCCAGGTGCCGTTTGTCACCCCTTTCCTTGGCTAGGAAAGGGAATTCCCTAACCCCTTGCACTTCCTGGGTGAGGTGATGCCTCGCCTGGCTTTGGCTCATGCACGGTGCGCTGCACCCACTGTCCTGCACCCACTCTCCAACAATCCCCAGTGAGATGAACCCAGTACCTCAGTTGGAAATGCAGAAATCATCTGTCGTCTGCGTTGCTCACGCTGGGAGCTGTAGACTGGAGCTGTTCCTATTCGGCCATCTTGGACAGGGGTTTTCTGAAGTGTATTTCTTAAACATGATACCACCAGTACTGAGCCACATGGGTTCTGGACATATAATTCATTATTCAACAGCATTTCATATCTCTTTACCACATGCTAGGCCAGTGTAGGATCTGTATATGCAAAGAAAATCATGTTGGCCTCCACTCTCAAGAGGTCAGATGGTCTCTGGTAGAGATAGATATACATGTAAAGAGTGAAATGAAGTGTTTCAAGTACTGAGATGTACCAGATAAAAGCTTTTACACCAGATGCATGTTTTTAAAACATGAAAACAAGGATATTCAGAGTTGCTGGGAATTGGGGACACCAGGAAGATCCTCACAACTCCAGAGATGTTCCTGACTGACCCTGGAGGTGGCAAAGGAAGAGAGACCAGAGGGTGGTGAGGAAGGGAACCATGTGCTGTTTTCCCCCCGGAAATACTCTGAGCTCCTATATTTTTCTTTGGAAACATTGAAAGTTTGATTTGTAATCAAGAAAAGCCAAGAGGGGCAGCGTGATCTCCTCATGATTTGAAAGGTAACTCTGGGGGGCCAGGCACAGTGTCTCATGCCTATAACCCCAACACTTTGGGAGGTGAAGGCAGGCGGATTACTTGAGTTCAAGCATCAGGAGTTCAAGATCAGCCTGGAAAACATGGCAAAATCACATCTCTACTAAAAATATAAAAAATTAGCTGGGTGTAATGGCATGCACCTGTAGTCCCAGCTATGTAGGAGGCTGAGGTGGGAGGATCACCTGAGCCTGGGAAGTTGAGGCTACAGTGAGCCATGATTGTACCTCTGCACTACAGCATGGGCAACAGGAGTGAGACCCTGTCAAAAAAAAAAAAAGGAAGAAAAAGAAAGATAACTTTATAGCATTCATAGCAGGAGAAAAACAGAGGACAAAGTCAGATTACTGTGTTCCACAATTTGTACAGTACAAGATTTCTAAGGAGAAAAAGCGAAAAGTGAAAAGTGCACTATTCTATTGCAAGACATAGCAAGTAATTGCCAACTTCCTTCAAAACTGAAACATGAATGTTCATGCTTATAGCAAATGTCATTGCACAATTAAAGGCACAGTGTGCCTAACGTATGGCATTGTCAGCGTGTGAGTAATCTGTGTGTTATGTTTGACACGAGACATATGAGGTGTCATGACTAACTAAGGATACATTCTGTCCTGGCAGTTTCAATAGCATGAAGCATGACAATAATGGGGAGGGAAAATGAAGCCAAATACGTGGAGAGAGAGATATGTGTTTTTTTTGAGACAGAGTCTCACTCTGTTGCCCAAATATATGAATACATTTTTAAAAATCGTGTCTTCTATTTCATGGACTTTACTTTTCATCTTGCATGAAAAGTGAGAAAGGAAGTATAAAGTGCAATTGAATCAAGCTTCTCTTTTCGAAGTTGGTCATTACCTTATATAAGAATGTGTTTCTGTGCCTCTGTCTTTCAGTGAGGAGAAGGAGGGAGATGTGGGAGAGGAACAAGCTTGACATCTCCCTAGTGCTCAGTTATTGCCAGTAACTGTGCTGGTGTGTTATCTGTGCTGTCACTGACGCAGAGCAGCAGGAGGGGTTGGCGTTAGAGTGAACTCTAGGAACAGGCTCTAGGGTGGGGGTCCTGGTTCAGCCACTTAGCACTGTGACTGAGCAAATTCTCAACTAGCCATAGCAACTAACAGGGCATTGAGAGTTTGCCCTGTGTGAGGCACCATATCAAGTATTCTCCTATTATTTTTCGAATCCTCACAACATCCTTCTACACAAGATAGAAGAAATTGAGGTAAAGTTAAGGCAGAAGGAATGGCATAAAGAGGAAAAACATCTGGGTTCTAGAGTAATACTGCTGGTGTTCATGTCACCGCTAGACCACTTATTACCTGTGTCACTGTTGGCAAATTATTACATTCTCTTGAGACAGCTAGGGCATACTTTGAATAGGGTTTGGCACATAGGAAGAGCTCAGTAATATCAACTCCTATTGTGACTCAGTGAAATGGCAGGTATCCCTGTTTGTGAAGTACATTAACTGCTTAGTCTTGAGGAACAGAGAGAACAGATATCATGACTTGAGGACACTGGTTTGAGGCCAGAAAATGTACATACAGCTATTGTAGGCTGGTATTGAGGACTGTGCGCGTGCTCACTGGTCCGTGTCTACTCCAACAGTGCATGTTCCTCTTTCAGTTCCTCTTTGGGGTCTGGGTGGGGAGAAGTGCAAAGGGAAGAGGTGTCATGCCTTTGTGATTTCTTTCAAGAGCAAATCAAGGCTTCCAGTAATGAGTACCCTAGAGTGTCAAGACATTCTCTAGCCAAAAGGCCACCAGCTTCCCAATAAGGAGAGTATCTGTGACATGTAGCACACCCAACAGAAATAAACCTCATGAACTCAGAATTCTATCTGGGGGGACTCTTTATTTGTGCTCCAGAACTTTGAAGGCTAGTAGTAAGGCCCATTCAAAATATAAAGACATTTCTATGTTATAATACTCAGAGGATTCTTTAATCAAAATTTGCGAACATGGCAAAAAGCTAGTTTAAAAAGATGAAACTCTCACTGATGTAATGAAAAATTTATCAGTTATGTATTTATCTCACTAAGTGATGAATTAGTTTATGCTTAAGCTCATTTTCAACACTGGTGCTCAGATTTTACAAAATTGCTTTTAATTACCAAACCCCCCCAAGACTCAGAAGGCAGCCAGTATAAGGGCAGTTGTCTGTTTTTTTAGAGGGAACATGAATAAATGCATTCATGCTTCTCCTTACGAATCACTACTCTTTCTAAGGCTCTATTTTTTTTTTTAAGGGATGGGGTCTCCATCCCTCTGTCACCAAGGCTGGAGGGCAGTGGTGCTATCCCAGCTTACTGCAGCCTCTGACTCCTGGGCTCAAGCAATCCTCTCTCCTCAGCCTCCCAAAATGCTAGGATTACAGCTGTGAGCCACCGTACCCAGCCGTCTTTAATTTTAAAGGAGCAGTCTGAGCTCTGTTGGCCAAGAAGGGCTGTAGATGCTGGAGGCCTCTTCTACAACCAGCCCAAGTTCCCTGCCACTTTGACAATCTGAGTGAGGGTCTTGGCTTGGCAGCCCCAGAGCCAATGAATGGCTAGAGACCCATCCATAATCCAGAGCAAAATTCCCATTTCTGTTTGGTTATTCTTTTCTTTTCCTCATCTTATCCATTCTCTAGGTTTTATTTCCAGCCTATTATGATGTATATTTGGTCTGGCTAGATAAGACAGTCTCCAAACAGAGACAGAATGATCTTGAGAAGAAGATAGCAACATCATTTGAATGGTTTCCATGGATTTTATTTGGGGTTAATTGATCTTAGCATCTCCTAAGTAACCTGAATGGTTCAAAATGCAGCCTTCAGTTTTTCCTGTCTGACTACAGTTAGGTCTTGATTGAGATCACCATGGTAATCTGTTTTAAAGTATGAAAAAGGGCCTGCTTAAGGCCAACTAGCAGAGAGAAGGTATATCTCCAGGTTTGAGGCACATGCTGTTGTCTGCTTCTTTCTAAAGACACCACCTTCTGTTTCCAATGTGAAAAGAGATAAACAGAAATTTCAAATGATCTGGTAAGGATAATAAAATAGAGTATGCAGGCCGGGCGCAGTGGCTCACGCCTGTAGTCCCAGCACTTTGGGAAGCAGAGGTGGGCGGATCACGAGGTCAAGAGTTCGAGATCAGCCTGGCCAACGTGGTGAAACACCGTGTCTACCAAAAATATAAAAATTAGCTGGGCATGATGGCAGGCGCCTGTAATCCCAGCTGCTCAGGAGGCTGAGGAAGGAGAATCACTTGAGCCCGGGAGGCGGAGGTTGCAGTGAGCCGAGATTGAGCCATTGCACGCCAGCCTGGGCTACAGAGCAAAACTCTGTTCTCAGAAAAAAAAAAAAAGTGCATGCAATACTTAAAGAATGACTATTATCCAATAAGATAAACCATAAATAATTCCTAAGATTACCTTAATAGTATTTTCTGATATAAGAAATTAGCTTTAAAATCCTATAATTATAAAATTATAAAATTAAATTATGTAAAATAGGGTAAAGTTATTCCTTAAAGGTTATATATATGATTAAAACATAAAAGATTAAATGGCTTCTGGCCACTGCTGGCAATGGCTAGTTTCTCTTTAGTATATGGGTAGCCTGGGAAGAGATGAAGAGTAAGGGAAGGGGTTAGAACTGGGTCTTCCCTAAGTCTCATTATCCCCGTCCTGCCTCCCTTACAGCCCCCTCTGCAACAGATAGGAGAGATTTGGGGAGCATCAGCCTGACTTGCCATGCAGGGTAAGACAGGAGAGGGATTGTCCTGTTCTGTGCAGAGGAGGCCCCCATGGTACCCCCATCTCCCCACCAGGCTGTTGGAGACTTGAGAGGTAAATGAGGGTCAGAGAGTGGCCTTGTTCCTCCCAGGATCAGGCTGTGATGTGTGCATGCTGCTTAGGTGGAAGCTCTGCCCCTTCCCACACCCTTCCCTGTGCATCCCAGGGGACTCCCCCAGCAGGTAGGTAGGACCTGGACAGAGCTTAATGCCTTGAGCATTTGCAGAAGCTTCACTATCTGCTCTGTCACTTTTGGCATTGAGGCAACTGCCATCTGTTCTTGGAAAAGGCAAAAAGATGATCCATATGTCAAGGTGAAAGAAAGAACTTGAGGTGTATCTGCAATATTTCCTTTTCTCTTACCCTTTGATTCTGCTTGAGATCCTTTGTTCCTTGGCGGTCAGCCCTTTGCAATACTGAACAGAGAAGCCAAACCAAAGGTACCCCGGTGGGGGTAGGTAGCTCCACATAGGAAAAGGATCAAGAAGAAAAATTCAGCAAGGAAGCGGGGGCAGGGGAGAACTAAACAAACAAGTCAAATGTGAAGAGGGTTGCTGTGTATTGTGTTACGATTTCCTATCCCTTCTCCCAATGGCCATATCCTAATCACCCTCATTCAGCAAATCCCATTATAGTCCTTTCTATTTCAGAAAATATTTTTAATCAATCATTTTAAACAGTTAAAAACTAACAAATATGCCTACTGTGCATCAGGGGTTTTTTAGGTTATTTAAAAATACTTGAACCCTCATAATAACACTCTGAAGTAGGAACATTATTCTTACTTGATTATTGAGGAGACTGATGCAGAGAAGATAAACAGCTCAAAGTCACATGGGTAGAAAGTGACAAATCTGGGCTTCAAATTCATAGTCTGGCTTCTGTGTCTATGCTTTTAGCCACTGCGCTGTGTTGCTTCTCTTACATTTTTACATTAGATCTTTATTAAACATATAAAAATGAATATAATATCCTGGTAAAAAAATTAAGTCATTATAAATAAAATCATTTCTGGACTGTTCCCCATCCTCAATTCTGGCTCTTTTTCTGTTTAGAGAGAATCATATCTTTGCACAGCTTTTATCTCCTATATACTTTCATGCATGTGTATACACACATGTCTATGCATACACATATACACACACGTATATAAGTACAAATATATATATCCACATACATA
Source organism: Homo sapiens (assembly GCF_000001405.40). Taxonomy (NCBI): domain Eukaryota; kingdom Metazoa; phylum Chordata; class Mammalia; order Primates; family Hominidae; genus Homo; species Homo sapiens. The sequence continues at coordinate 140,794,380 of NC_000004.12, forward strand.
TATGTGCACACATATATGTATATGCATTACATATAATTGTAGAAAATACATATTGTTTGTGTGTTTAGTTTTTTACTTTGTATTACTCAACAATGTGTCTTGGAGATCTTCCTTGTCTACGTATAATACAGCTGCATTTTTAAAAATTGTTGCGTTATTTCATGGTGCAGATACATTATGTCTTATATAAGCAAACCCCTAATGAGAATGGAACATTTAGGTCTTTTCCCCCTATTTCATACTCTTTCAAACAGTGCAGCAGCAATGACCGTCTTTGTACATATTTCCTGTGTGTGCAGATGAGTATTCCAGCCTATGTTGTTTTTGGGTACATCATCTGCTATGACAGGCTCAGGAGGACCTGATATAATCAGGTAACTCTATAGCAACAGGATGCTTTATTTTTCATATTTTCTTAGAATGATAAAACTTAATTCCTTTGGGCCCTGATATTGATTTAGAGGTCTTAAAGTTTTCTCTTAAATTGTCTCACTTGTTTTTAGGCTAAAGTTTCCTGTTATTTCTTTCTAAACTGAATATGAGGCTCTTTAACAGAACAGACAGAGCAAAATTGGAACTGCATATTTCTGCCTTTTCGTGACATGAACTTTGTGTTGCCAGTGACAATTTTGATTTATAAGATAATGTACACAGGCAAAAAGTAGAAAATATATTTTAAATGTCCAATTTTTTTCAAGAAATAATAAAAAGTACAATGCAAGGAGGAAATTATTATCAACGTATTTCTAGGGAAGTAAAAGGTTAATGTATTGCAAAGCTTATCAAAGACTGTTAGTTGTTCCTCAGTGTCATGGGTCTAATCATGCACCCTGAAAATTCCTATGTTGAAGTCCTAACCCCCAATACCTAACAATGTGGCTTTATTTGGTGATAGGATGTTTACAGAGGTAATCAAGTTAAAGTGAAGAGGCCATTAGGGTAGAACCTAATCCAGTATAACTGGTGTCCTTGTAAGAAGGGGAAATTTTGGTCAGAGATACACACAGAGGGAAGACAACATGAAGAGACAAAGGGAGAAGATGGCAGTCCACAAACCAAGGGGAGAGGCCTGGAACAGATTTTTTTTCTCTCAGAGCTTTCAAGGAATCAAGCCTGCAGACACCTTGATCTTGGATTTCTAGTCTCCAGAGATAGTAAGTTTCTTTTTTCTTTTTTCTTTTTTTTGAGATGGAGTCTCACTCTGCCCCCCAGGCTGGAGTGCAGTGGCGTAATCTTGGCTCATTGAAACCTCTGCCTCCTGGGTTCAAGCGATTCTCCTGCCTCAGTATCCCGAGTAGCTGGGACTACAGGCGCGCCACCATGCCCGGCTAATTTTTATGGTTTTTTTTTTTTTTTTTTTTTTAGTAGAGACATGGTTTCACAAATATTGGACAGGCTGGTCTCAAACTCCTTGCCTCATGATCCACCTGCCTCGGCTTCCCAAAGTGCTGGGATTACAGGTGTGAGTCACTGCACCTGCCCTGAGATAGTAAGTCTTTTGTTTACGGCCACCCAGTTTATGGCATTTTGTATGGCAGCTCTAGCAAACAAATACATATACTCAGTATACATACATCTTATCATAATCAGCTCCAGCAGTGGCCTCCAATGTGCCATGCGCCCTAGGACCTACACCTGATCAGTCTCCTCCCCTTGCATCTGTGCTAGGCCTGAGGCTTGTTTTAACTCATAAAATGTGGTTGAAGTGAGGCTGTGCCAGGCCCTAAGCATTAGGAAGGTCTGGCACTTAAAGTTTTGCACTTTGGGGAAGCCTAGGCTGCCATTTAAGAAGTCAGGCCACCCTTTAAGAGAGATCATGCAGAAAGGTCTTATGGAAAGGGAGAGACCTGAGTCTTTATGGAGAGACCTTTCTATATGGAAAGGCCCAACACTCCACGCATGCCAGCTGAGGTCAGTCTTCCAGCCGTCCCTACCAAGGCACTGCAGATGCGAGTGAGCATGTTGGACATGATAGCTGCAACCATCATCTGACTTTAATTGC